>NC_000017.11:41935980-42560980 GCF_000001405.40 Homo sapiens | reverse complement strand
AAGAAAAAAGAAAAAGGCAAAGGCTGGATACCTAGTGTGGGAGATTTACTGCGAAGCTAATGGGCGCTTGAAAGGCTGAGTGTGGAGGGGAAGCCAGGTTGCTATTAGAATACATCTCAGGTAAGTTGTGCATGGAGATCAAAAGGGAGAGAAGCCAGTCTCCAAGATTCCAGTAATGTGCCGTGGTATCCGAAACTTAAAAAAAAAAACAAAACTCACTTTTATATGTAATTTTGTGTTTATCTTTTGTATTCTTGAAGACGGTCTCCAAAAGCAAATAAGCCCCCAGCCCCACAAAACCTGGGCTTATGATGGAGAAAAGGAGATGCTATTTTAGATAAGGTGATTCAGGAAAACAGCAAAGACCTGGAGGAAGAGATACAGTCAAGGAGGGAAGAGTTGTAGAGCCACAAAGGTATTAAGGGACCAGGCTTCTCACAGGAGACATGTTAGATTTAAAGATAGGGTCTGATTTGAAGACACAAACAGCAAAGGCTGCCAGAGAATGTCCCAAGACATCTGGACACACAGTCTGACACACCACATACAGAGTCATTTTTATTGAGTAAATGTGTATTTTACTGCCTCCCACAGGGATGGACCAGTGAACAAAACAATGTCCCTGCCATCCTGGGGTATAGAGTACTGTGTGTCTTGGGGTTGCAGACAGGAATCATGCCACCATAAATAAATCTATAATACATGGCCAGGCGCGGTGGCTCACGCCTGTAATCCCAGCACTTTGGGAAGCTGAGGCAGGCAGATCACCTGAGGTCAGGAGTTCAAGACTAGCCTGGCCAACATAGTGAAACCCCGTCTCTACTAAAAATACAAAAAATTAGCTGGGTGTGGTGGCGGTACTTGTGATTCCAGCTACTCAGGAGGCTGAGGCAGGAGAATCGCTTGAACCTGGGAGGCAGAGATTGCAATGAGCCGAGATCACGCCACTGCACTCCAGCCTGGGTGACAGAGAGACTCCGTCTCCAAAAAAAATAAAAATTAAATTAAAAAACCCAAATCCATAATATATCTACTGGTGATAAAGGATAAGAACAAAAGTAAAGCAGAGTAAGGGAGCTATAGTGGAGAAGCTGAGAGGCTATTTTAGATAAGGTGGTTCAGGAAAACAGCAAAAATCTGAAGGAAGACATAGAATCAGAGATCAGGGAATGTGACCCAGAGGGGGCCAAGTACAAAGGCCCTGAGGCAGGAGGGCTGAACTGGGTGATGTAGATGGAGATTGGTGGGAGATGAGATCAGAAAGGGGGCAGGAACCAGATCAAAGAAGGTCTTGGAGAGCTTTGGGGAGAACCTTGGTGCTATGGTTCGAATGTCCCTGCCACAACTCATGTTGAAATAAAAAATTCAATTGCTACTGTCTTAAGAGATGGGACTTTTTTTCTCTTTGAGACAGGGTCTCACTCTTGTCCCCCAGGCTGGAGTGCAGTGGGTTGATCATGGCTCACAGCAGCCTCAACTGCCTGGGCTCAAGCAGTCCTCTGCCTTGGCCTCCTGAGCAGCTGGAACTACAGATGTGTGCCACCACACCTGGCTAATTAAAAAAAAAATTTTTTTTTTCATACAGACAGGATCTTGCTGTGTTGCCTGGGCTGGTTTCCAACTCCTGAACTCAAGCAGTCCTCCCACTTCAGCCTCCCAAAGTGTTGGGATTACAGGCCTGAGCCACTGCACTGGGCAGGGTGGGGCCTTTAAGAGGTAATTAGGTCAGCTGGGCGAGGTGGCTCACTCCTGTAATCTCAGCACTTTGGGAAGCCAAAGTGGTGGATCTCAGGTGGATCACCTGAGATCAGGAGTTTGCGACCAGCCCAACCAACGTGGTGAAACCCCGTCTCTACTAAAAGTACAAAAATTAGCGGGGTGTGGTGGCATGCGCCTAAAATCCCAGCTTCTCAAGAGGCCGAGGCAGGAGAAAAAAAAAAAAGATAATTAGATCATGAGGGCTCTGCCCTCTTGAATAGATAAATACTGTTATCATGGGAGTGGCTCCTGATGGATGGACGACATTTGGCCCAATTTCGTGTCTCTCATTTGCTTCCACCTTCTGCCCTTCCATCCTGGGACAGCCCTTTGCCAGATACTGCATGAAGTTCTTGCACTTTCCAGCCCCTAAAACTGTGAAGCTCTGAGCAAAATAAACTTTGCTTCTTTTGTTTTGTTTTAAGACAGAGTCTCACTGTCACCCAGGTTGGAGTGCAACGGCATGATCTCGGCTCACTGCAACCTCTGCCTCCCAGGTTCAAGTGATTCTCCTGCTTCAGCCTCCTGAGTAGCTGGGATTACAGGCACCCACCACCACGCCCAGCTAATTTTTCTATTTTTAGTAGAGACAGGCTTTCACCAGGTTGGCCAGGCTGGTCTTGAACTCCTGACCTCAGGTGATCCACCCGCCTCGGCCTCCCAAAGTGCTGGGATTAAAGACATGAGCCACCGCACCCGGCCGAGTCTCACTCTTTACCCAGGCTGGAGTGCAGTGGAGAAATCTCAGCTCACTGCAACCTTCGTCTCCCGGGTTCAAGCGATTCTCCTGCCTCAGCCTCCCGAGTAGCTGGGATTACAGGCACAAACTACCACGCCCAGCTAATTTTTGTATTTTTAGTAGAGACGGGGTTTTACCATGTTGGCCAGGCTGGTCTCGAACTCCTGATCTCAAGTGATTCACCGGCCTTGGGCTCCCAAAGTGTTGGGATTACAGGCGTAGCCACCACACCTGGCCTCTTTCTTTCTTTTATGAGACAGGGTCTCCCTCTCTTGCCCAGGCTGGAATGCAGTGGTGTGCCCACAGCTTACTGTGGCCTCAACCTCCTGGGCTCAAACAGTCTTCCCATGTCAGCCTCCCAAGAAGCTGGGACTACAGATGTGTGCAACCACACCCAACTATTTTTTTTGTTTTTTCGTAGAGACGGGGTCTCACTTTGTTGCCCAGGCTCCCTTTTTTATTTTAAATTTTTTTTAATTTTATTATTATTATTTTGAGATGGAGTTTCACTCTTGTTGCCCAGGCTAGAGTACAATGGCGCAATCTCCACTCACTGCAGCGTACGCCTCCGGGGTTCAAGCAATTCCCCTGCCTCAGCCGCCTGAGTAGCTGGGATTACAGGCACGTGCCACCACGCCTGGCTAATTTTTTGGGTTTTTAGTAGAGACAAGGTTTCACCCTGTTGGCCAGGCTGGTCTTGAACTCCTGACCTCAGGTGATCCACCCGCCTCGGCCTCCCAAAGTGCTGGGATTACAGGCATGAGCCACCACGCCCGGCCAATTTTTATTTTTTTGAGACAAAGTCTCTGTTGCCCAGGCTGGAGTGCAGTGTCCCAATCTTGGCTCACTGCAGCCTCCACCTCCCTGGTTCAAGAGATTCTCCTTTGTCAGCCTCTGGAGCAGCTGCGATTACAGGCGCCCACCACCATGCCTGGCTAATTTTTATATTTTTAGTAGACACAGGGTTTCACCATATTGGCCAGGTTGGTCTCAAACTCCTGACCTCAAGCAATAACGTCCGCCTCAGCCTCACAAAGTGCTGTGATTATAGGCATGAGCCATCACGCCCGGCCCTGTCATTTTTAAAAGATCATTTTAAATGCACTGTGCTAATTTTACTGCTGATGGGCAAGAGTGGAATCAAGAAAACTAGTTAGGAGGCTACTGCTGTAATTGAAGGGAAAGATGACAGTGTGCAGTCTCGAATAGGGTGATTTTGGAATATGCTTTGATGAGCAAAGGTAGAGCTGTCAGTATTTGCTGCTGAATTGGTTGAAAGGTGAGAGAGACTGGAGTCAAGGACTACTCCAGGGTTTTTAAAACCAGTATTGGGAAAAATGGAGTTGTCATACAGTAAAGTAGAGAAGACTGGGGGAGGAGCCGGTAGGAGGACTGGAAATGTGGAATTGGGGTTTAGACACATTAAGTTCATTGCATCAGGTGGACGTGTTGTATTGAGTAGGCAGTTGGAGATACAGACCTGGAGTCTGTGGGAGACAGTGGGGTTTCTTTGGTGGGGGGGTCATCGGCATCTAAGTGCTATTCGAAGTCATGGGACTGCAGAAGATTATATTAACAATGTGAATATTCACAAGCTTGAAAAAATGAATGTACGGAAGAGAGGGGGTCACACTTTACCTCTTATTATCCCACCCCCAGGGGTGACCTTGTGAGCCACACCACACAGGTACACACATGCACGCATATGTACACACACTGTCACAGAGGGGCAAAGGGGGTTGGCGAGAGCGGGACTGAGAGCAGATCCCAGGCCTCAGAAACCCATGCCACCTGGGCCCCCTCCCTGTGGCCTTCCTGGATGCTGTAGGGATAGCAGATCTGTCTGGGTCAGCAGGTCAGGGCGACTGGCAGGAGGGGGTGGCTGGGAGGCCTCTTCCTCCAAGAGCAGGGGCAGCACATCATCCAACAGGCAGAGAAGACCCTCATCCGAGGTAGGGGCAGGTCAGGGTGGAGTGCCTGCCTCCTTCCCCCAGTGCCCCACACAAAGCTCCAAGAGCTCCAACAGGCTCCTGTCTGTTTCCACTTCCCAGGCTTTCTGTGGTCATGTCCCTGCCCACTCCAAAGGGCCATCCCCCTCAGCCTTGCCTCCCTCTCAGACCCAGCTGAATCCCTGCCTCGGTACCGCCCCCTCCTGGGGCACTCCTGCCCCCTTCCTCTGCTGCATCCTCACCTAGCCTCCTATCTGTTCACACCTCCCCTGCACCAGACCTCCACAGAAGTTCAGACAGTGGCTCTACAACCCTACTGGCCCCTATCAATGACTCCTGCCCCCCTGGGACCCTCCACTGGGCTCAGGAAAGACGGGCCATTGTAGCAAAGTAGCCAGTCCTGTAGCCCCAGCTGGACCTCCTGGTGAGGCAGCTTGCCAGATGGTGGGGATCGCTCAGTCCTCTGGGGCAGAACAGGGTGAGTGGGGCTGTCTCCCTTTGATTCACTTAGCCCTCTTTCTTCTTTACACATTTGCAAAATGTGACAGTAGTCATATTACTATTCATTCTAATAACAGTCCTTGCTGGCTATTAAACCTCTATACTAGCACTTTCAGGCATTATCTCCACCATTACTAAAACCGATTAGATAGGTATTATTATACCCATTTTACAGATAAGAAAGACTCAGAGGGCCGGTCGCGGTGGCTCATGCCTGTATGCCCAGCAATCTGAGAGGCCGAGGCGGGCGGATCACCTAAGGTCGAGAGTTTGAGACCAGCCTGACCAACATGGAGAAACCCCGTCTCTACCGAACATACAAAATTAGCCGGTATCCCAGCTACTTGGGAGGCTGAGGCAGGAGAATCACTTGAATCTGGGAAGCGGAGATTGTGGTGAGCCGAGATTGCCCCATTGCACTCCAGCCTAGGCAACAAGAGCGAAACTCTGTCTCAGAAAATAAAAAAAAAAGAAAGAAAGAAAGAAAAGAAAGACTGAGAGAAAGCAAGGAACTTGCCTGAGGTCTCATGGCTAATGGGGTCCAAGTCACAACCTGACTCTACCCCAAGCCAATTCCCACCTAACTCCTCCTGCAGATGCCCCTTGGTTATCCAGAGACTGTGTCTGGCCTTTAATATGGACTTGAGGTGTGATCCTGGGCTGGCTTCTTTCTGGACCTTGGTTTCTGAGTTTTTCGGTTGGTTGGTTCATTTGATTAATTGACAGGGTCTCACTCTGTCACCCAGGCTGGAGTGCAGTGGCCCCATCATGCTCACTGCACCCTCCAACTCCTGGGCTCAAGGAATGGTGCCACTGTGCTGATTTTTAAATTTTCTTTATTTTTGTAGAGATGGGGGTCTCACTGTGTTGCTCTGGCTGGTCTCCAACTCCGGGGCTTGAGCGATCCTCCTGCCTCCGCCTCCCAAAGCGCTGGCATTACAGGCGACAGCCATCGCGCCTAGCTGCGCTGGTAAAACTGGCTAACGCGATCTATCTTAATTAGCCACCCACAGCTGCTACCGCCGCCCCATCCCCAGGGACCACACAGACCCAGGGGACAAAGAAGGGCGCGGGAGACAGCGGCTGAGGAAGCCTTTACTGCGGGGCGGCCGGAGGATCGCCGAGCTCAGGGTCCCCCACCGCACCGCGCCCGGCCTCGTCCTCTGCCCCAGGCCCGGCCCCGCCCCCAGCCTCGGCCCCAGCCTCGGCCTTTGCCGGAACGTCGCCGAACACTTCCCGGTGCATGGCGGTGACGTAGTTGGAGCCGCTGGGGTCGTCCAGGCGCATCCGCAGCAGGGGCAGGAAGCGCTCGGTGGTGAAGTAGCGCAGGGTCGGCTTCGGGGCGCGCAAAGCGGTGAGGAAGACCTGCGGCGGCGGGAGGAGAGCTGTGGCCACCGCTGCGCGCCGGAGGACGCACCGCCCCCACTCCTGGAGTCCAGCCCGGCGCTCACCTCCGCCACCTCCTCAGGGTTCTGCGCCGCCTCGCGAAAGACTTGCTTGCTGTGGGCGAGGTATTGGTAGAAGCGGTGGAAGGTGTGGATGTCCGTGCGGTCCAGCACCTCCTCTGGGCTGCCCAACACCTTCTCCATGAAGGCGGTGTGCACTGGGCCGCACTCGATCAGGCTCAAGCTGCTGGCCGGAGAGCAACGAGTGGGAGGGGGCGGACGCCAGCCAGGCCCCAGTCCCAGCCCCAACCCCAGTCCCAGCCCCAACCACGTCCCGGCCCCCGACCGCGAGCAGCACCGCTGCGCTGGGAAGTGAGGCGGAAAGGGCGCTGGGGATAACCAGAACATTTGAAACGCGGGTTCCTGCCGGAGCAGCCCTCCCAAATCCATCTGAGGCTACAAGGGAGCCCTGGTGTCAGGATTCGAATCTAGCGGGGTCCCTGGCCGCTGTGTGACCTTGGGCCAGTCACCTAACCTCTCTGGGCTGGAGCTTCCCCATAACAATACCAACACTTCAGCAGCTAGGTCAGCAGGTGGCACAATGCGTGCCATGCGCCCAGCCCAAGTGCCTGGCACACAGCTAATGTGAGCCGGGCAGAGAGGGCCAGGGAGATCGCCCCAGAGCGGCTCCCGCAGGACAGGGTGCTCGGCGTCTCTAGGTCAGAGTTAAGAGGGTTCGGGGAACGGGGGTGTTGACTCACTGGACCCCAAAGGGCAGCAGCAGAACCGCCAGACTCTCGCATAAGCCTTCGAGCGCGAACTTGCTGGCGCAATAAACGTCATTGAAAGGCAGCCCTTAGGTGGGGAGACGAGGTTCCTGAGGCGCAGCGGCCAGGGGGTCATCCCCGGGCAGACGGTGCCCCTCCAAGCTGACGGCACCCCACTCCACCCCCCCCGCGGAACCTGCCTTCAAGGCTCAGCTCCGCACACAAAGAATCTGGAGCTGCCGAGGCCACTCCCTACCACTCACCCATCAATCCTCCCACGCTCCCGGTCACCAACACGCGTCCCGAACCGCGCCTCTTCATGTCTGGCAGGAAGGCCTGCAGCATCCGCACAGTCCCTACTACATTCACGTCCAGCACAGAGGCCACGGCGTCCTCCCCCAGCGCCTCCAGCGGCCCCAGCAGGCCCAGGCCTGCGTTACACACTGCGGAGACAAGAGGCCCGACCAGCCCGCCTCAGCATCACCCTCAGCACGGCCTGTCCCCTCGTGCTCCCTGGGCCTGGGAACATGTTGGTTTCAACGCAGGGCGGAGAAGGCTCCTAGGAGCCCATATGCTTCCAGGAGGCTCACCCAGCACGTCCACGCGGCCCTCAGTCACGCGTTCCCGGGCAGCGGCCACGGATTTTGAGTCCCTTACGTCCAGCTGCAACGTCTCCAGGGATCCCGGAGGGCATGCCAGGGCCCGGGCCGCCTCCCACAGCCGGCCCTGTGTTTTCAGGTCCCTCAACGTGGCATACACTGGAGGTTTTGGGAGAGGAGGAAGATCTGACTTCCCTTCTGGCCTCCAAGGGCTCCTCCCTTCTCTCCCTCCCTGTCCCTGCCTATCTATACCTTTGAAGCTCTGGGATGGATCTGAAGCCAGACGTACGGCCAAGTGCAGGCCGATGCCCGAGGAACAGCCGGTGATGAGCACCACGGTGCGGGCCATGGTGAGACTGTGGGGAGAGGCTGGGGCTCTGGGCTTGATATCACCTGCTTCGCCCCGCCCCGCCTGCGGGCCCCCACCCCTTGTTGTGTCTCCCACGCAATCTCAAGGATAAGCCTTCCTGCGGGTCCCTGGCCCGCTCTCCCCACCCTGTTCTGAGCCAAAACAGACATGAGCCCACTGCTTGGAACAACAAACTGTCCTGGTTGCTGGTCAGAGGGAGGGGAGGCTTTACAAGCAGGTGTGGGTTCCCACGTGGGCACAGAGTGGCCCCCTGGGCAGATTCCCCTGGGTATGCCTCTGTGCCACAGGAGCGATTATAGTGACCGCAGTTTGCTGCAGAGGCTGTGAAAGTAAAGGCGTTGGGAGGTGGGAGATGATTGTATATGTGCTGGTTTCGTCCAGGGTTCCTAGCTCATAACTCACATGACCATGGTTACAGTCTTACGTTGTCATGTTGGGGTGCCTCAGGCCTCAAAAAACAGCCTTTCGTCTCTCTGACCTTCTCCTGTCCTCTTTTCAGCTGCCCAAGGCAGGACTCTAATCTGATTGTGGGTTGTAGGATCCTCATTCCAGAGTGGGTCCTTGCCCCATACCCTGGAGAAAGGAATGCTGCACAAAGGCCCAAAGAATCTGGACTGGCCTTGCTGGGCTTAGATCAGACCCTTTTTGCCCAATCACATTATCACAGTTGTCCATGCTTCAGTCATGGACAGCCAATGGAGTTCTCCATAAAAGGCCCAAAGGACAGGGTTCGGGAGCTTCTGAGGGCTGAACGTGTGGAGGCTGACAGAATGTGCCCAGAGGGTGACGTAACCCCAACTCTATGGAGATAGAAGCTCCTGCTCTGGACCCTTCCAGACCGCCCTGTCTGTATCTCTTCATATGGCTGTTTATTTCTATCCTTTAAAATATGCTTTGAGGCTGGGCACGGTGGCTCATGCCTGTAATCCCAGCACTTTGGGAGGCCCAGGAAAGGGGATTGTTGGAGCCCAGGAGTTCAAGACCAGGCCAGGTAACAGAGTGAGACCCGGTCTCTGCAAAAAATATTAAAAAGCTTCCCAAGTAGCCGGGACTACAGGTGTGTGCCATCACTGCCACCATACCCAGCTAATTTTTTGACTTTTTTGTAGAGACGGGGTCTCACTTTGTTTCCCAGGCTTTTTTTTATTTTTGAGACAAAGTATTGCTTAGGTTGGAGTGCAGTGTCTTAATCTTGGCTCACTGCATCCTGCATCTGCCTGGTTCAGGCGATTCTCCTGCATCAGCCTCCCGAGTAGCTGGGATTACAGGCACCCGCCACCACGCCCAGCTAATTTTTAGTATTTTTAGTAGAGACGGAGTTTCACCATGTTGGCCAGGCTGGTCTCAAACCCCTGATGTCAAGCGATCTGCCCACCTCAGCCTCCCAAAGTGCTCGGATTATAAAAAAGTGCCACCCCACCTGGCCCTGTCATTTTTAGAAGATTATTTTATTTTGAGACGGAGTTTCGCGCTTCTTGCCCAGGCTGGAGTGCTGTGGCACGATTCTGGCTCACTGCAACCTCCACCTCCCGGGTTCAAGCAGTTCTCCTGTCTCAGCCTCCCAAGTAGTTGGGATTACAGACACGTCCCACCACATCCGGCTAATTTTTGTATTTTTAGTAGAGATGGGGTTTCTCCCTGTTGGTGAGGATGGTCTTGAACTCCCAACCTAAGGGGATCAGCCAGCCTCCACCTCCCAAAGTGCTGGTATTACAGGCGTGAGCCACTGTGCCCATCCTAAAAGATCATTTTAACTGCTCTGGGGTAATTTCACTGCTGATGGGCAGGAGTGGAATCAAGAAAACTAGTTAGGAGGCTACTGCTGTAATTGAAGGGAGAGATGACAGTGTGCAGTCTGGAATAGGGTGATTTGGGGATATGCTTTGATGAGCAAAGGTAGAGCTGTCAGTATTTGCTGCTGAATTGGTTGAAAGGTGAGAGAGACTGGAGTCAAGGACTACTCCAGGGTTTTTAAAACCAGTATTGGGAAAAATGGAGTTGTCATATAGTAAAGTAGAGAAGACTGGGGGAGGAGCCGGTAGGAGGACTGGAAATGTGGAATTGGGGTTTAGACACATTAAGTTCATTGTATCAGGTGGACGTGTTGTATTGAGTAGGCAGTTGGAGATACAGACCTGGAGTCTGTGGGAGACAGTGGGGTTTCTTTGGTGGGGGGGTCATCGGCATCTAAGTGCTATTCGAAGTCATGGGACTGCAGAAGATTATATTAACAATGTGAATATTCACAAGCTTGAAAAAATGAATGTACGGAAGAGAGGGGGTCACACTTTACCTCTTATTATCCCACCCCCAGGGGTGACCTTGTGAGCCACACCACACAGGTACACACATGCACGCATATGTACACACACTGTCACAGAGGGGCAAAGGGGGTTGGCGAGAGCGGGACTGAGAGCAGATCCCAGGCCTCAGAAACCCATGCCACCTGGGCCCCCTCCCTGTGGCCTTCCTGGATGCTGTAGGGATAGCAGATCTGTCTGGGTCAGCAGGGCAAGGCGACTGGCAGGAGGGGGTGGCTGGGAGGCCTCTTCCTCCAAGAGCAGGGGCAGCACATCATCCAACAGGCAGAGAAGACCCTCATCCAGAGGTAGGGGCAGGTCAGGGTGGAGTGCCTGCCTCCTTCCCCTAGTGCCCCACACAAAGCTCCAAGAGCTCCAGCAGGCTCCTGTCTGTTTCCACTTCCCAGGCTTTCTGTGGTCATGTCCCTGCCCACTCCAAAGGGCCATCCCCCTCAGCCTTCCCTCCCTCTCAGACCCAGCTGAATCCCTGCCTCGGTACCGCCCCCTCCTGGGGCACTCCTGCCCCCTTCCTCTGCTGCATCCTCACCTAGCCTCCTATCTGTTCACACCTCCCCTGCACCAGACCTCCACAGAAGTTCAGACAGTGGCTCTACAACCCTACTGGCCCCTATCAATGACTTCTGCCCCCCTGGGACCCTCCACTGGGCTCAGGAAAGATGGGCCATTGTAGCAAAGTAGCCAGTCCTGTAGCCCCAGCTGGACCTCCTGGTGAGGCAGCTTCCCAGATGGTGGGGATCGCTCAGTCCTCTGGGGCAGAACAGGGTGAGTGGGGCTGTCTCCCTTTGATTCACTTAGCCCTCTTTCTTCTTTACACATTTGCAAAATGTGACAGTAGTCATATTACTATTCATTCTAATAACAGTCCTTGCTGGGTATTAAACCTCTATACTAGCACTTTCAGGCATTATCTCCACCATTACTAAAACCGATTAGATAGGTATTATTATACCCATTTTACAGATAAGAAAGACTCAGAGGGCCGGATGGGGTGGGTCATGCCTGTAATCCCAGCACTCTGAGAGGCCAGGGCGGGCGGATCACCTGAGGTCGGGAGTCCAAGACCAGTCTGACCAACATGGAGAAACCTCGTCTCTACTAAAAATACAAAATTAGCTGGGCGTGGTGGCACATGCCTGCAATCCTAGCTACACTTGAACCCGGGAGGCAGAGGTTGTGGTGAACTGAGACCGCGCTATTGCACTCCAGGCTGGGCAACAAGAGTGAAACTCCGTCTCAAAACAAAAGAAAAACAAAAAAGAAAAGAAAAGGGAAAGGAAAGGAAAGCACTCAGAGAAAGCAAGGAACTTGCCTGAGGTCTCATGGCTAATGGAGTGCAGGTCACAACCTGACTCTACCCCAACCCAAGTCCCACCTAACTCGTCCTGCAGATGCCCCTTGGGTATCCAGTGACTGTGTCTGGGCTTTACTGTGGACTTGAGGCATGATCCTGGGCTGGCTTCTTTCTGGACCTTGGTTTCTGGGTTGTTGGGTTGGTTGGTTGATTAGATTAATTAATTGACAGTGTCTCACTCTATCGCCCAAGCTGGAGAGCAGTAGCTCGATCATGCCCACTGCAGCCTCCAACTCCTGAGCTCAAGGAATGGTGCCACTGTGCTAATTTTTTTATTTTAGAGATGGGGTGTCTCACTATGTTGCTCAGGCTGGTCTGGAACTCCTGGCCTGGAGCGATCCTCCTGCCTCGGCCTTCCAAAGCTCTGGGATTATAGGCGACAGCCATCGCGCCTAGCCGCGCAGATATAACGGGCTAACGTGATCTGTCTTAATTAGCCATCCACAGCCGTCACCGCCGTCCCATCCCCAGGGACCGCACAGGCCCAGGAGACAAAGGAGGGCGCGGGAGACAGTGGCTGACGGAGCCTTTCTTGCGGGGCGGCCAGAGGATCGCTGAGCTCAGGGTCTCCCATCCCACCGGCCCCGCCCCCGGCCTCGGCCCCAGCCCCGGCCCCAGCCTCGGCCTCTGCGGGATCGTCGGCGAACACGTCCCGGTGCATGGCGGCGGCGTAGTCGAAGCCAAAGGGGTCGTCCAGGCGCATCAGCAGCTGGTGCAGGAAGCGCCTGGTTGTGAAGTAGCGCAGGGTCGGCTTCGGGGCGCGCATAGCGGTGAGGAAGACCTGCGGCGGCGGGAGAGGAGCTCTGGCCCGGGCTGCGCGCAGGACGACGCACCGCCCCCGCTCCCGGAGTCCCGCCCCCCGCTCACCTTCACCACCTCCTCAGGGTGCTGCGCCTCCTCGCGGTAGATCTCCTTGCTGTGGTGGAGGTATTAGTGCAAGAGGCGGAAGGTCCGGGTGTTCGTGCGGTCCATCACCTGGTCGGGACCGCCCAACACCTTCTGCATGAAGGCGGTGTCCACAGGGCCGCACTCGATCAGGCTCACGCTGCTGGCCCGAGAGCCGCAAGTGGGCAGGGACGGAGGCGACCCAGGCGCCAAGTCCCATCTCCTGCCCCAGCACCGGCCCCGACCCCGGCCCTGGCCACGACCCAGAACAGCACCGCTGCGTCCCGAAGGTGGAAAGAGCGCTGGGGATAACCAGAACATTTGAATAGCGGGTTATTGCTCGACAGCCCTCCCAAACCCATCTGAGGCTGCCAGGTAGCCCTGGTGTCAGAATTCGAACCTGGCGGGATCCCCGGCCGCTGCATGACCTTGGGCCAGTCACCTAACCTCTCTTGGCTGGAGCTTCCCCATAACAATACCAACACTTCAGCAGCCAGGTCAGCAAGTGGCACAATGCGTGCCAATGCTCCAGCCTAAGTGCCTGGCACGCAGCAAATGTAAGCCGGGCAGAGACCAGAGCGGCTTCCGCAGGACAGGGTGCTCGGCATCTCTAGGTCAGAGTTAAGAGGGTTGAGGAGACGGGGGTGTTGACTCACTGGACCCCAAAGGGCAGCAGCAGAACCGCCAGACTCTCGCATAAGCCTTCGAGCGCGAACTTGCTGGCGCAATAAACGTCATTGAAAGGCAGCCCTTGGGTGGGAAGATGAGGTTCCTGAGGCGCAGCGGCCAGGGGGTCATCCCCCGGCAGGCAGTGCCCCTCCAAGCTGATTGCACCCCACCCCCTAAGGAGCCTGCCTTCAAGGCTCAGCTCTGCACACAAAGAATCTGGAGCTCCGGGCCCGGTCCCTGCCACTCACCCATCAATCCTCCCATGCTCCCAGTCACCAACACGCGTCCCGAACCCGGCCGCTTCATGTCTGGCAGGAAGTCCTGCAGCACCCGCACAGTACCTACTACATTCACATCCAGTACAGAGGCCACAGCGTCCTCCCCCAGCGGCCCCAGCAGGCCCAGGCCTGTGTCACACACTGCGGGGACAGAGGCCCAACCAGCCCGCCTCAGCATCACCCTCAGCACGGCCTGTCCCCTCATGCTCCAGGGGCCTGGGGACATGTTGGTTTCAACGCAGGGCGGAGAAGGCTCCTAGGAGCCCATATGCTTCCAGGAGGCTCACCCAGCACATCCACACGGCCCTCGGTCACGCGTTCCCGGGCAGCGGCCAGGGAGCTTGAGTTCCTTACATCCAGCTGCAACCTCTCCAGGGATCCCTGAGGGCATGCCAGGGCCCGGGCCGCCTCCCACAGCCGGCCCTGTGTTTTCAGGTCCCTCAACGTGGCATACACTGGAGGTTTTGGGAGAGGAGGAAGATCTGACTTCTCTTCTGGCCTCCAAGGGCTTTTCCCTTCTCTCCCTCCCTGTCCCTACCTATCTATACCTTTGAAGCTCTGGGATGGGTCCAAAGCCAGATGTATTGCCAAGTGCAGGCCAATACCTGAGGAACAGCCGGTGATGAGCACCACGGTGCAGGCCATGGTGAGACTGTGGGGAGAGGCTGGGGCTCTGGGCTGGATATCACCTGCTTCGCCCCGCCCCGCCTGCGGGCCCCCACCCCTTGTTGTGTCTCCCACGCAATCTCAAGGATAAGCCCTCCTGCGGGTCCCTGGCCCGCTCTCCCCACCCTGTTCTGAGCCAAAACAGACATGAGCCCACTGCTTGGAACAACAAACTGTCCTCGTTTCTGGTCAGAGGGAGGGGAGGCTTTACAAGCAGATGTGGGTTCCCACGTGGGCACAGAGTGGCCCCCTGGGCAGATTCCCCTGGGTATGCCTCTGTGCCACAGGAGCGATTATAGTGACCGCAGTTTGCTGCAGAGGCTGTGAAAGTAAAGGTGTTGGGAGGTGGGAGATGATTGTATATGTGTTGGTTTCGTCCAGGGTTCCTAGCTCATAACTCACATGACCATGGTTACAGTCTTTCGTTGTCATGTTGGGGCGCCTCAGGCCTCAAAAAACAGCCTTTCCTCTCTTTGACCTTCTCCTGTCCTCTTTTCAGCTGCCCAAGGCAGGATTCTAATCTGATTGTGGGTTGTAGGATCCTCATTCCAGAGTGGGTCCTTGCCCCATACCCTGGAGAAAGGAATGCTGCACAAAGGCCCAAAGAATCTGGACTGGCCTTGCTGGGCTTAGATCAGACCCTTTTTGCCCAATCACATTATCACAGTTGTCCATGCTTCAGTCATGGACAGCCAATGGAGTTCTCCATAAAAGGCCCAAAGGACAGGGTTCGGGAAGCTTCTGAGAGCTGAACGTGTGGAGGCTGACAGAAGGTGAAGAACTCATCCATGTGCCTGGAGGGTGATGTAACCCCAACTCTATGGAGATAGAAGCTCCTGCTCTGGGCCCTTCCAGACCGCCCTGTCTGTATCTCTTCATATGGCTGTTTATTTCTATCCTTTAAAATATCCTTTGAGGTTGGGCACGGTGGCTGATGCCTGTAATCCCAGCACTTTGGGAGGCCAAGGCAAGGGGATTGCTGGAGCTCAGGAGTTCAAGACCAGCCAGGGCAACAGAATGAGACCCCGTCTTTGCAAAAACTACAAAAAAATTAGCTGGGTGTGGTGGTGTATGCTTAGAGTCCCAGCCACTTGCGGGGTGGGGCGCTGAGGCGTGGGGTTTGGGGGGATGGAGGCTGTAGTGAGCCGAGATCATGCCACTGCACTCCAGCCTGGGTGACGGAGCCAGATCCTGCCACTGCAGTCATTCTGGATGACAGAGTGAGACCCTGTCTCAAAAAAGAAAGAAAAAAATTTTTTTCCTCTGTAATAAAGCAATAAACATAATAAGGGTTTCCCTGTGTTTCGTGGGTCACTGTCGCAAATGAGTTGACTCCAAAGAGGGGAAGGGGGTCATGGGAACTCCAACTTGAAGCCAGTTAGTCAGAAGTTCCAGGGATCAGGACTTGTAACCGTTGGGAAGGAGGGGGTGGTCTCATGGATCTGCACCCTAACCCTGTGGGATCTGATGCTGTCTCTGGTTGATTACATTGGAACTGAATTGGAGGACACCCAGCTGATGTCTGCTGCTTGGTGTGTGTGGGGAAAATCCTCCAAATATTTGGTCACAGAAGTCTTCTGTGTTGGTGACTGTTGCTGTGGCATGCCAGCAAAGGACAAACATGGTTTGAAAAGAGGTTTTCCTGCAACAGAAGGGCATTCTACGTTCAAAGGTCAGGGTAACATTAGTGTTAAAAAGAGAGACGTGGCCGGGCACGGTGGCTCACTCCTGTAATCCCAGCACTTTGGAAGGCCGAGGCAGGTGGATCACTTGAGTTCAGGAGTTAAAGACCAGCCTGGCCAACATGGTGAAACCTTATCTCTATGAAAAATACAAAAATTAGCCGGGCGTGATGGCACAGGCCCGTAGTCCTAACTCCCTGGTAGACTGAGGCAGGAGAATTGCTTGAACCCGGGAGGCAGAGGTTGCAGTAAACCAATATGGTGCCACTAAACTCCAACCTGGGCGACAGAGCAAGACTCCATCTTGGAAAAAAAAAAATTAGCCTGGCGTGGTGGTGCATGCCTATAGTCCCAGCTACCGGGGAGGCTGAGGCACAAGAATTGCTTGAACCCAGGAGGCGGAGGTTGCAGTGAGCCGAGACTGTGCCATTGTACTCAAGCCTGGGCAACAGACCAAGGCTCCGTCACAAACAAACAAACAAACAAAAACAGGGACGTGAGGCAAGGGATGGGAGAACAGGTCCCACCCCAGGGCCATGCTATAGCCCTGAGTCCTCCCAAGCGTGGCAGCAGTGACCTTCTCATTTTGACAGACCCAGGGGACTCATCAGTTTAAGTGGAAAGAAAACAGTACTTTAATCCCACACTTTGGGTGGTGGTGGAGGGCAGGTCATTTCCCTCCAATCCCCCCAGGTCAGACCCCACCAGCAGGCCGTGGGGCCTCCTCCCAGGCCTGGGTTATCCTGTGATGTCTGTCCAGCTCTGGGCCCTGGAATCTGCCCTGGAATTAGCGGAAAACAAGGCCCAGTGGTGGCGAATCTATCACCAAGAGCCGGCCACCCAGCGGGGGTAATATTTGAGGAAGATCTTCTTGGCCAGGTCCACAGTGTCTCCTCGCGGCTGGCTGGGGTACCTCTGCTTGCTGAGAACGAAGGCCTGCTCCAGTTGGAAGACATTTTTGTCAAACTGGTGCTGTTGGAAAGGGATGCCCTGGGCCACACTGTCAACCAGCGCCTCCAGGAAAAGCCGCCAGCGAGGGGTGTAGTAGTTGGCCACCAACCCCGCCAGCTGCTTGTTGGCATAGTCCAGGATGTTGCCTTCTGGCCCCCACAAGGTCAGCTGGTAGCGGCTGTTCTGCTCGTAGAAATCGGCCTCGGCCTCACTGACTGCCGCTGCTCGGGCCTGCTCTAGCCAGCTGCCCAGCAAGAAGCGGCTGTCACTAGCCAGCACCTCGTCCAGTGCCGGCAGCAGCTCATAGGCCAGGACGCCTCCAGCCCTCAACAGGGAGGCCAGCTCCTTGCTCAGGTAGGCGCTTCTTGCCTCCTCATAGTACAAGCTGACCAGCTCCTGCACTGCCTGCCGAGTGAGGTCCAGCAGGTCGTAGCGGAAGGCGGGGCTGGTGGCCAGGGAGGGAGCAGATGTGAGCAGCAGCCGCCAGGCCTCAAACACATCAGATCGGTTGTACCAGATGCTGGTATTCATCTGTAGGGACGGCCGCCTGACCAGCGGGCTACGATTGTGGCCCCTGCAGGCCTCCCCGGAGCAGTTGTACACACTCCGGAGCAGTAGCCTCCACGCTGCCCCTGCGTCCGGGTGGGAGACCCCATACCGCCGGGCGGCAAAGCTGGTCACCCAGGCTGCCAAATCTGGCACTGGGTCCTTTCGCCAGCCCAGCTCAGCCATGAGGGAATAGACCACTTCGTTCTGGCTGATGCCCTCGGGGGCCATGCCCGTGCCTACCATGGTGGAGTTGGGGAAGAGGCGGGCAGCTTCTGGGCCTCCGTTCACAGCCTCTAGGGCTCCAAAAAGACCATGGTTTCCCCCAAAGTTGTGCAGCATGCACCAGATGAAGGGCTGGCCCTGGAAGGAGGCAGTGCGGGTATACACAGGCTGGCTCTCAGCAAACAGGTCCAGAACCAGGAGGCGGCCACGGGGCACAGCTCCCAGCACAGCCCTGATCTGGGCGGGCCCCCAGAACTGCGGCTGGTGCTGGAAGAGCCAGCCTTGGAGCAGCCACACAGCCTCAGTATCCACTGTGGACAGGAGGTAGGGGGAACAGAGAAGAGGAGTGATGAAACAGAGGGCCCAGGGAATGTTCACCCCACTCTACAGACGACTGTCTATCCCAGGTCATGGCTTCCCATGACCCCCACCAGCGGGACGCTCTGTGGCACATACGCGTCCCTCTGAAAACTCCAGGACAGGGTTCAGCAGCTTGGGTGAACATGAGAGTTACCCAGAGGGCTCCTTAAAACATGGAGGTTTCTGAATGGGCGTGGTGGCCCACACCTATAATCCCAGTACTCTGAGGGGCTGAAGCAGGTGGATCACTTGAGCCCAGGAGTTCCAGACCAGCCTGGCCAATGTGGGGAAACCCTGTCTATACTAAAAATACAAAAATTAGCCTAGCGTAATGGCAGGTGCCTGTAATCCCGGCTACTCGGGAGGTAGAGGCACAAGAATCACTTGAACCCATGAGGCAGAAGTTGCAGTGAGCTGAGATTGTGCCACTGCACTCCAGTCTGGGCGACAGAGTAAGATTCTGTCTCAAAAACAAAATCAAGGCCAGTCGCAGTGGATCACGCCTGTAATACCAGTACTTTGGGAGGCTGAGGTGGGCAGTTCACCTGAGGTCAGGAGTTTGAGACCAGTCTGGCCACCATGGTGAAACCTGTTTCTACTAAAAATACAAAAATTGGCCAGGCAAGGTGGCTCACACCTGTAATCCCAGCACTTTGGGAGGCTGAAGTGGGCGAATCATTTGAGGTCAGGAGTTTGAAACCAGCTTGACCTACATAGCGAAACCCCGTCTCTACTAAAAATACAAAAATTAGCCGAGTGTGGTTGGGGGGCGCCTGTAATCCCAGCTACTCAGGAGGCTGAGGCAGGAGAATCGCTTGAACTCAGGAAGCAGAGGTTGCAGTGAACTGAGATCGTGCCACTGCACTCCAGCCTGGGTGACAGAGCGAGACTCTATCTCAAAACAAACAAAAATTGCCGGGCGTGGTGGCGGGTGCCTATAGTCCCAGCTACTCGGGAGGCTGAGGCAGGAGAATCGCTTGAACCTAGGAGACGAAGGTTGCAGTGAGATGAGATTGTGCCACTGTGCTCCAGCCTCAGCAACAGAGTGAAATCTGTCTCAAAAAAAAAAAAAATGTAGCTTCTCCTTCAGGTCTTGGGTAGGGCCTGAGAATTTGCCATCTCACAGCTCGGGCTGCTGCTGCTGCTGCTGCTGGTTTTGGGTCACACTTGGAGCAGTACTGCTCAAGAAAGGCTGAGCTGATCTGTTCCCTTCCTGGCCAACACAGACGCCTCTCCACTAAGTCATTCCTGACTTGGGCGCCCTCTGCTCCACTCCTCCTTTAAGTGGCAGGAAGGAGCCCTGGCTTCACAGTTTTGTAGCAGGATGCGCACTTAGTGCCTTTAGGCACATCCACTCACCTCCTGCCTGCAGTGCCTACTTCAGCAACCACGCAGAGATGAAACAAAATCCTTGTTCATAGCTAGCTCTTAGTGGCCTTTGCTCTGGGCCAGGCGTTATTCTACCTATGAGGTAGTCCCAGTTTACAGGAAAAGCAAACGAGACACTGGGAAGGAGGTCATGAGTCATAAGTCACACGGCCAGGAAATAGGAGCGCGAGGTGTGACCCAGGTTGTTGGCTTCCAGAGCTCACCTCTCAACCACAGTGGGATTCACTGAGACAACGCATGTGTACACGTGCTTGGTAAACTATGAAGTACTGTGTGTTATGGCGAGGCATTATTCCAGTCCCTCTGCCTACCCCTACTGACATCTGCTACTCCCTTCTTTTTGAGGGTCTGGGGGGCTCTCCCACCCCACCCAGGCACTGTACCTGCAGTCATGGCCTCATAGACGGCAGTGGTGGCTGCGGCAAGGTAGGAGGGCTCTGAGGAAGGTGGCTGCATCTCATTGAAAGTGTCGGCCCCATAGATGTGGTCTGTGCCAAACTCTTTGATCAGCTCTCGCAGGAAGAGGCTCCCGATGATGGGGAATATGGGGTCTTCCGGAGCCAGAAGGAAGGAGCAGGAGTAGGAACAGTTAAAGTGGCCCCAACTGCCCATCTTCGTGACATTGACCTGAGGGAACACCCTAGTGGGGAGCAAAAGCTCAGATATTTCATGGAAGCCGCCATAGTGTTCACCATAGTGTTCAACAGCCTTGCCAACTTCTCTACAGCTCCTGGTTTCTCTTGCCTCTATGGCTTTGTACAGGCTATGCTCTCTGCCTACAGTCCTTTCTTCTCCTTCCCTGGCCACCTTCTCTGAAAAACTTTCACTATCTCTCCCCTTCCTGTGGCCTGAAACAAGCAACGCTCCTTTTTCTTTCTTTTTTTTTTTTTTTTTGAGGCAGAGTCTCACTCTGTCCCCCAGGCTGGAGTGCAGTGGCGCATTCTCAGCTCACTGCAAGCTCTGCCTCCCAGGTTCATGCCATTCTCCTGCCTCAGCCTCCCTAGTAGCTGGGACTACAGGTGCCCGCCACCACACCCGGCTAATTTTTTGTATTTTTAGTAGAGACTGAGTTTCACTGTGTTAGCCAGGATGGTCTCGATCTGCTGACCTTGTGATCCGCCCGTCTCGGCCTCCCAAAGTGCTGGGATTACAGGTGTGGGCCACCGCACCCAGCTTTTTTTTTTTTTTTTAATTATACTTTCAGTTCAGTTCTGTGCAGAACATGCAGGTTTGTTGCATAGGTATACATGTGCCATGGTGGTTTGCTGCACCCATCAACCCATCATCTAGGTTTTCAGCCCCGCATGCATTAAGTATCTGTCCCAATGCTACTCCTCCCCTTGACCCCCACACCGCGAAAGGCCCCGGTGTGTGATGTTCCCCTTCCTGTGTCCATGTTGTTCTCATTGTTCAACTCCCACTATGAGTGAGAACATGAGGTGTTTAATTTTCTTTCCTTTTTTTTTTTTTTTTTTTGAGACGGAGTCTCACTCTGTCACCCAGGCTGGAGTGAAGTGGTGTGATCTCGGCTCACTGCAGTCTCTGGCCCCTGGCTTCAAGAGATTCTCATGCCTCAGCCTACCGAGTAGCTGGGATTACAGGAGCCCGCCACCACGCCTGGCTAATTTTTGTACTTTTAGTAGAGATGGGGTTTCGCCATGTTGGCCAGGCTGGTCTTTAACTCCTGACCGCAGGTGATCCATACGCCTCAGCCTCCCAAAACGCTAGGATTACAAGCATTAGCCAAGCGTCCGTCCAAGCAACACTCATTTTTCAAGGCTGGGCTCTGCCCTGAGCCCTTCCTGCCCCTCTCTCCCGGCAGAGGAGAGCGGAACCCACATATATTCCTGTCCTTGTCCCCACATTGTATCCTTCAGCCAACATATCTCTCCTATCAGGGGTAAGCCCTTGGGCACCTTTCTTGCCGCCTCCCAGGACCCAGCACAGCCAGTTCTGGCAGCCTCAGACAGCTGGACCAAGTTTATTGAATGAATGAGTGAGTTTCCTGCCACCTGGTGATGGGGGCAAAGAGGCGGGCAGGGAGGCCACTGGCATGCATTAAGTCCTACGAGAGTATGGGAGCCAGACATTAGCAGGTGCAAAGGAGGTCATGCGGGGCACTAGCAAGGCTTCCTGAAGGAGGGGAGGTCTCAGGTGAGCCTTGAAGACTTTTCCCAACCACATGTGAGAGGATGGCTGGGAAGCACAGAGGAACAGGAGGGACAAGGGACACTGGAGCACCCCTGCTGCCACTCCCAAGGGCTGCCATTTGCTAGCACTCTGTGCAAAGTCACAGATAGATCGAGAGATAATTACAAACCCTACAGCGAAGTGGGTAGAGATCCCATTTTACAAGTAAGGAAACTGAGGCACAGAGCAGTCATGTCATCTGCCCGAAGTCACACAGCTAATTAGTAGCAGAGTCAGAAATCAAACCCAGGCCTACGTCCAGAGCTTGTTTGTTTGTTTGAGACAGAGTTTCGCTCGTCACCCAGGCTGGAGTGCAATGGCGTGATCTTGACTCACTGCAACGTCTGCCTCCCAGGTTTAAGCAATTCTCCTGTCTCAGCCTCCTAAGTAGATGGGATTACAGGCGCGTGCCACCATGCCCAGCTAATTTTTATATTTTTAGTAGAGACAGGGTTTCACCATGTTGGCCAGGCTGGTCTCGAACTCCTGACCTCAGGTGATCCGCCCAACTCGGCCTCCCAAAGTGCTGGGATTACAGGCGTGAGCCACTGCGCCCGGCCCAGAGCTTAAGTTTTTAAGTCATGTTCTAGAAGGGAATAAAATTCCCTCTCTGAGCTAAGTGGAGGGGGTGAGCGGAACCTCACCTGGTGACAGCCTCGGGAACATGCCCCGCGAATGCAGGCAGCACTGGGGTCATGCCGAAGGAGCGCATCTGGTCCAGGACCCGGTGCTGGAGGAACAGAAGGAAGGGTGGTGAGCATGGCCACTGCTGTCCTATGAGAAGGCCCTCATCTCCCAGGATACACGCAGCCCCCCGCCTCAGTTAAGAGCCCTGGGGCCGGCCTAATACCACCCTTCCTGGGCCCATGACCATCTATCACCGATTCTGCCCCTTCCCTTTTCCATCCTTTTACCTGCAGGTAAAGCTGCTTGATGTGCCAGGAGGGGGGCAGGGGGCCATCCCAGGTGTGCAGGTTGCCCATTCGCCCCCAGGCCAGGAAGGCAGGACCAGTAAAGAACTCATTGATCTCTGCCTGGGTCAGGCCCAAGGCCAGGTACACCTGAGGAAGAAGGGCCCACACATAGAAATATATTCATCTTCATTCATTCATTCATTCATTCAACAACCATTCACTCATTGCTTCTTTGTGCTGGGTGCTAGGGCTACTGAGACAAAATCCGAACGCTGCCATCAAGGAGCCCACAGCCCAGAGGAAAGAGACCTGTGAGTAGGTGAGTTCACTGTGTTGCCTTTGTCGCATGGGTGAGGAGATGGGGCACAAAGGGGCTTTCCCCCAACAGGAAGGCCTTAGAAGGCTTCATGGAGCAAGAGTGCCAGATGGAAGGGCAGGGCAACTGTGTGAAGAGCTTAAGCAGAGCCTGGAGCAGCCATTGCAGCACAGAAGCTTCCAGGGAGGCAGATCTAGAGCTGCCCATGAGTTGGATCCAAGGGACCAGGTGATTGGCTGCATAGGGGAGATGGGGGAAGGAGCCCCACTCCTCAAACTGGAAGCCTCAGTTTTTTTTTTTTTTTTTTTTAGACAGAGTCTCGCTCTGTTGCCCAGGTTGCTATTTCTTTGTATTTTAGTAGAGACGGGGTTTCACAATGTTGGCCAGGATGGTCTCGATCTCCTGAACTCCTGATCCGCCCGCCTAGGCCTCCCGAAGTGCTGGGATGACAGGCGTGAGCCACCGCGCCCGGCCGGAAGCCTCAGTTTTTAGGAGGCCCAAGCCACTGTGCACGCTGAAAGCACTTCTAGAGAGAGACACTGCGCCCATGCTGGGGGGCGGGTGAAAACACCTACGGTGGCTCCCGCCATAGAGGAGGGTGGGGAAGGGACAGTGGGCACGCACCCGCTGCCAGATGGCCTCCTGGCCGCTCCAGGCCAGTGCCAGGTTGATGCCATTCAGCGCCATCCAGTCTATCTCTCGCTCCCAGCGGGCCCAGTCCCACCACACGAAAGAGTAGCTTTGCGTGCACACATTCTGGTAATAGCGGTACCTGCGGGCAGTGTCATGAGCAGGGGCGCATCCCACCCTGGAGGGTCCACGGCCCTGGAACAAATCCCCCATCCCCCACCTAGAGGAGAGGGGAGGGGCTCCAAACTCGGCCCTTCTGCTGCACACTGGGACCCACCCCAGGTGGAGCTGAGACCAGGTACCGGGGCTGGGCTTCTGAGGCACTCGTCCCCTGCACTCTCCCAGGGCCCTCTAGCCTGGCGGGTATTTGGGTGGCATATTCCACTTTCATGCCACACTGCCAGAGCCCCTCCTCTGCACGGTGTTTTCCTGGAACGGGGAATCCCTGCCCCCACAGTCTAACAGATGGGCAGGGGAGGACAGCTGTGTGAACACATCACTCCATAGTGTGGCAGGCGCTGGAACACAGGCCTGTAGGGTGGGGGATGGAGGCGTCCTTCCTCAGTCCGCAGGTTCAAAGAGAAGGTGGGGGAGGAAGGCAAGAAAATTCACTCATCACCAATTGTGCACCACAAATTCTATGCCCATCATCGTGCAAATCCTCACAATAACACTGCACGGTAGGCGTCTTCTTTCCGTTTTTCAGGTGGGCCAGCCGAGGCTCTGAAAGGCAGAGTGGCTGGCTCAAGGCCACACAGCTGCTGGAGGCGGCGCAGCTGGGCCTTCCGGCCAGCGCTCCCCGCTCAGCCTCCCGATTTGGGTGGCAGCGGCTCCGGGAGGGGGTAAGCGCCTCGGGCGGACGCGGGGAAGCTTCGGGGCGGTACCTGTTGGGCGTGGCCTCGGTCAGCTCCCCCGGCACGGCTGGCAGTGGCCGCGGCAGGCGCAGCTGAGAGCCGGACCAGGCCACGTGGCAGCCACAGAAGTCGCGCAGGTAGCGGTGCAGCCCCGCGGCGGCCGCCACGCCCGTGGAGCCGCGCACCCGCACGCGCGCCGCGCCGCCGCCGCCCAGGCTGTAGGTGTCCAAGCCCGGCTTGGCAGCCAGAGCGCGCTCCACCGACACGGAGAAGTCGGCCGCGGGGCCTGGCCCCAGCAGCCGGGCCACGAGCGCCCGCACGGCCGCCGCCTCCCGGGCCTCGTCGCCTGCCGCGCCCCCGGCCCCGGCCAGGAGAAGGACCCCCACCGCCGCGGCCACCGCCACCGCCTCCATGGTCTCAGTCCTGCGGGTCCCGCGACGGCCAGGGGGTGGGGCGGCCCGCGTCCAATCAGCTGCCGGCCTCCGGCCACGTGGACCCGAAGGCTAAGCCCGGGCTCAGGGCCAGGAGTCGCGGCTTCCGGGTACCAGGATACTCCCTTGGGGGCGTCTCGTGACCGCACGCGGTGGGGAGCGTGTGACCCCGGCTCCAGGGCCGAAGGGGACCCGCTGGCCCTCACAGAGCGCCTTCGGGTAAAACGCGCTTTCACACGCAAATAACTTCCATCCAACCATCTAATAAATACACATTTGGAGTTTATTTTGTATCAGGCACTGCCATAGCTACTTCCCTACTGATGAACGAGAAGACGGTCCCTACCGTCCCCGTCAGGGAGGTGACCTAGAAACCAGATATTTAACGTAAGTAAGGATTTCCATCATAGTTGTGATGCTGCGAAGTAGTGCAGTAAGTAGCGAAGTAGCGAAGTAAGGTTTCCAAAGGAAGTGACTTTTAATCTGAAACTCAGGGATGAATAGGAATTGGCTAGAAGAGGGAAAGGAAGAGCCTTCCAGACAGAAGAAATGCATTTATTGAAGGCCCTGAGAAGGCAGAGAGCTTGCAGATTTGAGTAACTAACAGGCTAGGAGGTTCGAGGAGGGATGGGGCCATGTGAGCCCAGGCCGGCGGTGGAGCAGGGCTGGCGGGCACGTTAAAGGCTGTCCATTGGCGGCAGCAGCAGCAACATAACAGGAGCTGTCATTTTGTCAGAAGTTTCCAACCAGAGCGACTCCATCTTGAACAGGGGCTGGGTAAAATGAGGCAGAGACCTGCTGGGCTGAATTCCCAGGAGGTTAGGCCTTCGTCACAGGATGAGACAGGAGGTCAGCACAAGATAAAAGGTCACAAGACCCCGCTGATAAAACAGAATGCAGCAAAGAAACTGGTCAAAACCTGCCAAAACCAAGACAGGAAGGTGACCTCTGATCGTCCTCACTGCTCATTATACGCTAATTATAATGCATTAGTATGCTAAAGACACTCCTAGCAGCGCCAGGCAGTTTACAAATGCCATGGCAACGTCCAGAAGTTACCCTATATGGTCTAAACAGTGGAGGAACCTTCAGTTGGGGGGGATCCCCACCCCTTTTCTGAAAAATTCATTACTAACCCACCCCTTGTTTATCATATAATCAAGAAATAACCATAAAAATAGCCAACCTTAGGCCAGGAGCGGTGGCTTACGCCTGTAATCCCAGCACTCTGGGAGGCTGAGGCTTGCAGATCACCTCAAGTCAGGGGTTTGAGACCAGCCTGGCCAACATACAGTGAAACCCCGTCTGTACTAAAAATACAAAAGTTAGCCAGGTGCTGGGCGCGGTGGCTCACGCCTGTAATCCCAGCACTTTGGGAGGCCAAGACGGGCGGATACGAGGTCAGGAGATCAAGACCCTCCTGGCTAACACGGTGAAACTCCATCTCTACTAAAAATACAAAAAATTAGCCGGGCGTGTTGGCGAGCGCCTGTACTCCCAGCTACTCGGGAGGCTAAGGCAGGAGAATGGCGTGAACCGGAGAGGCGGAGGTTGCAGTGAGCCAAGATCACACCACTGCACTCCAGCCTGGGGGACAGAGCAAGACTCCCTCTCAAAAAAAAAAAAAAGAAAAAAAGTTAGCCAGGCTTGGTGGCACACGCCTGTAGTCCCAGCTACTTGGGAAGCTGAGGCAGGAGAATCGCTTGAACGCTGGAGGTGGAAGTTGCAGTGAGCCAAGATCGTGCCATTTGCATTCCAGCCTGGATGACAGAGCGAGACTCCATATCAAAAAAACAAACAAACAAACAAAAAAAGTTGAAAGAGGCCTGGAATCAGATATCAACTTTAGATACTAGGGAAGTATGATTTTTTTTTTTAATCTCAGCTCACGGGAACCTCAGCCACCCAGGTTCAAGCCATTCTCCTGTCTCAGTCTCCTGAGTAGCTGGGATTACAGGCACGTGCCACCAAGCCCAGTTAACCTTTGTAGGGATGGGATTTCACCATGTTGTCCAGGCTGGTCTCGAACTCTTTTTTTTTCTTAAACATTTTATTCATTTTATAGAGAGATTTCTTGTTTGCTTTTGTTCTGATCATTAGGAGAGTGGTTGAGGAGTATTGAATCCATCACTACTTTGATGACACAGGTAAGAGTCCAGATTCACATTTCCAGGTACCAGGAGTTCCCTCTAAATGCCACAATCAAGTCAGCCTTCATTTACATTTCTTTCTGCTGAACACAGCAATGCCCATTGGTATCTCTGAAGCGTAATCGCATCTTAAGTAAAGCAGCTGTTTGGAATTTAACACTCCCCTTCTTTTTTGTCTTATAAACTGAACTGCATCTACGTACTTCATTCCACATTCAATCAAAGCAAGTGCAACCAGCACAGGTGCCCTTCCCAATTCCACAACGCAATGCACTGCAACACAGCAACCTGGCTCTTCACGAAATTTGGTGTTTAACAGGTTTAACCAATCATCTACTATCTGATTAGGGGATGGAGCTCCATCATCAAATGGCCAATCTAGAACGTGGATTCCTTCTTTTTCAACTGGAGCTTTATCATATGTAGCATCACAAACTCAAACCGAAGTCGTCACTCCATACTTCTTAAGTTCCTCTGTGAACTTGTTGAGAGTAGCATTGGTAGGGTTGTGAGTTATCAGAAAACACATGTTCTCATAGGAGATCTCCACAGGGGCTAGACGGTTCATTACGGCAAATAAAAAGTGTGAGCGTGCCTGTGAGTGTGATGGGGAAAGTGAAAAAAAAAATCAATAAATCTTGAAATGTTTAACAACAGAAAACATTAAAAAGACCATGAAAATGCCTATTATCAATCAGTGTTTTCTCTATTCAACTTGTTTATTCCTTATGAAGCTTCTCTCTTCAAGATAAGCAAAGTATTTAGAATCCACTTGAATCCAAATTCAATTTGGGCCTCAATTTCTGCAGATGGATACCTTCGGACTCCAAAAAACCCAACTACATACAAAACTGAAGCAGCCTTTACTACATTTAGGCACTAGTGAGACAAGTTAAAAGTGTAGGTCACTTTCCACTTGTTTACTTGATGCTTAATTTTACTGGAGTCATTCAAAGAAATATGCTTGCAATTAAAAAAAAAAAGCTGGCCGGACGCGGTGGCTCACGCCTGTAATCCCAGCACTTTGGGAGGCCGAGGCGGGCGGATCACGAGGTCAGGAAATCGAGACCATCCTGGCTAACACGGTGAAACCCCGTCTCTACTAAAAACACAAAAAATTAGCCGGGCGCAGTGACGGGCGTCTGTAGTCCCAGCTGCTCAGGAGGCTGAAGCAGGAGAATGGCCTGAACCCGGGAGGCAGAGCTTGCAGTGAGCCGAGATTGCGCCATTGCACTCTAGCCTGGGCGACAGAGGGAAACTCTCTCTCAAAAAAAAAAAAAAAAAAAAAAAAAAAGCTGCCGGGGTGCGGTGGCTCACGCCTGTAATCCCAGCACTTTGGGAGGCCAGGGCGGGTGGATCACGAGGTCAGGAGATCGAGACCATCTTGGCTAACATGGTGAAACCCCGTCTCTACTAAAAATACAAAAAATTAGCCGGGCGTAGTGGCGGGCGCCTGTGGTCCCAGCTGCTCAGGAGGCTGAGGCAGGAGAATGGCGTGAACCCAGGAAGCGGAGGTTGCAGTGAGCTGAGATCGCGCCACTGCACTCCAGCCTGGGCGACAGAGCGAGACGCCGTCTCAAAATAAATAAATAAATAAATAAATAAATAAATAAATAAATAAATAAATAGCCAACTATTTCTGAGGCCAGTCTCGGTGTCCAGAAGTCTTCAAGGCAATGTTAATTATGGCACATAGAACCTCCAAGCTCACTTGTCAGCGAAAACGCTGTGCTCAGCCTGGCAGAAATCTGCTCTCACATTCAGAATCGCCATAAATGTGCAACGTATATTCCAACGAAAAACGCTGGCGAGCTGGGGACTGGGCATTGAAGTCCGGCGGCGGCGGGAGCGAGGAGGTGCCTCTCTCCTCAGTCACCTGGGCGGCGGCGGCGGCGGCGGCTGCGGTAGCGGTGGCGGCGGCTGCGACGACTCCCCCCGAGCCTCGGCGCGCGACGCCCGGCCCGGCGGCGGCGGCGCCTCTCCACCGATCCGTTTTGCTGCTGCTGCGGCCGCCGCTGCATTTCCTGCTGCCGCCGCTGTCCTGTGGCGTCGCCTCGCGCCGTGCCTGGCCGCCGCTGCCGCTCCCTCGAACTCTTGACCTTAAGTGATCCATCTACCTCAGCCTTCCAAAGTGCTGGGATTACTTCTAAATTCTCCAGACAAGTTTTGCCTCCAGATGGCCTGTTTGATGGTCAACATGTGGTCTTTGCTCCTTAGATTGCTCCTTATCTAAATTGCTCAGATAAGAACTTTTTGTCTCCGGGGCCCGTTCGCTCTCTCACCTTTCTTAGGGTCTAGATTGGGACCCCTTTCCAGTAACAATTTTACAGATTGGGAAACAGAGCCAGAGACAGGAAATGACTTCGGCAAGATCAATAACTAGTAAGGAAAGCAGCTCTGGGCTAGAACCGGGAACTCTTAACTTCCAGAGCAGGGTTCTTGCTGCTCTTCCCCAGGCAGTGCAACTTGTCAGGCTGCCTATCTGATCAGGGAGGGCTTGAGTAAGGCTGCTCCGGGGCTGGGAGTGGCCCACTCTCCAGAAGGACTGCACTAGGTGTGCTAGATGTGGTGGCTCACACCCGTAGTCACAGCACTTAGGGAGGCCGAGGCAGGTGGAGCGCTTAAGTCCAGGAGTTCGAGACCAGCCTGGGTAACATGGAGAAACCCTGTCTCTACAAAAATCATCTGGGCACAGTGGCCTGTGTTTGTGGTCCCAGCTAGCTCCTCAGGAGGCTGAGACAGGAGGACGGCTTGAACCCAGGGGTTTGAGGCTGCAGTGAGCCATGACCACACCACTGCACTCCAGGCCAGGCAACAGAGTAAGACCCTGACTCAAAAAAAAAAATGTCTAGCCCATTGCAGTGGCCCCTGATCCTAAGAGGTTGAGGCAGGCAGATCACTTGAATCTAGGAGTCCAAGACCAGCCTGGGCAACAAGGCAAAACCCCTCCTTCTCTACAAAAAATACAAAGATTAGCCCAGCATGATGGCATGTGCCTGTGGTCCCAGCTACTGAGGAGGTTGAGAGGGTAGGCTCGCTTGAGTCTGGGAGGTCAAGGCTGCAGTGAGTCCAGATGGCACCACAGCACTCCAGGCCAGGGACTGAGCAAGGTAACACATTATCATCTGTTTATTTAAGGCTCTGTAAACAGTGGTTGTGGGAGGGAGGGGGAGATTCAGGGACACTGTGAGTGAAAGACTTTTATAATAGGGTCTTTAGTACTGTTTGATCCTTTTTTTTTTTTTTTTGAGATGAGTCTCGCTCTGTTGCCCAGGCTGGAGTGCAGTGGTGCCATCTCCTGTCTCAGCATCCCAACTAGCTGGGACTACTGGCATGTCTTGGGGTGGGGGGAGGGGTCTCAAAAAAGAAAGAACTTACTGACAACAGTATAGGTTTGGAAAAGGAAAGTTTATTAGAAAGGAAGAACACTGCAGCAGAGTGCAGCAGGTGCCTCCACGGGAGGACTGAGTGCGCTGTGGTGGATTTTCCTTAGGAGCATGTATGGACCTTAAGGTGAGAGCTTAGGGTTGTAAAATGAGCTTCAGCATGGCATAGAATGTACAGAAATTTTACGTTGTGAGGGCAGAGCCCTCAGGAATGGGGTTGGTGCCTTTGTAAGGGAGGCCAGAGAGAAAGCCCTACCCCTTTCTACCATGTGAAACCACAGTGAGAAGGCATAGCTCATAAAGCAGGAAGTGAGCCCCCACCAGACACTGAATCTATAAGCACCTTGATCTTGGACTTCCTAGCCTCCAGAAGTGTGAGAAATAAGTGTTTGTTGAATTTTTTTTTTTTTTTAAAAAGAATGTATAGACATTTTAGTTACTTATAAAAGTTGAAAGAGGCTTGGAATCAGATGCCGACTTTAAATACTAGGGAAGTTTTTTTTGTTTGTTTTTTCTTTTGAGACAGAGTCTCCCTCTGTCGCCCAAGCTGGAGTGCAGTGGCCTGATCTCAGCTCACTGCAACCTCTGCCTGCTGGTTCAACCAATTCTCCTGTCTTAGTCTCCTGAGTAGCTGGGATTACAGGCATGCACCATCATGCCCGGCTAATTTTTGCAGGGAGGGTGTTTCATCATGTTGGCCAGGCTGGTCTCTAACTGTTGACCTCAAGTGATCCACCTGCCTTGGCTCCCAAAGTGCTCACAAAGTGTGTGTGATTCACCATGCCTGGCCTTTATTACTTCTAAATTCCCCAGGCAAGGAGTTTCGCCTCCAGATGGCCTGTTTGATGGTCAACAGGTGGTCTTTGCTCCTTGGATTGCTCCTTTTTTTTTTTTTTTTTGAGACGGAGTCTTGCTCTATCACCCAGGCTGGAGTGCAGTGGTTCGATCTCTGCTCACTGCAAGCTCCGCCTCCCGGGTTCATGCCATTCTCCTGCCTCAGCCTCCCGAGTAGCTGGGACTACAGGTGCCCCGCCACCACGCCCAGCTAATTTTTTGTATTTTTAGTAGAGACGAGGTTTCACCATGTTAGCCAGGATGGTCTCGATCTCCTAACCTCGTGATCCACCCGCCTCGGCCTCCCAAAGTGCTGGGATTACAGGTGTGAGCCACTGCGCCTGGCGGATTGCTCCTTATCTAAATTGCTCAGATAAGAACTTTTTGTCTTGGGGGGGGTGATTTTTGCTCTCCTCACCTTTCTTTGGGTCTAGATTGGGACCCCTTTCCAGTAACAATTTTACAGATTGGGAAACAGAGCCAGAGACAGGAAGTGAGTTGGGCAAGATCAATAACTAGTAAGGAAAGCAGCTCTGGGCTAGAATCGGGAACTCCTGACTCCCAGAGCAGGGTTCTTGCTGCTCTTCCCCAGGAAATGCAACTTGTCAGGCTGCCTATCTGATCGGGGAGGGCTTAAGTAAGGTTGCTCCGGGGCTGGGAGTGGCCCAGTCTCTAGAAGGACTGCACTAGGTGTGCTAGATGTGGTGGCTCACACCTGTAGTCACAGCACTTAGGGAGGCTGAGGCAGGTGGAACACTTGAGTCCAGGAGTTTGAGACCAGCCTGGGTAACATGGAAAAACCCTGTCTCTACAAAAATCATCTGGGCACAGAGGCCTGTGTTTGTGGTCCCAGCTAGCTCCTCAGTAGGCTGAGGTGGGAGGATGGCTTGAGCCCAGGGGTTTGAGGCTGCAGTGAGCCATGATCACACCACTGCACTCCAAGCCAGGCAACTGTTGGGAACAAGCCCCGCAAAATCTGGCCATAAACCGGCCCCAAAACTGGCCATAAACAAAATCTCTGCAGCACTGTGACATGTTCATGATGAACATAACGCCCACGCTGGAAGGCTGTCAGTTTACCAGAATGAGGGCAAGGAACACGTGGCCTGCCCAGGGTGGAAAACTGCTTAAAGGCATTCTTAAGCCATAAACAATAGCATGAACGATCTGTGCCTTAAGGACATGCTCCTGCTGCAGTTAACTAGCCCAACCTATTCCTTTAATTGCCCATCTCTTCGTTTCCCACAAAGGATACTTTTAGTTAATTTAATATCTGTAGAAACAATGCTAATGACTGGCTTGCTGTTAATAAATATGTGGGTAAATCTCTGTTCAGGGATCTCAGCTCTGAAGGCTGTGAGACCCCTGATTTCCCACTTCACACCTCTATATTTCTGTATGTGTGTCTTTAATTCCTCTAGCGCCGCTGGGTTAGGGTCTCTCTGACCCAGCTGGTCTCGGCAGCAACAAAGCAAGACCCTGACTTAAAAAAAAAAAAAAGTCTAGCCCGTTGCGGTGGCCCCTGATCCTAGGAGGTTGAGGCAGGCGGATCACTTGAATCTAGGAGTCCGAGACCAGCCTAGGCAACATGGCAAAACCCCTTCTCTACAAAAAATACAAAGATTAGCCCGGCATGGTGGCATGCACCTGTGGTCTCGGCTACTAGGGAGGTTGAGAGGGGAGGATCGCTTGAGCCTGGGAGGTCGAGGCTGCAGTGAGTCCAGATGGCACCACAGCACTGCAGGCCAGGCCACAGAGTGACAGAGCAAGATAACACATTATCATCTGTTTGTTTGCTTTTTTTTTAAGGCTCTGTAAACAGTGGTTGTGGGAGGGAGGGGGAGAGTCACACTGTGAGTGAAAGCCTTTATTTATTTATTTATTTATTTATTTGATAATAGGGCCTTTAGTACTGTTTGATCGCCTTTTTTTTTTTTTTTTTGAGATGGAGTCTGGCTCTGTCCCCCATGGCTGGAGTGCAGTGGTGCCATCTCCTGTCTCAGCCTCCAGACTAGCTGGGACTACTGTCATGCATTGGCTGGCTAATTTTTGTATTTTTAGTAGAGACGGGGTTTTGCCTGGCTAATTTTTGTATTTTTAGTAGAGACGGGGTTTCGCCAGGCTGGTCTTGAACTCCTGACCTCAGGTGATCCACCCGCCTTGGCCTCCCAAAGTGCTAGTATTGCAGGCATGAGCCACTGCGCCCAGCCTGAGTTGTGACACAACTCATTACTTTTCCAGTAGTGTGTGTGAAGCAAGTTGGCTGGGCTCTCTGCGTGCTCTCCAGCCCATCTCATCTTTTGCTCCTGGCTAGCCTACCCCTCTGCTTATGTGCTCCAGAATACCCCAGGATTGCTTTGTCTCTGCCCGTCTAATCCAGTTGCCTGCCTATCACACAGCCCAGCTCAGATCGCAGCCCACCTTGCCAAAGGATGAATGAGTCCTTCCCTATCTGGCCACCAGAGAGCAGCCTACACCTAGGACATGCCTTGGGTAGGCTGAGACGTTGAAGAGGCAGGCCACTTTGATCTGAAATGCTGAGGCTGCCAGCTGGCTTTGAGGTCCAATGCCCCCTCTACCCAAGGTTCCTGGGGCAGAAAGAAGTATAGTCCCATCCAGTGAAGGTGGTGATAGACTTGTCCCCTATCTCTACAAAGCTTGGGACTCCCCAGGCCAAGCATGCCAAGGCCACCCTCTCCCACACTGGTTCTAGGACCTCAAGATGAGGGGCATTTCCTGGACCAGGGCACAGACTCATCAGACAGATGTCTGGGGTCCTGGGGTTCCACAAGAGGGGGATCAGGGTAAAGGCACATCTCTTAAAAACAGGAGCAGCCGGGCGCGGTGGCTCATGCCTGCAATCCCAGCACTTTGGGAGGCCAAGGCGGGCGGATCACGAGGTCAGGAGATTGAGACCATCCTGGCTAACACGGTGAAACCCCGTCTCTACTAAAAATACAAAAAATTAGCCAGGCATGGTGGCGGGCGCCTGTAGTCCCAGCTACTCAGGAGGCTGAGGCAGGAGAATGGCGTGAACCCGGGAGGCGGAGCTTGCAGTGAGCTGATATTGCGCCACTGCACTCCAGACTGGGTGTCAGAGCGAGACTCTGTCTCAAAAAAACAAAAAACAAAAAACAGACAAACAACAACAAAAAAAAAACAGAAGCAAATGGCCAGGCACAGTGGCTCACGCCTGTAATCCCAGCACTTGGGAGGCCAAGGTGGGTGGATCACTTGAGGTCAGGAGTTACAGACCAGCCTGGCCAACATGGCGAAATCTCATCTCTACTAAAAATACAAGAAATTAGCCAGGCGTGGTGGCAGGCGCCTGTAGTCCCAGCAACTTGGGAGGCTGAGGCAAGAGAATCGCTTGAACCCCGGAAGGCAGAGGTTGCAGTGAGCCAAGGTCGCACCGTTGGACTCCAGCCTGGGCAACAAGAGCAAAACTCCGTCTCAAACAAAACAAAACCAAGCAAAACAAAACAAAAACAAAGAAAAAAACCCCCAGGAACAAGTGGATGCAGCCATCCTGTTCCCCACCCCCTACCACAGGGCTCTGGGACTTCCTGCACACTCCACAGCTCAGTCTTGGTCAGCCCATCTTTAGCTGGAAGGAGCCCAAGGCCACTAGATTCTGAGAACTCAGTCTAGCCAAGGACTCACTGGCCCTGCTTCCTCCCAGTTCATCAGAGAGACATGGGAGGAATTTCTTCCCAAGGAAGTCCTAGGCCACTCCCACTTTATTCAGATTATATGCCATAAAATTTACTAATGTAAGGCTGGGCGCGGTGGCCCACGCCTGTAATCCCAGCACTTTGGAAGGCCAAGGCGGGCAGATCACGTGAGGTCAGGAGTTCGAGACCAGCCTGGCCAACATGGCCAAACCCCGTCTCTACTAAAAATACAAAAATTAGGGTGTGGTGCCCCATGCCAATAATCCCAACTACTCAGGAGGCTGAGGCAGGAGAATCGCTTGAACCCGGGAGGCAGAGGTTGCAGTGAGTGAAGATCGTGCCATTGCACTCCAGCCTGGGCAACAAGAGTGAAACTCCATCTCAGGAAAAAAAAAAATTAGCCAGGTGTGGTGGTGCGTGCCTGTAATCCTGGCTACTCAGGAGGCTGAGGTGGGAGAATCCTTTGAACTTGGGAGGCAGAGGTTGCAGTGAGCCAAGATTGTGCCACTGTACTCCAGCCTGGGCAACAGAGCAAGACTCCATCTCAAAAAAAAATTTACCAATGTAAAGTGTACAATTCAATGGGTTTTAGTATATTCACATAATTGTGCAGCCATCAGCAGCCTAACTTTACATTTTCATCATTCAAAAAGAAACTCCATACTCCTTGGGAGTCACTCCCCATCATAACTCTCTCCCCAGCCCCATCTGGCAGCCAGCTCCTGGTATCCACCAAATCTGTGTCTATGGGTTTGTCTATTCTAGACATTCCAGATACACGGAATCATAAATTGTTGGTCTTCTGTGGCTGGTTTTTGAGGTCCATTCATGTTGTAGCATGCATCAGTACCTCATTCTTGTTAATTGTAGAATAATATTCATCATGCCCATCCCACCTTTTATGGATCCATTTATCAGCTGGTGGACATCGGGCTGTTTCCATTTTGGGGCTATTATGAATAATACTTCCATGAACATTTCTGTGCAAGTTTTTGTGGGTATGATTTCATTTTTCTTGGGGTAGATAAGAAAGTGGAATTGCTGGGTCTTACGTTAATTCTGTTTAATATTTTTTTTTGAGACAGAGTCTCACTCTGTCATCCAGGCTGGAGTGCAGTGGTGCGATCTCAGCTCACTGCAACCTCTGCCGCCCGGGTTCAAGAGATTCTCCCGCCTCAGCCTCCTGAGTAGCTGGGATTACAGGCACCTGCCACTGCGCCTGGCTAATTTTTGTATTTTTAGTAGAGACGGAGTTTCATCATCTTGGCCAGGCTGGCCTTGATCTCCTGACCTCATGATCCACCCACCTCGGCTTCCCAAAGTGCTCGGATTACAGGCATGAGCCACTGTGCCCAGCCAATTCTGTTTAATATGTTGAGGAACTGCCAGACTGCTTTCCAAAGCAGCTGCACCATTTTACATTCCCACCAGCAGTGAATTGGGTTCCAATTTCTCCTTGCCAACACTTGTAATTTTCTCATTTTTTTTGAGATGGAGTCTTGCTCTGTTGCCCAGGCTGGAGTGCAGTGGCGCAATCTCGGCTCACTGCAAGCTCCGCCTCCCAGGTTCACGCCATTCTCCTGCCTCAGCCTCCCGAGTAGCTGGGACTATAGGCACCCGCCACCATGGCCGGCTAATTTTTTGTATTTTTGGTAGAGACGGGGTTTCACCGTGTTAGCCAGGATGGTCTCGATCTCCTGACCTCGTGATCCACCCGCCTCGGCCTCCCAAAGTGCTAGGATTACAGGCATGAGCCACCGCGCCCGGCCCAACACTTGTAATTTTCTTATTGCCTTTTTAGTGGGTGTGATGTGGTATCTCATTGTGGTTTTCATTTGCATTTCTGTAATGACTAATGGTGTTGAGCATCTTTTCATGGGTTTATTGGCCATTCATATTGCTTACTTGGAGAAATGCCTATTCAACCCCTTTGCCCATTTAAAAAAACTGAGTTGTTTTTATTATTGGGTGTAAGAGTTACTTATATATCCTAGATACAAGTCCTTTATCAGATATATGATCTACAAATATTTTCTTCTATGAGGGTTGTCTTTTCAGTTTCTAGATTCTGATCTTTGAAGCACAAACCCTTTTTTTTTCTTTTGAGATGGAGTTTCACTCGTCGCCCAGGCTGGAGTACAGTGGCACGACCTCGGTTCACTGCAACCTCTGCCTCCCGGGTTCAAGCGATTCTCCTGCCTCAGCCTCCCAAGTTGCTGGGATTACAGGCATGCGCCACCACACTCAGCTAATTGTTTGTATTTTTAGTAGAGACGGGGTTTCTCCATGTTGGCCAGGCTGGTCTTGAACTCCTGACCTCAGGTGATCCGCCTGCCTCGGCCTCCCAAAGTGCTGGGATTACAGGTGTGAGCCACCGTGCCCGGCGAAGCACAAAAGCTTTTAATTTTGCTGAAGGCTAACTTATCTATGTGTTTTTTTTTATTTTTTATCACTTGTGCTTTGAGTGTCATATCTAGAAATCACTGGCTAACTCAAGGTTAGGAAGATGTACTCCTATGGTTTCCCCTAAGAGTTTTATCGTTTTCACTTACATTTTAGGTCTGGAATCCACTTTGAGGTAATTTTTGCATATGGTGGGGATAGTGGCCCAAATTTGTTTCTTTGCATGTGGAAACCCCATTGTACCAGTGTCATTTGTTGAAAAAGAGAGATCTTTCCTCATTGAATTATCTTGACCCCTTTATCAAAAATCAAGTGACCATAAATGTTAGGATTTATTCCTGGACTCTCAATTCGAATCCAATGATTCCAAATATCTATTCTTATGAGGCCTTCCCTTCCCACTGAGCAGAAGCTGAGACCTCAATGACCAGAGTTTCCACTCGGGACCTTATCTTTGAGGAGCTGGGTGGGGTGGGCCTCTCAGGGCCGACACCAGGGACAGGTAGCACTGTTAGGGAGGAGGAAGGGCTTTAGGTTAGGCTGGAACATGGAATGAACAGGGGGTTGTGGCCCCTTCACCTGTCTGGGGCCCAGGTCACATTCCTGGGCAGCCCCTGCCCTGGAGGCCCCTGGAGGGAGGAGTGAAGAGGGAGGGTACCGAGAATGCAGTGCCTCACTAGGCAGTGGGGAGGGGGCCTCCTGCCCAGCCTGCCACCCTGGACGGTCTGCCTGCTCTCCACCCTGCCGCCTGCCAATCCCAGCACCTCACATTCCCCAGCTGCCCTGAGGAACCTGTGTGGAGCCTCCACTTACACTAAGGCCGGGGTATCAGGGCTCAACATAGCCAGGCCACTGGGCCCTGGAGGGCACACTTGGAGAAGAGGGAGAGGCGCGTGGGGAGATACCCAGTGCCCCTCTGCCCCCATGCTGTCTGGATGTGCAATGAGTAAACGGGAGACGAAGATGGGCTGCCCAGTCCCCTCTTCCCACAGGTAGTGTCTGCAGAGCTGACTTGGATCCTGTGAGTGGGAAGGCGCCTGGGAAACTTGGGACAAGGTGAGAATTTCCCAAACCAACTGCCCAGCCAGGCCTACTGAAGCTGTGGCCTTTGATAGAAGGAAAAGCAGCAATGCTGGAGGAGGGAGGCGAAGGTCAGGGGTCCACAGGGGCTCAAGATGGCTGAGCCTGGAGCGACGCAGGGGCTGTGGGCACAGTGACAGGCAGCTTCTCCGGGGAAGTCAAACATACTTTATTCAACATAGGAATGTCTGAACAGGAGGACCTTGGGCAGGGTTCCCTGAACTCTGCTTCAAACCCCACTGGAAACAGAGCAAAGATCATCACGAAAACCCAGGACACCAGGGCAGGGGGGCTGCACAAGGTCGGGTCAGGTCACAGTGGGCCAGCACACAGTGGCCCCGCCCAGGGCCAGCCCAGCCTGGGAGAGGGGATGAGGGCTCCAGGCAGCTCACTCAGAAAAGCCAGGGTAGGAGGAGGGCACCAGCCTGGCCCACTCAGGGAATTCTTTCTACCACTGAAAGCGGTGGGGATTAACTTAGCCAGGGCTGCCACGCCAGCACACGATTACAAGGTTCGGGGTGACAAGGAGGAAGCCCCTTGGCAGGACTGTGCAGCCCTCACAGCCACATGCACGGCAGCCCTGCCAATGGCTTCCAAACAGCAAACCATCAGTGACACTGACCTTCCCTGCCCAGGACACCCCTCCTGAGACCTGGGGCCAGTGTGGTGAGGAGGGGGCACTAGGGGCGGAGCCAGGCAGGCTGCAGGCAGAACCAAGAGGACCCCAGTCCCACACTGAAGACATCATGATTGGGGGTGGGGAAGATCTCAGGGTCTCCATCAGGGAAGAGCATCAGTCTGCACCCTCGGCCTGAGGGTGTGCTTGTGGGCAGGGCCCATGCAAGGCCTGGGAAGAAGCCAACCCCGAGAGAGGGAAGCCCTGTGCACTGCGGAGCAGCCAAGGCCTCTGTTCCAAGCATCCCGGCTGTGCTATGTAGTGCAGGGCATGAACGGGGAGAGAGGAAAGGATGGGAGTGCAGGGTGGGGTCAGAAAGGCGGTGTAGATATCCTATGACCCCTGGGGATGACAGGGAGAAGCCACTCATGATGGCCTAGTTGGGTCCAGCTGAATGCCAGGGGGGTGGGCAAAAGACGCAAATATCATCTTCCTGGACCCACCCCTGCTAATCCAAGAGTGGGACATGTTACCAGTGTCCCCTTCTAGGGAAGAATCTGTATTACTCCCCCCACTACTCCTGCTAGAAACTACGGTGGCAGATGCAGGGAACTCAAAGTCTAGATGTGAATGGCATGGGTGCTCCTTCCATCTACAATGCACGGGGAAGATGAAAGGGCTTTGGGATGGCGTGGGAATGCAGACTGGCTCACCACCAGGAGGTGGGAAGGGCTGTCTGGATGGATGGAGGCTAAGAGGGCAAGGCTGGTGCCCAGTGAGTATGAGTGACAGCCAGAAAATCACTACACTACACACAAAGCTAGGGGTGGTGGGAGACCCAAGGAGGACTATTCTATCTAAATGACTCACAGACAGGGTGACACGAATGAGCTGGTGCCCACAGATCACAACCAACAGGCAGAGAGGCACAGCTGATCACTGTGGAGGGAGGCGGGGAGGGTAGCATGGGGCACACGGCCCTCACAGGGACTCACTCTTCAAACTTCCCTTCCCGAATATGCTCGAAGGAGAAGGGTAAGAACTTGAAACCGGTCCCGCTGTAGAATTTATTCTGGAACTCAACCCTGGAGAAAGAGAAGAAGAAAGCTGTCATTCAATAGAAACTTTGTGAAGCTTTTTAGGACTTCACAGTTGGGCAGGAAAGATGCCCCGTGCCCACCTCACCCCGAGCCTCCCTTCCCTGGGGAAGCTAGAGAAAGCCCAGAGTGCAGAGATCCCACTTTTAAGGCCTGGGATCAAGAGTTCGACGCACGGAGGAAGGGATTTGCCCTCAGTTCCCAATCTTGCTCTGTCCTGCCGAGCAGTGTGTTTATGCACAACTCTCTGCAGAGAGGCATGTGCAAAAAAAGTTCAGTTACCTTGAGCCTAACATCGTTAATGAACAAGTGGCCCCCATCGCCCCCTCCTGGCAGGGGATCACACAGCCCACCTCTAAGGGAAGCCCCTCCAGAGACACTGGGCAAGCACCTCTGTTTGCTTGTTATTTTTCCTTGGGGGAGCAAAAGGGCGAGCTTGGAGTGAATGTTGAAGGCTTTCCATTTAAGGAAGGAAATTCCAAGGAAAGAGGGGGAGTTAGGAGGGGAAGTCTTCTCAAAGCAATGGCAAAAATATTCTCCAACCACAAAAACATCTGAGAAAGAATTCTTCTCTTGGGGACTAAAAAGAAAAAGCCTGAGCTCCCTTCCCAGCAGTTCAGCATCCATGCCTGATGGTCTCTGTGGGGCCCTTTCACTCTCAGGGAGGGTGGGAGGAAGACTGTCCCATAAGCAGAGCGAGGCTGCTTGGCTGTGCTTCCTCCTGCAAACTCACCCTGGACAGCTGCCCAGCAACCAAACCACACCAAATAAGGGCAGAAAAATGCATGATTCAGGGGATAAAAAGGCCAAGGAGAGCTGCCCTGAGGAATAGTTTCCACATGGTGCTGTGTGACCCTGGAGGCACCGGAGCCCCTATAAGAACAGGCAGGCGTGGGGGCTGGGGCAGGCTCCAGGTGACAGGTCACGTGCAGGGTGAGGGCTTTGAGGCGCTTTAAAGCTTCAGGAACCCTCTAGTTCCCTAACTCAGCTTTTACAAATGGAGATTCCTCCCTCCAAGCCAAGAAGGCAGGAATTAAGAGAACAGGGGCTGGGAGGTGGCTGGGGCCCAAAGGTTACAGACTGTTTGCCAGTGGCACTGGGAGTTCCTCAGAGGCCCCTTCACTGGGGTGCAGGCTGAGGAGCACCCCCTTGAAGAAGAGCGCAACCGAATTTTCTGAGTGGGAGTAAAAGCAGTCAGCTTTCTTCCCCACATCCCCACATTCCACAGGGGTGGGCCAAGGTCCTCCAGGAAAAACAGGACTCAGGAGGGGGAGGACACAGAGCTTCCAACTGACGTTAGCTGACGGTTCCCACCAGAGCAATTCCAAACCAGGACCTGGATTCACCCACGTCCCAACACCCCACCAAAACTACTTCTCCAAGTTCCAGCTACTGAGACCACCTCTGAGGGAACGCGGTGGGGCCTAGCAGTGGGTTCCTGCTTCTCACCCACTTGTGTTAGGTTTGAATTCTTCATGTTGAATAGACTGTGTTCCCATGTGGCAAGGGTTATTTCAGAACAGCTGAAACGAGATTTACATGTCCCCTTTTCATTCAACAATACATAGCCAGAGAGTGGACAAGTCACCTGAGGGTCCCAGGCCATTACCTAGGAGTGAATGTCAGCCTTGGTAGGGTATGCTGACCCCCGACTCCAGTGAGGTGTCCAGAACTCTGACCCCCACCCCCTCCTGGCTAATCACAAAACCATTCTAATCTTCAAACTGGGCAAATGGAGCAGCAGCTTTGTTTTCAGATGCCTGTGGGGGCACCGCCCTTTTCTTGGCACCCCTCCAGTCACCTTATCTACCCATGGGGGCCCAGCAAGGAGGAAGAGGGATATATGCCTGGGAGGGGCACATCAATTGTACTGTGTGAGCAGACAGGTGGCCTCCCTGACATACTGCCCAATACTGCCCCTCCCACCAGCTGCTGCTTTAGAGACTTAGAGCGGCCAGAACTGGGACATCTTGGGTCTATCTTGAGGTCAGCCTGATTTCACCTCCTTCCGTGGCCACCCTCACCCCAACCACCCAGCACAAAGCTGGAAAGCAATTTCCCTGCTAGTCTCCCCACTCTCTCCCGCTGAACTGGGGAAATGTGTGCTTCCTGAGAAAGTACAAACATGAAGTTCCCCAGGGCAAGGGGGGCCCCATCTGCCATCCTAGGTTCTTCCTTCTTTTTGGGCATCTCCACTGCTCTGCTCAGGGAGCCTCCAAAGTCTTGCCATGCCCCAAGACACTGAAATGCACCTCTAGAATTCAACAGCTGTGAGGAGAGCCTCAGGACGCCAGATGAGTGTCTCTATCATCTCTTCCAGCTCCAGCACTTGGCAAAGGCCACCTGGTGACTCAGAGGGATTAACTGGGGCCAAAAGACATCATTCATGCCACGTAACAGGAACTCTGTTTCCTCGAGTGGGTGAAGGAGGAAGGAGTCTTGGGGCCGCTTCCCTTCCCTGGTGGGGGTTGTGACTGAGGGCAGGCAGTCTGGAAAGACAATTCTGGGCTGAGCTGTTTATGTAGCCTGTTCTGCCACTCTCTGTGCCGTTCAGGGCCTACAACACACATCTGTCTGACGGCCTGAATATCAGGGCAATGATGGCAGCCTGGAACTACATTTCAAGAGTTCTGAGTTCTCCTGGGCAGCCATTCCCTCAACTGCTCCATGCTGTCATGCCGTGGCAACACTGCATTCCTAACAAGAAGCTGGTCCCCGATTCTGTCCCTTTAATCACCACCCAATCTGTGAGTGTACAGGTAGGTGTACATCTATGTGTATGTGGAATTCGCTAGGTAAGGAGAGACCAGGTTCCTTGGAAGGTATGCCCTGGGGCAATAGTTCTGCATAAAAATCAGTTTGATGTTTACAGTGATAACTACAATCAAATCCCTGTCTCATGCCTTCTCTGAGGAAGAAAAGATGTCTAATTATGGTAGGTAAGAAGCCAAGCACACTTCATGTGGCAGGAGGGAGGAAAAGAGAGAAAACTCAGGAGACAGAATTAGCAGATTAATACATTAGCCTGCTCACTGTTTTCAAACACATCACCCCCCTTCCTATGATGCTGCATGAATCTCACACTAGTGGTTTATATGTTATCGAATCAAATGTTTTTCTTATTGTCCCCACTGAGGAGACCAGAACTTGTATAATGGGGCAGCCCTTGAATCAGGAAACAGCAGGGATAAAGTGGGAGGTATGAAGATGCCTAGGATGGATGCCAGGAAGAACAGCAGCACCATCCCTACAGCTGGTTCAGCAGCCCCAGAGGCTCCACCCCTGGTAAGAGGGCCACAGCTCAGAACGCCTCCTGCAGTCCTGGGCCACAGGGAAGATCCAGGCATCCTGGACGCACAGCCGCATTTTGCCAGGAGGGGGCGCACAAGCACCAATTTCATTCACTTCTGTTTTAGTGGTGGGGGAGGCGCCCCACTCGTGTCACGGGAACAGCCCTCCAAAGACGAGATTCTGGAAGTTGCACAAAGGAGGTTTGCACTGTTTTTTCCTCTCCTACCCAATACTCCTATTGCCAAAATAAATACGACATATATGGGGAGGCTGTTCCTTGCAAACAGCACCTGAGGGCATTCTGATGGTATCCTCTGCCTCCTCTGGGGTCTTCTCTCACTCTAGACAGGCTAAAAGCAGTCTTTTTATGGGGGACCCCAGGCAGACACCCTCTCTCTAGGGCATCCCAGGTTTTTTTGTTGTTGTTGTTGTTGTTGTTGTTTTGAGACGGAGTCTCGGTCTGTCGCCCAGGTTGCAGTGCAGTGGCGCGATCTTGGCTCACTGCAACCTCCATCTCCTGGGTTCAAGCGATTCTCTTGCCTCAGCCTCCCGAGTAGCTGGGATTACAGGCGCCCACCATCACGCCCAGCTAATGTTTGCATTTTTAGTAGAGATGGGGTTTCACCATGTTGTCCAGGCTGGTCTCGAACTCCTGACCTCAGGTGATCTGCCTGCCTCAGCCTCCCAGAATGCTGGGATTATAGGTGTGAGCCATCGCACCCAGTAAGGGCATCCCACTTTTAAGCAGAGCAGCCACTACCCATCCTAGAGCACCTGCTTTTGCTGTGGCAGCACTTGGTGTGTGCATTACTTCCTACTTGCTCACAGTAATCTTGGCAGTGAATGTTCTGCTCAGGTTCCCTGCCTGGTGTGACAGTGCTGGAATTCCAACCCAGGTCGCCCAATTCCGGAGCCTGCTGTCCTGCCACTCATCACTTCAGTTCAGGGGGACCTGGGAAGACACGGGGAGGCCACAGGTGAGCCTGAGGAGGAAGCAATCTTCTGGCAACAAAATGAGGCTCAAGCCCAGGCGGCCTTGCTCTGCAACAGTGCCTTGCTCCCGCCCTGCCCAGGGAGATGACCGGCTACCCACGTGGGCTGGAATCAAGGTGAGGTGGTCACTGTTCCCTCAAACCCAGGGCTCAAGAGACAGGAGTGAAAAGAAAAGAAAGGAGGCCAAGGGGCAAGAAAAAGTGAGTCCTCAGAGGTTCTCGTGCACTGAGGAGGGCTGAGGAAGTGTGCTTGCGGGGGTCGGCTGATAAGCTTAGAACAGGGAGGCCAGCCAGATGAGCTGGGTGGGGAGGAGGGAGGCCAGGAGGGAGAGAGCCAGGCCAGAGGAAGCCAGGTCTACTGACGCAGCAGGGCTTTTGAAGAAGAGTGCACCCTAGCCACGTCTTGCCCTTCCATGCCTCACTCTCCGCCCATCATTCAGAAAAACCCACAGCTGAATCTTTGAGGAGGCTCAGGGGTCACCCAGCCATGAGAATAATCAAAGATAAAGGGGAGTGGGGAATGAGTTTCTCAGGTTCAGATGCTGGATTTTCTTCAGGTTTTGAGAACGAAGAGAGACATTCATAGTCCTCTTCTGGCCTTGAGATCATGAACACCACAGAGCATCCCATCCAGGGGCCTCTAAGGCACACCAGTGAGTCAGACCCCTATGCTTGTAAAACAGGAGAAGTGTGTGAGTGCTCCTCTGGGGAGAGGGGCCAGAACTTCCAGAGACATTGGGGTTTTGAGACCCCCAAAAAGAGAATCACAACATAAAGGAGAAAATAGAGACCCAAAGAAGTGGAGTCTGAGGTGGAACAGCCACAGAAAATACAGACTGCCCCAGTTTTTAGTATAAGCATATCCCATGCACATTTGGGAAATACTCATACTAAAAAAATTATTTGTTGTTTATGTGAAATACACCCTGTATTTTTATTTTTTGAGACCGAGTTTCACTCTTGTTGCCCAGGCTGGAGTACAATGGCGCGATCTTGGCTCAATGCAACCTCCACTTCCTGGGTTCAAGCGATTCTCCTGCCTCAGCCTCCCAAGTAGCTGAGATTCCAGGCATGCACCACCATGCCCGGCTAATGTTTTTGTATTTTTAGTAGAGACAGCGTTTCTCCATGTTGGTCAGGCTGGTCTCGAACTCCCCACCTCAGGTGATCCACCCGCCTCGGCCTCCCAAAGTGCTGGGATTACAGGAGTGAACCACCGTGCCTGGCCCCCAACCCCTCCCCTATTTTTTTTTTTTTTTTTTTGAGACAGAGTCTCGCTCTGTTGCCCAGGCTGGAGTGCAGTGGCACAATCTCAGCTCACTGCAACCCCTGCCTCCTGGGTTTAAGAGATTCTTTCCTGCCTCAGCCTCCTGAGTAGCTGGGATTACAGGCACGTGCCACCACACCTGGCTAATTTTTGTATATTTAGTAGAGACGGGGTTTTACCATGTTGGCCAGGCTGGTCTCGAATTCCTGACCTCAGGTGATTCACCTGCCTTAGCCTCCCAAAGTGCTAGGATTACAGGCATGAGCCACCGTGCCCAGCCAAACTGTACTTTTATGTGCTACATCTGGCAACGCTGGTTTGAGGTGGTCACAGCCCAGACCACACCCCCGCTCTCCCAGTCCCAGAGGCTGAACTCATGCTCTCTCCACACACAGCCATTAAGAGTCACAAGCTTCATTAAAGAAAACAAACAGAACCACCCCAAACCTGCCCATGTGAAGAAGCTGCGTGAGTGTACCGACCTCCACCCTATAGAGCCAGGAATCCCTCCGGTCCACAATGGAGCTGCCAGGGGTCCAACTCAAAGACCCCTGGCACAATGACAGAACAAAGAGGATAAAGCTGGGGTGCAGCGTGTTCTAGCCTTTCCTGCACTTAACATACATTCCAGAGCTGCTTCCACTGTTCTGAAGACAGAAGAGTTACACATCAGAGAGAAAACCAGAAACCCTAAGACCCCAGCAGCCCCTTTAAGCCAAAATCAGGAGCACTGGGGACAGCTAAAGGCAGGGAGCGGGACCTGACACCACTCACCAGGGACATCTCCCTAGAGCCTAGGGAAGGCTGAGCTGTGCTTTTCTGTGACCATTTTCCGAAACTCTGTGGCAATGCCGGTGCTGGGGTGTCCTGAGGTGAAGCTAGTGCAGGGCCAGCTCATCTTTCCTGCACAGAGCTGCAGGGCTGTGTGTGGGAGAAAAGCTGCCCTCTCACCGCAGCTAAGGACACATCCACCCCCATGCCCGCCCTGCCCCACTGCCCCTCACCAGTGTAAGCGCAGTGCGTGGAGAAAGGCCGAGAGGCCCTCCATGATCAGGAGGATGGCCACGGTCAGGGTGGCAAAGGCAGTGAAGAAGAAGAACAGCACCAAACCTCCCGCCAAGCTCTTCACGCTCAGGCCGATGTGGATCACCATGGTCCAAAGCACCTCAGACAGCTCTGGGGAATGGGAGACACAAAATCCAGTGCAGTTTGGCAAGAGGCAGCTGTAGGCCATGAATTTTGCTCTGCCATCCCCCTGCTCTAGGGTTCCCTGGATCCTGGCTTCCCACTGCCTTAGTGGGACCACCATGCAGAGCTAACCTGGCACAAGTGCTGAGCCTCCTGTCTGTACTCATTCTCCTTGGGTTCAGGAACCTGAATAATTCCAGAACCTTCATGTAATTTCCATTTGACTTAAGCCCCCCAACTGACAGTGCGCCCACAGAGGGGGAAACTAGAGTTCCGGAGCCCGGAGAGAGGTACTCACGCGCATGAGCGAGGCTGAGGGCCCAGAGCCGCAAGTAGGAGGCAGTGTTGGAGATGCAGCCCAGGCAGTACTCGATGGTGTGGATGGCCTGGTGGACCATGGTGTCCCCAAAGTCAAACTGTCGTGGGAGGAAACCAGAGAGAAGATATAAGGCTAGGAGGGGAACGTGCAGGCATTCTGAGTTGTGGCTACTTGGCGCTTTGAACCTGGGCCAGGGCAGGGGACTGCACTTCCCATGGATGGCACCTCAACTCTGGAGGGGCCAGAAGCACCCAGTGTTGAGCTCAGGTGGTGATTTCGGCAATGCCTTCCCCAAAAATCCTGCCTGACTTAGCCCTCACCTGGGACACCTCCATTCCCCTCAATACATTACATTTTAATTAACTACATCTTAATAAGATTCTTTTCAACACATTTGTTCTTCTCCCTCTGGGGCTCTGTGCTCAAGAGAGGAGTGTGTGCTGAGTTGACGGCACTCTGTTGAGAAAGTGACTGTCTGGGTCTGGGACCCTAAGGACCTGCAGGAGGGCAGGAAGGGATTTTCCCCAGAGTGCGCTTCAGGAGACAGACTCTCAACCCGGACACTGTCCTGAGAAGACTAGGCCTCTATGGCCACTTTACTTATTCTTTTTACAGCCTTTTGGGAGCAAGATAACCTTCTTTTTCTTTTGTGACTTCTAAAGAGATTACACGGTGAATTTTTTTTTCCCTACATGATTTCACCACCATGCACAGGGAAATCCTGACAAAGTTTACAAATTTCCACATGGGTTAAGGCCAAACAGCATATCTGTTTGGGTTAAGACTAAATAGCATATCTCCAGTTTCTTGTTTGTTTTCGTTTTCCTCAAGCTCCCTTTGTCCCAGTTTTCCTTTCAATACCAAGAATTATTTCCAGAATAAAGGAATGGGCTGGAACAAGCTCTTGGGAGTGAACTTTCAGGTTTGCTCCAAGCACAGTCAGGGGTGAATGTGGGCTTCTGAATTTGGTATATTCTGGAAGCCCCAGGTACTTTCCCTGGGCCTCTCTGTCAAGCTGACCAAAGACCAGGAGGCGCTCCCTTATGGGGCTTCCCCCCGCAGAGCCCAGACCAGAATCTTCTGAGCTTTCAGACACTCCTGAGGGCTCAGTGGCCTCCCCATCGGCCCCTGCCCTCAGGTCAGGGTCTATTTTTCACCGCAGTTCCTTTCAAAACCCACGTGATTCCACTCCCAAAGGACACCAGAAATGCCTTGGGAAATCACTGAGAACATGGGGATGGGAGAAAGTGGCTTGGCTGGTAAAGCCACAACAGCCCAGGCCACAGGGGTGCAGCCAGCGTGGAGGGGGCTGGCTCCACCATGCCATCTCTGGGCGAACGTCTGCTTCTCCCTCACCTCTGTCGACACCTAGCCTATTTCTGGGCTTTTCTTCCGGAACAGGCTCTTCAAGCTTCCTTACTTACCCTGAAAACTAGGGTAATCCTAGTTCCCTGAGTTCCCTAAATCCCAACACCGTGGTTAAGAGCTCTTTCCTACCACTGCTGGCTGCCGCCCCAGGGCCCGCATTGAGAGGAAGAAGTCCATGGCTCCCAGGAGTGCTGATCTCTACTCCTATGGGCTGGGAGGGCAGTGACCACTGGGCTCCCTTACAGCCAATCCCTTCAGTGTTTTTATTCTACCTCAAGTTTCTCCCACCGAATAAACTGCAGGACAGGAGAGAAGCCTCGCTTCCAGGCCTTACCCTTGCCTTCTCTCCTTCATTCCCAGCTTCCTGCAGGTGTTCTCAGGAGAAGCAAGGACTGGGTGAGAAATCCAGCTCAGCACTTATGAGTCTGCCACTCAGCACACGCCCGTATCAATCGGCCATGACCAACCATGAATCGCTGCAGAGTCCCTGTCCACATCTTCTGCCTCAGTTTCCTCTCTGCCCAGCCAGTCCTCACCCTACTGCACCCTGGCTTCCACCTTCACTCCTCCACAAAATGCCTCTACTTAGTAAGGTCACCCTAACCTCCCAGTTGTTACTTTTTTTTTTGAGACGGAGTTTCACTTGTCACCCAGGCTAGAGTGCAGTGGTGCGATCTCAGCTCACTGCAACCTCTGCCTCCCGGGTTCAAGCAATTCTCCTGCCTCAGCCTCCTCAGTAGCTGGGATTACAGGCACGCACCACCACACCCGGCTAATTTTTTAGTAAAGATGGGATTTCACCATGTTGGCCAGGCTGGTCTCAAACTCCTGACTTCAGGTGATCCACCCACCTTGGCCTCCCAAAGTGCTGGGGATTACAGGCGTGAGCCCCCGCGCCTGGCCCAGCTGTTAAAGCTAACAGATGTTCTGTGCCCTTGTCCATGCTCCTGCAGTGTCTGTCACCATAGCCTCTTCCTCCTTTTTGAAATACCTGCCATCCCTTGGTTTTCCTCCTACCTCTCTGGACAGTTCTTTTTAGTCTCCATCGAGGTTCTTCCTTTTTTTTTTCTTTTTTCAAGACAGGAGTGCAGTGGCACGATCTCAGCTCACCACAACCTCTGCCTCCCAGGAGAATCAAGTGATTCTCCTCTCTCAGCCTCCCGAGTAGCTGGGATTACAGGCACATGCCACTACCGCCCAGCTAATTTATGTATTTTTAGTAGAGACGGGGTTTCACCACGTTGGCCAGCTGGTCTCAAACTCCTGGGCTCAAGCAATCCGCCCGCCTCAGCCTCCCAAAGTGCTGGGATTACAGGCGTGAGCCACCACGCCCAGCCAAGGTTCTTCCTTAAATGCCGATGCTCTCTGAAGTTTCAGCTTCAGCCCTTGCATCTTTCTGGTGGGATTGCTACTCAGGGCTTCAAGGGTCGCCCCTAGGAGTGACTCCAAGGTGGATCTCTCCATCTCTGCCTTGCCTATTTCCAGCCAGCTGTACTCCTTCTCCTGGGGAACGACAGGCTCTCCATGCTCAACACAGTAACTGCTCTCCTCTGACCACACCGAGATCAACTTCTATTCCATCTCCCATGTCCAGCAGACTGGAGAGTCTGGGAGTCAATCTCGAATCTTCTCTTACTCCTTACCTTTATTAAGGCACTGGGACCTATAGCTTTCACTTCTTTAATATCTCATATTGGTTCCTTCCTTTCCAACTTATCCTACAGACACTTCACTTCAGGCTCGCCATTCTGTCCTGAATCACATCAGATGATGTCGAGTCTATGCCTCCTGACCTTGTCCCTCCCCAACCCAATATACCCTACAACACAGCCACTGGGGGTATTTCAATGCGCCATGGCTGTGTCACCATCAGCTTCACCGCTCTCTCTTGGATGGCTCCTTGTTGTCCAAATGAGGCAAAAACTACTATGGCTGGTTTCTGCCAACCTCTAGTCTCACCTGTCCCCAGTTCCCCACTCCTGCCTCTGCTCCAGCCAAGCTGAATACTTGCTAGTCCCCAACACGTGATGGACCTACAGGTGTTTTGCCCCTGTGAAGCTGCATATGCTGGTGGGTCTGCACCACTCCCTCTACAGGGCCTCCTGCTTGACCAGAGTAAGACAACTTCCTTAGGGAGTCTTCCAGGGTCTCCTCTTCCACTCTCACCCCAGTGTTCATCAGTTGCCCTCTTTCTGTGCTCCTATAGCATCCGGGGCACACTTCTATTACAGCACCTGTCATCCAGACTATCTCCCCACTTTGGGAGGTCTTTGAAGGCAAGCACTATATTCTTCTTGTTTCTGCAGCACTATACATAGTGCTGGACAACACGGAGGGTGAGTGAATGCATGGATGGATGGGATGAATGCACCTGGTGAGGAGACAGTGGGGAGAGGTGCCACTGACCCTTGCTGAGTGGTCACGGCCTTTGAAGATTTCCCAGACAACCACTGGCCTGGCTCTGGTGTGTAGCTGGACTGAGTTCCCGCTAGGAAGAGGTACTAATGCTTCCACTGGGCTGGAGCAAGGGCCTGCATGGGACAAATACATTTTCACAGCCAAGCAAAATGGGGAAGTTCTAGAAGTAGGCTGAATGTTTTTTTAGGAACCTGTTTGGTTTGAAATCATTAGATAAATGTCATGGGTATCTAAATTTGGCTACAGAGAACCAGACTGTATATGTGCCTGATAAAGATAAAATGTTTAGACTACTTGGGTAGCCAAGGGTAGCTGAATCCCTGAGTGAGCTGGGTGGCCAGAGACTGGGGAGGCTGAATTAGAGTCTATCTTGTTGGATGTCCAACCTCCTGGGACATGGCTACAAACGAGAACGCTGGTACACAATAGTTGGTCAGACCATTCTGACAATGTGGGTGCTCGGCTAGGAAAACATTTAAAAGGCAGTGTTGTTGGAGGTAGTGAGCCAGGGAAAGGGTTGGGCTCCTCATTAACATGGAGCACGCCCCACCCATCCCTGCCAGGTAGCTCAGCCAGGGACTGCATAGATGAGCAGTCCAGGAACACAGACACTCTTTGATGCCAGCAAAGGAGCCTCTCTAGGCTTCAGGAAGAGCAGGCCCTACCTGTGTTTACACAGAACAGCAAAGGCTTTCCCATTCCCATCCCACTGCCCTCCTAGAGAGGACCGAGAGTCAGGAAGGGAAGGGTATGGTTTGTGGGTCTAGGCATTTTAGAGAGAAGTGCTGGGGGAAGATGCAAACAGTGCAGCAAGGTGTTTTAAAAACCCAGTTTAAAGAGTGTATGTTGCTAAGTGAATTACTGCTGAGCCAGAGGGCCTTCTACTCGAGATGTGGCCTGAACAGTTAGCCAATTTGCTTTCCAGTCTCCGTTATTCTCTATGTGGCTGATATAATATGAACTCCTTTCACACAGATGGATTATTTCCTTTGGGATGCATCTGGAAGGCAAAGCCTCCTTTTGAAAGCTGTCTCCCTCTCACCTGGGTCACATGGAGGTAGAGCTGACCCCGAGAAGGGTCCACCACTTCTAAGTTGAAGCATCATCAAGCTGAGGAGGGCAGCAGGAAGAGGCTGGCTCAGACAGGGAGGAAGGGTAAGGTTTGCTCACAAGCACTAGGAGGAGCAGGGAGGAAACGGCTACTCCCGGTGGCTGGGAGTAGATCAACCACAACATCACAGGAGAGGAAGGCAGAGGCCAATGGGACTTAACCCCCAAGAGGAGTCACTTCAAGAATGCCAGTGAAGACATTACTTGTAGCTCCTTTCAAAGCCATTCTCAGAGGTGTTAAATCAGCAAAGTCAATGAAACAAAGACAGAGGTGACCGACATGAGATGCAGTTAATGGAGATGAGCTTTTTAGAACACAGGCTCACGAACTGGTTTGAAATGGCCAGTGAGATGCAGAGGCACAGGAGTCATGTGTATGGCCCCAGGGTGTGGCAGGGTCAGCAGAGTGATCACAAGGATGGGAAGAGAGAAGCCCGGATAAACACGAAGGCAACGCCAGCTTTCATCTTACCACTTCGTCCTCGGAAGGCTTGAAAACACAAATTTACACTTAGTGGGGAGCCACGCCACACACAAGGTCACAAGTTAGGAGCACAAGGCTACTGAATGCTTCTTGGGGAGGACTGTTCATGTTAAATGGGCTAGCACGTTGGAGGCAGGCCTCCTCAGCATATACACAAAGCGAAATCAGCAGGAATTTAGAGCATTAAGATACATATTTTTTAAAGGCATCCACAACCCTTGTGATTTCTTTTTTAAAAAATCATATATAGTGAAAGTGGTCAGACAGACTGAAAAGTCCAACTTGAGTCCTCAACTCCTATTTTATTTGCTTTAAAAAGAACATAATGAGTAGATGAGATTTAATAGTTCAGTTCAGAGGCTTTGTGCTACAAGGGGTCAGGCAAGGAGAGTGGGCTTGGAGGTGGTATCTTAAGGAAAAGTCTAGTTTGGCCTAATTCTCTCTCTCCCTGTAAAAAGTAGGCAAATGACACCAAAAAAGCTCAAACAAAATATCTGCAGCAAGAACACATCAGTGGTGTAGGACTTCAAAAGTACCAGTGATTATAGCTGGTCAGTAATGTAATTGGAACGATCCTTGGAAGGGTCAATGGATGAAGAAGCTGTGCTTAGTGACCTGTGTTTCAGGTCATAAGAGCTGGGATGCTGAGGCCTGCTCTGCCTCAGGTGAGAGAGCAGTCAGTAATGGAGACCTGCGTGCAGAGCACTGCGGGCAAAATCTGGAATTCAAGATAGGAGCAAAACTGCTGCGGGCTCTGGGGGCAACAGCTGGAGCTTAGGGCAGGGCCCACTGGAAAAAGCTGTGGTGCCCTAAGAGGTCCAGAAGGCAGGCTGAATATTAATTAGTATTTTTATTTTTCAAGGAGAAGACTGGAGTGAGGCCTCTTAGGTACACAAGACTAGGGCTGACCCGAGGTGGAAGGAGAGAAAGCCCACACCACGGGATCTTACCTCGTCTGCGTCCTCTGAGTGGGTGGAGAGCTGGTCATGCTGAATAATCTCAGCATCCTCCTCTGTCGGTCCGTTGCCCACCCTGATCCCACCAAAGTTGAGAGTTCCCTACACAGATGAACAGAAAGAGTAGAATTTGCCTGGGCTTTAACATGACATTCTGTGAGGTGGGAAGGGCGATGGTTAGTAACACAAACCTCAGAAAAGCATATGTCTAACAACAAAAACAAAACCCACTGACTGAACGGCTAAGTAAAATCAAACAACTGTTCCACCCCAACCACCGCCTCCCCAGCCCCAGCCCAACCTACAATTACCACCTTACCCTGCTTCAGAGGAAATATGCAGTTCTGTCTGCTGTGCCAAGAGGCACCAGCCTCACCTGGGTCAACACTAATTGAGAATCCTGCTTGAATGAAAACCTTAATATGAACAGATTCTCACAACAAGTACAGCTCTATCTGTAAAGGCTGCAAGGGCCTAAGCTTTTCTGGCCCTAACGATTAGACTTTCTAAGAGGAAGGGGGGCCAAGTGACATTGTGATTGTACCCTAGTCTGATAAGCTTTTAACAGGAGCCCAAGAATTCCAGCAACTTCTTCCAGAAATGTACCATGTCTCTGCCCAGGAACAAAAAGCTTCCAAGGTCAGAGAAGGAAAAAAATGCTTAATGTACATTCACTTGTGGCTAGAGAATGCTGAGCTTAAAAAGATGAGTAGGGGCTCCTTTTCTTCAGCAGACAGCTCTGGAATGTTAGAACAATTCTTCCACAGGCACGTGGGCAGACGCTGATGGGGCATTTGCTTCTTCTGAGTTCACAAACACAGTCTTTTGTAGGGTCTCCAAAAGTAGATTTTAAAGTCAACTTGATTTGAAAAAACTTGAGTTTTTCCAAACCCAAAGCAAAAAAGACTCTTTGGGAAAAAAAACCAGGCAGAAATGAGTTAAGTCTCACAGATCCCAATTAGTGCTAACCTGCCACAGCGTGAAAAGGAATTTAAACAGCAGCCCCCAGAATCACTTCATATGGTTTCTGTCCAGGGGGCCAAACAAGGCAAGAGCTCAAGGGCAGCTCTCCTGCAACCTGGCCTTCGGGCAGCAGCATGAGTAGCGTGCAGGAGGCCTGCGCAGCTGCCCTGCGCTCCTCATCCTCAGCTCCACCTCCTGGTGTGCCATTTTTTGCCACAGCTCTCATCACAGTTTAATGCCCACCTCAGATCTAATTATTTGCACAAATCCTCCCTCCTACTCTAGCAGTGGTCCTTAACATGCTGGTCAGAGAACTAGTTGCATTAGAATTACCCCAAAAGCTGCATTTTAAATAGAAATTCTCAAATACTACTCCCAGAAATTGTAAATTTAGTAGTTCTGGGGTGGGGCCCAATAAATCTGTATTTTAAAAATATATTCCCAAGTACAAATTGTATAATCATTGTGAAGGGTTTATCAAAATTTTAAATGCATGAACCCTTTGAGATTCAGCAATCCCACTGCTGGAACATCTAGGCTTGCAAAACTTTGGCAAGGTATATGGATAAGGGGCTGGGCGCGGTGGCTCATGCCTGTAATCCTAGCATTTTGGAAGGCCGAGTCAGGCAGATCACCTGAGGTCAAAAGTTCGTGATCAGCCTGGCCAACATGGCGAAACCCCGTCTCTACTAAAAATACAAAAATTAGTTGGGCGTAGAGGTGGGCGCCTGTAATCCCAGCTACTCTGGAGGCTGAAGCAGGACAACTGCTGAAACCCGGGAGGTGATGGTTGCAGTGAGCTGAGATCATACCACTGCACTCCATCTTGGGCAACACAGCGAGACTCTGTCTCAAGAAAAAAAAAAAAAAAGACATATGAAAAAGGATGTTCCCTGAATTGCTGTTTGTGATAGCAAAGAATTGGGAACAACCAACACATCCATCAAAGAGATAATGACTTTGGCATGTCCAGTGGAATATTCTATGGAATGCTAGGCAACCATAAAAAAGAGTGATAGTCAGCTGGGCACAGTGGCTCACACCTGTAATCCCAGCACTTTGGGAGGCCACAGCGGGCAGATCACAAGGTCAGGAGTTCGAGACCAGCCCGGCCAACATGGTGAAACCCCGTCTCTCCTAAAAATCCAAAAATTAGTCCAGGCACAGTGGCTCACACCTGTAATCCCAGCACTTTGGGAGCCTGAGGCAGGTGGATCACGAGGTCAGGAGTTCAAGACCAGCCTGGCCAACATGGTGAGACCCTGTCTCTACTAAAAATACAAAAATTAGCCGGGGGAGGTGGTGGGTGCCTGTAATCCCAGCTACTCAGGAAGCTGAGGCAGGAGAATTGCTTGAACTGGGGAGGCGGAGGTTGTAGTGAGCCAAGATCGTGCCACTGCACTCTAGCCTGGGCGACAGGGCAAGACTCTATCTCAAAAACAAAACAAAACAAAAATTAGCCAGGCGTAGTGGTGCATGCCCATAATCCTAGCTACTCATGAGGCTGAGGCAGGAGAATTGCTTGAACCTGGGAGGTGGAGGTTGTAGTGAGCTGAGATCGTGCCACTGCACTACAGCTGGGTGACAGATCAAGACTTCATCTCAGAAAAAAAAAAAAAAAAGTGATTATCACTATGAAACAATCTTCAAGATACACTAACTTTTAAAAAACGTAATAGATCGAGAGGCAGAACAGTGCCACAGTTTAAAACACAATTCCTCATGTGTCTTTTTCTAGATGCATAGAGCACACACACACCTATCAATAGAAGACAGGCAGATATCTGTCAGAGGCAAGGCCCCCACCTGTTAACAATGCCCCCTGAAGAGGAGGACTGTAGTGGGGGCAGGTGGTTTTCTTCTTAGTTAGCACTATATGCATTCTCTAGCCAAGTGCACCTATTGCTTTATTTTTTTAATGTCAGTAGGGGATTGTCAGGACCATGAAATTATGGGCCACTTTTATTTCTTCTTCCACTTATTTGTTTTAATACCCTAAGAAACAAATTCAAAGTCTACCAGGTGACTGTGATGTGCAGTCAGACTTGTGGGCCACCAGAGCCTGGACACCTCCAGGTCATGCACATATTCCACCTGGCAACCCTCAGAAGGTGGACTGAAAATGCAACGAAGGGCACAGGAGGGGACTCCTGCATAACCTCGGCTGGGTTATAAGATATAGGAGGAAGGCTTCAAGGTTCAAGGCTCCCAAAGTAGAAGGCCATTTCTGAAGCTTTCTCCAACTAGCAGATAAACTGAGGAGCAGACAGGTTAAATCTCCCAGCCAGACACTAATAATGATCTCTTCAGAACACAGGAATGAGAGTTACAGGAAGGGGGATGAGAGACACATGTCAGCAGAAAAAAGAAAAGAAAAATTAAACTGTGATATATCACTCACAGACAACCAAGGGGACAAAGAACAGAACAAAACCAGATCACTGTTCATATCCTCAGCCCTCTGGGGTCAAAAATCCAGAGACTTTCTTGTAGACTGATCATCCTGATGCCTTCAGGCTGCTCTCCAGGAACAGATGTTTGGCTAAAGAACCAGTGGGGTAAGAAGACCCTATGAATGTGCAGGTTTCCAAACGGGGAACTTTTAACTTAGAATTTATCACAGAAGAAGTCGCAAGACTTAAATGCATTAAGATCTTGTCAGAAGCACATCTTATATATGCTAAGACTAGCAGAAAAAAGAGTATGTGTTAAGGACATTGACAATAGGTAGTATGTGTTCTAAAGGTTTGTTAAATGTCTCACAGGGAAGTCCCTACTTGAAAATGTATTTTAAGCAGCAAGATTAAAATTTTTTCTGACTCAAAATGTCAGCCCTTTTAGACTAGTTCCAGAAGGATGACTTAGACTAGTTCCAGAAGGATGACCATAAGAAATTTTCCAAGTTTAAAATCATCAGAAACACTTAATGAAGGAAATGGTTATCCATCTAAATCTTTCATTTTATTTAAAGAAGTATATGCTTCGAGCACATAGAAGTAATGCGTAATCACTACTGGTGAGACTTTTACAATCTTATAGATTCATTCATAACTTAGAATATATTAGGCTAATATATTTGTGCATTGTAAGATTTTGTTTAAAAGATGTTTTTAAGGACAAATATTCAAAGTGCTGTTACTGAATCTTGAATTAGTATCAGAAGAGGGAAGGATCAAGACAGATCACTTTGGTTATGACACCAGATGACAGTACACACGACACATCGGAGAGCAGAGGTCTCACTGGAACAGCTGAGGACATGTGAGGTCTTCTGAGTTTCTCACAAAAAACTAAACATGTATAAACTTTCACTTTCAAAAAGAAGGTAAGTTACTACTAAAAAAGATCAAATGTCCAAGCATCACTCTAAAGTAGAACTCTAAAGTGCAGGGAAATCAATTCAAGAATCACAGAGATATTCTCGCTTCCATGCTGAAAAATCATCCAATACATGGTCACAAAATACAGACATGAAAGTGGGTGAGTCCAAGAGCTGTCATCTTGGATTAAGATGATGGGACTCAGTGAGGGTACAACAAGCCACTTTGTTGCCATGGACATGCCTGTACTTACATTTTTGAATAGAAACTTAGTAGACCAATGCTAAAGATGATGCCAGAATCTATTCTTAAGAGGTGGAACTTCTGTCATCATCTCAGTGAGTAACAAGGACATATTTCCCAAAAGTACACATGTCCCATGCTCTCAATTTAATTAAAAAGAATTCTGCTGCACTGTTTGCCACCTCTTTAAATGAAATGTGATGGTTTGTTGGTTTTAATTCACTCACTGTTGCAGCCGCTGCTGCCTCTAGTCCCTGTTGGCTCGGGTTTGGGCTGACTGGGGCCTCCACAGGTTGCCCTTCCTGATAGTGAATGGAAGAAAAGAAGAAGGGGAAAGAAAACAAAAGAGGGAGGGAGTGAAGTGGGGAGACAAATGGAGGGTACATGGAAGGATGAAGATGGTCAGAAAAGGGAGAAGGAGGGTCTTGTAACTCAGCTGCTCTCCACGGGAGTCATCATCTAACAGCCGTTTAAGAGTCATGCAACAAGATCGTTTGGGTTTTCCCAGGCAGTGTAAAGTAAGTGCTATTGGATACCCAGAAATTATGCATGATACTGAACATCTCGCAAATTTAACTCTGTGTGTGTGTGTGTGTGTGCGCGCGCAGAATTCATATACACACAGACATTAAGTAAACGTATATACATATGCTGCTTTTTAAAAAGAAAAAAAATCAACGTGCTTTAAACCAAACCTTTTTCCCAGATGTTTTGGTCAGTGAAAGTTATCACAGTCTCATTTGAAAGGAAAATGTCTCAATGTCAGTCCTGTGGTTGCCCAGGCAAACCGCATGAGTGAGTTCACCCATCTGCAGCTCTTGCAGCTTTGCTTGGCTTTGGCTGATGCTACATCTAGACAGGCATAGGCCTACATTTTCCTGAGCGCAGCGTGAGCAAAAGCATGACCAGGAAAGGTAAAAATTTGTGACTTTTCTCTCCTCTAGCTACTCAAAGCTGAATCCAGATATCTTGAGCAGCAGACATGTTTCTCTGACTTGGCAGGCCCAGTGCTCGTGCTGGGACATAACACAAATGCGTTTTGTTTGTTTGGTTTTTTGTTTTTGAGACAGAGTCTCACTCTGTCCCCATGCTGGAGTACAGTGGCACAATCTTGGCTGACTGCAACCTCCGCCTCTCAGATTCAAGCGATCCTTCCACCTCAGCCTCCCAAGTAGCTGGGACTACAGGCACGCGCCAACACGCTTGGCTAATTTTTGTATTTTTAGTAAAGATGGGGTTTCACCATGTTGGCCAGGCTGGTCTCAAACTCCTGACCTCAAGTGATCCACCCACCTCGGCCTCCCAAAGTGCTAAAGTGCTGGGATTACAGCAGTGAGGCACTGCGCCCGGCCACAAATGCGTTTTAATAGTATACAGATTTGTGGCCGGGCATGGTGGCTCACGCTTGTAATCCCAGCACTTTGGGAGGCCAAGGTGGACGGATCATGAGGTTAGGAGTTCGAAACCAGCCTGGCTAACATGGTGAAACCCCGTCTCTACTAAAAATACAAGAATTAGCCAGGTGTGGTGGCGTACACCTATAATCCCAGTGACACAGGAGGCTGAGGCAAAAGAATTGCTTGAACCTGGGAGGTGGAGGTTGCAGTGAGCCAAGATCGTACCACTGCACCCCAGCCTGGGGGACAGAGCGAGACTCCGTCTCAAAAAAAGAAAAAGAAAAAGAAAAAGAATATATAGATTTGTGCACAATTAATTATATCCACTGGGGAATTGCCTTGATCTTGAACAAAACAAAAGTCTAGTAACTTTTAGCAATAGAAATACACCTACCAAATGCTTTCTCCTCAAATACTGACGGCGAAGGACCAATGGTTTAAACAGCAGCATCCAAGGTACACACAGTAGTGCAACCACTACCAGGAAACACTGAATTCCTTTCTGCAGAGTAAGAAGAAGGACAAGGTACATCATATAAAAGTCTACCGATCACATACGCAGTTTCCAAATATGGCACAAATTTCCCCCAACAGTACTTTCTTACTAATCTATGAATAACACTATCCAATTTCTCAAAATAATTATCACATTTTGTGGCAAAGCCCTAGAATTGTCCCATAGAAGGGCAGTTATAAATTTTTTAGGGTCAGAGAAACATCTGGCTTCCTGATCAAGTATAATCATCTCAGACAGTCTGCCTCTGGGCTGACGTACCTGTCCAGAATACAACATTGAATAACCAGACTCTGGGTAGGAAAAGAGGAACATGTTTATGAAATGGATCAGAAGGCTTGGTGCATTCTCAGAGGTATGAGCATCATAGGCCGTCCACTTGTAAAAAATAAGGATAACCAAATAGCCAAACAAAGAGGTCATGAAGATTATTTCAGGAATAAATCCAAAGTAGATATTCAGGGGCTTCTTGAAATAGCTAAAAAGGAGAGAGAAAAAAATGTTAAGGGTAAATGGGCCTAGGGCCACTCCTACACTGAATGGAGTATTCACTAGATTTTTCTACTTAATACCCCCTCAATTCTGTCTTTATCACTTTAAGCAGCAGCAACCAGAAGCTGGAGACAACAGAGACAATGCAGGATTAACTATCACGGTCAAACTTTTGAACCTTGGTTTTGTTTTGCTGTTGCTTTTTCTTTTTTGAGACAGGGTCTCACTCTGCTACCCAGCCTGGAGTACAGTGGTGCAATATTGGCTCACCGCAGTCTTAACCTCCCTGGGCTTAGGCAATCCTCTTACCTCAGCCTCTCGAGTAGCTGGGACTACAGGCATGCGCCACCACACCCAGCTAATTTTTACATTTTTTTGTAGAGATGGGGTTTTGCCATGTTGCCCAGACTGGTCTTGAACTCCTGACATCAGGTGATCTGCCCGCCTTGGCCTCCCAAAGTGCAGGATGACAGATGTGAGCCATTGTGCCAGGCCTTAAACTTTTGAACCTTGAACGGCTCCAATACCATCCCCACCATTCTCTCCATGAGAAAGAGAATGGAAAAATCTAGTACATTTTGAGACCACAGTTCATAACTTTTTTTTTTTTTTTTTTTTGTAGAGATGGGGTCTTTTGCCGTGTTACCCAGGCTTGTCTTGAACTCTTGGGCTCAAGTGATCCGCCTGCCTTGGCCTCCCAAAGTGCTGGCATTACAGGTGTGAGCCCCCACACCCAGTCCACAGCTAATAATTTTATGTGAGTTGCACATCAAGGAAAAAAAGAGACCTCACTTATTTTGATGAAAATTGCTCAAGTTTTTTTCAAGGATCTTTACTGGAACAGTAAATTGTTAAAGGACTAATATTAAGTCTAATTTAAGACCATCAACATTTTTTTTTTTTTTGAGATGGAGTCTTGCTCTGTCACCCCGACTGGAGTGCAGTGGTGTTATCTTGGTTTACTGCAACCTCTGCCTCCTGGGTTCAAGCAATTCTCCTGCCTCAGCCACCAGAGTAGCTGGGATTACAGGTGCACGCCACCACACCCGGCTAATTTTTTGTATTTTTAGTAGAGACGGAGTTTCACCATGTGGGCCAGGCTGGTCTTGAACTCCTGACCTCAAGTGATCTGCCCGCCTCATCTTCCCAAAGTGCTGGATTACAAGTGTAAGCCACTGCACCCGGCCAGACCATGAAATTTATTTATTTATTTATTTTTTTTGAGGCAGAGTCTCACTCTGTCGCTCAGGCTGGAGTGCAGTGGTGCCATCTTGTCTCACTGCGACCTCTGCCTCCCAGGTTCAAGCAATTCTCCTGCCTCAGCCTCCCGAATAGCTGGGAATATAGGCGCGTGCCACTACACCTGGCTGATTTTTGTATTTTTAGTAGAGACGGGGTTTCATCGTGTTGGCCAGGCTGGTTTCGAACTCCTGACCTCAGGTGATCCACCGGCCTTGGCCTCCCAAAGTACTGGGATTACAGGCATGATCCACCGCGCCTGGCCACACCATTAAATTTTTAGAAAAGCACTTCTATAATGTAGAATGAGGTTCTGAGTTATTAATCCCTCCCCAAAGATGTCATGATTTCTTTACACAAAAGCATTCTCTAAACTATGCACATTCTTATGACAGAAATGGAACAACTCACATATGGTTGAACAGACTCAGGCTGACTCCAAACAGCATATGGATGATACCAAGGATAACAGACATCTTCATCTTAAAGGAGTTCAAGAACGTCAGTTTATTGGTAGCAATGTTCCAAATCTGTCATAACCCGAGAAAACAAATAGGTATTATAAAGAATTCTCAAAGGGAAAAATATTCCTCTGTTTAAAAAACAATTTTTATTTATTTATTTATTTAGAGACGAGTCTCGCTCTGTCACCCAGGCTGGAGTGCAGTGGCGTGATCTCAGCTCACTGCAAGCTCTGCCTTCCGGGTTCACGCCATTCTCCTGCCTCAGCCTCCCAAGTAGCTGGGACTACAGGTGCCTGCCACCACGCCCAGCTATTTTTTTGTATTTTTAGTAGAGACAGGGTTTCACCGTGTTAGCCAGGATGGTCTCGATTCATGACCTCGTGATTCGCCCGCCTCAGCCTCCCAAAGTGCTGGGATTACAGGCGTGAGCCACCGCGCCCGGTCGACAATTTTTATTTATTAATCAATATTATTTATTATGGAAAATTCTAAACAGATACTTAAGCAGACAGGATGGTACAACAAACTCCCAGGCACCTATCACTCTGCTTCGACAAAATTTTTTTTTTTAATCTTGCTTTTGAGGAGAATGCTTCAAAAATTAACATCACCTTATAGTCATGAAAAAAGATTACTGCCACTCACTCATCTCCACATTACTAAAAAGTCCAGATATCATGTCATTTTACCTGTAAATATTTCAGTGTGGATGTCTAAAAGGAAAAGACTTATTTATTTATTTATTTATTTATTGAGATGGAATTTCGCTCTTTTTGCCCAGGATGGAGTGCAGTGTTCATGATCTCGCTGACTGCAACTTCCACCTCCTGCCTTGCCTCAGCCTCCCAGGTAGCTGGGATTACAGGCACAGGCCACGATGCCCAGCTAATTTTGTATTTTTAGTAGAGATGGGGTTTCACCATGTTGGCCAGGCTGGTCTCAAACTCCTGACCTCAGGTCTGGCCTGAGGCTTGCCTCGGCCTCCCAAACTGCTTGGATTACAGGCTTGAGTCACTGCGCCCGGCCAGTAAGGCTTTTTTTTTTTTTCTTTTTTTTTTGAGATGAACTCTCGCTCTGTCACCCAGGCTGGAGTGCAGTGGTGAAATCTCGGCCTATTGCAAGGTGGGGTTTTCACCATGTTAGCCAGGAAGGTCTCGATCTCTTGACCTCATGATCCGCCCGCCTTGGCCTCCCAAATTGCTGGGATTACAGGCGTGAGCCACCGCGCCCGGCCAGGACTTATTTTTAAAACATGACCACAATATTGTCATCACACGTAAATGCATTAACAATGATTTCTTTTTTTTTTTTTTCTTTTAGATGGAGTCTTACTCTGTCGCCCAGGCTGGAGTGCAGTGGCATGATCTCGGCTCGCTACAACCTCTGCCTCCTGGGTTCAAGCAATTCTCTGCCTCAACTTCCCGAGTAGCTGGAATTACAGGTGCTCGCCACCACGCCTGGCTAATTTTTTTTGTATTTTTAGTAGAGATGGGATTTCACCATCTTGGCCAGGCAGGTCTTGAACTCCTGACCTCGTGATCCACCAGCCTCGGCCTCCCAAAGTGCTGGGATTACAGGTGTGAGCCACCGTGCCCAGCTAACAATGATTCTTTAATATCATAAAATATATAGTCAATATTCAAATTTCTCTGATCTGTGTCCAAACCATTTTTTTTTTTTTTTTTTTTTGAGACAGGGTCTTCACTCTGTCACCCAGGCCGGAGTGCAGTTACGTGATCTTGGCTCACTGCAACCTCTGCCTCCCAGGTTCAAGCTGTTCTCCTGCCTTAGCCTCCTGCCTTAGGACTACAGGCGTGCACCACCACACCCGGCCAATTTTTATACTTCTGGTAGAGATGGGGTTTCACTATGTTGCCCTGGCTGGTCTGGAATTTCCTGACCGCAAGTCATCTGTCTGCCTCGGCCTCCCAAAGTGCTGGGATTACAGGCGTGAGCCACCGTGCCTGGCTTATACATTATGATTGTAGATATATCTCTTGAGTCTCTAAACTACAGGTTCTCCTTCCATCTTTCCTTTTTCATTCATTACAAAATTTCTTTTGAAGAAATTGGGTTGTTTATCTTATATATTTTCCCACAGTCTATGTTTCGCTGATTGTAGCCCTGTGGTGCTGTCATTCCATCTATTTTTTTGAGATGGAGTCTTGCTATGTCCCCCAGGCTGGAGTGCAGTGGCACGATCTGGGCTCACTGCAACCTCCTCCTCCCGGGCGCAAGCAATTCTTCCACAGCCTCCTGTAGCTGGGACTACAGGCATATGCCACCGTGCCCAGCTAATTTCTGTATTTTTAGTAGAGATGGGGTTTCACCATGTTGACCAGGCTGGTCTCGAACTCCTGACCTCAAGTGATCCACCTGACTCTGTGTCCCAAAGTGCTGGGATTACAGGCATGAGCCACCTCGCCCAGCCTGTATTATTTTTTTTTTTCCTCAGCAGTCAGATGCCCTGTATTACATTCTTGCCGCCACTCCATTTTTACAGCACACAATAAAGAAGACTTGATCATACTTAATTTGCCTAAGCATTTGAAAAAAAAATTAATTCTCGGATAAGTTTTTGTAAGTTCGTAAATATAAGAATGCAAGTCTAAAATCCACAGGAAAAATATATTTCTGCTTTGCTAAAATGTCTGCTAAAAATAAAAAACCAAACTAAGTAAGCAGAAATAAATTAAGAAATGGGAAGGAGTCTTGAAAAATCAATCTTCCCAGAGTCGATATTATTAACCACCTCAGAAATAAGCAGCGCAGGGAAAAGTATGTGGCTCCTCAAGGCACTTGGGTCTCTTATGGCTTAGAAGTCCTCTGAATACATACATCAAGGTTTCCCAAAAATATGTCAACGAAAACCCACATAACTATTTTTGTTTGTTTCTTTCTTTCTTTCTTTTTTTTTTTTTTTTTTTTGAGACGGAGTCTTGCTCTGTCACACAGGCTGGAGTGCAGCTTGCTCACTGCAACCTCTGCCTCCCAGGTTCAAGCGATTCTCCTGCCTCAGTCTCCCGGGTAGCTGGGACTACAGGCATGCGCCACCACGCCCGGCTAATATTTTATTTTTAGTAGAGATAGGGTTTCACCATGCTGACCTCAGGTGATCCCACCTCCTCGGCCTCCCAAAGTGCTGGGATTACAGGCATGAGCGACCATGCCCAGTGAAAGCCCACATAACTATTTATCTTCATTTTAATTCTCTTGCTTCAGGGTTAGTGTTAAAAAATTTGAGGTTAGCATATAGGAAGGAAGTCCTCTTACTGGATCAATGCCAAAAGGGTATGGTCCACCAAACACTCCAGGGAGGGCTGGGTTCAGCTGTAGAACAGGGTTCCCCCGAAGCGTCTCTTCACTACCATGACAGGGAAAAAGTCACATTATTTTTGAACAAGAGAGGGAAACAACAAGGGTCCAGAAACTGACCCCAAAATAAATTACTGTAGCTATCTTGTCTCTTCAATAAAATGGGAGGGGAAAAATAAAGAGGAGAGACTAGCAGCTGAGACTGAGGGATCCAAAATGACAAAAAGAAAAATTAAACACACAAACACACAATCAAGTAGGGAACTGGGGAATCTGGTTTTAGTTTCCAAAAAAAAAAAAAATCATTTCTAATCTTAGTTCCTGGATACTTGCTGAACAAATCACAAAGCAACTCACAGTGTGGAGCATGAATGAGGAGACACTGTCACCACTTCCTAAAGAAGTGTCAGTTTACCACTTGTCTTAAAAATCAGGGCTGCACATGAAAGGAATAAGCTTTGAATTTTAGCTTCTTCTGCAACTTACGTCCAATTATAAGTAAACATCGGCCGTACACTCCAGGATGACCCAAAGATATTAAGAGACTTGGAAAAGCAATCATTGTAGATGAGGCCAGTGTACATGGAGAACACACCCATCAATAAAATAATGTATCGACCACTGAACACAGTGCTAAACATCTGGGAACCAGAAGAAAGAAGTAATGAGAATGTACTCACTGCAGCTCACATTGTGACAATGTTATTCAGAATATACCTGCCCCTTTCTCCAGCACTACTTTACCCCATCCTGATTCAGAGAGCTTGAAGTAAAAACCAAAATACAATGCTAATGAGACAGTCACTTTCACAGGATGTGGCCTCTATTTTTTTATTAGGTTGGCACAAAAGTTACTGCGGTTTTGGCCATTTCTTTTGGCAGCCAAAACCGCAATAACTTTTGCACCAAACCTAAATAATTTTTATTTTTTTAGAGATGGGGTCTCACTATGTTGCCTATGCTGGTCTCGAATTCCTGGGCTCAAGTGATTCTCCTGCCTCAGCCTCCAAGTAGCTGGGACTACAGGCACACACTACCACTTCCAGCTTGCACATGTCGTCTTTGGTGTTAAAATGAACATAACTTCTCTACTTCCTTTTGATAAATTCATGGATAAAAGACTTCCAGATCATAATTTTCATAATGAATGCTTGGGAAATTATAAAATTTCAGTTCAATGCAGATGTAACTTAAACATTACCTCATTCTCATTCTTCTGGGAAAGGATCCGGCTCTCCCTCAGTACCATCCACACAGCAAAAAGGGTCATTAAAATGCCATGACCGAAGTCTCCAAACATCACAGCAAATAGAAAAGGGAACGTGATAATAGTATACGGAGCTATGAAGAAACCAAAAAAAGAAAAATACAAAGTACATTAAACCATAGCAATTCCACAAATATTACATTCTTTTCCATACCCACCCCCCTTTTTTTTTTTGAGATGGAGTCTTGCTCTGTCAGCCAGCAATGTCTCAATCTTGGCTCACTGCAACCTCCATCTCCCAGGTTCAAGTGATTCTCCTGCCTCAGCCTCTTGAGTAGCTGGGATTACAGGTGCCCACCACCATGCCTAGCTAAGTTTTGTATTTTTAGTAGAGACAGGGTTTCACCATGTTGCCCAGGCTGGTCTCCGACTCTGACCTCAAGTGATCCACCTGCCTCGGCCTCCCAAAGTGCTGGCATTACAGGCGTGAGCCACCGTGCCCAGGCTTCCATAATCTTAAGATCAATATAAGGTGACTTACTCCCCAGCTGCCAGACAGATAGGACTCTCAGAGAAAATCTTTCATGGCAGAATCAACACATCTTCACAAAGTAGCTAATGAAATTTGAGCTACTGATAACTTTTTTTAAAAGAGAGATGGGGTCTTTCTCTGCCACCCAGGCTGGAGTGCAGTGGTTTCATCACAGCTCACTGCAGCCTGCAACCCCTGGACTCAAGTTATCCTCCCACCTCAGCCTCCCAAACAGTTGGAACTACAAGTATGTGCCACCATGCCCAGTTAATTTTGTTTTAAAATTACTGATAAATAATATTTTTTTAGATGGAATCTCACTATTTTGCCCAAGCTAGTCCTGAACTTGTGGCCTTGAGCAATCCTCCCACCTCAGCCTCCTGAATATCCGAGATTACAGGCATGAGGCACTGTGCCTGGCAGCTCTGATAACATTTCAAACAAAGAACAGTGGAAATGAAGGTGTAACCTTGACAACATTGGTTTGTTCTCTGACTCTCTTGTAACTCGTGGGACCCTGCTCCCAGGGCAGGCCAGCTGTCTTCTCTTTGTGCAGCAACCATGTCCCAGTGATATAAAGCTAAATATCAGATAACGTACAGATGGAGAGAGCCCAGAGCAAAGCAGTTCTTCCATAGGGCTCCAACTGAAAATGAATACTCACACTCTTGATTTAATAATTAACTCTCCAAATATAGGAGAAATCTGTGTTGTACCTAAAGTGGCCAATACTTGCTACATTTTTTCTGTCTAACCTTGGAACAGGGAAGCCAAAAAAAAAGCCATTTAAAAATATCAGACATCTTAGAAGAAACATTTTGCTTAAAACAGTTCCTGCAAATGATTTGCTAGAGAAGTCCAGGTGTTTTAGGGCTGTGAGGGCACATGAAAGAATCCAGTCTCATGAACTTTTTTTTTGAGACAGAGTCTTGCTCTGTCACTCAGGCTGGAGTGCAGTGGCACAATTTAGGCTCACTATAACTTCTGTCTCTTGGGTTCAAGCAATTCTCCTGTCTAGGCCTCCTGAGTAGCTGGGATTACAGGCATGCACCACCAGGCCTGGCTAATTTTCTTGTATTTTTAGTAGAGATAGGGTTTCACCATGTTGGCCAGGCTGGTCTCGAACTCCTGACCTTAAGTGATCCTTCCACCTTGTCCCCACAAAGTGCTGGGATTACAGGCATGAACCACCACGCCCAGCCGATGAACTTTTTTTTTTTTTTTTTTTTGAGACAGAGTTTCACTCTTTTTGCCCAGGCTGGAGTGCAATAATGCAATATCGGCTCACGGCAACCTCCGTCTCCCCGGTTCAAGTGATTCTCCTGCCTCAGCCTCCCGAGTCGCTGAGATTACAGGCAAGAGCCACCATGCCTGGCTGATTTTGTATTTTTAGTAGAGACGGGGTTTCTCCATGTTGGTCAGGCTGGTCTCGAACTCCTGACCTCAGGTGATCCACCTGCCTCGGCCTCCCAAAGTGCTGGGATTACAGGCGTGAGCCACCACACCTGGCCCAGCCGATGAACTCTTAAAGGAACGCTACCTGACAGTAAACCTGCCCCTTACATTAAATGGGCATCTTTTTGTTGTTGCCCAAGCTGGAGTGCAGTGGCATGATGTCGGTTCACTGCAACCTTTGCCTCCTGGGTTCAAGTGATTCTCAGGCCTCAGCCTCCCGAGTAGCTGGGACTACAGGTGCATGCCACCAAATCCGGCTAATTTTTGTATTTTTAGTAGAGGCAGGGTTTCACCATGTTGGCCAGGCTGGTCTCAAACTCCTGACCTCATGTGATCCACATGCCTCAGCCTCCCAAAGTGCTGGGATTACAGGCGTGAGCCACCATGCCCTGCCAGAATGAGCACCTCTTCACAGGGAGTACACAAGATCTGAGGTGTCAACATGTTTATTTATTTTTTAATAGAGATGGGGTCTCACTATGTTGCCCAGGCTGATCTTGAAATCCTGGGCTTAAGCAATCCTCCTACCTCGGCCTCTAAAAGTGCTAGGATTGGCTGGGCGCAGTGGCTCACGCCACCCAGCACTTTGTAATCCCAGCACTTTGGGAGGCCAAGGCGGGTGGATCATGAGGTCAGGAGATCGAGACCATCCTGGCTAACACAGTGAAACCCTGTCTCTACTAAAAATACAAAAAAATGGCCGGGCGCAGTGGCTCACGTCTGTAATCCCAGCACTTGGGGAGGCAGAGGCAGGCAGATCACCTGAAGTCAGGAGTTAGAGATCAGCCTGGGCAACATGGTGAAACCCCGTCTCGACTAAAAATACAAAATTAGCCGGGCGTGATGGCACATGCCTATAATCCCAGCTACTCGGGAGGCTGAGGCAGGAGAATCGCTTGAACCTGGGAGGCAGAGGATGTGGTGAGCTGAGATCGTGCCATTGCACTCCAGCCTGGGCAACGAGAGTAAATCTCTGTCTCACCTAAAAAAAATAAAAAAAAAATTAGCCGGGCATGGTGGCGGGTGCCTGTAGTCCCAGCTATTCGGGAGGCTGAGGCAGAAGAATGGCGTGAACCTGGGAGGCAGAGCTTGCGGTGAGCCAAGATCACGCCACTGCACTCCAGCATGGGTGACACAGCGAGACTCCGTCTCAAAAAAAATTAAAAATAAAATTAAATTAAAAAAACAGTGCTAGGATTAACATCTTTAATTTTAATTCAGTTATTCAACAGCATTTAAAGTGAGGCATTAGAAGAAACAATGAACAAAAAGGCCAGGCATAGTGGGTCACACCTGTAATCCCAGCACTTTGGGAGGCTGAAGCAGGAGGCTTCCTTGAGCCCAGGAGTCCAAGACTAGCTTGGGCAACATAACAAGACCCCGTCTCTAAAAAAAATTAAAAATTATCAGCCTGGGCAACATAGCAAAACCCATCTCTAAAAAAATTTTAAAAATTAGCCAGGCATGGTGACACATGCCTGTAGTCCCAGCTACTCCAGAGGTTCAGGCGGGAGAATCACTTGAGCCCACGAGGTTGAGGCTGCTGTAAGCCGTGATTTCACCATTGCACTACAGCCTAGGCAACAGAATGAGACCCAGTCAAAAAAAAATCATAAAATAAAAAATTAGCCAGGTGTGGTGCTGTGCGCCTGTGGTCCTAGCTATACAGGAGACTGAGTTGGGAGGATCTCTTGAGGCCAGGAGTTTGAGGCTGCAGTGAACTACAGTCGTGCTGCTGCACTCCAGCCTGGGTGACAGAGGGAGACTCTGTCTCAAAACAAACCAAACCAACCAAACAAACAAAAAAAACTCTAGAGGAAAAAGATAACAAGCTTTTTTTTACCTGGATTTATCTCTCGGTAAGTTCCAATTCCATAAGCATCTACTATGTTCTGAAAGCCATAGGTAAACTTGTTGGTTTTGTTATAGGTTGGGGGAGTCTGGTTTGTCTGCATCCTGTTCAAAATGGAAGGTACAGTGGAACCACTGTGTTCCTGAAAAACATTAGCACATTTATCAAACTTAGGTTATCCTCCTAATTGTGGTAGTGGTTACACAGGTGTACATTTCTTGAAACTCATCAAATGGTACACATAAAATGTATGTATTTTCTTTCATGTAAATTATATCTCAATAAAACTAATAAACCTAAAAATAAAACTAGATTATCTTTCCCAGCTTTTGGGAAAACTGGGAAAAGGTATAACATTTATAATGGAAGATTTCTATTAGATCCTCTGAAATACATCCTTAATGTGAAAAAAATTTAACTTTAAAATATGTCACCAAAGAAAATGTGGAACTGCCTCCATATCTGCCTTTTTATGAAAGTTGTTCTCCCCCTTTCATGGAGAAAGCAAAGTATGTTCTCTGGCTCTCCTTCTTCACTACCTTCTCTTAACTTCCTGATCCCTTGCAGTCTGGCTGAGCATGCTTAGGCAAAGTGACTGGCTCCTGACCAAAGAGCTTCTCTCCCCCATGCACGCCCCTGACATTGGAGATCTTTGGTGAAAATCCTTCTTCCTTAGGAGTTCTCCTCCTGCTCGCTGACCATTGCTTTTCTATCTTTGCTGGTTATTTCTGCTCTGCCTATCTCATAGCATTGCAAGACCCCAACCTTTTTTTTCTCTCTATGACCTCCCTCTTGGAGGTCTCATTCCCTTCCATTCTCATGACTCCCATTTCCTTAGCTTTGTTCCCTTGTCTGCTTGACATTTCCACATAGACCTCAATGTGCCCGGAACTGAACTTACCATCTCTCCCCAATCAATAAGCTTCTCTGGCTGAACATTTACTTCCCTCATTGGAACCCTAATTCTCCTGGCCAGTCAGCTTTGATGCCTCAAAAAGATGTTTAAATCTTTCTCCTTGTATTTCTCCTGCACCTTGCTAGGAACCAGGTAGCCCTATTGATTTTTCCTGCAGAACATCTCACAATTCATCATTTTTTTTCCCATTGTCAAGTCCTACCTGGGGATCCTTATCATTTACTACTCTATGTCTACAATAACCTCCTAACTGAACCCCTACCTACAGAATCTCTTCACTCCTCAATCCAACCTAGATACTATCAGCAGATTACTCTTTTAAAACTGCTTTGAGCCAGGAGAAGTGGCTCATGCCTGTAATCCCTGCACTTTGGGAGGCTGAGGCGGGTGGATCACCTGAGGTCAGGAGTTCGACACCAGCTTGGTCAACGTGATGAAACCCCGTCTCCACTAAAAATACAAAAAATTAGCTGGGTGTGGTGGCGCACACCTGTAATCCCAGCTACTCAGGAGGCTGAGGCAGGAGAATCACTTGAAGCAGGGAGGTGGAGGGTGGAGGTTGCAGTGAGCCGAGATCATGCCACTGCACTCCAGCCTGGGCAACAAGAGCAAAACTCCATCTCAAAAAAAAAAAAACCAAAAAACAAAAAAACTGCTTTGATCCACCAGGCGTGGTGACCCACTTTTTTTTTTTTTTTGAGACAGAGTCTCACTCTGCTGTCCAGGCTGGAGTGCAGTGGCATGATCTCAGCTCACTGCAACCTCTGCCTCCTGGGTTCAAGTGGTTCTCCTGCCTCAGCCTCCTGAGTAGCTGGGATCACAGGCACCCACCACCATACCTGGCTAACTTTTTTGTATTTTTAGTAGAGACGGGGTTTTGTCATGTTGGCCAGGCTGGTCTCAAACTCCTGACCTCAAGTGATGACCCGCCTCAACCTCCCAAAGTGCTGGATTACAAGAGTGAGTCACCACGCCTGGCCCCAACACTTTGGAAGGCCAAGGAAGGCAGATCACTCGAGCCCAGGAATTTGAGATCAGCCTGGGCAACATGGCAAAACCCTGTCTCTACAAAAAATTAGCCACGCATGATGGTGGGCACCTGTAGTCCCAGCTACCGGGAGTCTGAAGTGGGAGGATTGCTTAAGCCCAGGAGTTGGAAGCTGAAGTGAGCTGAGATGGCACCACTGCACTCCAGCCTGGGTAACAGAGCAAGATCTTGTCTCAAACACAAAATTAAAAATGTAAAAAACCACCCAAACTGCTTTGATCATGTTCCTTTACCCCTAAAGAACTTCCAATGTCTCTCAACTTCCTCTGGAATAAAATTTAAATCTTCTAAGCTATTATTTAAGAACCTTTCACAATTAAGTTCCAAACTACCTGATGCAGACAGGTACTTCTCTTCAGCTAACCCACTGTAAATCCTGTTCTTGTCCAAACATACATGGTCTAACCATACTTCCTGCCTTTGTTTTCTTCTCTTCATTCAGCAGTCTTACCAACAACTTATCATTCTTCAAAGACCTGATCAAATGCCACCTGCTTAAAGCTTTTTCCAACTCCATAGTTGGAACTCTCCTAATAAACTGTAAGATACTCGAGGGCATGTTTTATACATCTCTGTACTCCTCCAGGCACTTACAGCACTTCTGTGGACAGAGTAGTTGTTCTAATTAACTACTAAACAGAAACAGTCATATACAGAGAGGGCATCAGGAAACTGATGCCCTGGCCATGAACAACCCTGAAGAATCATGGGCATATGACCAAATTATTTCAGCTCTCTGAACTGCAGTCTCCACATATGCAAAATAAAGATATGCTATGCTACGCTATGATATACATATTATATGCCAGGCTATGTATGAAATGTGCTGTCAAGTTAAAAGACAAATAAATATATTGAAGAACTCTGAAGGTGAAATGCCATAAAAATGACATTAATGTTACTATTTATTTATTTTTTATTATTATTTTTTTTTTTTGAGACAGAGTCTCGCTCTGTTGCCCAGGCTGGAATGCAGTGGCGCAATCTCAGCTCACTGCAAGCTCCGCCTCCCAGGTTCACTTGATTCTTCTGCCTCAGTCTCCAGAGTAGCTGGGACTACAGGCGCCTGCCAACACGCCCGGCTAATTTTTTGTATTTTTTAGTAGAGACGGGGTTTCACCGTGTTAGCCAGGATGGTCTCGATCTCTTGACCTCATGATCTGCCCGCCTCGGCCTCCCAAAGTTCTGGGATTACAGGCATGAGCCACCGCGCCCGGCCAAAAATGACATTAATGTTACTATTGATGGGAACCTCTCTTCCGGGCCACGAGCTGCATTGTTAGCTTTGGGGACTCACCGTGCCCCTTCTGAGTGCAAACTGGATGGAGTCAAGGTCGGTGACAGGGCACCAGACCTCTGCAATCAAGCATTTCTGAGTCACATCTATGTTGCACAGGTTCAGGGTGTGATAGATGGCCTTCATCTTCCGCACTTTGATGAACCAGACACGGATGTTCTTAGCAGCTGCCTGCAGAACCCTCTGGCGGTGATCCTCCGTTTGATTCAGAACCTTTGGGGAGAAAAGGAACAAGCGAGGGATCCTTTTAACACCAGTTTTAGATCTCAGGGTATGAATGGCAAAGAGGCATAGCTTTCTGAAAAGAGTTGCCAGGGAATTGTCTTTTTCTTCCTCTGGCTAGAATGGTTTCTTTTTTCCAAATTACAAGAAATTAGAGTTCTAGTTACTAACATTCACTTTTATTTAGCTTCAACCTAAAAAGAAACCTGAGAAAATAGTTTAGCTTTTCTATATATGTTCAATCTTACCACCAATCCAAGGCACAACAAATGTAGGTCACTGCCTTTAACTTGGCTTATTAAAGAGCAACGACTTTCTATGTGGGGAATGTAACTCAGTAGGCATCACAAGCCCAGGAGCTGACAAATTAACAAATCCACACAGAATCCTTTGCACATGGGCCAGCATCAGGAGAGGGTGGAAAGAGGCAGTGCTGAATACCACCACCAGCCTACACTGGGAACATGGGCCAGGAGACGCCATGGGATCAGGAGCACCTGTGATCTTTACAGGGGGCTTGGACTGCCACATACCACTGCCATCATGAGGGCAGCTAAGGTGTTACCTTTATGTCAGGCTTCTCATCAGAGGAAAAAATGGTTCAGTGTTGATCCTTTTGAAATCAGTACAGATTTCCCTCAGAGGAATTACAGTGCCAAGACTAAGGTGGGAGGAAGGTACAGGAACATTTTACATTCCACTGGCTTAATACCAAATATTTAATTTTTTTTTTTTGAGATGGAGTCTCGCTCTGTGGCCCAGGCTGGAGTGCAGTGGCGTGGTCTCAGCTCACCACAACCTCCACCTCCCGGGTTCAAACGATTCTCCCGCCTCAGCCTCCTGAGTAGCTGGGATTACAGGCGCGCGCCACCATGCACGGCTAATTTTTATATTTTTAGTAGAGACGGGGTTTCACCATGTTGGTCAGGCTGGTCTCGAACTCCTGACATCGTGATCCACCCACCTCGGCCTCCCAAAGTGTTGGGATTACAGGCATGAGCCAACATGTCCAGCCCATATTTAAGTTTTTAATAGCAGGTGTGGCTAAGCCTGTTGCTTCCAACTGGAAGAAATTAGGCAAGCAACCCAAAGCACAAGTCTCCATCATAGACAATTCTTCAAGTTAGTTCAGAACAAAGCAGTAACTACTCCCTGAAAAATTGTCTTGGGCAGAGGAAGGTGACTTCCTTTGTTTTGTTTTGCTTTGTTTTTAAAAGCAAAGCCATGTCATGCTAGGAAACACATCACTTGAAGATAGCTACTTTCTTTCCTTCTGGTTGTGGACTATTTCACAATTACTATTACTCACTCCTGTAATCCCAGCACTTTGGGAGGCCAAGGCAGGAGGATTGTTTGAGGTCAAGAGTTCCAGACCAGTTTGGGCAACATAGTGAGACCCTATCTCTACAAAAACATACCAAAAAATAATTAGCTGGGCATGGCAGCAGGCACCTGTAGTCCCAGCTACTTGGGAGGCTGAGACAGATTGTTTGAGCCTAGTCGGTCAAGGCTGCAGTGAGCCAAGATTGTGCCACTGCATTCCAGCCTGGGTGACAGAGTGAGATCTGTCTTTAAAACAAAACAAAACAAAACAAAACAAAACAAACAAACAAAACACAAAAAACCCTTCTTCTAGAAGGATGCTAAAGAAACTAGCAAGCAATGTTCTATTTGCCGTTCTCTTTCCTCATCCCATTCCTTGGTATTCAATCCCTTTTTAAACTTTCAGTTCCTACAGCTAGATTTTTAAAAAATCAAATTCTGGTCAGTTATAATGACTACCACATATGCTCTTTAAATCTACCCATAGGTCTGGAAGGAGATTAAGACAGCCTTAGAACCCAGAATATACTAATATAGCCTATCACTCACCAGCAGTTCTAAAACTCTCTCTCTCTGCTTAAACAGGTTAAGTGTATCTCAAAGGAGCCAGCAATAGGTCAGGTTGGTGGGTCATATATGATGGAGGTCACTGAGAGTTAAAATGGAAGTTACAGGCTGGGCACGGTGGCTCATACCTGTAATCCCAGGACTTTGGGAGGCCGAGGCAGGCAGATCATCTGAGGTCAGGAGTTCAAGACCAGCCTGGCCAACATGGCAAAACCCCATCTCTACTAAAAATACAAAAATTAGCCAGGTATGGTGGCAGGCATCTGTAATCACAGCTACTCAGGAGGCTGAGGCAGGAGAATTGCTTGAATCTGTGAGGCAGAGGTTGCAGTGAGCCGAGATCGCGCCACTGCACTCTAGCCTGAGAGACAGAGCAAGACTCTGTCTCAAAAAAAAAAAAAAAGAAAAGAAAAGAAAAAAGAAATGGAAGTTACAACATACCCCTGACAATTCCTGACAATTCTGCCACTGCCAAAAGGAACTGCCTTTGGGATTAAGTATGTTTATTAATATTCTAAGGGGGCAATCATCACTTTCATTCTTTCAAAGGGAACAAAGCCCCACTCACCAGCCTTTCCTTCCATGTACACACAGTTCACAACTCCTCCCTCAGAGCCCTGTGATAACCGTGGTGTGCATAAACCACACTTACTGCAATTTGGCAAAACTCCAACACAGTCTCTTCTTGGGTACAAAAGTCACACCAGAGCTTTTTGGCTAGTCTGTGTGGTTAAGATCAAAGGTGACCGCAAGGATGCATGCCGAGCTATTGGGACCAGCTGCCTCAGGAGGGTGTGTGGGAGAAGGCAGAACTGACTACTCATGTATTTTTAGATTGTTTGATATATATTTGTCTTAACTAAGCATACTTTTAAAAAATTATTATCATAAAAACTATCAGCCGGGCGCGGTGGCTCACACCTATAATCCCAGTACTTTGGGAGACCGAGGCAGGCAGATCACACGGTCAGGAGATCGAGATCATCCTGGCTAACACGGTGAAACCCTGTCTCTACTAAAAAATACAAAAAATTAGCCGGGCGTGTGGCGGGCCCCTGTAGTCCCAGCTACTCGAGAGGCTGAGGCAGGAGAATGGCGTGAACCCGGGAGGTGGAGCTTGCAGTGAGCCGAGATCGCGCCACTGCACTCCAGCCTGGGTGACAGAGACTCCGTCTCAAAAACAAACAAACGAACAAACAAAACAAAAAACAAAAAACAAAAAAAACTATCTCAGACTTGGCTGGGCGCAGTGGCTCACGCCTATAATCCCAGCACCTTGGGAGGCTGAGGCAGGTGGATCACTTGAGGTCAGGAGTTCAAGACCAGCCTGGCCAATATGGTAAAACCCCATCTCTACTAAAAATACAAAAATTAGGCCAGGCACAGTGATTCACACTTGTAATCCCAGCACTTTGGGAGGCCAAGGTGGGAGGATCACTTGAGGTCAGGCGTTTGAGACCAGCCTGGCCAACATGGTGAAACCCTGTCTCTACTAAAAATACAAAAATTAGCCAGGTTTAGTGGCACATGCTTGTCATCCCAGCTACTTGGGAGGATGAGGCAGGAGAATCGCTTGAACCTGTGAGGCAGAGGTTGCAGTGAGCCAAGATCACACCACTGCACTCCACCCTGGGCAAAAGAGCAAGACTCCATCTCAAAAAAATAAATAAAAATACAAAAATTAGTCGGGCATGGTGGCACATGCCTGTAATCCCAGCTACTCAGGAGGCTGAGGCAGGAGCATCACTTGCGCCTAGGAGGCGGAGGTTGCAGTGAGCTGAGACAGCGCCATGGCATTCCAGCCTGGGTGACAGAGTGAGACTCTGTCTCAAAAAAAAAAAAAATCTCAGACCCATGAGGTGGAGAGGAATTGAATATGCTAGGCAACAACGATTCTAGATGCTTTACATTCCTGTCTCGTTTGAGGATGGCTAATGCTATTTTTAACCATCATTCCCTGATACTTTCTCAGCTCCCAGAAGGACATATTACCCATGTACATTTCTTTTTTTGGTATCCTGGTTTGCTACAGGTACCTTATAGAATATCAGCATTTCAAGGAAGGATAATGGTCTCGTATTCCAGTATTTCACAAAAACAAATTCCCTCCAGCCTTCTGCATACCATTTGGAGATCATCAATCCTGGTATTCACTCCAGAAGCCATTTCCTTCCTCTCCTGTGGTGTCTCAGGACAGGGATAGAGTGAGGCTCGGAACCTGGAATATAAGAACATCGAAGTTTCTTAACTTATCTAATTTAAATAATCTCAGAAAGTAATCCTAATGTACCAGAAGGACCAAAACAGGATTAGGTCAGACCGATGTATTAAGTCAACACTTTTTTTTTTTTTTTTTTTTTGAGACAGAGTTTCACTCTGTCACCCAGGCTGGAGTGAAGTGGCACGATCTCAGCTCACTGCAACCTCTGCCCCTGGGTTCAAGTGATTCTTCTGCCTCAGCCTTCCAAGTACCTGGGATTATAGGCGCCTGCCACCACACCTGGCTAATTTTTGTATTTTTACTAGAGACAGGGTTTCACCATGTTGGCCAGGCTGATCTCGAACTCCTGACCTTAGGCGATCCACCCACCTCGGCCTCCCAAAGTGCTGAGATTACAGGCATGAGCCATCATGCCCAGCCTAAGTCAACACTTACGTAAAATGACCTGCAGACGGAGCAATTATAGCATCCGAACTATCTTGACATTCTCTGTAGCTATGAAATTCCTTTGTGATTAAAAAAAAAAAGTAAAGCAAATTATATTGTAAATTAACGGAGTAAGATGGCATGGAAAAAATTCTGCCCCTAGACCAGGTGCAGTGGCTCACGCCTGTAATCCCAGCACTTTGGGAGGCTGAGGCAGGTGGATTGCTTGAGTCTAGGAGTTTAAGACCAGCCTGAGCAACATGGTGAAACCTCATCTCCACAAAAAATACAAAAATTAGTCGGGCATGGTGGCACATGCCTGTAGTCCCAGTTACTCATGGGGCTGCGGTGGGAGAATCAACTGAGCTCAGGAAGTCAAGGCTGCAGTGAGCTGTGATCATGCCACTGCACTTTAGCCTGGGCAACAGAGTGAGACCCTGCCTCAAAACAAAAACAAAACAAAAAAAAGGCCAGGCACAGTGGCTTACACCTGTAATACCAGTACTTTGAGAGCTGAGGCGGGCAGATTGCTTGAGATTAGGAGTTCGAGATCAGCCTGGCCAACACGGCAAAACCCCATCTCTACTAAAAATACAAAAATTAGCCGGGTGTGCTGGCACGCATCTGCAGTCCCAGCTACTCGGGAGGCTGAGGCAGGAGAATCGCTGGAACCCTGGAGGTGAAGGTTGCAGTGAGCTGTGATTGTGCCACTGCACTCCAGCCTGGGTGGCAGCGCAAGACTCTGTCTCAAAAAAAAGATCTGTCCCTAAGGCAGAATTTCAGAAAATTTAAGGACATAGCATCTATGCTAAGTATGGAGACTCACTGTCCCAGAATAATATGGCATTTATAAACCATGAGTCCTTAAGAGTTATTTTTCCCCAAGTTAAGGAAATTATGGTCCTTTTTTTTCAGTTTTTAGTTTTTTATAGACATGGGGTCTCACTAAGTTGGCCAGGCTGGTCTTCAAATCCTGGGGTCAAGCAATCCTCCTGCCTTGGCCTCCCAAAGTGTTGGGATTACAGGCATGAGCCATTGTATCTGGCCACAACTGTGGTTCTGATGGTATTTTTTAAAATGAATTTAGGGCCAGGCACAGTGGTTCACACCTGTAATCTCAGCATTTTGGGAGGCTGAAGTGGGTGGATCACCTGAGGTCAGGAGTTCAAGACCAGCCTGGCCAACATGGCGAAACCCCATCTCTACTAAAAATACAAAAAAAAAAATTAGCCAGGTGTGGTGGCAGGTACCTGTAATCCCAACTACTCGGGTGGCTGGAGAATCACTTGAACCTGGGAGGCAGAAGTTGCAGTGCTCCAAGATCGCACCATCGTACTCCAGCCTGGGCGTGGAGGGAGACTCGGTCAGAAAAAAAAAAAAAAGAGAAAAAGAATTTAGTGGCTCACGCCTCTAATCCCAGCACTTTGGGAGGTTGAGATGGGCAGATCCCTTGAGTCCAGGAGTTCCAGGCCAGCCTGGGCAACATGGCAAAACCCCGTCTCTACAAAGAATACAAAAAATTAGCCAGGTATGGTGGCACACGCCTGTAGTCCCAGCTACCCTAGAGGCTGAGGCAGGAGAATCCCCTGAGCCCAGGCAGTCAAGGCTGCCGTGAGCCGTGATCATGCCACTGCACTCCAGCCTGGGCAACAGAGTGAGACCCCCCCATCTGAACAACAAAAATAAAAATAAAAATGAATGCAGGCTATTTCTAATTGATTAAAATAGCCCCTAACATTATTAAAATTAACTGTGTTGAGGTAGACTAAAAAGGATTTGTATTTCACTATTGTGAACTTTAAGACTCAACAGTTGGGCAGCATGGCTGTGCACTCCTGGTAGAGGCATGCCTCTCTTACCCTTCACAGATTTTCTTGACTCTGTTTTTCAGCTGATCGCCTTGGAAGAAAATGATAAACACAGACTTGTGCACGTAGTCGCCCTAGGCCCCAGAATAAAAAAACAAGAGTTCAGACTTCTGTATCTGGATGAAAATCTCTTAAATAACCCACTTTTTTGGTGATGCAAGAACAACAGGCATCTTTTAAGGACATGGCAGTCCTGCATTTTAACCACTGCCCTCACTCCATTTCCTAAGCTTCACTACAAGAACATCTGCCCTATAATCTCTAATTCACAAAAATCTTTCTCTATTTGTTTTTTTGACTCAACCAGGAGCTTGAAGCTAAGATGATGCTCCTCTTAGCACTGTTTAGACTTATTTACCAATTCAGCTTTAAATCTTATATTGCCTGAATGATGAAAGTATAGGAGAGAAAAGAGAAGGAAGCCATTTCTGCCTGTTCTGGGACTTAGAAATTCTTAGATAAAAGGGGCTGAATAACTACAAGGAACTGAGTCCCTGGAAAGAATGCTGATATAGAATCTCACAATTCAAGCTAATCTGGACTTTATGGGGCAGGGAGGAAGGTAATCCATTCCAAATACCAAATTTATACCTGAAGTATGATGCAAGGACTGGAAGGAAAGATCAGAAAAAAAGGTGTATGGTGTGTTAACCAGGATTGTCTCAGGTTGCCTGTATTTTCTCATAGTCATACACAGCATGTAGAGCTTTTATAATAACAAACAAAACTTTAGAAGGATAAAAGGGGATGAGGAGTGAAGAAAATTGGGCTCAAGGGTCTGAAATCCCTAAATTCTGTAGGCTAAACTAGAACCCATTCTTTGTGCAGCCTGCTCTGTTACAGATATCCAGGGTCCCCATTTCTGGATTTGTTGATAAAATAACCTTTCTGTTGCCAAGAGGAAACTTGACTGAATATTCCTGAGAAAAGTTCCTCATTAATGTGACTACAAATTACAACGTTTCCACAACCTGATGGCCTTTGGCAAGATTGTGAAACTACACCCCTAGGCAGGGGGTTCACCTGAAGTGTAACCACACTCCTCCACGGCATGGAGGATGAAAGACCTGCAGCTGCACAGCCCACCCAATCTGAGAAATCTCACAATTCAATCTCTCTCTTTTTAGGTAAAGAACACGAATTTAAGAAATTCACAAGATAATTTAGAACAGAAAAGCTAACTTTAGGTTTCTAAATAATACTAGTACAAAAGCAAAGCAAAATTTTTGCAGTACATTTATCTTCACTGGTACTCCCTGAAATCAGGACTCACCATACCTAAATGCAGGTTTAGACGATAAACTCTGTCCCATTATGGCAAATGCCAGGATGTTAAACTGTTTCTACTTCCTGAAGTACTGGGTGGGGAAGATCATCCTATTTTGTGCGATATCTATTCTTAAACTAAGTTTCTAATCCTTCCAACAAACAAACAAAAAAACTTTACCAAGTAAAATTTCATCAGCTTATTAAGATCACAGTCTAGGAAATCTCTCCTTCTCTTTTTATACATGAATATTACCAAACTTGGGGCTGGGCATGGTGGCTTATGCCTATAATCCCAACACTTTGGGAGGCCGAGGCAGGCAGATCACTTGAGATCAGAAGTTCAAGACCAGCCTAGGCAACATGGTAAAACACTGTCTGTACTGAAAATACAGAAAAAATTAGCCAGGCATCATGGCACATGCCTGTAATCCCCAGCTACTCGGGAGGCTGAGGCAGGAGAATCGCTTGAACCCAGGAAGCGGAGGTTGTGGTGAGCCGAGATCGCGCCACTGCACTCTAGCCTGGACAACAGAGTGAGACTCCACCTCAAAAAAAAAAAAATTACCAAATTTGGAACCAGATGTCTTGCTTTAAAGTTAATTTTCATAAAAGGCAAATGAGTGAAAATAAAAATTTCCAATCAGAATAACATCTACACGGGTAAACTTGAAAATATGTATATGTCATGTATACATCATACATCCATATGTATATATGACAGGAATTAACTAAGAGGAAGTACTTCAAATTCTCCAATTAGAGCAGAGATAAAGATAATGGCTCCTCTGTGGAAGCACTGGATTCAGGTGGCCCCATGCTACGTTACTGCTCTGGGCTCCCTTTACAAGACCTACTCCACAGGATGCAATCTCCTTGTCTTACAGTCACAGGATCCTCCAGGGGGTTCTCGATTTCAGCCTGTCGCAGGAACACATTTCCCCGGCATACCCGCCAAAGCATGCGCTCAAAAGTAGGGATGCGCTCCCGGTTAATGACACCAGCCACGAAGCTGTGGGGAGAAGAGGCAGATTGGAAACTCTATTCCATGTCATGGGATGGAAGGTTTTAATACAAGTCTTTTTTATTTATATTTATATATATATCTTTTTTTATTATACTTTAAGTTCTAGGGTACATGTGCACAACGTGCAGGTTCATTACATATGTATACATGTGCCATGTTGGTGTGCTGCACCCATTAACTCGTCATTTACATTAGGTATATCTCCTAATGCTCTCCCTCCCCCCTCCCCCCACCCCACAACAGGCCCCGGTGTGTGATGTTCCCCTTCCTGTGTCCAAGTGTTCTCATTGTTCAATTTCCACCTATGAGTGAGAACATGTGGTGTTTGGTTTTTTGTCCTTGTGATAGTTTGCTGAGAATGATGGTTTCCAGCTTCATCCATGTCCCTACAAAGGACAGGAACTCATCATTTTTTATGGCTACATAGTATTCCATTGTGTATATGTGCCACACTTTCTTAATCCAGTCTATCATTGATGGACATTTGGGTTGGTTTAATACAAGTCTTATTCCCAGCTTCACTTATGGACCCAGCAGAGAGCTGACAGAGCAACTCAGGCATGAATCCAGAGTTGTAGGACTATCTCAATAGGCTCAGAAGAGGGCATATCCTGGTAGCAAGTGAATCCCCAGTCTCACTGCTCTTCTGAACAGAAGAGATGAACATGGCCCCACTGAATACCGAAAAGTTGACATGGCACTTACCCAAGTCTTAAAGGAGTGCCTCTTCCCATCTCACTTGGCTCCAAGAGGGATGAGGACTCTTCCAACAAGTCTGGATCCGCCATCTGCTGATGATGCAATTCAGCCTGAATTCACAAATCAATTAATATCTAATGAAAATAGTTAGTGGCATGCAGGCAACGAGGAACCAGGAGACAGGTTCAGAAAATAAGGATGAAAAAGAAAACAAACCACGAAAAGACAAGATATATCCATAAAAAGACAAGAAGAATAGGGGATGAAAACACAGAAAATAAATTTGAGGTAAAGAAAGCATAATTGCCCCAGTAAAGCATCTGGGGAAATGGTTTTAGAAATAAGGAGCAAAAGGAAAAAAAATTAAGTGATGGTGACATGTATAAATCTGTTACTTGGTGGAAGCCATTTTCTCTCCTACGTTTCCCTGAATGAATGATGAAAGTGCCAGGAAATACCTCTGCATGTAGATAGGAAGCTAAAATATCTCTTCTTTCTGTGCAATAATGAAGAGACTCTGCAGATACTCTGAACATTTAATTTCTAGGCAGCTACAAACTAGAATTTTCCCTACGTGAGAATGTGAAAGATAGAGGCTCTCTTTCCAAGGAAGAAGCAAGGCACTGCCACTGTCTTTGAATGCTGTGAAGTCTGGAGAAAGACAGAAGGGGAAGCTCCAGGTATCTACGTTTCCAGCCCCTTTAAAATTCAGAATATGAGAACTTTCAGCATGGCCACTTATAGAATGATCCAAGCCATGGGATTTAAAGAGTATTTATGTCTTCAAAAGGATAAGAAGCACAATAGCTGGGCAGGCCTGTAAAAACATATCTGAATGTCCCATTTTCTGACTAGGAATCTTCTAAATAAGTTCACATAGGCTTTACAGTTGTAGGATTCTTGAGAACACAGCTCAAGAATCAAGTAAAGTGAAGGAAAAACAACAGATAATAAACCAAACTAGAGTTCATGGGCTGGTTTAATTGGTAAGATTTAAAATGACTTCCACCATGACAGTTTATACAATGAAATGAAGAAGGATCTTCCCACACGCAGGTCTACATTTCCTAGCCTCTCTCTACCGAACTCATCCTACCACCCTTTACTCCCATCAGAAAGGAGAAGCTGCTCCAAAAAACAAAACAAAACAAAACAAAACAAAAACCAGTCCAATCAACTTCTCCATTGCCTCATCTCCCCAACTCTAATACCCAGGCAATACTTGTTTGACCAAAAACTAGGAGTAAACCAGAACAATCATCCTCTTCAAAAGCACAATAAGACAAAAAATCAGAAGAGTTTTTCTCTATCATTTTCATTCCAAATTTCAATTTGATTCTACCCCTGTCAGCCACACTCTTAAAAAGTGGCACAGGGACCATAACTTGATAAAGTCATGGGATCATAAACATAGCAAAAAGGGGGAAAAACTGTGTATAAACCAGATGATAAGTCTGAAGGCCTAAAAAATAGAAAGCAATCATTTTGGGAAGTAAGGATCAACACCAGAAGTGCAGAGAAATACTGTCATGAGATTGGAAAAGTTTAAGATGAGATCATGGAGACACTAGTTACCACTGGCTGTTACATGTAAGTTGAGGGGGTTCTTTCGGTTTCTACTTGCAATCAAATCAGCTGACTACAAGCAACTTGTTTTCAGGATCCCGATGATTACAACATTTCAACTTGTTCTTGGTTTATCCCTTGGCAAAAACCAGTGAGCCTGACTACTCACAAGACTCCATCCTACTTGCCTGCCTGTCTCACAAGACGTGGTTTAAGTCAACCCTAAATATCGGACTCAATGCAAACACATGTGCTCTAACTGATGGAAAAGCAAACAGTACTTAGCAACTAGACCACTTCAAAGACTCTATCTAGGACTCTCTGAGAATAAAAAACAACAAAATTAAAATTCAACAGAAACTTGCGATAATATTTGAATTGCTAATTTCACCACTTCATACTTAAGAATTCTATCTTAGAGAGAAAAGTTACAAATTTTTAAGTAAAATTGTGCCTGGTGAGAAACTAGGATGACTAGAACCACTCACTAACTGAAGGCCTTTAAAGCAGTATCTAAAACCATGTGGTTGAAAGTATCTAAATCTTAGAGCAGGGGTGTCTGATCTTTTGGCTTCCCTGGGCCACATTGGAAGAAGAACTGTCTTGGGCCACACATAAAATACACTATAATGATAACTAATGAGCTAAAAAAAAAAATTCCAAAAAAATCTCATAATGTTTTGAGAAAGTTTACGAATTTGTGTTGGGCCACATTCAAAGCTGTCCTGAGGCCTGAAGGCCATGGGCTGGACAAGCTTGTCTTAAGGGTATCTGGGTTCTCTAATAACAACATTGTGAATATGCCTCTACATTACTGCTATGCCCTCTGGTTTCTCCATTCAGATACTGAAAACCACGCCTTACAAAAAGGAAGTAGAAGAACTTCAGTTCTGTTTCTACAGCAATTAAGTATAAATAGCACATCCAGTTCAAGCTATGTCAATTACCAAGAACAAACAATTACTGCCATCTACATCGAGAAAAAAATTATATTTCATTACTTAAGGTATTCACCTAGGCCCCAAAGGAAATGGCAGATGGGAAAAAAATAAAGAAAGCAGATGGATGGAAAACTGAGAAGGAAAGGAAAGCAGGGAATCTGCATGCCATTAACCATTACTTTTCCAGTCTTCTTTATGTTCTCATATGTTATGGTGCTTATGGTAAAAGATGCAGAGAAATCTCTCCAGCTCTTACAGTTCTTCATAAGCAAGAAGACTTAGAAAAGGATAATCATTAACAAGTCATTTTAAATGCCCTAGATAAGAAATGACTAAGTCAAATTTGTAATCATCTTTAATCATAAGACTATTCAATATGTTTATTTTTCACCTTACACACACCCTGCCAATCATAACTCCTATGCCTAAATATAGAATCATTTTCTGATTTAGCCATTTCTGCTAACTCATTACTGTGAATTATTGATTATAGTCACCAAATTACACAAAATAAGGGGTTTAAAACTGGTAGTGTTTTAGGCCCTTTGCAAATATTATAATTTCAGACACAGAAGAAAATCTCATTAAAAATCCTAAGTTTCCAACATTTGAGGGTCCCAAGTGTCCTATCTTTCGCATTATTTGAAGTGCACGCGCATGTGCAGATGCAAAGTTGTGGCAGTGACACCTGAGCCTGCTGCTACGCAGCAGCAGGGCAAGGTCTATGGAAAGGAACCTGGCTGAGGCTGTGAGCTAGTGCAAGAACAGGCAAGGCAGAGAGGTTCTTGCCAGGAGACTTGCAATGCAGTGAGACTGCTGGGAATGGAAGGGGAATTGATGACAAAAGCAGCATAAGAACCTCTCATAGCCACGGTCTTGTGCTCTAAGTACTTCCAGAGACTGGAAAAAAAAAAAAAGTTTTGAATAAAATAGGAGGGGGAGGCTGGGTGCGGTGGCTCACACCTGTAATTCCAGCACTTTGGGAGGCTGAGGCAGCTAGATCACGAGGTCAGAGTTCGAGACCAGCCTGGCCAATATGGTGAAACGCCCGTCTCTACTAAAACTACAAAAATTAGCTGGGCATGGTGGTACACACCTATAGTCACAGCTGCTCGGGAGGCTGAGGCAGGAGAATCGCTTGAACCCGGGAGGCGGCAGTTGCAGTGAGCCAAGATCGCACCACTGCACTCCAGCCTGGATGACAAAGCGAGACTCTGTCTCAAAAAAAAAAAAAATAGGAGAGGGAAAACAACCCCAGCATGAAAAGGGCACAAAGATCATGAAGACTTAGAGTCTGCCTTCTCAAAACAGGCATTTAGTGTTTAGACTTATTATTCACAAAATAAAAGTCCTAAATCCATAAATTATGATTTTAAAATATCATTTTTCCAAGTGGTTCCTCTTATTTTCATTTTTACTAAGTTCTTTTCATTAGAAAATTAATAGTTTAAATAATTATTTCCCTTAAGGGAATCCATCTATCAGTCTTTATTCGGAATTTCTCCAAAAATGAACCATAATAGGAAGCTGGCTCTCATTCTTAAACTTACGAGGTCTTGAAAGACATTTTCATATGAGATAGCAATATCTCAGCAGTAAACTAAACAGTATATCAAAAGGGAAAAAAATGGGGACAGGGAAGGTAAAAGAATTAAGCTCCAAATAATGCTAAAAGGTAGCTGAGCTCTGACTACAAGGCCAGGTTTACATCAGATCTGTGGGTAGCAGCTTGGATATGTTTAGAAAAGCACACATCTGTGAGCATATGAAAGCGTCATGTTCTGGGGTATTTCTTAAGACTGAATGATACATTCCTTAAACACAGGGACCATGTCTTACTCATCTTGTGTCTCACAATAAGTAGGTGCTCATTATATGCTCAGTGAATTAGTGAACAAAAATACAATAACGTCTGGGCAGTGAGCATGCTGGAATTCCAGGTTCATTAAAAACATACAGCTTAAGTGGCGATGCCTATTGCAAAAGACCTTAAACACTTAGAGTTAATCACACTGTCCCACACCCTCTAACGTGATGTCATTAGGGACTGGCGAAAGAAGTTACCACTAGTCTCAAAATTCTCGACTCTGTGAGCAAACTAAATAAATATTTGTACCTTCTGACTCTTGAAAGGACCAGGCAATTAAATTCATATGAGTTTTTCCCCTTTCCCTTGACCCAGCAGATCCTTTTAATTAAATGGCTTCTGAGTCAAATCCTTAAATTAGTGAGGAATGTATCACATCCTCAGCAGACCTTCTCTAGCCCAGCAGTTTTCAAACTAGCATGCCTCCGGATCACCTAGTAAATACAGACTGCTAGGCCTAACTCCCACAGTGTCTGATTCAGTAAGTCTAGGGTGGAGACTGATAATTCATACTTCTGACAAGATTACAGGTGAGTCTGCTGCTGTTGTTTGAAAAACCCCTGCTCCAGTCTAGAGAATTCTGGATATTTGATCTCCCCTCAAAAGAGAAAAATTTCTGAGATGAGGCAGTTAAAAACAATTTTTTTTTTTGAGATGGAGTCTCGCTCTTTCGCCCAGGCTAGAGTGCAGTGGTGCGATCTCAGCTCACTACAACCTCCGCCTCCCCGGTTCAAGCGATTCTCCTGCCTCAGCCTCATGAATAGCTGGGATTATAGGCGCCCGCCACCATGCCTGGCTAATTTTTGTATTTTTAGTAGAAGACGGGGTTTCACCATGTTGGTCAGGCTGGTCTTGAACTCCTGACCTCGTGATCCCCCTGCCTCGGCCTCCCAAAGTGCTGGGATTATAGGCGTTAGCCACCGCGCCCGGCCTAAAAACAATAAAAAATAAAAATAAAAACTATATATATAAATTTAAAGTACAACTGAGAACACAGCAGATGCTAACTAAAATGGGACTCTACCAGGCACAGTGGCTCACACCTGTAATCCCAGCACTTTGGGAGACAGAGGTGGATGGATCACTTGAGGCTAGAGGTTCGAGACCAGCCTGGCCAACATGGTGAAACGCTGTCTCTACTGAAAATACAAAAATTAGCTGGGGGTGGTGGTGAGCACCTGTAATCCCAGCTACTCGGGAGGCTGAGGCAGGAGAATTGCTTGAGCTTGGGAGGTGGAGGTTGCAGTGAGCTAAGATTACTCCACTGCACTCCAGCCTGGGCAACACAGTGAGACTTTGTCTCGGGAAAAAAAAAAAAAAAAAGGGCCTCTATATTTAAAAGCTTTGCCAAGTTTTCTTGTTGAGCAAAGGAATGAAAGAACTTTATGGGAAGGCACATTGAACAGTGACTGTAACAATCCCTAAAGTGTCTAATATTGTCAATCTGGTGGCAAAGACACCTGTCAAGAAGACAGTTACTGTACTTTAGGCCATCAGAAAAACCACATCCAAGTTGAAAGCTAAGACTCCTCCCCAGACTGAGTTAGGAGAAGGGAGCATTCTGGAAGCCTTGCTCCAGATCCTTTCCATGGAGTCACCTCAGCACATTGTCACCTGGACTAAGTCACCTACATTTTTTTTTTGAGACAGTCTTGCTCTGTCCCCCAGGCTGGAGTAAAGTGGCTTAATCTCCGCTCACTGCAACCTCTGCCTCCTGGGCTCAAGCAATCCCCTCACTTCAGCCTCCCGAGTAGCTGGAACTACAGGTGTGCACCACGATGCCTGTCTAATTTTTGTATTTTTTGTGGAGACGGGGTTTCACCATGTTGCCCAGGCTGATCCTGAACTCCTGGGCTCAAGTGATCTGCCCACTTCACCCTCCCAAAGTACTGGGATTACAGGTGTGAGCCACCATGCCCAACCAAGTCACCTACATTTTTTTTTTTTTTTTTTGAGACAGAGTCTTGCTCTGTCGCCCAGGCTGGAGTGCAGTGGCGCGATCTCGGCTCACTATAAGCTCCGCCTCCCGGGTTCACGCCATTCTCCTGCCTCAGCCTCCTGATTAGCTGGGACTACAGGTGCCCACCACCATGCCCGGCTAATTTTTTGTATTTTTTTAGCAGAGACGGGGTTTCACCGTGTTAGCCAAGATGGTCTTGATCTCCTGACCTCGTGATCCGCCCACCTCGGACTCCCAAAGTGCTGGGATTACAGGCATGAGCCACCGCGCCCAGCCTACATTTTTTTTTTTTGAGATAGAGTCTCACTCTGTCGCCCAGGCTGGAGTGCAGTGGAGCAATCTCAGCTCAATGCAACGTCCACCTCCCAGGTTCAAATGATTTTCCTGCCTCAGCCTCTCGAGTAGCTGGGATTACAGGCAACCACCACCTCACCCGGCTAGTTTTTGTATTTTTAGTAGAGACCGGGTTTCACCATGTTGGCCAGGCTGATCTCGAACTCCTGACCTCAGGTGATCCACCTGCCTCGGCCTCCCAAAGTGCAGGGACTACACGCATGAGCCACCATGCCTGGCCTCACCTACATATTTAACCCAAGAACTTTACTAACATTTTTCCCTCTGAGGTAATGCGTCTAAGTTTATGTGATAATCCAGAAGTTTCAAACAAGCATCCTACCAATATTTTCCATACAATAAATACAATGAAAAACTCTTGAAAAATTAGTGTGATGTGTGCTATCTGAAGTACTGAAAAATGTGCTCGAAGGTTTATAAGCAAACATAGACAATGAAATAAAAATTTGATGACAAAAGGTTTGGTGATTAAACCTTTGTTATAATTTTGTCTATAACCAAATGTTTGCTTCCTCAGCTTTAACCTTAAGCATATACTTACCTTATAAGTATAAATATAATGTAAAAATTTATACTAACTATGTTTATACAACTACTTCAGGGTTCTTTTCCTCATATTGAGATGAAAAATTGAAGAAAATGTGAAAAAATGCAAAACCATGGCTGGTTGTGTACTGCATGAAAAATGGAACATAATCTCACATTTCTGTAACTAAAACAGGGTGCAAAAATGGCATTGCTTCCAAACTAGCAAATTAAAATAATTACTGGAATAAAAATATGGCCCACTTGTGTGAGTATAATATCAGCTGCTCAAATACTAAAAGAAACAATAGTCTGACCTCATCAAAAAATTGCTGAGTTTTGCGAAGTATAAATTTTAATTCGGTCAGTTCCAGGAAGTTTCTCTTCAGAGCTTCCTGGTTTGTGTTGATTTCCTTCAGTTCATTTTCAATCTTCTCAAAATTGGCCTAGATGAAATAAGAAAATATATTAAGCTAAGCTCAATATGTTTGCTCTGAAAGACATTAAATGAATTCATCCCACAGAACTGTTGCCAAGCCGATAGTTCAAAGAGAACTTGGACTTGCCTAGCAAATACTGTGATTTTACTAGAGCAATTTTCTTTATGGAAATTTTTTTGCTTAAAATAATCTCTCCTGGGCCGAGGCGGGTGGATCACTTGAGGTCAGGAGTTCGAGACCAGCCTGACCAAAATGGTGAAACCACGTCTCTACTAAAAATACAAAATTAGCTGGGCGTGCTGGCGCATGACTGTAGTCCCAGCTACTTGGGAGGCTGAAGCAGGAGAATCACTTGAACCCGGGAGGTGGAGGTTGCAGTAAGCCAAGATCACACCACTGTACTTCAGCCTGGGCAACAAGAGCAAAACTCCATCTCATAAATAAATAAATAGTCTTTCCTGGCCGGGCATGGTGACTCACTCCTGTAATCCCAGCACTTAGGGAGTCTGAGGTGGGTGGCTCATCTGAGGTCAGGAGTTCAAGACCAGCCTGGCCAAACATGGCGAAACCCCGTCTCTACTAAAAATACAAAAAAAAATTAGCTGGGTGCAGTGGTGCATGCCTGTAATCCCAGCTACCTGGGAGGCTGAGGCAGGAGAATGGCTTGAACCCGGGAGGCGGAGGTTGCAGTGAGCCAAGATCGCACCACTGCACTCCAGGCTGGGTGAGAGAGCAAGACTCTGTCTGGAAAAAAAAAAAAAAAAAAAAAAAAGTCTTTCCTTTCTAAGTCATTGTAGAAGTCAAAAAAATAGTCTTTCTTTGTTTACACATTCTATTGTATACTTGGTAACTTTCTCAGGCGATTTCAGATGGATAAAATAATTACTGAGAAGTCTACTGGCTGCCCATTTAGTCTGCAAGATTGCAAGATTAACCAACTAGTAGATAGGCCAGGTGTGGTAGCTCACACCTGTAATCCCAGTACTTTGGGAGGCTGAGGCAGGCAGATTGCTTGAGGTTAGGAGTTCGAGATCAAGCTGGCCAACATGGGAAAATCCCATCTCTACAAAAAATACAAAAAAATTAGCCAGGCATGTTGGCACACAGCTATCGTCTCAGCTACTCTGGAGGCTGAGGTACTAGAACTGCTTGAGCCTGGGAGGCAGGGGTTGCAGTGAGCCAAGATGGGGTCACTGTAGTCCAGCCTAGGTGATAGCTATGTCTCAAAAATAAAATAAAATAAAATAAAATAGTAGATAACTTACTCCAATAAGGTTTCGATAAACCAATAAACATTTACTTAGTGGCATATAATACTGTTTGAGTGCTGTTTGTCACCATAAAAGAGGGGATTCATATGGTCTGGCCATAAAAAAAGAATAAAATCATGTCATTTGCAGCAACATGGATAGAACTGGAGGTCATTATGTTAAGCGAAATAAGCAGGGCACAGACAAATAATACAAGTTTTCACTCATATGTGGGAGCTAAAAAAGTTGATCTCATAGAGGTAGGGAGTGGAATGATAGATACCAGAGGCTATGAAGGGTGTGTGGGTTTGTGGGGGGATGAAGAGAGGTTGGTTAATGTGGACAAACATACAGTTAGATAGAAGGCATAAGTTCTAATGCTCAATAGCAGAGTAGGGTGCCTATAGTTAACAGCAATGTACTGTATATATTTCAAAATAGCTAGAAGAGAAGAATTGAAATGTTCCCAACACATAGAAATGGTAAATACTCAAGGTGATGGATACTCCAAATACCCTGACTTGGTATATACACATTCTATGTATATACCAAAATATCACATGTACACCATAAATGTGTACAAATATTATCTATCAAAATCCCACCTACAAGAAACTTACAATCAGTAGATAATGCTGACAAAGTTAGCAAGAATTACTTTACTCTCTATCTGCTCAGGAAAGTAATTTCTGCGTTCAAGTAGAAAGAAACTTTTCTGGTTTTCCCAGAAGTGTTTACCTCTAAGTCAATCATGTCCCGGGGGAAGGGAACCTCTGGGTTTTCACCGGTGTCCATAATCGGAATGTTAGCTTTTCTTATCTCTTTCTCAACAAATCCTAAAATGACAGAATCAAAACATTCATGTCTAACTGCACATGCTCGTAATTGCCATTATTTAAGGAAAAGAATTAACATCTAAGACCTGGTTACAAAAAGTTTTATTCAAAAAAGATACTTTATATATATATATAAAAGATATAATATCTTTTAATATGAAAGAAGCACCTTTTTTCTCCCCATCCCTCTTTCTCCTTCCTCACATTCTCTAAAGTTACTCCAAAGGGTGGTCATCCCACAACTGCCTTCTTTCCTTCTTCAGGTCTTAACACTGGCCTTCAAGGCCACACCTCTCCTCCATACGCGAATGCCACTCCAAAGTATGACAGTTCTGCTTATAGATATTATTGGCAAAGCAGAGTTATGAAGAAGAGTATAATGCAATAGAATATTTGACACTTAACACACTAGTGAGACAACTCTAGATCTAAAGGGGTTCATTAAATTTGAAAACAATCAGGTCAGTTTTAAGCATAAAAAACAAAAATGAAAAAGCAGAACAGGTAATAAGGACACAAAATACCAGAAGAGAAGAGTGTTTCAGGTAACAACTACAACTGTTTTTTATAGTGGGGACCAAATTCACTTATCAGCTAACCATAAGCTGGCTTAGTAGAGTGGCAAGATCATGGACTTTTGAGCCAGAGAGAGCAACCTGGCTTCAAATACTGATTCCATCATAACTGTTTATGATCTAGGGCAAGTCATTAAGCCTCTCTAATCTTTAGTTTCCTCAATTATTAAATAAGATAATACCCATCTTGAAGGAATGTTGTGGAGAATGAATAAAGTAATGTATATGAGCAACCTAGCCCTCAAGAGAACTTAGATAAATGTTAGTTTCCTCCCTTTTTTTTTTTTTGAGACGGAGTCTCGCTCTGTCGCCCAGGCTGGAGTGCAGTGGTGCGATCTCAGCTCACTGCAAGCTCTGCCTCCCGGGTCCATGCCATTCTCCAGCCTCAGCCTCCCCAGTAGCTGGGATTACAGGCGCCTGCCACCACGCCCAGCTAATTTTTTGTATTTTTAGTAGAGACGGGGTTTTACCATGTTAGCCAGGATGGTCTCGATCTCCTGACCTCGTGATCCACCCGCCTCAGCCTCCCAAAGTGCTGGGATTACAGGTGTGAGCCACCGGGCCCAGCCAGTTTCTTCCCTCTTAAATAGCTCAAATTAAAAGGTGGCTCTGCTGACAAAAACTGATGGTGTGCTGGGTCCTATTTCTCAAAATTCTATCATGTAGTTTTGTTATTAAAATCTCACAAAAAAACAACCAGTTTTCAGTTTGCAGCATGTTATTTCAAACGAGGTTTCCATTAAGCACTACTTAGCCCAAAGACCACAAAATCTACTCGTATACGAGAAATACACCTTGGCATCTTAACTGCAAGATTTTTCCCTTTTCTCTTATAACATTTTCTTCCTCTATTAAGAGGACTAATGTCACTAATCTAAGACAAATGATTCATTAAAGGAACATTACACAAGACCAAAGTGCACATACGAAGCTTTCGATCCATTTCTTCACATCTTCTAACTTCATTCACAAATTTCCGTTGGAAAACATTCACATCTGGATTTAACTGAAAAATAAAAACACAATACCAAACATTGAAATATTGTATCTATTTCTTCTGTTTCTCAAGCAACACATTCTGCAAAGCGAAAAACTAATTTTCTGTCAATGCATGATGCAACACTAATCAAAACTGTCTACTGATCCAAAAAAACTGCTTTATGGCCAGTCACACCAGCTAAGGATAAAAACTTCCTCCCTCGTTGCTGCAACATTACTGGAATGGAGGCAAATTAGGTAAAACACAACGGTACAAAAATGTTCTTCCTAGGCAAAAGTCTCAGTGAGCTTCCTTCCCACCACCTAAAATTTGGGCAATGAATATCACAGAAGCTCTCTCTGGTTTTCCTTCTTTCTTTCCAAGCACAAGAGGAACTTCTCTTGTTTTTCTGTCCCAAGGCCTTCACCTTCTCAGTGACAGGCTTTAGTTTATTCATTCATACACCACAAGTAATTGCTTTTTTTCTTTTTGAGACAGAGTCTTGCTCTGTCACCAGGCTGGAGTGCAGTGGCGTGATCTTGGCTCACTGCAACCTCTGCCTCCCAGGTTCAAGCAATTCTCCCGCCTCAGCCTCTTGAGTAGCTGGGATTACAGGTGCGCACCACCATGCCCAGCTAATTTTCTTGCATTTTTAGTAGAGACAGGGTTTCACCATGTTGGCCAGGATGGTCTCAAACTCCTGACCTCAGGTGATCCACCCACCTCGGCCTCCCAAAGTGCTGGGATTGCAGGCATGAGCCACCACGTCTGGCACCATAAGTAATTTTCAAAGCAATATGACAGATGTTCTGGAATATACAAATAAAAACAAAACAAGTAACTACTCACTAAAAAGCTAGCAATCTGGCCGGTCACGGTGGCTCACGCTTGTAATCCCAGCATTTTGGGAGGCCAAGGTGGGTGGATCACCTGAGGTCAGGAGTTCAAGACCAGCCTGGCCAACATGGCGAAACTCCATCTCTACTAAAAATACAAAATTAGCCGGGCATGGTAGTGTACATCTGTAATCCCAGCTACTCGGGAGGCCAAGGCAGAAGAATCGCTTGAACCCGGGAAGCTGAGGTTGCAGTGAGCCAAAATCATGCCACTGCACTCCAGCCTGGGTGACAAGAGTGAGACTCTTGTCTCAAAAAAATAAATAGGCCGGATGCGGTGGCTCACGCCTATAATCCTAGCACTTTGGGAAGCTGAGGCAGGAGGATTATCTGAGCTCAGGAGTTTGAGACCAGCCTGGACAACATGGCGAAACCCTGTCTCAACTAAAAATACAAAAAATTAGCCGGGCATGATGGTACATGCCTGTAATCCCAGCTACTCAGGAGGCTGAGGCACAAGAATCAATTGAACCTGGGAGGGAGAGGTTGCAGTGAGCCAAGATCGTGCCATTGCACTCCAGCCTGGGCAACAGAGCGAGACTCTGTCTCAAAAAATAATAATAATAAATTAATTAAATTAAATAAAAAGCTTGCAATCTAATAGAGAAGAAGATGAACCCAACCAATAAAATAGTATGTGATAAATTCCATAAAATTAACACAAATAAAGAACTATATTTACTCAACATTTATGAAGCACCAAATAGGTGTCAGATACTGAACTAGGCACTGGGGAAAATACAAAGAATAAGCTATGTCCTAGCTTTGAAAAGCTGAACAACACAATTTATTAGCTTAATCACGTATGTGTGTATATATATTATATGCATACACACATAGAAACATACAAGCACATTGGCCGGGCACGGTGGCTCACGCTTGTAATCCCAGCACTTTGGGAGACCAAGGCGGGCAGTTCATGAGGTCAGGAGTTCGAGACCAGCCCGGCCAACACAGTGAAACCCCGTCTCTACTGAAAATACAAAAAAATTAGCCGGGAGTGGCAGCGGGCACCTGTAATCCCAGCTACTTGGAAGGCTGAGGCAGAAGAATTGCTTGAACCCGGGAGGCGGAGGTTGCAATGAGCCGAGATCGTGCCACTGCACTCCAGCCTGGGTGACAGAACTAGACTCAGTCTCAAAAAAAAGAAAAAAAAAAATACAAACACACACATACATATCCATGTATTCAACACTTCTCTCTTCGAGAACTCAATATATTAATATTAGAGGAATCTAAGGCAAAAATTTTTATTAGCAATTAAGATTAATAATAAGCTACGTCCCAGTCTTCAGCTCTACAGAAGAGACGGACACAAACCAATTATTACAATTTGTTGTGATAAATGCTATTAAAAAGGAAGTAAAAGATGTGGAAAACTGTTGGCAGTTTCTTACAAAGTTAAACATACACCTACCCAACCCATGACTGAGCATTCCACTACTCAGTTACTGTTGACCTTTGAACAATGTGGGTTTGAACTCTGCTGGTCCACTAACACACAGATTTTCCTCCACCTCGGCCAGCCTGAGACAGTAAGACCAACCCCTCCCCTTCCTCCTCCTCAGCCTCCTCAACATAAAGACAATAAGGATGAAGACCTTCAAGATGATCCACTTTCAGTAAATACAGTTTATCTTCCTTATGATTTTCTTAACAGTATTTTCTTTTCTCTAGCTTACTTTATTGTAAGAATACAGTGTACAATACATATAACATACAAAATATGTATTAATCGACTGTTTATGAAATTGGTAGGGCTTCTGGTCAAAAGCAGGCTATCAATAGTTAAGTTTTGGAGGAGTCAAAATTGTATGCAGATTTTTGACTGCATGGGGAGATTGGCACCCCTAACCCCTGCATTTTCAAGGATCAACTGTATTTGCTTAAGAAAAATCAAAACTTGTAAACTAAAAAAAAGACTTTTATGATAATGTTTACTTCAGCTTTAATCATAATAGCCCCAAAAGAGTAATGACAAAAGAAAGGATGAAAACACTGTGGTGTAATCATACAATGAACTACTTACCGTTCGGCAATTTTTAAAAATGAACTACGGATACATGCAAGAAACAGAGGCTGAGTGAAAGAAGTCAGACATGAGTTTGCAATGTATGAGTCGTTTACATATAATTCAAGAACAGGGAAAACTAATCCTATGATGACAGCAATCAAAACAGAGGTTACCTATGAAGGGTAGCAACTGACTAGCAGTAGACACAGATACTTTTCTGGACTGATGAAAATGTTCAGTCTGGGCCTGGTGGCTCACGTCTGTAATCCTAGCACTTTGGGAGGCTGAGGGGGGATGGATCACCTGAGGTCAGGAGTTCGAGACCAGCCTGGGCAACATGGTGAAACTCCATCTCTACTAAAATAGAAAAAAAAAATTAGCCGGGCTCGGCGGTGTGCGCCTGTAGTCCCAGCTACTCAGGAGGCTGAGGGAGGATTGCTTGAACCCAGGAGACGGAGGTTGCAGTGAGCCAAGATCGCACCACTACACTCCAGCCTGGGCGACAGAGCAAGATTCTGTCTCCAAAAAAAAAAAAAAAAAAAAAAAAGTTCCATATCCTGATTGGGGTGCTGGTTACAGAGGTGTATAAAGTTATCAATTCAGCAAATTGTACTCTTAAGATGTGTACATTTCAGCCAGGCACAGTGGCTCACACCGGTAATCCTAGCACTTTGGGAGGCTGAGGCAGGAGAACCGCTTGAGTCCAGGAGTTCAAGACCAACCTGGGTAACATGGCGAGACCCCCATCTCTATTTTTTTTCTTAATGTTATAAATTTTATTATTAAAAAAAAATTAACAGAACTAGAAGAAACTGAAATATCTGTTGGCCAGGTATGGTGGCTCATGCCTGTAATCCCAGCACTTTGGGAGGCCGAGGCGGGTGGATCACCAGAGGTCAGAAGTTCGAGACCAGCCTGGCCAATGTGGTGAAACCCCGTCTCTACTAAAAATACAAAAATTAGCTGGGCATGGTGGTGCATGCCTTTAGTCCCAGCTACTCAGGAGGCTGAGGCAGGAGAATTGCTTGAACCTGGGAGGCGGAGGCTGCAATGAGCTGAGATCACACCACTGCACTCCAGCCTGGGCGACAGAGTGGACTCTGTCTCAAAAAGAAAAGCAACAACAACAACAACAAAAACCACACATAGGAGAAATAAAAGCAAAACAAATCACTGTACGGGTTACCTCTGGGGTGGAAGAAAGGACTGGCATGGAGCAAAGAGAAACAGAGGTTTCAATTATACACGGAATGTTTCCCTCTTAAGCAGATAGTAGAAACATAGGTGGTCATTATAATACTCCCCCCACCTCTTTTTTTTTTTTTGGTTTTGAGACAGTGTCATGCTCTGTCACCCAGGCTGGAGTGCAGTGGCATAATCACAGCTCACTACAGCCTCGACCTCCTGGGCTTCAGCGATCCTCCCACCTTAGCTTCCCAAGCAGCTGGGACCACAGCCATGTGCCACCACATCCGGCATTTTTTTTTTTTTTTTTTTTTTTGGCAGAGACGGGATCTCCCTATGTTGCCCAGACTGGTCTCCAACTCCTGGGCTCAAGCGATCCTCCTGCCTTGGCCTCTCAAAGTACTGGCATTTCAGGTGTGAGCCATTGCACCTGGCCCCTATCTCTTTTTTTTGTATGACTGAAGTACAGCATAAGTAAAAGAAAAGAAGGCTGAATAGAGCCAATAGATGTTAAGCAGAGGGACAACATAGGACCAGATGAAGAACTGCAAATTAAGGATGACAAGTTTTTTGTTGTTGTTGTTGTTGTTTGAGACGGAGTCTTGCTCTGTCGCCCAGGCTGCGTGCAATCACACAATCTCGGCTCACTGCAACCTCCGCCTCCCAGGTTCAGGCGATTCTCCTGCCTCGGCCTCCCGAGTGGCTGGGATTACAGGCCTGCGCCACCATGCTAATTTTTTTTGTATTTTTAGTAGAGTCGGGGTTTCACCATGTTGGCCAGACTGATCTCAAACTCCTGACCTCCCGATCCGCCCGCCTCAGCCTCCCAAAGTGTTAGGATTATAGGCGTGAGCCACTGTACCCAGGCTAGATTGTCCATATTCTTTAGATAGCTTCTCCAAGTGCCCAGTATAATATTCCAAAATAATGAATATTCAGTATATGCTTATTTATATACTATATATCTGTAGCTGGATACCTCAAATTTTATTTTTTTTAAAATGTCCTACTATATGGAAAAACTGCAATATATTTTTTTAAATACCTTGCTATTTAGCAAGTGAAAGCCTTGATCAGGTTAGTTTGGTAACCTCTCCCTGCATCCCAAACAATTACCTGGAGAATGCTTAGGACTGTTCTGAAAGTGGGAGCTAGCAAAAGCATGTAAAGATTGGCACAAAACATTCTCACCTTTAGAAAGACAACTCAAAATGTGCATTCTGCCAATAGGAAGTCAGTGCTATAATGTTATTTTTGCAAATAAAAAACAAAACATTCATCATAAGGCATCTGACCACGATAGCAATAGAGTTCAGCAGTAATCAAGTCGCAGCCCCACAACTACTTACGTCACGAAACTGAACCTTTCCAAGTTCTCCTAATTCACTGACACAACAATAAGCAGCCTCTGACTGTAGAAAAAGCTGGGCCAGTGTCATTTCTTCACTCCGGAAAAGCTCCCCCATGGTGGCAGAAGGTACCAGTCTAGTGAGTACCTGGATTTCTCTCCAACCTGAAGCAAAGAGAAAATGACATAACTTTGGAAATTACCACGAGGGCTAAGAGCAAATGACACCCCACTACGGCTCTTGCATTTACATTTCTAACACCCCATGAGGACAGGTCAACAACTGTTTTTGACACCCTGTCTAGAAAGATGGAAAGGAGAAATTGCAAAGGCAGTTCCTGAATTCTGTCCCACAGAGTGTCAGATGAAAAGTCACTTCCATTCCAGTCAACATCAGGATCAAATGACAATTATTTTGGGCAACTCAACTGATAAGAATGTATCCAGATTAAAGACAGGAACTGGGAACCTCAAACAACTCTTTAAATACCCAGGACACAATATTGAGGCAGTGAGTTTCACACTGCTCAATCTGTTTTTGCTAGTGCAGGAAACAAACAGAAGAGGCCTTCAATACCCTCTCATAAAGATGTCTGCCTTGTAACTATCCTTCTCCCTTCTACTGACAATGCGCATTTCTAAAAGCCCAAAGTTCTGGCACTATCCTAAAGCTATGGCTACACTAAAGGGTTTAATCTTCCAGATTCCTCAGAAAACAATATTTCCCCACTTAGGAATTCAAACAAATAACCGTCATCTGGAAAAAGCAACCAGTTTGCATATTAAGCTCAATTTCAAATCAAGCATGACAGGAACACACTGATAATGACAAAGCAGTTTTATCAAGCCACAGAGAATAAGCCTTCCACCTCTGCAGCTTTCTGTTTCTCAACCCTACCTTCAAGATTAATTACATTCTTCCATCTGTCAAATCTCATGAGCCAATAAAGGTTTCGTTTTAGTGCTGTCTTACTGTTGCCGGGTATGAGACAACTGGCGCTATCAGTGGTCCTGAAACTGCAATTATTTATTCTCGATCAGCTAATGTAAGGCACAGCCTGTCCAGTATCCAAACTCAGAAAAATGCACAGTATTTTTAGTGTCATAAGGGCATCTATACTGAGTACTGATAGATGAGTCTGACATCAAAGGAAGATTTACTCTTCTGGAAGGCTGGGAGACATTTTGAGAAATCTGAACGAACAAACCTTTGTGCATGTGATGTTCAAGACAGTAACACAAGCTCAGACATAAGCAAGGACTTCTCAAGAGAATATGCAGGCTGACTTTAAGATTCTGTACATCTGAATCATCCAAATCAGCTGTTACCGGCACCACCCTTAAACAAAGAGAGATTCTACAACCTCTAAACACATAAAATTAGGCCTGGTCAGCATAGTTCAGGAGCTGTGGATAATGATAAGCCTCCAACGAGTCGCCTCCGTCCTCCTGCTCTTTAATGATTATAGGTCTCCCAAGAATATCTCTATAGCAATGGAGGCTAACAGAAAACTAATTAGGCCAAAGTAGTTCTGGACGATCACAAAACAAAATATGAAGAAACAGCAATTCTGCAAAAGATGAGTCCAACTACAGCGCCCCCGCGCCCTGCCTAGAAGAATCTCACTCCTGTCATCCGGTCCTCGCCTCCTCCCACGGTATTCACCTGCTTCATTTCCTGTCTACCCAATGAGCAGGAATTCTCTGGACTCAGGCTCATCTACCTTGAGATGGGAAAAAAGGAGAGGAAAACCCCCAAACTGAGAAACCCTTTAAGAAGCCCCCTAAATTCTTCTGCCTATCCAATAACCTCCGGTTCCTCCGCCTACCCCTTAAAGCAGGGAAGAGATGCGGGGCTTCCAAAGGGCAGTGAGCCTCCGGTTCCTCAGGGCAGAGGAGGGGTGCCCAAGGAGGGGGCGAACCCCCATTTTATCTCGAAGACGTCAGATCCCCGCTAATTCCTCTGACAATCAAGGGGGCTCTTAGAAGGATTTCCTACGTCCATCGAGGGCCGCTCCCTGTTGCGCTAAACCTACAGCCCCCACTCACCTCCAAACTCCGCCACAGCAACCGCCACAGAAACCACCGCAGCCAAACCCGCACCCTCCGCGGCTCCAGGAGCAGCGCTTCGACGTGCTTGCGTCCGTAAAGCCCCGCCCCTGCGCCGCCGCCGGCCCCCGCCCCCGCAATGACCTCATTGCAGTTGGCCAATGGGGCGCAGCCTCGCCCGGGCTGCAGCAGTGCGGAGTCACGGGGGTCGCAGGCGAGACCCAGCGTGCTGACGCCATGTTGGCCCCTGTGCTGTATCTCCACGCTGGGGAGGGTTAGCGGGTGGGGCTGGAGGTGCAGGTGCTCGAGGCCTTAAGTTCCTGAGCCTCCCTGAATCCTTTTTCTTACCCCTTATACTGGGGTAGGTTGTCTTTTCTCTTTCTTTTTTTTTTTTTGAAGTCTCATTCTGTTGCTCAAGCAGGAGTGCAGTGGCGTGATCTCGGCCCACTGCAACCTCCACCTCCCGGGTTCAAGCGATTCTCCTGCCTCAGCCTCCCAAGTAGCTGGGACTACAGGCACGCACCACCATGCCCGGCTAATTTTTGTATTTTTTTTTTTTTTAAGTAGAGACGGGGTTTCACTATGTTGGCCAGGCTGAGTCTCGAATTCTGACCTCGTGATCCACCCGCCTCGGCCTCCCAAAGTGTTGGGATTACAAGCGTGAGCCACCACGCCCGGCCTTTTTTTTTTTTTTTTTTTTTTTTTTTTAGATGGTCTGTTTCCCAGGCGGGAATGCAGTGGCGCGTTCTCGGCTCACTGCAGCCTCCGCCTCCCGGGTTCAGGGGATTCTCCTGCCTCAGCCTCCCTAGTAGCTGAGATTACAGGCACGCACCACGCCACCCGGCTATTTTTGTATTTTTTGTAGAGATGGGGTTTCGCCATGTTGCCCAGACTGGTCCTGGCCTCCACCCGCCTCGGCCTCCCAAAGTGCTGGGATTACAGGTGTGAGCCACCGCGCCCGGCCCTCTCTTTATTTTCATATCCAAAGAATTAATTCACACATACGCACCCAAATAATTAATGTCTTCTCTCTTTATTTTCATATCCAAAGAATTCACACACACACTCAAATAATTAATACGCAGACACATATACCACCCTTTCTCTTTTCCCTTATTTTACAGATGAGAACATTTGAGCCCCAGACTGGGGAGCGGCTAGCTTTAGATCCTGTAGTAGAGTCTTTAACGGGGTCTCATTTGCATAAGTATGGAAAACCTCTCTTTAAATGGTACATGGTTCATGCCTTCCAGCAACTTCCCCGGGTCTATTTTTCTCTGTTTAACAGGAAAAACCTCATCAGACCATATGTTGTGAAAGTACATTTCAGTCTTGTTTGGTAGATTCATGTGGGCTCAATTGACCACTTAGGAGTTTTCAATTCCTCAAATTTATTTTAAAAACATTTTTTATGGCTTGTACTCAACTTGTAAATTAAATATTGAAAAACATTTTTTAAACGCAAAAGTGATGTCTATTATTTTTTAAATGCCATTATCAAATATTGATATTGATTCCCTTTTCTTGCCCTTTTAAAGAAGAGTAGGGATCTCAAGTCGTTTGTGATAACCAGAATTGTATCAGGAAAAACTCAGAAAACCGGTTATTCTGTCTTCCTGGGTGGTGGAACCCTGTTGAAATTCAAGTGTAATGAGGGAGATATTCCAGATAAAAACTTGTTGCTGATAATTTTGTCAACCTGACAAAAACATCATCAAACCTGCTTTACCAGCCTAAACAAAATAAGGGGACAAAAATGGACGTTTTATTTGAATTTATTGTCTCATATTGTGAGTGAAGATATAACCTGACTTCAATACAACCTTCTTAAGACACAGAGTCTTGGAGAGACCCATACCCTCCTTCTCCCTGCTCCCTAGCTCTCAACCCTTCTGGCAAGACAGATCGGGACCCACATTTAAAAGCCTGCCAAGTTAGAGAAAACTGTTACACAATATCATTTCCTTCCTCTGAGACTTAAAAAAAAATTAACCTCAGTCAGCTGCTTGCTAACCACAAATTTTTCATACTCCACTTTTAAGACAGCCTTTCCTGTGGACTTACTTCAATTCCCTTGAACTCTTTTCACGGCTTCTTTGAAAGAATATTGTTTCAGAACTCCTTTTCTGTTTGCTTCCATCTCCTGCCATCAATCTTTCCTCAGTGTTCTATTTATTTTCCCTCCATGCTGTCTTCCTTGATGGTCTTGAGTGTTGTCAAGCTTAAACGTTTATGTGTAGGACTCTTATCTGTTTTTCCACCTGACTTCCTTCTTCAAGACTCAGAAATGGAATTTCATACTGCCTGCTTGATAGTGCCTTTTAGGCAGCAGATGCTTGCTGAGGGCCTACTGTGTGCCAGAGAGGGGTACTAGGTGCTGGGGATAGAAAATGAAACAGACATGCTTCTTATCCTTGGAGAGCTCATGGTTCAGTGAGAAAGAAACTTCCCAAATGGCAAGAGAGAGAGGAGTGCAGTGATTAATACTTACTATGTGCCAGGCACTTTTCTACATGCTTGGTAAATACAAACTCATTTAATCCTCACAACAACATTAGGAGGCAGTTACTATTATTATCCCCATATAACAGATGATATGGTAAAACTGAGGCATATGTCCAATAAGATCAAATTTAAAATGCTGTTGACCACACCTACAGCCCTAGAAGACATGAGCAATTCCATATGAGGCTTGGCCAGTGACACAGTTCCGAGTATCTAAACCGAGCTATTCCCTAGCATTTGTGAAAATGGCTAAAAAACAATTAAAGCCAGGTGTGGTGGCTCACGCCTGTAATCCCAGCACTTTGGAAGGCTGAGGCGGGTGGATTACCTGAGGTCGGGAGTTTGAGACCAGCCTGGCCAACATGGTGAAAACTCATCTCTACTAAAAATACAAAAAATTAGCTGGGGATGGTGGTGCATGCCTATAATCCCAGCTACTCAGGAGGCTAAGGCAGGAGAACCACTTGAACCCAGGAGGCGGTGGTTGCAGTGGCCAAGATCGCGCCATTGCCCTCCAACCTGGGCAATAAGAGCAAAACTGAGTCTGAAAAAAAAAAAAACAGTTATAAAGATTAGTTCTTCACTACCACAAAAAGAATAGAACAGAGGTAGGGATCTAACTGATAGAGTCTCAAAATGTTACAAGAATTGTCACTGTAGTGAAATTATTAAATGTGGTTTTTTATCTTTAATTTTTAGTTTGAATGAATGCGTGTCAATTGTCCAAATTTCCACCAGTGAAGAATCAGCTAGCTCATCTTAGCTTATCCCACTTAGATTCCTAGATGGGGCCTAGAGGAGAGTTTTAACGTTAAGCCCGGTGTTTTGAAATACGTATCTGCTCCAGTGTCTTCTCCACAGGCTTCCAGTATTCGTTTCCCTAAGGCTGCCATACAAATAACCACAACCTGGGTAGCATTTAAAACAACAGAAATCAGGTCAGCCGAGGTGGCTCACGCCTGTAATCCTAGCACTTTGGGAGACCGAGGCCAGCCTGTCACCTGAGGTCAGGAGTTCGAGACTAGCCTGGCCAACATGGGGAAACCCCATCTCTACTAAAAATACAAAAATTAGCAAGACATGGTGGTGGGCGCCTGTAGTCTCAGCTACTTGGGAGGCTGAGGCAGGAGAATCACTTGAACCCAGGGGGCAGAGGCTACAGTGAGCCAAGTTTGCGCCACCTCACTCCAGCTTGGATGAAAAAGCAAAACTGTGTCTCAAAAAAACAAAAAACAACAGAAATCGGCCATGCACGGTGGCTCACTCCTGTTATCCCAGCACTTTGGGAGGCCAAGGCAGAAGGATGGCTTGAGCCCAGGAGTTTGAGACCAGCCTGGACAACACAGCAAGACCCACGTCTGTAAAAAAAAAAAAAAAAAAAAATTAGCTGGGCATGGTGGCACGTGCCTGTAGACCCAGCTACTCAGGAGGCTGAAGTGGGAGGATGGCTTGAGCCTGAGCCAGGGAGGTTGATGCTGCTGCAGGGAGCCGTGATTGAGCCACTGCATTTCAGCCTGGGTGACACAGTGAGGCCCTGTCTCAAAAAAACAAAAACACCGAAATTTATTCTCTCACAGCGGAGGCTAGAAGTCTGAAATTAAGGTGTCTGCAGAGCATGGTATCTCCAAAGGCTCTGGGAAAGAATCCTTTCTTCCCTCTTCCTGGCTTCTGGTGGTTGCCAGAAATCCTTGGTGTTCCTTGGCTTATAGATGCATCATTTCAATTGTTGCCTCCATCGTCACATGGTATTCTTTCTTCTATATGTCTTTTTTTTTTTATTTGAGATAGAGTCTTGCTCTGTCGCCCAGACGAGTGCAGTGGCGCAATCTCAGCTCACTGCAACCTCCACCTCCCAGGTTCAAGCAATTCTCCTGCCTCAGCCTCCTGAGTAGCTGGGATTACGGGTGTGCACCGCCACGCCCAGCTAATTTTTGTATTTTCAGTAGAGACGGGGGTTCGCCATACTGCTCAGGCTAGTCTCGAACTCCTGGCCTCAAGTGATCCACCCGCCTCAGCCTCCCAAAGTGCTGGGATTACAGGAGTGAGCCACTGCACCCGGCCTTCTCTATGTGTCTCTGTCTGTAGGCAAATTCTCCTCTTCTTATAGGGGCACCAGCCATTAGATTAGGGCACCACTTAATCCAGTATGATCCCATCTTAACCTGATTACATCTGCAAATATCCTATTTCCAAATGAGGCCACCTTCACAGGTTCCCCGTTATACATGAATTTTTTTTTCTTTTCTTCCTTTTTTTTTTTTTTTTTGAGACGGAGTCTCACTCTGTCATCCAGACTGGAGTGCCGTGGCGCAGTCTCGTCTCACTACAACCTCTGCCTCCTGGGTTCAGGCATTTATCCTGCCTCAGCCTCCCGAGTAGCTGGGATTACAGGGCCTGCCACCACGCCCGGATAATTTTTTTGTATTTTTAGTAGAGACAGGGTTTCACCATGTTGGCCAGGCTGGTCTCTAACACCTGACCTCAAGTGATTTGCCCTCCTCTGCCTCCCAAAGTCCTGAGATTACAGGCGTAAGCCACCACACCTGCCCTATGTTTTCCTTTTTGCAACCAGAATTCCATTTTTAAAAGTTTTCTTTTTATGTGAAAATGAATTCTGATTCTTAAAACTGTTCTACCAAGAATCTGATATGAGCGTTCATTGAGACATTTCTACTGCTACAACCTTTAGGTGACCTGTTGATTAGCAGTTTGTTTCCATAGAAGTAGTCCCTTTTACAACTTCACTGTGAGTTCCTTAAAATACTTCTGCTTTTACTTTCAAACCTGTGAGTGTTTAAGATTAAAGGCCTTTTGGTAAAAAGTAAAAACCTAATAGATTTTGAGACTTCCTCGGAAGCTCTGCTAATGATTGCATGGACAAGGAGATATAAATGAGCCTAAGGCATGTAACATTTTATTTTATGCAACCCTCATGACTCCTGTGACAGACACATGAGGCAGTGAGCCTCTTAACTTGTGGAAGTTAAGAATGCTATGCAGAGGCTTTTTAAGGAAATGAAATTTGGAAAACATGAGAAATCTTGGGATGGGAATGAGGGAAAGGGCTGAGTGACACAAGGCTGAAAAACATCTGTGACACTAGACCTGAAATATTTGTCCAGGAAAGTGAGAAACTAGTTCGAGATTTCTGAAGTGGAAAATCTGGCAAATGTTTCTATATTGGGTTTCTAGTGACTTCGAGAAAGAAAGGGAGACGTGGAATGAATACATCGGAAAATTCTAATAGAAAAGATCTAGTTGATTCAATGTTCAAAGGAGAGATCTAACTTTCAGTAGAACATAAAGCTCCAAGAGAAGGGACCCTGCGTATCTCACTTATTGTATTCTCACTGCCTATTTTGGTACCTGGTATTCAGTATATACTTAGTAAAATTTTCTTTTCTTCTTTTAAGATATGGGGTCTTGCTCTGTCACCCAGGCTGGAGTGCAGGGCTGCGATCTTGGCTCACCATAACCTCCACCTCCCGAGTAGCTGGGATTACAGGTGCACACCACTACACCTGGCTAATCTTTGTATTTTTAGTAGAGACAGGGTTTCACCGTGTTGGTCAGGCTAGTCTCAAACTCCTGACCTCAGGCGATTTGCCTGCCTCTGCCTCCCAAAGTGCTGGGATTACAGGCATGAGCCACAGCGCCCGACCCATTTCTTTTTTTCTAAAAAGACTCTCTTGCTATGTTGCCCAGGCTGGAGTGCAATGGTGCAATCATGACTCCCTGCAGCCTTCAACTTCCAGGCTGAAGCAGTCCTCCCGCCTCAGCCTCCTGAGTAGCTGGGACCACAGTCACACACCACCAAACCAGACTAATCTTTTGATTCTTTGTGGAGACAATGTCTCACTATCTTGCACAGGCTGCACTCAAACACCTGGACTCAAATGAGCCTCCCTACTCAGTCCCTTGAAGTGCTGAGATTACAGATGTGATCCGCTGGACCTGGCCTGAAATGAGATTCTTGAAAACAGCATATTGTTGTCCGGGCACGGTGGCTCATGCCTGTAATCTCAGCACTTTGGGAGGCCGAGGCGGGTGGATCACCTGAGGTCAGGAGTTGAGACCAGCCTAGCCAACATGGCGAAATCCCATCTCTACTAAAAATACAAAAATTAGCCAGGCATGGTAATGCATGCCTGTAATCTCAGCTGCTGGGGGGCTGAGGCAGGAGGATCCCTTGAACCTGGGAGGCGGAGGTTGCAATGAGCCGAGATAGTGCCACTGCACTCCAGCCTGGGCAACACAGCAAGGCTCCATCTCAAAAAAAAAAATAGAAAAAGAAAAAGAAAAAAGAAAACATATTGTTGTGTCATATTTTTAATCCATTGTCAATGTCTGCTTTTTTAACTTTAATTAATTAATTAATTAATTTTTTTGAGACAGAGTTTCGCTCTTGTTGCCCAGGCTGGAGTGCAATGGTGCAATCTCGGCTCACCGCAACCTCTGCCTCCCGGGTTCAAGGGATTCTCCTGCCTCAGTCCCCAAGTAGCTTGGATTACAGGCATGAGCCACCACGCCCAGCTAATTTTATATTTTTAGTAGAGACAGGGTTTCACCATGTTGGTCAGGCTGGTCTCGAACTCCCGATCTCAGGTGATCCACCCACCTAGGCCTCCCAAAGTGCTGGGATTACAGGTGTGAGCCACTGTCCTTGGCCTATTTTTGTATTTTTTGAGATTGAGTCTCGTTCTGTCACCCAGGTTGGAGTGTGGTGGCACCATCCCAGCACACCGCAACCCCTGCCTCCTGGGTTCAAGGGATTCTCCTGCCTCAGCCTCCTGAGTAGCTGGGATTACAGTCGCCCACCACCACACCCAGCTAATTTTTTTGTATTTTTAGTAGAGATGGGGTTTCACCATGTTGGCCAGGCTGGTCTCAAACTCTTGACCTCAAGTAATCCACCTGCCTTGGCCTCCCATAGTGCTGGGATTACAGGTATGAGCCACCGTGCCCGGCCAAAGTCTGCTTTTTAATTGGTGCACTTTGTTTACATTTAATGTAATTATTGATACCTTAAGGCTTAAAGGCGAGGTGTGGTAGCTCATGCCTGTAACCCCAGCACTTTGAGAGGCTGAGGCAGAAGGATCGCTTGAGCCCAAGAGTTTGAGACCAGTCTGAGCAACATAGCAAGACCTCATCTCTACAAAAAAAAAAAATTTTTTTTAACTAGCCAGGAGTGGTGGCATGTGCACCTGTAGTCCCAACTACTTGGGAAGTTGAGGTGGGAGGATTACTTGAGCCCAGGAGTCCGAAGCTGTAGTGAGCTACGATCATGCCACTGCTCTCTTGCAGCAAGACTCCATTGCTAAAAAAATAAGTATGTAAATAAATAAAAGGTTTAAGTCTGCTGTTTTATTTTTTGTTTTCTGCTTGTTCCTCTTGTTGTCTCTGTGTTTGATTTTTTCTGGCTTACTGTGGGCTACTTGTACCTTTTTTTTTTAAATCCCATTTTAATTTTCCTATAGTGTTTTTGAGTGCATCTCTTTTTTTTTTTTTTTTTTTGAGACGGAGTCTCGCTCTGTCGCCCAGGCTGGAGTGCAGTGGCGCGATCTCAGCTCACTGCAAGCTCCGCCTCCCAGGTTCACGCCATTCTCCTGCCTCAGCCTCCGGAGTAGCTGGGACTACAGGTGCCCGCCACCACGCCCGGCTAATTTTTTTGTATTTTTAGTAGAGACGAGGTTTCACCGTGTTAGCCAGGATGGTCTCAATCTCCTGACCTCATGATCCGCCCGCCTCGGCCTCCCAAAGTGCTGGGATTACAGGCGTGAGCCACCGCGCCTGGCCCGAGTGTATCTCTTTGTGTAGATTTTTTAAGTGGTTGTAATGGGTTTCATATTATACATATATAAATTATCACAGTCAACTGATGTCAATATTTTTTCTTTTTTCTTTCTTTTTTTTTTTTTTTTTTAAGACGGAGTCTCTCTCTATCGCCCAGACTGGAGTGCAGTGGCGCAATCTTGGCTCACTGCAACCTCTGCTTCCCAGATTCAAGCGATTCTCCTGCCTCAGTCTCCTGAGTAGCTGGGATTGCAGGCATGTGCCACCATGCCCGGCTAACTTTTGTATTTTTAGTAGAGACAGGGTTTCACCATATTGACCAGGCTGGTCTTGAACTCCTGAACTCAGGTGATCCACCTGCCTCGGCCTCCCAAAGTGCTGGGATTACAGGCGTGAGCCACTGTGCCTGGCCAACTGATGTCAATATTTTTATCAGCTTGAGTGAAGTATAAAACTCTTACCTCCATTTTAGTCTTTTTACTTTCCCATTTACAACATAATTGTCTTAAATATTTCCTCAACATACTTTGCAAACCACATTGGACAATGTTACACAGTCTGCTTCAACCATCAAACATAATTGAGAAAACTCAAGAGGAGAAGTGTTTTTTTTGTTGTTGTTGTTTTGTTTTTTTTTTATTGATCATTCTTGGGTGTTTCTTGCAGAGGGGGATTTGGCAGGGTCATAGGACAATAGTGGAGGGAAGGTCAGCAGATAAACAAGTGAACAAAGGTCTCTGGTTTTCCTAGGCAGAGGACCCTGCGGCCTTCCGCAGTGTTTGTGTCCCTGGGTACTTGAGATTAGGGAGTGGTGATGACTCTTAATGAGCATGCTGCCTTCAAGCATCTGTTTAACAAAAACATCTTGCACCGCCCTTAATCCATTTAACCCTGAGTGGACACAGCACATGTTTCAGAGAGCACAGGGTTGGGGGTAAGGTCATAGATCAACAGGATCCCAAGGCAGAAGAATTTTTCTTAGTACAGAACAAAATGAAAAGTCTCCCATGTCTACTTTTTTCTACACAGACACAGCAACCATCCGATTTCTCAATCTTTTCCCCACCTTTCCCCCTTTTCTATTCCACAAAACCGCCATTGTCATCATGGCCCGTTCTCAATGAGCTGTTGGGTACACCTCCCAGACGGGGTGGTGGCCGGGCAGAGGGACTCCTCACTTCCCAGTAGGGGCGGCTGGGCAGAGGTGCCCCCCACCTCCCGGATGGGGCGGCTGGCCGGGTGGGGTCTGACCCCCCACCTCCCTCCCGGACGGGGTGGCTGGCCGGGCGGGGGCTGACCCCCCACCTCCCTCCCAGACGGGATGGCTGCCGGGCGGAGACGCTCCTCACTTCCCAGACGGGGTGGCTGCCGGGTGGAGGGGGCTCCTCACTTCTCAGAGGGGGCGGCTGCCGGGCGGAGGGGCTCCTCACTTCTCAGACGGGGCGGCTGGGCAGAGACGCTCCTCACCTCCCAGACGGGGTCACGGCCGGGCAGAGGCGCTCCTCACATCCCAGACGGGGCGGCGGGGCAGAGGTGCTCCCCACATCTCAGACGATGGGCAGCCGGGCAGAGACGCTCCTCACTTCCTAGATGGGATGGCGGCCAGGAAGAGGTGCTCCTCACTTCCTAGATGGGATGGCGGCCGGGCAGAGAAGCTCCTCACTTTCCAGACTGGGCAGCCAGGCAGAGGGGCTCCTCACATCCCAGACAATGGGCAGCCAGGCAGAGACGCTCCTCACTTCCCAGACGGGTTGGCGGCCGGGCAGAGGCTGCAATCTCGGCACTTTGGGAGGCCAAGGCAGGCGGCTGGGAGGTGGAGGTTGTAGCGAGCCGAGATCACGCCACTGCACTCCAGCCAGGGCACCATTGAGCACTGAGTGAACGAGACTCCGTCTGCAATCCCGGCTCCTCGGGAGGCCGAGGCTGGCGGATCACTCTCGGTTAGGAGCTGGAGACCAGCCCAGCCAACACAGCGAAACCCCGTCTCCACCAAAAAAATACGAAAACCTGTCAGGCGTGGCGGCGCGCGCCTGCAATCCCAGGCACTCGGCAGGCTGAGGCAGGAGAATCAGGCAGGGAGGTTGCAGTGAGCCGAGATGGCAGCAGTACAGTCCAGCTTCGGCTCGGCCTCAGAGGGAGACCGTGGAAAGAGAGGGAGAGGGAGACTGTGGGGAGAGGGAGAGGGAGAGTGAGACCGTGGGTAGAGGGAGAGGGAGAGGGAGAGGGAGGAGAAGTGTTATAGACTGAATTGTGTCTTCCCAAATTCCTATGTTGAATCCCTAACCTCTATTGTGACTGTACATTGGAGACAGGGCCTTTAAAGATGTAATTAAGATTAAATGAGGGCCGGGCACGGTGGCTCACTCCTGTAATCCCAGCACTTTGGGAAGCCACGATGGGCAGATCATTTGAGGTCAGGAGTTTGAGACCAGCCTGACCAACATGGCAAAACTCTGTCTCCACTAAAAACACAAAAAAATTAGCCAGGAGTGGTGGCACACACCTGTAATCCCAGCTACTCGGGAAGGTGAGGCAGGAGAATTGCTTGAACCCGGGACACAGAGGTTGCTGTGAGCCGAGATTACGCCATTGCACTCCAGCCTGGGCAACAAGAGTGAAACTCCGTCTCAAAAAAAAAAAAAGAAAAGAAGAAAAAAAGGACACCAGCCGGGCTTGGTGGCTCACACCTGTAATCTCAGCACTTTGGGAGGCCGAGGTGGGAGGATCACTTGAGGTCAGGAGTTTGAGACCAGCTTGGCCAACATGTTGAAACCCCCGTCTCTACTAAAAAAAAAAAAAAGAAAATTATCTGGGTGTGGTGGCACATGCCTGTAATCTCAGCTACTCGGGAGGCTAAAGTAGGAGAATCACTTGAACCTGGGAGGTGGAGGTTGCAGTGAGCTGAGATTGTGCCACTGCACTCCATCCTGAGCAACAGAGCAAGACTCCGTCCCCCCCCACAAAAAAGGACACCAGTCCTGTTGGATTAGCCCGGCTAATTTTGTTTTTTCGGTAGAGATGGGGTTTCTCCATGTTGGCTTGTCTCGAACTCCCGACCTCAGGTGATCCGCCTGCCTTGGCCTCCCAAAGTGCTGGGATTACAGGGGTGAGCCACCACGCCCGGCCCAGTGTCCTTTTCAGAAGAGGAAAAAGCACCAGGAGTGGTCACACACAGACAAAAGGCCATGGGAGGACACAGCAAGAAGGTGGCCATCTACAGGCCAAGAAAAGAGGCCTCAGGAAAAACCAAACCTACCAACACTTTGGTCTTAGACTTCCAGCCTCCAGAACTGTGAGAAAATAAATTCTGTTGGTTAAGTTACCCAGTCTGCAGTATTTTGTTATGGAAGCCCTAGATGACTAATACAAGAAGGAAAGTATATTGCAATTACTCATATATTTGCTTTCCACGTTCTTTTTTCTTTCTTTTTTTTTTTTTTTTGAGACAGAGTCTCGCTCTGTCACCCAGGCTGGAGTGCAGTGGTGCGATCTCAGCTCACTGCAAGCTCCGCCTCCCGGGTTCACGCCATTCTCCTGCCTCAGCCTCTCTGAGTAGCTGGGATTACAGGCACCCGCCACCACGCCCGGCTAATTTTTTATATTTTTAGTAGAGACGGGGTTTCACCGTGGTCTCGATCTCCTGACCTCGTGATCCGCCCGCCTCGGCCTTCCAAAGTGCTGGGATTACAAGTGTGGGCCACTCCACGTTCTTTTTTCATCCTTGATGTTCCAAGGTCCCTTCTTTTATCATTTCCCTTTCTTTTCAAGAACTTCCTTTAGCTTTTTTTTTTTTTTTTTTGAGATGGAGTCTTGCCCTGTCACCAAGACTGGATTGCAGTGGTGCGATCTCTGCTCACTGCAACCTCCACCTCCCAGGTTCAACCGATTTTCCTGCCTCAGCCTCCAGAGTAGCTGGGACTACAGGCATGTGCCACTATGCCTGGCTAATTTTTGTATTTTTAGTAGAGACTAGGTTTTGCCACGTTGGCCAGGCTGGTCTCAAACTCCTGGCCTCAAGTGATCCGCCTGCCTCGGTTTCCCAAAGTGATGGGATTACAGGCATGAGCCACTGCACCCGGCCCCCTTTTAGCCACTTTTTTAAAGGGTAGATCTACAAATGACAAATTCTCTTAGTTTTTCTTCATCTGAAAATGTGTTGATTTCTCTTTCATCTTTGATAGTTTTTTTCTTCTAGCATTTGAAAAAAGTTGTGCCACTTTCTTCTGGCCTTTTTTAGTTTCTGGTGAGAAATCTATTGTGGTTCAATCTGTTTTTCCCTTATGAGAAAGATGTTTTTCTCTTACTGCTGTCAAGATTTTTTCTTTGTTATTAGTTTTCAGGAGTTAGATTATTACGTGTCCTGGTATAGATTTCTTTGAGTTTATCATGTTTGTGGTTTTCTCAGCTTCTTGAACTTGTAGTTCTAGGTCTCTTGTCAAATTTGAGGAATTTTCTGCCATTATTTCTTCTTTTTTTTTCTTTTTCTTTTTTTTTTTTTTTTTTTTTTTTTTTTTTTTTTTTTTTTTGAGACGGAGTCTCGCTCTGTCACCCAGGCTGGAGTGCAGTGGCGCGATCTCGGCTCACTGCAAGCTCCGCCTCCCGGGTTCACGCCATTCTCCTGCCCCAGCCTCCCGAGTAACTGGGACTACAGGCGCCCGCCACCACATCGGGTAATTTTTTTTTGTATTTTTAGTAGAGACGGGGTTTCACTGTATTAGCCAGGATGGTCTCGATCTCCTGACCTCGTGATCCTCCTGCCTCGGCCTCCCAAAGTGCTGGGATTACAGGCGTGAATCACCACACCCAGCCCATTATTTCTTTGAATAAGTTTTCGGTCTTACATTCTTACTCCTTCTAGGACTCTGACGACATAATTTTCTCTCTCTCTCTCTCTTTCTCTCTCTCTTTCTCTCTCTCTCCCTCCCTCTCTCCCTCTCTCCCTCTCTCCCTCTCTCCCTCTCTCCCTCTCCCTCTCTCCCCTTTCTTTCTTTCTTTTCTTTTCTTTTTTGAGGCAGAGTCTCGCTCTGCTGCCCAGGCTGGAGTGCAGTGGCACAATCTCGGCTCACTGCAACCTCCGCCTTCTGCCTCCCGGGGTCAAGCGATTCTCCTGCCTCAGCCTCCCGAGTACTTGAGATTACAGACGCCCGCCATCATGGCCGGCTAATTTTTGTATTTTAGTAGAGACAGGGTTCGGCCATGTTGCCTAGGCTGGTCTCAAACTCCTAAGCTCAAAGCAATCTGACCACCTCAGCCTCCCAAAGTGCTGGGATTATAGGCATGAGCCACCACACCTGGACTGAAATATTCTTTAATATTAAAATTAAATTTCATAAAAAGGAATGAAAGTATGACACATGCTACAACATGGATGAAACTTGAAAACATGCTAAGTGAAATAAGGCAGATTGTAAAAGGACAAATATTGTATGATTCCACTTAAGTGAAATATCTAGACTAGACTAGACTAGGCAAATTTATAGAGACAGAAAGTAGATTACAGATTACCAGGGGCTAGGAGAAGCAGGGAATGGAGAATTGTTGTTTAATGGGAACAGAATTTCTCTTTTATTTTGGAAATAGATAGTGGTGATAGTTATGCACATTGTCAGTGTAATTAATGCCACTGAATTGTACATTAAAAAATGGTTAAGGCTGTGCGCGGTGTCATGCCTGTAATCCCAGCACTTTGGGAGGCTGAGGCAGGTGGATCACCTTAGATCAGGAGTTCGAGCACTACCTGTCCAACATGGTGAAACCCCATCTCTACTAAAAATACAAAAATTAGCTGGGTATGATGGCGAGTGCCTGTAATCCCAGCTACTCGGGAGGCTGAGGCAGAAGAATTGCTTGAACCCAAGAGGTGGAGGTTGCAGTGAGCCGAGATCGTACCACTGCACTCCAGCCTGTGCAACAGAGCAAGACTCCATCTCAAAAAAAAAAAAAAGGTTAAAATGGGGACCAGGCACAGTGGCTCATTTCTACAATCCCAGAACTTTAGGAGGCTGAGGTGGGAGAATACATTGAGGCCTGGAGTTCAAGAGTAGCCTGAGCAACATAGCAAGGCTCCGTCTCTATATTACAAAAAAAAAAAAAAAAATATATATATATATATATATATATATATGGCCGGGCACAGTGGCTCACGCCTGTAATCCCAGCATTTTGGGAGGTCAAGGTGGGCGGATCACGAGGTCAAGAGATCAAGAAGGTCATCCTGGCCAACATAGTTCACATGGCAGCAGAGTGAGACTCTGCCTCAAAAAAAAAAAAAAAAAAAAGGAAAGAAAGAAAGAAAATTATGTCGTCAGAGTCCTAGAAGGAGTAAGAATTTAAAAATTCAAAAATTAGCTGAGCATGGTGTTGTGTGCCTATAGTCCCAGCTACTTGGGAGGCTGAGGCAGGAGAATTGCTTGAACTCGGGAGGCAGAGGTTGCAGTGAGCCAAGATCATGCCACTGCACTCCAGCCTGGCAATAGACCAAGACTCCATCTCAAAAAAAAAAAAAAAATATATATATACACACACACACACACACACACACACACACACACATATATTTATATATATAATGGTTAAAATGGCAACTTTTATATTTTACCACAATTTTAAAAATTAACATGATATACCAAAACCATTGAATTGCACTCTTTGAGTGAATTGTGTGGTATGTGAATTATATATCAATAATCTGTTTTGTTTTGTTTTGTTTTTGAGACAGAGTCTTGCTCTGTTGCCCAGGCTGGAGTGCAATGGCACGATCTCAGCTCACTGCAACCTCTGCCTCCCCGGGTTCAAGCAATACTCCTGCCTCAGCCTCCTGAGTAGCTGAGATTATAGGCATGCATCACCACAGCCTGCTAATATTTGTTTTTTGTTTTGTTTTGTTTTTGAGACAGAGTCTCACTCTGTCACCCATGCAGGAGTGCAGTGGCATGATCTTAGCTCACTACAACCTCCGCCTCCTGTGTTCAGGCGATTCTCCTGCTTCAGCCTCCCAAGTAGCTGGCACTATAGGCGCCCGCCACCACACCTGGCTAATTTTTCGCATTTTTAGTAGAGACAGTGTTTCACCGTGTTAGCCAGGATGGTCTCAATCTCCTGTCCTCGTGATCCACCCGCCTCGGCCTCCCAAAGTGTTGGGATTACAGGCATGAGCCACCGTGCCCAGCCAATAATACTCGTATTTTTATTAGAGGAGGGATTTCGCCATGTTGGCCCGGCTGGCCTCGAATGCCTGACCTCTGGTCAATAATCTATTTTCTTAAAAAGATTCATGGTGAAGATATGGAGAAATCGGAACCCCCATTCACTACTGGTGAAGATGTAAAATGGGGCAACTACTTTGGAAAATAGTCTGGCAATTTCTTAAAAGGCTTATCATAGAGTTACCATATAATCCAACAATTCCACTCCTAGGTATACACCTAAGAGAAATAAAAACCAAATGTCCACAGAAAAACGTGTACACAAATGTTCATAACAGCATTATACACAATAGCCCAAAATTGGAAACAACCCAGATGTTCAACAATGGATGAATGGATAAAGAAAGTGTAGTATAGCCATACAATGAGATGTTATTCAGCAATAAAAAGGGATGAAGTAATGACACATGTTACAACAAAAACCTTGAAAACATAGTAAGTGAAAGAAGTCAGTCAAAAAAGACCACATATGTGACTGCATTTATATGATATGTCTAGAGTAGACAAATCTATAGAGGCAAAAAGTGGATTATTAATGCCTAGGGCTGGGGTGATGGGGAGAATGGAACGTGATGGCTAAAGGGCATGGGGTTTCTTGGCCAGACACAGTGGCTCACACCTGTAATCTCAGCATTTTGGGAGGCTGAGGCAGGAAGATGGCTTGAGCCCAGGAGTTCAAGACTAGCCTGGGCAACATAGTGACACCCAGTCTCAACAAAAAAGAATAAATATTGTTTTAAAGAAAAAATAATAAAGTCAAAAAAGTGAAAAAAATAATAAAAGGGCATGGGGTTTCTTTTCAGGGTGATTTTTTAAAGTTCTGAATTTTTTTTTTTTTTTTTTTTTTTGAGACAGGGTCTCACTCTGTCACCCAGGCTGGTGTGCAGTGGCATCATCACAGCTCACTACAGCCTTGACTTTCTGGGCTTAAGCGAGCCTCCCACCTCAACCTCCCAAGTAGCTGGGACTACAGGTACTGGGACTCCCGAGTAGCTGGGACTATAGTTTATGCACAGAATTTGAGCCTCCCTCTCTGTGGCTCTTATTTTGATAGGATTTCCTCCCATTATTTCCACCTGCTGGGGTTGCCCTGAACAATTCAAGCTAGTAAGACTGCAGGGTTTGGGTTTTTGTTGTTTTGTTTTTGTTGTTGTTGTCGTCGTTTTAAGAGATAAGATCTCGAGCACAGTGGTTCATGCCTGTAATCCCAGCACTTTGGAAGGCTGAAATGGGCTGATCACCTGAGGTCAGGAGTTCAAGACCAGCCCGGGCAACATGGTGAAACCCTGTCTCTACTAAAAATAGCTGTAGTCCCAGCTACTCAAGAGACCGAGGCAGGAGAATCACTTGAACCCGGAAGGCAGAGGTTGCTGTGAGCTGAGATCACGCCACTGTACTCCAGCCTGAGCAACAGAGTGAAACTCTGTCTCAAAAAAAAAAAAAAAAAAAAGAGATGAGGTCTTACTGTGTTGCCTAGGTTGGAATACAGTGGGTATTCACAGGCACAATCTTAGTGCTCTACAGCCTTGAACTCCTGTGCTCACGGTTTCCTCACACGTCAGCCTTCTGAGTAGGTGAGACTACAGGCGCACACCACTACCCCCAGCTTTGTTTTAACCACTCACTTTGCAGACTTTGGACTTCCCTTAGACTAAAAGCTGTAAAAACACAGGAAACCCATTCAGTCCTCTTCTCTTCCAGGTATCCACCTCTGTGCAGTATATTCCTCCTGTTGTTTGCTAATGCCTTCAGGTAGTTTTTGTTTGTTCTTTAATATTTTGCTCTGAGTATATCATTCTTATTTACAGAAGACTTGGTGTGATGGGAATTACTCAGCCATAATTGGAACTTCCTCCTGTGTTTTTTGACATATTCCCATCATTTTGCTGGGGTGTTGGGGGTGGCAGGGGACTTCCTTAATTTCTATCACAATAGGATATTTTAAGCTTAGCTTATACTTTCCTTGTTCCAGCCCTGAAGTCATCCATTTCTCTAAGAAGCTGTTTCTTTGTTGTGAGGAATAATATTTAGAAACCAAGATCTTGGTACCAAGCCTGCTCATTGTTACATTGTGTTATTGCTTCTAAGCCTTCAACACACAGAGGCCAAACCTCTAGCTCTATCTCTACAAATGTATATGAAGTTATGGGTTTATACTGATGCCTCTAACACCAGTTCCACCCATCTAAGGTTCCTTTGTATTCCCTAATTCATATTTAAATCTACTTTTTTCCTACAGTGAGAACTCTAGCTTCCACATTCTTTTATATGTCATTTGCTTAATTCTATAATATGCACAATATAATGTCATAATTGCTATTCCCATACCACTTCTCCTTCAGTACAGTTTTGTTGTTCATTTGTAACATGAGTTAATTTCTGTTTTCATTCAGTTTAGGGTCTCCTCCAATCTTGGGGATTTCATTTATTGAATTTATCATTTTATTTCCAAATATTCTATTTTCAGGCCAGGCATGGTGGCTCACACCTGTAATCCCAGCGATTTGGGAGGCTGGGTCAGGAAGATCACTTGAGCTCAAGATTTTGAGACCAGCCTGGGACACATAGTTCCTGTTTCTGCAAAAGAAAAAAAAAGAAAAGGAAAAAAAAGTATATATATGTTCTATTTTGAAAACTGCTGAATCTTTTGTTGTAATAGCTTTATTGAGATATAATTCATATACCATACGACTCACCCATTTAAAGCGTACAAGTCAACAATTTTTAATACTCACAGAATTGTGCAACCATAGCCACAATTAATTTTAGAACTTTCCACTCGGGCGCAGTGGCTCCTGCCTGTAATCCCAGAACTTTGGGAGGCCAACTTGGGCAGATCACCTGAGGTCAGGAGTTCAAGACCAGCCTGGCAAACATGGTGAAACTCCATCTCTACAAAAATACAAAAATTAGCCGGGCATGATGGCGGGTGCCTGTAATCCTACCTACTCGGGAGGCTGAGGCAGGAGAATTGCTTTAACCGGGGAGGTGGAGGTTGTAGTGAGCCGAGATCACGCCATTGCACTCTAGCCTGGGCGACAGAGTGGGACTCCATCTCAAAAAGAAAAAAAAAGGAAAAAAAAGAAACCTCAGCAGAGGAGGAAAAACTGTAAAAAAAAGAAAAAAAAAGAATTTTGTGCATAGAAATTGAAAATTTGGAAATGAAAATTTCAGACTAAAAATTAAAATGTCAAAGAAATCAAGTATTACAGCTCTTTTAGAATCCGTCTAGCAGGTTTTCCAGTTTTTACCAGAAAACTCTCCAAAAAAATTTTTTTTAAATAGTCCGGGCATAGTGGCTGACACTTGTAATCCCAACAGCTGGGGAGGCCAAGGCCGGAGGATTGCTTGAACCCAGGAATTTGAGACCAGCCTGGGAGATCCTGTCTCTACAAAAAATAAAAAAATAAAAAAAAAATCCTGTCTTTACAAAAAAAAAAACAACACAAAAAATTAGTCAGGTAAGGTGGCATGTACTTGTAGTCCTAGCTAATTGGGAGGCTGAGGTGGGAGGATTGCTGAGCCCAGGAGGTTGAGGCTGCAGTGAGCCATGTTCATGGCACAGCATTCCAGCCTGGGCGACAGAGTGAGACTTTGTCTCAAAAAAATAAATAAGGGCTGGGCACAGTGGCTGTAATCCCAGCACTTTGGGAGGCCAAGGAGGGCAGATCACTTGAGGTCAGGAGTTTGAGACCAGCCTGGCCAACATGGTGAAACCCCGTCCCTACTAAAAATACAAAAATTAACTGGGCATGGTGGTGTGCACCTGTAATCCCAGCTACTCAGGAGGCTGAGGCAGGAGAATTGCTTGAACCCGGGAGGCAGAGGTTGCAGTCAGCCGAGATTGTGCCACTGCACTCCAGCCCAGCCTGGGGGACAGAGCAAGACTCCATCTCAAATAAATAAATAAATAAATAGGGCCAGGTGAGGTGGTTCACGTCTGTAATCCCAGCACTTTGGGAGGCCGAGGCAGGAGGATCACTTGGGCCCAGGGGTTTTATTTATTGTTTTAATTTAATTTAATTAATTTATTTATTTTTGTCATGGAGTCTCCTCTGTTGCCCAGGCTGGAGTGCAGTGGCGCCATCTAGGCTTACTACAACCTTTGCCTCCCAGGCTCAAGTGATTCTGTTGCCTCAGCCTCCTGAGTAGCTGGGACTGCAGGTGTGCACTGCCACACTTGGCTAGTTTTTGTATTTTTAGTAGAGACGGGGTTTCGCCAGTGTTGCCCAGGCTGGTCTCTCCTGGCCTTAAGTGATCTGCCCACCTCAGCCTCCCAAAATGCTGGGATTAAAGGCTTGAGCCACAGCACCCGGCCTGAGCCCAGAGGTTCTAGACCAGCCTAAGCAACATAGCAAAACCTCATCTCTCTCTCTCTCTCTCTATCTCTCCATATACATATATATATATTTGGCCAGGGGTGGTGGCGCTTGCCTATAATCCCAGATACTTGGGAGACTGAGGTGGGAGAATCACTTGAAACTAGGATGTGGAGGTTGCAGTGAGCCGAGATCGTGCCTCTACACTTTAGCCTGTGCAACAAAGGGAGACTCCATCTCAAAAAAAAAAAGATAACCTGACACTGGAAAAGTCTGGCAGATACCACCTTAACCTAATGATCAAGGCTAACATCACTAGTAATGGGGAAATCAAAATTGTGTACCACCTGACAGGATGCAATGAGAGCACAGCATCCCTTTCATGCTATTCCTGCTAAAGATAATACATTTCCTAAATCTAATCATGAGGAAACATCAGACAAGTCCAAACTGAGCAACATTTTGCAGATTAATTGTCCTATGATCATCAAAAGTGTCAAGGTTATGAAAGCCAAAGAAAGAATATTTCCCTGACTGAAGGATACTAAAACGATGCAGTAACTGCTAAGCATTACGTCTAATTGGATCGTTTATGCATAAAAGACATTATTGGGATAAATGGTGAAATTTTATCAGCTGCTGAGGATTAATTTCCTGATACTGATTATTGTATTATGGTTACAAAATGTATGTTGTCTATGTGGTTATGTATGTGTGTTTGGAGAAAATACACACTAAAGTATTTGGGGGTGATAAAACTTGTCAGGTTGTCAACTTACTTGCAAATAGTTCATGAAGAAATAATACTTTTGTACTTTAAAAAACAATTCTGGGCCGGGAGCGGTGGCTCACGCCTGTAATCCCAGCACTTTGGGAGGCCGAGGCGGGCAGATTGCCTGAGCTCAGGAGTTCACGACCAGCCTGGGCAACATGGTGAAACCCCATCTCTACTAAAATACAAAAAAATTAGCCAGATGTGGCAGCATGCACCTGTAATCCCAGCTACTCAGGAGGCTGGGGCAGGAGAATTGCTTGAACCCGGGAGGTGGAGGTTGCAGTGAGCCAAGATCACTGCACTCCAGCCTGGGCGACAGAGCAAGACATCATCTCAAAAAAAAAAAAAAAAAAAAACACTGTAAATTTAAAATAATTTAAACGTTTTAAAAGTGAATTTTTTGGCCGGGCACAGTGGCTCATGCCTGTAATCCTAGCACTTTGGGAGGCCGAGGTGGGCAGATCACCTGAGGTCAGTAGTTCAAGACCAGCCTAGCCAACATGACAAAACCCTATCCCTACTAAAAATACAAAAAGTAGCTGGGCATGGTGGCAGGAGCCTATAATCCCAGCTACTTGGGAGGCTGAGGCAGGAGAATTGCTTGAACCCAGGAGGTGGAGGTTGCATTAAGCTAAGATTGTGCCACTTCACTCCAGCCTGGGCAAAAGAGCAAAACTCCGTCTCAAAAAATAAAATAAATAAATAAAAATAAAAGTGAATTTTTTTTCCAGATAGCCACTTCAATTTTGATTACTCTTATCCTGGAGCTGCTAAACATTGATTGATATATTTTATATCCATTTGTATTGTATATAATTTGCTTATTTGGGAATTCTTCTTCTACTTCTTAACATTTATTTCCTCAATGAGATTTTTTTTTTTTTTTTTCAGACAGAGTCTCACTCTGTCGCCCAGGCTGGAGTGCAGTGATGCGATCTTGGCCACTGCAACCTCCGTCTCACAGGTTCAAGCGATTGTCCTGCCTCAGCCTCCCAAGTAGCTGGGATTACAGGCATGTACCACCACACCTGGCTAATTTTTGTGTTTTTAGTAGAGACAGGGTTTCACCATGTTGGCCAGGCTGGTCTCGAACTCCTGACCTCAAGCAATCCACCTGCCTCGGCCTCCCAGAGTGCTGGGATTACAGGCGTGAGTCACCACGCCTGGCCTTTTTTTGAGACGGAGTCTCACTGTCACTCAGGCTGGAGTGCAGTGGCATGATCTTGGCTTACTGCAACCTCTGCCTCCCAGGTTCAAGCAACCTTTTCCTGCCTTGGCCTCCCGAGTAGCTGGGATTACAGGCGCGCTCCACCATGCCCAGCTGATTTTTGTATTTTTAGTAAAGACGGGATTTCGCCATGTTGCCCAGGCTGGTCTCAAACTCCTGACCTCAAATGATCTGCCTGCCTCGGCCTCCCAAAGTGCTGGGATTACAGGCATGACCTACCGCGCGCGGCCCTCATTGAGATTTTTAAACACCCAAAGAATACAGATTATGCTTTTGTTTCTCTTGTATTAATATTCCTTTGTGGTCTCAAGTAGCCACTCTTAGCCACTTGTAAACACTAAAGGGTTTGGAGCATATGAATAATCTGACTAGCTCAGTTGACGCTTTCAATTTAAGCCCATGGAAAAACCGTTTAAATCATCTCTCTTAAGTCATATGATGGATCTGTGGACTACATCTGTGCTGATTGCTCTTTCATACCAATCAGAGGCCCCTGGGATTCATAGGAATACACGTCTCCATGGAAAAATGAGTCACTCCACCAACGCACAGCTGGACTCTCACACTCAGAGCACAATAGAAATGTGGAAATCTAAGTGAAGCACAAGGAATCTGTAACTGAACAAGAGTTTACACTCTTCCTGTTCTGTTAGGTTGTGAAATGGAAACACCGTTTCCTGGGAAAAGGGCCCGATTCCACAAATGAAATGGTTTTGCTTTAATATGCACAGCTGCTAAACACTTACTGCGTTTACTGAAAGTGGCTTGTTTGAAAGGTCTGGTCTTGGTTCCAGCTGGAAAGTTGAAAGGAAGGGGCTCTTCTCTTGTGCAACAAAATGGGTTTAACAGAAACAGTCTCTTTGAACACCAGTTCTGAATTGGTTCAAGTGAGAGAAAGGGAAAAGGGTCATGCACATTATTTGCCACACATTGTGTATCAAACATTTTGATATGTCCCTTTACAGATGTGAACACATTTCATCCTTAAAACAACCTTAGTATTTTTTATTATGGGAAACTTCAGGCGGGGCTTGGTGGCTCACGTCTGTAATCCCAGCACTTTGGGAGGCTGAGGCGGGCAGATCACTTGAGGTAAGGAGTTGGAGACCAGCCTGGCCAACATGGTGAAACCCTGTCTCTAATAAAAATACAAAAATAAGCCAGGCGTGGTGGTGGGTGCCTGTAAACCTAGCTACTCGGGAGGCTGTGGCAGGAGAATCACTTGAACCCAGGTGTCAGAGGTTGCAGTGAGCCGAGATCGTGCCACTGCACTCCAGCCTGGGAGACAGAGCAAGACCCTGTCTCAAAAAATAATACAATACAATACAATACCATACAATACAATACAATACAATACAATACAATACAATACAATACAATACAATACAATACAATACAATACAATACAATGGTGTAGTATTGGCATATAACCTAATGCACATCCTCTCATATACTTTAAATCATCTCTAGCTTACTTAGGCCTAATACGATGCCCACACATCACTTCATTTTTGTGGATTCAACACAGTACTTGGCAAATTCATATTTTGCTTTTTGGAATTTTGTGGAATTTTTTTCCTAATAATTTCTATCCACAGTTGGTTGAATCCATGGGTGTGGAACCTAAGGATACAGAAGGCAGAGACGGGATAATGAATCCCTATGTACATATCACCCAGCTTCAACCATAATCAACAAATAGTCCAGCTTGTTTCATTTATATCCCATCTACTTCCGCCAGAATTATTGTGAATCAAATCTTAGATGTGATATCATATCATCTGTAAATACTTCAGTATATATCTCAAAAATGTACGAATTTTTTAAAAACATAACCACAATGCTGCTATCATACTTAAATTTTTTTTTTTTTTGAGATAGGGTCTCACTCTGTCGCTCAGGCTGGAGTGCAGTGGCACAAGCCCAGCTCATTGCAGCCTCCACCTCCCAGGCTCAAGCCATTCTCCCGCCTCAAAAAAATAAATAAATAAATACAAAGATTAGTGAGTGGGTTGAGTTGTTACTTTGATATAATAGAGTTCCCCACAATTTTCTGCCTAATAGTTTTAGCGGGCATTAATGATCATTAGCTCATTTTTTCACTAGAGGCTACAAAATAGTGACATTTTAATCCATCATTCCTTCTTTATTTATGAGCTGAAATTATTTTATAAATAAGTGCTTTCCTTCACCCAGCCGCTATTTGGTTACACAGAGGTACAATCCAAACAGAAAAGGTAAGATTTTTTTTTTTTTTTGGAACAGAGTTTCACTCTTGTCCACCAGGCTAGAGTGCAATGGAGTGATCACTGCAACCTCTGCCTCCTGGGCCCAAGTGATTCTCCTGCCTCAGTCTCCCGAATAGCTGGGATTACAGGTGTGCACAAGCACGCCCGGCTAATTTTGGTATTTTTAGTAGACACAAGGCTTCACCATGTTGGCCAGGCTGGTCTTAAACTCCTGACCTCAAGTGATCCTCTTGCCTCGGCCTCCCAAAGTGTTAGGATTACAGGCATGAGCCACTTCATCCGGCCAGAAAAGGTAGGATTAATGCTTCATTGATTCTCTTTATTTGCCAATTTGTTTGTTTGTTTGAGACAGAGTCTTGCTCTGTCACCCAGGCTGGGATACAGTGGCGTGATCTCAGCTCACTGCAACCTCTACCTCCCGGGTTCAAGTGATTCTCCTGCCTCAGCCTCCCAAGTAGCTGGGACTACAGGCATGCGCCACCACACCCGGCTAGTTTTTGTATTTTTTGGTAGAGACAGGGTTTCACCATGTTGGCCAGGGTGATCTTGAACTCCTGACCTCAAATGATCCGCCTGCCTTGGCCTCCCAAAGTGCTGGAATTACAGGCGTGAGCCACTGCACCCAGCCAAAATTGTAATATTTTAGACTCCTCCTTCTCCTTCAGTATCTACATGTACTCATTCATCAAGCCCTAATGGTTTTCATGCTATAGTGCTCACCCATCAGTCCTCTCTCTGTGCCCCGTAATGCTCTAGTTCAAATGATCATCTTCCCCTGCTGGGACTATTGCAGTAGTCTCCTGTTAGATCTCCTTTTTTCTAGTCCCAGCACCTTCCAAACTATCATTTACAGTTTTTCAAATCAATTTTCATTCTAAAATGCATTATGAATTGGAAGGAAAAGGTTGGAGACACAGAGACAAACTAGGAAAGTACAGTAACAGCCATCAGCTGGTAACAACAGGATCAGACAGACAGTCACAGAAATGGGAATTACAGGGGAGTGATAATGAAGGAAGGAAGGCAGGATCTGGGATTTCATTTGCTTTAGTAGATGAGAGAAAGAGAGGAGATAAATATAATTCTAAGGTTGGAGTCTCTGGTGTTTGATAGGACGGTCCCACCATCAACAGAAATAAGCCAAGAAGCATTCTAGCTTTTGAGGAAAGATATTTGGTTTAGGCGGGGCATGGTGGCTCACGCCTGTAATCCCAGCACTTTGGAAGGCTGAGGTGGGTGGATTATGAGGTCAGGAGTTCGAGACCAGCCTGACCAACATGGTGAAACCCCGTCTCTACTAAAAATACAAAAATTAGCCAGACGTGGTCATGCGCACCTGTAATCCCAGCTACTCGGGAGGCTTAAGCAGGAGAATTGCTTGAACCCAGGGGGCAGAGGTTGCAGTGAGCCGAGATTGTGCCACTGTATTCCAGCCTGGGTGACAGAGCAAGACTCCGTCTAAAAAAAAAATTAGCCTGTTGTGACCAGTAGTCCAAGCTACTTGGGAGGCTGAGGAAGGAGGATGGCTAGAGACCAGTAGTTTGAGGTTGCAGTGAGCCATGATTGTGCCATTGCACACCAGCTTGGGCAACAGGGAGACTGTCTCTTAAAAAAACAAAAAAATGGAAACAACTCAAACGTCCATCAGCTGATGAATGGATAAACAGCATGGGGCATATTTATACAACGGAATATAGCCATAAAGAGGAATGAAGTATTGATACATGCTACAACATAGATCAACCTTGAAAACATGCTAAGTAAAAGAAGCGAGACACAAAAGGCTACAAATTGTATGATTCCATTCATATGAAGTGTTCAGAACAGGAAAATCTATAGAGACTTAAAACTTACTGGTTGCTAGGGGACAGGGAAGAGAGGAGTGGGGAGTGACAGCTAATGGGTATGAGGTAACAGTGGTGAATTTCACCTGAGCCCTGTGCTCTTGGAAAACATCCAAGGTTAAAGGAATCCCCTATGTTTTTGTTTACTGCCAAGAACCACCCTTCCCCATGTGACTCGCAGATGCCCCCCATTGTTTACCTGTGACAGGAACAGACACAGAACTTCAAATTCTTATTCTCTGCCTCATGAATGACCAGCTAAACTGGTTTTCCCAACACTGATCACGATGAACAAAATGCTCATTAAACAAATTTTGTTGGTTCAGCGTGGTGGCTCACACCTGTAATCTCAGCACTTTGGGAGGCCAAGGTGGGCAGATCACCTGAGGTCAGGAGTTCAAGGCCAGCCTGGCCAACATAGTGAAACCCGTTTCTACAAAAATACAAAAATTAGCCGGGCATGATGGCGTGTGTCTGTAATCCCAGTTACTCAGGAGGCTGAGGTGGGAGAATCACTTGAACCCGGGAGGCGGAGGTTGCAGTGAGCCGAGATCACGCCATTGTACTCCAGCCTGGGTGACAGAGTGAGACTCCGTCTCAAAAATAAATAAATAAATAAAAGGCTGGGCTCGGTGGCTTAAGCCTGTAATCTGAAGTTGGGACTTCGAGACCAGGCTGACCAACATGGAGAAACCCTGTCTCTACTAAAAATACAAAAAATTAGCCGGGCATGGTGGCGCATGCCTGTAATCCCAGCTACTCGGGAGGCTGAGGCAGGAGAATCTCTTAAACCTGGGAGGCGGAGGTTGCTATGAGCCAAGATAGCGCCAGTGCACTCCAACCTGGACAACAAGAGCGAAACTCCGTTTCAAAAAAAAAAAATAACACATTTTGTTTAAGCTTTTCTTCTTCCTCCAGGCCCTGAACTCTGGCCCACCCTCACTGGGCCTGAGCCAGCACACAACCCCTCCTGAGGATAGCCTGACCTCAGGGTAAAACATTCTCTGATCTATTCTCTCATCAGGCCACTTTCCTCCTATTCTCTACACCTGGTTCTTTCTAGCTTTGTTTACTCCTCTCTATAAAAGGAAAAAGGTCTGGCCCTTAAGACATTTGCAGAACTATGGGCCGATCCTTCTCCCTATTGCAATAGACTCCCTCCCCGTATTGCAACAGTCTTTTTCCCCTCCTTGCAAACATTCTTTAGGATAAAGTCTCCCTTTAGTGTTTTTTCTTTGTCGGGGGCTTTCTGGGGGCTGATGAAAGTTGATTCTTGCACAACATTGTGAATATGGTAAAATCTATTCAATTGTATGCTTTAGGTGAATTGTGTGGTATGTGAATTCTACCTCAATAAAGTTATATTGTTTAACCTTTTAAAGCAGTATTAAAAGCTTTTTTTTTTTTTTTGTCCAAATGTACCAGTTTATGCTTGTAATCCCAACACTTTGGGAAGCCGAGCCTAGGAGTTTGAAACCAGCCTGGGAAACAGCGAGATCCCATCTCTACGACAATTTTTGAAAATTAGCTGGGTACAGTGGCTCATGCCTGTAACCCCAGCACTTTGGAAGGCTGAGGCAGGCGGATCGCTTGAGCTCAGGAGTTCAAGACCAGCCTGGAGAACATAGTGAGACCTTGTCTCTACAAAAATACAAAAGTAAGTCAGGTGTGGTGGTGCATGCCTGTAGTCCCAGCTACTTGGGAGGCTGAGGTAGGAGGATTGCTTGAGCCTGGGAGGTTGAGGCTGCAGTAAGCTGTGATCATGCCACTGCACTCCAGCCTGGGCAACAGAACAAGACCCTGTTTCAATATAAATAAATAAATAAAGCTATTTAAAAAAAGAAAATGAAAGGAAGAAAAAATAAGCTAGCAAATGGGACAAGTAAATAAAAATAGTACAGTGTCCAAGGCTAAGAGGGAAGAATCTCAAAGATAAATTGGTCAGCAGTGCTAAATCAGAGTTCAAATAAAATTAGAAAAGGCTGGGTGTGGTGGCTCATGCCTGTAATCCCAACAGTTTGGAGGCAAAGGCAGGAGCTTAGGAGTTTGAGACCAGCCTGGGCAACAACATAAAAAAAGAAGAAAGAAAGAAAGAAAAGGAGAAACAATTGGTGGAATCTAGGGTTTCTTAGTTTTGCTTTTTTTTTTGAGACAGGTTCTCACTCTGTCACCCAGGCTGGAGTGCAGTGGTGCGATCTTGGCTCACTGCAGCCTCTGCCCCCTGGGCTCAAGCAATCCTCCCACCTCAGCCTCCCGAGTTGCTGGGACCACAGGCACACGCTGCCATGCCTGGCTAATTTTTGTATTTTTAGTAGAGACGGGGTTTTACCACTTTGCCCACGCTGGTAAAACTGTATGTATTTTGCTTTATTTTCTGCAGCCCCCTTCTCCTGTTTTTTTGTATTTTCTGTTTGTTAGCCTGAATCACTGCTTCTCTGAAACTAAAATTCCCACTCCACAGCAAAAGTGCTGGTTGTGTCCTTTGGATGGTTTCTAGCACCAAACTATGCATAAATTAGCACTTAATAAATAATTTTGACTGTTTTCTGGTTCAGGGAAGTTACCCTATATATTAATATTTGAAGGCAAAGAAAGGAAGGGATTTTGAGAAAGAGAAACATACAAATATTATAGGCATTTTTCATATATGTATATCAGAGAGACAAGAATAGTGCCTATAAAACTGGCAAAAAAAAAATCACTGTTGTTTGTGGCAGCTGTGAGCCAGCTGCTGAGGGCTAGCCTCCCATGTGAGACGGTTGTCCCAATGTGAAGACACATCATTTGTCCCAGCTGTTTATTATTAACAAAACACACAGTCTCCCTGGGATCTCTCCCAGCACAGATCCAAAACTGAACAGAACATATTACATATTACACCCTTTGCTGGATCTCCCTAAATGTAAACTGATAAGACTTATGGCAGAACCATGATAAGAGGAGATGAGCAGTGCTTGGCTATTCCCCAGTGCCCTTTCACACCGCAAGATACTGGGTTTGGGAGGGGGTCCTTTCCCCCTCCTTTGTACCTACCCTCACCTGTGAACCCTTCCCCACTCTTCCTGAGAGTAGTGACTGCTTTCCCTATGCTGGGGGGGAGCTTTCAGCTGTGTCAGACACTATGCATCTGGCCAGGTGCAGAGTTTCACACCTGTAATGCCAGCACTTTGGGAGGCCGAGGTGAACAGATCACTTGAGCCCAGGAGTTCAAGAGTGGCCTGGGAAATATGGCAAAACCCCATCTCTACAAAAAAAAAAAAAAAAAAAAAATTTAGCCAGGTGTAGTGGCATACAGCTGTAGTCCCAACTACATGGGAGGCTGATAGGAGGCTCACCTGAGCTCAGGAAGTCGAGGCTGCAACAAGCTGAGATCGCACCACTGCACTCAAGCCTGGACAACAGAATGTGACTTTGTCTTTAAAAAAAAAAAAAATGCTGGGGGTGGCCAGGCGTGGTGTCTCATGCCTGTAATCCCAGCACTTTGGGTGGATCACCTGAGATCAGGTGTTTGAGACCAGCCTGGCCAACATGGTAAAACCCATCTCTACTCAAAATACAAAAATTAGCTGGGCATGGTGCTGTGTGCCTGTAATCCCGGCTACTCAGGAGGCTGAGGCAGGAGAATCACTTGAACCCGGGAGGCGGAGGTTGCAGTGAGCCAAGATCGCGCCACTGCAGTCCAGCCTGGCAACACAGCGAGACTCCGTCTCAAAAAAAAAAAAAAGGCCGGGTGCAGTGGCTCACGCCAATAATCCCAGCACTTTGGGAGGCCGAAGCAGGCGGGTCACCTGAGATCAGGAGTTCAAGACCAGCCATGGCCAACATGGCGAAACCCCAACTCTATAAAAATTAGCCAGATGTGGTGGTGGGTGCCTGTGATCCCAGGTACTTGGGAAGCTGAGGGAGGAGAATCTGGGAGGCAGAGGTTGCAGTGAGCTGAGATGGCGCCACTGTACTCCAGCCTGGGCAACAGTGAGACTCCGTCTCAAAAAAAAAAAAAAAAAAAAAAGGACTAGACTTGATTTATCCTCATTAAAGTCCCTAGCCCAGTAAATGGCTAGTGCGAAGTAGTCATGTTTTATTGAACAAGTAGATGGATGGAAGAATACGATAGAGCACCCTGTAAGATTCTAACTGCTGACATGTTGCATCCTGGTGTCCTTTTTCTGGGCCAAAGGGGTTGTTTGCTTTTACCTCACTATCCCTTTTATGGATTCTGTCTCAGTGGCTGAAAGCACACAATGGAACAGTGTGCCTTTCAGCAAGCAAATAGAGTGAGCAATGGAAAATGCAAACCAACAACCCTGAATGCAGGCAATGGCATGCTGAATGCAGTTACAAATGAAGAGAAACTGCTTATTTTCACTGGAATGGAGTGAAATGCTCTGGAAAGGACTGCTCTGCTCCAGTTTGCGGCATCTGTGCTGGTGGAGCTAGTACAATATGCCTCAGCATGCCCCCTGTTGGACTTAGCTGGCATTTAGTAAGAAAAGGAATGTGAGAGAAACTTGTTGATGCAGATTTTTCTCCAACATAGGCATGCAGGGGTAGGGCCCTTTTACAGAAATCATCCATTAAGGAGGCATTAAATGAGTCAGAGATGTATTCACTGGACTACCCCTGGGACATAACTTGACTCATCCACAAATTCTGACATTCCTGTTTGAAGAAGTGGTATAGAAATACTTTCCTGATGAGGCTGGGCACAGTGGCCCATTCCTGTAATCCCAGCACTTCAGGAGGCCAAGACGGGAGGATCACTTGAGCCCAGGAGTTCAAGACCAGCCTAGGCAACGTGGCAAAACCCCATGGCTGGGACTCTGTCTCTACAAGAAATTTAAAAATTAGCCAGGTGTGGTGGTGTGTACCTGTGGTCCCAGCTACTCTGGAGGCTGAGTTGGGAGGATTGCTTGAGCCCAGCAGTTCGAGGCTGCAGTAAGCCCTGATTGAGCAACTGCACTCCAGCCTAGGCAACAGAATGAGATCCTGCCTCAAAAGCAAAAAACAAAAACAAAAAAATCCCACTTGTCTTCAGCAACTCCTCCCCCATGAGATTTAAATTGTAATCTGTAAATGTCCATTGATAGGGAACTGGTTAAACAAATATAGTAGACGTATACATTGGAAAACAAGGCAGTTCTACATGTACTGATATGGAACTATCCATAAAACATATTAATAACTGAAAACAGGAAAGTGCTGAAATATATATATGTATGATCATATATGCAGAAATAGTCTATAGAAGATTCCGCAAGAGAATAGTAATAATAGGCTTGGCATGGTGGCTCACACCTGTAATCCCAGCACTTTGGGAGGCCGAGGTGGGTGAATCATCTGAGGTCAGGAGTTCAAGACCAGCCTCGCCAACATGGTAAAACTCCTTCTCTACTAAAAATACAAAAATTAGCCAGGCGTAGTGGCACATGCCTGTAATCTCAGCTACTTGGGAGGCTGAGGCATGAGAATTGCTTGAACCCGGGAGGCAGAGGTTGCAGTGAGCCGAGATGGTGCCACTATACTCTAGCCTGGGAAACAAGAGCAAAACTCCACCTAAAAAAAAAAAAGAGAATATAGTAATAATTGATGTCTCCTGGAAAAGAAACTAGTTGCTGGGATAGAGATAAAATTTTTTAGAGGCCGGGTGCTGTGGCTCATGCCTGTAATCCCAGCACCTTGGGAGGCCGAGGTGGGTGGATCACCTGATGTCAGGAGTTCGAGACCAGGCTGACCAACCTGGTGAAACCCCGTCTCTACTAAAAGTACAAAAAATTAGCTGGGCGAGGCCAGGCACAGTGGCTCACGCCTGTAATCCCAGCACTTTGGGAGGCCGAGGCAGGCGGATCATGAGGTCAGAAGATCGAGACCATGCTGGCTAACATGGTGAAACCCCGTCTCTACTAAAAATACAAAACATTAGCCAGGCGTGGTGGCAGGCACCTGTAGTCCCAGCTACTTGGGAGGCTGAGGCAGGAGAATCGCTTGAACCCAGGAGGCGGAAGGTGCAGTGAGCTGAGATCATGCCATTGCACTCCAGCCTGGGCAACAGAGCAAGACTCCGTCTCAAAAAAAAAAAAAAATTAGCTGGGCATGGGGGCACACACCTGTAATCCCAGCTACTTGGGAGGCTGAGGCAGGAGAATCGCTTGAACCCGGGAGGTGGAGGTTGCAGTGAGCCGAGATTGTGCCATTGCACTCTAGCCTGGGTGACAGAGAGAGACTCCATCTCAAAAAAAAAAATGATAATAATAATAATCATCATCATCTAAGGATCTTATGGGACACTTAAGAAATGAAGGTCCTATAAGGTTCTCTACTGTCACTCCTCTTTTTTCCAAAAGCTTTTTCAATCCTTAGTAGAAGGAATTTAAATTACTTTAATACATTTCTCCTAAATTCTAAAGTAAGTTGGTAATCTGCCAGTTCTAGCAGTTATATGTGTATATATGATCTTATATACTAGCTTAATTCTACTTGAGCCTCAAATGAGAAAGCCATTTGTTTGTGAGAAAACAGTTATTGAAGTGTTAGGGTACCCGGTGTGGTGGCACACCTGTAGTCCAAGCTACTTGAGAGGGTGAGGTGGGAGGATCACTTGAGTCCAGGAGGTCAAGACTGCAGTGAGCTGTGATTGTGCCACTGCACTCAGCCTGCATGACAGAGCAAGACCTTGTCTCAAAAAAAAAAAAAAAGTTGGAAAAAACACAAAGCCGAAGTGGCTCACGCCTGTATTCCTAGCATTTTGGGAGGCCAAGGCAGGTGGATCCCTTGAGCCTAGGTGTTTGAGACCAGCGTGGGCAACACGGTGAAACCCCATTTCTACAAAAAATACAAAAATTAGCTGGGTGTGATGGTGTGCGCTTATAGTCACAGCTATTTGGGAGGCTGAGGTGGGAGGATCACCTGAACCCGGGAGTTCGAGGCTGCAGGGTCAACAGAGTGAGACTCTGTCTTAAAAAAAAAAAAAAAAAGGCGGGGCACAGTGGCTCACACCTGTAATCCCAGCACTTTGGGAGGCCAAGGTGGGTGGATCACGAGCTCAAGAGATTGAGACCATCCTGCCCAACATGGCGAAACCCCGTGTCTACTAAAAATACAAAAAAAAAATTATCTGGGTGTGGTGGTGCGTGCCTGTAGTCCCAGGTACTCGGGAGGCTGAGGCAGAAGAATCGCTTGAACCCAGGAAGTGGAGGGTGCAGTGAGCCAAGACTGCACCACTACACTCCAGCCTGGCAAAAGAGTGAGACTCCATCTCAAGAAAAAAAAAAAAAAAAAGGAAAAAAAGAGGTTACCAGTAACCACGTATCTTGCCTTTCTAGCAGAAACAGTACTTCAGGATAACCTGATAAACAGCCCTAGTTGATGGCTCCATTTTCTATGAGAATTTCGGATAACAAATATGGTGTTGTAAACCCTTAAAAAACCCTACAATGTTGTTAGGGCACTAACCCAGTCCCTGCACTGTCGGTCTCCTTTCTGAGTTTGTGGGTTCTCTGTCTGGGTTGAGGAGGCCCTGGGTCCCCATAGACCAGTTTTTCACTCTTCCTAATGATAATGGATACCAGACTAGAAGTGACCTTTTGCCAGGACCATCATCCAGCCAGCTGGGGAAACCCAAGTGTGGTTTCCTAAGGAGGGAAAAGGGTTGCCGCTTTTCTGTGGGAAAGGGAGCTGGCGCCACTTCAGACACTCACAGCACCAGTGCTGTGCTAGACAGCAAAATGGGGGAGGATGGGCAGCCTCCCTATTTCTGGACTTTCTGCACTAAGGACCCTCCTTGGGCCTGCTCAGAATTGCCTGCTCCCTTGTACCCAGCATGGATGAAAATATGCTTTGGTTAATCTTCTGAAACAGCACATGGGAGTTGGGGAGTGGCTGTGGGTGCCTGTCTCCCTGCCCCAGTGGAAGGCTTAGAGCAGAAGGTGGAAAGAGCATGAAAGCAGGAGTCCAGACCTGGGTTCAAGTGCCAATGCCAACACTAACCTGCGAGTGATCTCTGGCAAGCCACCTGTCTTCTGCAGGCTTTCCTTTTCCTGTCTGTCAAATGAGGGGGTGGGATTTGATGGTCTCTCCGATGGCTTACTGTTAGTCCCTGGAATCTTGAAAGAGAAATGGACTCCTAGATCCTGCTCACTGAGATTGGTGTCAGCTGCCTCTGAGGGGGCGGTGGGAGGGGGAACACAGGGAAAGGTGAGTTTTAGAGAGAGGTGAGACGTGGGTTTGTGGGTTGCTTTTGTTTTTGTTTTTTTTGTTTTTTTGAGACAGAGTCTCACTCTGTCTGCACTCAGACAGTGGATTACCAACTGGCAGATTACCAACTTACTTTAGAATTTAGGAGAAATGTATTAAAGTAATTTAAATTCCTTCTACTAAGGATTGAAAAAGCTTTTGGAAAAAAGAGGAATTCTACTCTGTAGAATTCCACTCAGGCTGGAGTGCAATGGCGCGAATCTCAGCTCATTGCAACCTCTGCCCCCCGGGTTCAAGTGATTCTCCTGCCTCAGCCTCCCGAATAGCTGGGATTACAGGCATGCGCCACCACGCCTGGCTAATTTTGTATTTTTAGTAGAGATGGGGTTTCTCCATGTTGGTCAGGCTGAGGTCGAACTCCCGACCTCAGGTGATCCACCCACCTCCGCCTCCCAAAATGAGCCACTGCGCCTGGCCTAATTTTTGTATTTGTAACAGAGACGGGGTTTCACCATCTTGGGCCAGGCTGGTCTTGAACTCCTGACCTCGTGATCCACCCGCCTGGGCCTCCCAAAGTGCTGGGATTACAGGCATGAGCCACCGCGCCTGGCCTAAGAGAGGTGGGCTTTTAAAAAGGGCTTTACACCAGGCGCGGTGGCTCCCAGCACTTTGAGAGGCTGAAACCAGCAGATCACTTGAGCTCAGGAGTTCGAGACCAGCCTGGTCAAAATAGTGTACACCCCGTCTCTTAAAAAAATAAAAATTGAAAAAAATAAAAATTGAAATTAGCTGGGCGTGGTGGCAAGCGCCTATAGTCTCATCTACTCAGGAGGCTGAAGTGGGAGGATTGCCTGAGCCCAAGAGGTCGAGGCTGCAGTGAACTGTGATCAGACCGCTGCACTCCAGCCTGGGTGACAGAGTGACACCCTGTCTCAGAAAGGGGGGTTGGGAGGTGGGCTTTATTTTCCGTTTGATTGCCCATCTTAATTCTACTCTGTTAGGGCAATTCTAAAAAGAACTTAGAGGAGCTTCGCAGCCCTTCACCACCACCGTGACCCCAAATACGTTCTCTCTTTCTCCCCCCGCCCCCCACAAACAACCCCCTAAGCTTACCCCTGAGTTAGTAACCTGGTTGGGGTTGGTGATGAGGAAATCCGAGAGGCCTCTTAGAAAATATTGTAAAGGGCAAGGGTCCTTTTGTGCTCAAAATCTAGGTAAAGGCAAATACAAGATTTTGCCTATAATTTCAGAATCTCCTGGTCCACCCGGCTCCCAGATCTTGAGGATTTTCGGATGAGCAATTCAAGTGAGAGGGAAACAGAGAGCAACACTCTTAGAACCTGATTCCGTTCCTCAGCTCGCATTCCTCCGCCCGTCCCGCTCCCGCCGCCAGCGGAGGCCCTAGTCTCCCGCTCCAACTATTCCAACCATCCCGGGAAGGGTGGGGCGCTCGGCTCTTGGGTCCCCCTCCGCCGCCCCGCCTCGTCGATCTCCCCTTCTGCCCCGGTCCCTCCCTTTCTGGGGTGGGGCCAGCCAATCAGCGATCAGACTCCGGAGTTTGGCCCGGGAGCTGGGGAGCTCACCGATCCCCCGCCCAGCAGTTCTGGCCGCTGTCCCGGTGCGCACGGACGTGGCTCGAGTTTCCTCTGCTCTCCGCTCTCGCCCGCTAGCTCTCCTCCCTTCCGCTCCTGCTTCTCTCCGGGTCTCCCGCTCCAGCTCCAGCCCCACCCGGCCGGTCCCGCACGGCTCCGGGTAGCCATGGAGGACCCCACGCTCTATATTGTCGAGCGGCCGCTTCCCGGGTACCCCGACGCCGAGGCCCCGGAGCCTTCCTCCGCTGGGGCTCAGGCAGCGGAGGAGCCGTCGGGGGCCGGCTCAGAAGAGCTGATCAAGTCGGACCAGGTGAACGGCGTGCTGGTGCTGAGCCTCCTGGACAAAATCATCGGGGCCGTAGACCAGATCCAGCTGACTCAAGCACAGCTGGAGGAGCGGCAGGCGGAGATGGAGGGCGCAGTGCAGAGCATCCAGGGCGAGCTGAGCAAGCTGGGCAAGGCGCACGCCACCACGAGCAATACGGTGAGCAAGCTGCTGGAGAAGGTGCGCAAGGTCAGCGTCAACGTGAAGACCGTGCGCGGCAGCCTGGAGCGCCAGGCGGGGCAGATCAAGAAGCTGGAGGTCAACGAGGCCGAGCTGCTGCGGCGCCGCAACTTTAAAGTCATGATCTACCAGGTGAGCCCACAGGGCGGAAGGCGCCCAGAGCTCCCGCGCCCGGCCCGCGTCCCCTGCCTGGGAGTTGGGGTGGGGAGACCTGCCCGTGGCGCTGCTCCCCTCCCAGCCTGGCCCGGGCGCCCGGCAGATCCACCCTCCTTCCGGTGAGCGCGGCTGGGGTGGGGTTGGGTGGGGTAGGATGGGGTGGAGGGAGCGGCGGACTCCTGGGGCGCGTAGAGGGGCGCGCTCTGCACCTCGCACCTCCCCACTCAGATCCTTCCCTCGGGTCCCAAACTTGTAGCAGAACCGAATTAGCGGGTGGACTCGAGGACGCTGCCCCTCGCAGACCGCTCCCTCCCTAATTGGCTCTGTCAAACTTCTTCCTACTTGGGGGAAGTTTCTAGGAAAGTCAGGGGTCCCTCGCGATCGTTGGGGTCCGCTGTAAGCGGACACTGGCTGCGGGGCCCGGGCCTGGGGCCTCTGCGCCTGCGGGCCTGATATAGCGGGTGATTCAGGGCTCAGGCACGCACCAGCGGGGGCTGTGCCAAGCGGGGAACGCGACCGCCAACCTCCTCCCCAGACCCTGCGCCCCCGCGCCCCCACATCGGCCTCGGCGGCCCACCCCTGTCCCCTCGCTGCTCTCTGCTCCTGGCCACCAGGCATTTTCAGGCCCTTGAGGACACCCTCACCCGCGGCGCGCTGGCACCCTGGGCCTCCTGGAAGCGGGCGGGGCTGGGCGGGGAAGAGTGGGCGTCAGGAGTGCAAGAGGGGCTGGTGGAGTGGGTGGACAGCCCCTGCGGGGTCCGGCGGTCTGGGCGCAGTCTGGGCGAGGTGAATCACCCCGCATGCCTGCGGGGGCGGGGGCCAGGCGCAGCAGCGCAGCCGGCGGGAGGAGGCTGGCGCCCCCACCCCCCGGCTCCGCCCGGGGCCACTTGTTGCTTTCTTTGCAGCTCTCCCCATTCTTCACACTTGGATAAAAATGTAGCTTTTGGATCATAACCCCCAATAAACCTGGGAGTCTCGGGTTTCTATGCTGCTCCTCTCCACGCCGCTTCCGCAGTGCCATCGGGGATGAGATTTTGGGCTGGGCGGCAAGTGTTCCAGCCTGGCTCCTCCCCGCCTCCCAAAGGCCTGCTGATGCTCCTAACCCCAGGGAGGCGGGATCGTGTGGGGCAGGGGGGTTAGTCTATGCTCCCCTCTCCCCTTCCTCTCCCTGCTGAAGGGAATGGAAAGAAAGGGAAGGCTGGATTTCCCACACCCTCCAAGTTAGAAGACCCCTTTCCGGGAGTTGTGGCTCTGCTGACTGCTCTGGGGCCTGGTCGAGCCGGGTTCTGAGTGACCATCTGGGGTGAGGCGAGGGGGTCCTTGGCTTGGTTTCCCCAGGAGGAGTTAAGATAGATGCAAATCAGGACAAGTATCTGGGAAGAGTAGAGACAGAAAGGTGGGTCAGCTGGTACCTATCTGAGGTGGTGGGACAGAGGCAGAAGTGGCACTTGTCCCCCTCCCCACCCTTACCCACGGATGACAGACTCCTCCCAGGAGGCATATACGTGGCTTTTAAAAGCTTTACTTCCCCTACTTAAGCACTATTTAGATAGAAAATGTTTGCCCAGAGCTATTTCCACTTAGTCTAACTGCTTGGAGGACGCAGGATGAGAGGGGGGCTTTTGACGTTTTTTAAGAGACCTGCTTAGTACTGGGGACATTGAGAGGAGCGGAACAAGACAGGGGTCTGGGACAGCAAGCCAGCTCTATATTTCCTCCAGAGCCTGGTGTGGCCGAGAGCCACCATGAAGAGCTCGAGGGGTGACCCTTCTCACGCTAACTATCCCAGACCATAGAACCTGGGAAAAGTCTTGGCCTGGAGGTAAACTTCCCTATGCCAAAGATGGAGATTCTGAGAGAAGAGGGAAAGGTATGGAGGGAGAAAGACTTATCTGCAGAGGCCACTGGCATCCCTCTGTTCTGCCCTCTCCAGCAATCTGCAGGGATATGTCTATATTTTAGGGGGTGGGAGGGAATGTGTTCTAATCACAGGTGGCTTCAAATGAATCTGCACTAAACCAAGGCCAGTGGGTGACAGAGAGTTGAGGTAGTAAGAGTAGCTCAAATGGAGTCCCAAACCCACAGAGGGAATAACTAAGAACTGAAATGGTCCCAACCTGGGGAAGACTTCAGACGTAAGGAAAAGATTCCAGCAAATGGGGTGAGGCTTGGGAAAGCAGAACTTCCCTGAGCTGCAGAGCAGATGTTCCAGGTGGGGACCCGGCTGCTGGAGGAAAGCAGAGGCTGCTCCTGCTCCTCCCAGAGGTCTGCAGGCCTGAGAAGGGAAGGAGGTAAAAATAGCTCTGTGCCTTGGCAGGCCTATTAGGGAAGATTGGGGGCAGCAGCATTTATGGTAAAGTCCGGCTGAAGGGGGAGGATGTTGGGTGGCCAGGCAAAGAGACAGAGATTTGGAGAAAGTTTCCTGGGATGGTGTGAATTCTCTGGAGGGGCCATAGGGGAAGGGATGCTGTATTCCCCACTACAGGGGTGGGAGGTGATGATGTGGCAGTGGGGGCGGGGCAGAGAACACCAAGGGATGGGAAGGCCCCCGTTGTGGGATGGAGACATCTGGCCTTCCATACCCTATTCCTGGGGAGAAAAGGAGGGAATCCCTTGTATGGCCCCACCCCAAATTCAGGGAACTTCTAGACTTAATGATTTCACAGCTTTAAGTTTGCATTTGAACACACACACACACACACACACACACACACACACACGAAATTCAGCACCTCCCACCCCAAGGTATCACAGCCCTCATCTTAAACTCACTTCTGAGTCATTACTGCCCTTCTCTGGCATTTCCTTCCCTGTCTCCCAAACAAAACCTAGCAGTTTGACATTGCATTCTATCAGGCGACACTTGGCTAGCAACAGCTAGTAAATGAGAGAAGTGAATTCTACTAGTTATAGGAGTTAATGGACTGAGGGTTGCAGGACGATCAGGCCAGATTGTGAATATAGAGGCAGTTGCTCTAAAATACCATGCAGAGGCCGGGCTAGGTGGCTCGTGCCTGTAATCCCAGCACTTTAGGAGGCTGAGGCAGGTGGATCACTTGAGGTCAGTAGTTCGAGACCAGCCTGGCCAACATGGTGAAACCCCTCTCTACTAAAATACAAAAATTAGCCGGGCATGGTGGTGAGCACCTCTAATCCTGGTTACTCGGGAGGCTGAGGCAGAAGAATGGCTTGAACCTGGGAGGCGGAGGTTGCAGTGAGCGAGATCGTGTTATTGCACTCCAGCCTGGGCGACAGAGTGAGACTCCATCTCAAAAATAATAATAATAATAATAATAACAACAATAAATAAAATAAAATGCCATGCAGATGAGTGGAACTATGATCATTAAAGAACCAATTCTTCCAGGCAACAATTTGTTTTTTGGGGTTTTTTGGTTTTGTTTTTCAGACAAGTTCTCACTCTGTTGCTCAAGCTGGAGTGCAGTGACACAGTCATATCTTACTGCAGTCTCGAACTCTTGGGCTCAAGTGATCCTCCTGGTTCAGCCTCCCGAGTAGCTAGGACTACAGGTGCCCACCACCGTGCCCGGCAAATTGTTTTTTTTCATATTTGTAGAGTCCGGGGTCTCACTTAGTTGCCCAGGCTGATCTCAAACTCCTGGGTTCAAACAGTTCTCCTGTCTGGGCCTCCCAAAGTGCTGAGACTACAGGCATGAGCTACCACGTGCATCCAGTTTGTTTATTTTTAAACTTAAAAGGCTTTATTTTTAATTACTATGGATACATAATAGTTGTACATATTTTTGGAGTACATGTGATATTTCGAGACAAGTATGCAATGTATAATGATCAAATCAGGGTAATTAGAGTATCCGTCATATCAAGCATTTATCATTTCCTTGTGTTAGGAACATCCCAATTCCACTCCTTTAATTATTTTGAAATACGCAATAATTTCTGTTAACTCTATCACCCTATTGTGCTACTGAACGTTAGATCTTATTCCTTCTATCTAACTGTATTTTTGTACCCATTAACCATCCCTCCAGGCAACAATTTGGAGAGTAGGGCTCTTTTAGATCCAGAAAGTGGGGATAAAATGGAAATACGGGGCTGGGCGCGGTGGCTCACACCTGTAATCCCAACACTTTGGGAGGCTGAGGCGGGCGGATCACCTGAGGTGGGGAGTTCGAGACCAGCCTGACCAACATGGAGAAACCCCGTCTCTACTAAAAATACAAAATTAGCCAGGCGTGGTTGCACATACCTGTAATCCCAGCTACTCAGGAGGCTGAGGCAGGAGAATCACTTGAACCCAGGAGGCAGAGGTTGCGGTGAGCCGAGATCGCACCATTGCACTCCAGCCTGGGCAACAAGAGCGAAACTTGGTCTCAAAAAAAAAAAAAAAAAAAGGAAATACAGTCACGCATTGCTTAATGACTGGGATATGTTCAGAGAAATGCAGTGTTAGGCCATTTCCTCACTGTGTGAACATCATAGAGTAACTTTACATAAACCTAAACAGTATAGCCTACTGCACACCTAGGCTATATGATACAGCCTATTGCTCCTAGGCTACAAACCTATACAGCATGTTAATGTACTGAATACTGTAGGCAACTATAACACAATGGTAAGTATTTGTGTATCTAAATGTGTCTAAACATAGAAAAGGTGCAATAGCCATGGCACGGTAGCTCACACCTGTAATCCCAGCACTTTGGGAGGCCGAGGCAGGTAGATCACTTGAGGTCAGGAGTTAGAGACTAGCCTGGCCAACATGGTGAAACCCCATCTCTAAATAAAAATACAAAAATTAGGTGGGTGTGGTGGTGGGTGCCTGTAATCCCAGCTACTTGGGAGGCTGAGGCAGGGGAATCGTTTGAACCTGGGAGATGGAGGTTGTGCCTGGACAAGAGAGCAAGACTGTCTCAAAAAAATAGTATAGTATAGTAAATACATAACCAGTAACACAGTCATGTCTTATCAATATCAAGTATTATGTACTGTATATAATTGTATGGGCTAGACTTTTATACAACTGGTAGTGCAGCAGGCTTGTTTACACCAGCAATCACCATAAACACTTGAGTAATTCATTTCACTAACACATTATGATGGCTACAATGTTATTAGGTGATAGGAATTTTTTATCTCCACTACAATCTTTTTTTTTTTTTTTGGAGACAAGTTCTCGCTCTGTTGCTCAGGCTAGAGTGCAGTGGCACAATCTTGGCTCACTGCAACCCCTCTGCCTCCCAGGTTCAAACAATTGTTCTTCTTCAGCCTTCCGAGTAGCTGGGATTTACAGGTGTGAGCCACCATGCCTGGCTAATATTTTTGTATTTTTAATAGAGACAGGGTTTCACCATGTTGGCCAGGCTGGTCTCGAACTCCTGGCCTCAAGCAATCCACCTGCCTTGGCCTCCCAAAGTGCTAAGATTACAGGCATAAGCCACCACAACCAGCCTCCATTACAATCTTATGGGACCACGGTTGTGTATGCCGTCTGTTGACTGAAACGTTGCTATGCGGCTCATGACTAAAAATGTGTTCTGGAGCAGTTTTGAGGAGGCAAAGTCAGTGACCTACATATGGACCAGCAGCAAAGGCCCATCAGACCTGCTCCAAGTGCCTGGGGATAAGGGCCAGGAAGCATTTAAGGGATTAGGTGTCTCATGGGCATTAAAGGGTAGGGCACCAGGGCTGGAACGAGAGCCTGATGGCTTCTCCTCCCCAAATCGCAATCCAACCTGTACCTCTTTCCTGGATTCAACGCAAATTAGGGCTACCTTGCTCTAGAAGAACCCCAAACCTTTGTCCAAAAATATTCTCAACCCAGGGCTTTGGTCCCTTTCATCCCTAAAACCCAGCGGCCATGGAGAGTATGCATAGTACATCCCTTCCTCCCAAACTGAGTTTGGGTTGTTTTTCCTGGTCACTGGGTCCAAAGCAGGGAGGGTATTTTTAGGGGTATTCCCAAGACGAAAGGAAATCATGCTATCCCTGGGTTCCTCCCTCCCTTTTTTTTTTTTTTTTTTTTTTTTTGAGAAAGGATCTTAGCTCTGCAGCCCAGGCTGGAGTGGTGGTATCATAGCTCACTGCAGCCTCAAACTCCTAGGCTCAAGCAATCCTCCCATCTCACCATCTCAGCCTCCCAAGTAGCTGGTACTACAGGCACAAGCCACCATGCCCAGCTAATTTTTAAATTCCTTCCGGCCTTCTTTCCTTCTTCTTTTCTTCTTTTCTCTCTCTCTCTCTCTCTCTTCTTTCTTTGACAGAGTCTTGCTCTGTCACCCAGGCCGGAGTGCAGTAGCGTGATCTCAGCTCACTGTAACCTCCACCTCCTGGATTCAAGCAATTTTCATGCCTCACCGTCCTAAGTAGCTGGGATTACAGGCATGTGCCACCACACCTGGCTAATTTTTGTATTTTTAGCAGAGACGGGGTTTCACCATGTTGGCTAGGCTGGTCTCGAACTCCTGACCTCAGGTGATCCACCTGCCTCAGCCTCCCAAAGTGCTGGAATTACAGGTGGGAGCCACTGTGCTCAGCCTAAATGTTTTTTCTAGAGGGTCCCCACTGTTGCTTAGGCTGGTCTCGAATTCCTGGGCATAAGTGATACTCCTGCCTTGGCCGCCCAAAGTGCTGGGGTTACAGGCGTGAGCCACGCGGCCTTTTTATTTTTATTTTTCATATTGTAAAGATCAAAGTCAAAAGCATGAGGAGACAGCAAAGAGTGGGCAACTGATAGCAAGAGGGGAGGGGATATTATTGCTAAGCAACTAACCTCAGAAGTAGGAGTGGCTTGGGCCATTTTTTTTTGGAAATATAACATTGTGAATATTTCATCATTCTGTCATTAGCATTTTTTAAATTTTTCTTTTCTTTTTTTCTTTTTTTTTGTTTTTTGTTTTGTTTTGTTTTTCTGAGACAGGGTCTCACTCTGTTGCCCAGGCTGGAATGTAGTGGCAGCTGTCACGGCTCACTGCAGCCCCTGTCGTCCGGGCTCAAGCATTCCTCCTGCCTTAGGCCCCCAAGTAGCTAGGACTACAGACATGCACCACCACATCCAGCTAATTTTTGTATTTTTTGGTGGAGATGGGGTTTCTCCACATTGCCCAGGGTCTCCAATTCCTGAGCTCAAGCAATCCGTCTGCCTCAGCCTCCCAAAGTGCTGGGATTACAGGCGTGAGCCACCGCACCCGGCCTCATTATACACTTCTTGAGCTAGAAGACACTTTGCAAATAATCAACTTCAACTCCTTCATTTTGTGGTTTAGGAAGCTGAGGCCCAGAGAGGGGAAGTCACTAGCCTATTGTCACTCAAGTGATTGGGAGTCAAACTGGAGCCAGAACCCAGGTGTACCCTTCCGCTACACTCACTGCTCCCCACCCCCTCCTTCCGTTCTGGGCTCTGCAGCAGAAAGCTGAGTGAAGACTAGCCCTGACAAAGCTAGGGCTAGCTGTGGCTCCGACACTTGCTGAGGGAGTTAGTTGCACAGTCCTGGCCCTGGGGCTGCTTTGCGTGTGTATGGGTGTTTGTGTGTGTGGCGTTGGCTATGAGTGGCCAGCATTGGTGGCCATTGGCTGCTTAGCCTTGTAAGTGCTGAAGTAGAGGCAATGTGTGGTCACCTGGCCTGGTGACAGTGGGAGGGGAGAGGTGTAGGGGAGGGGAGGGGTGTAGGGGAGAAAAGTGGGGGAAAGGAGGGGTGTTGGGGAGGGGAGGGGCGTAGGGGAGGAGTGGAGCTCCTGGTCAGCCGTGGTGTGCCCTGGCAGGGACTCCACACATACCTAGGAGAGGGACATGTTGTTTCCCTTTCTCTTCAGCCTCTCTGCCACTCCCACCTCCTCCTTGTACCCTGCAGGGGAGGTTGGGACCTGCTGCTTTGTTTTTTTGAGACTACAGGCTTTATCAAATACTGCTATTGCCTGAGTCCAATAGTGCCGCCAAGTGTCCCTCTCGCCTGGCATCTGATTGCTCAAAGCAAGAAGCCTATAGTCTTCCACAACTCAGCCCCTCAGGAGAGAGAGTTGGGGGCTGCCGCAGAGGTCCAGAGGTCCCAGGACATAGGCTCACCTGTCATAAAAATAGCTTGGTTTTGCCAGGCACAGTGATGTGTGCCTGTAGTCCCAGCTACTCAATAAGTTGAGGCAGGAAGATTGCTTGAGACTAGGAGTTTGAAGCCAGGTTGGACAGCATAGAGAGACTCTATCTTAAAAAAAAAAATAGAGCTTGGTTTTGGATCCTGATTTCTCTGTGCATTTTAGTGTATGATATCTTAAGTGGTAGCAAGAGGGAGGGGTGGCAAGGGAGACAGAAGGTGGGGACGTGGCCAAAGGGAAATTGCCAGGATGTCCCTCTTCCATGCCTATCCCTCTCCTCATTTGGGGTAGCATCCTGTGTCCACCCTACCCCAGGGAAGAATGAAAACAGATTAATCTGGGCACACTGGCTCATGCCTGTAATCCCAGCACTTTGGGAGGCTGAGGTGGGTGGACCACTTGAGGTCAGGAGTTCAAGACCAGCCTGGCCAACATGGCGAAACTCCGTCTCTACCAAAAATACAAAAAAAATTAGCCGGGCATGGTGGCACACACCTGTAATCCCAGCTACTAGGGAGGCTGAGGCAGGAGAATCACTTGAACTCAGGAGGCAGAGGTTGCAGTGAGCCAAGATCACGCCACTATACTCCACAGCCTGGGTGACAGAGCAAGACTCCGTCTAAAAAAAAACAACAACCACAAAACTGGGATTGGCAGAGTCTGACTCTGAAGACAGTGAAGTTGTGTGCCTTTGTATTTACTCATCTGAGCCTCCCCAGTTATAATCCAACAACTAGCCCCTTAGAAAACTCCTTATCCACCCCTAGTAGCCTCCATAGTCTTCCTATGATTATGGCTGGGGAAGGATTGGAGATGGAAGCCCAAGAATGGGACTGGGGAATATTGTAGAGGGAGGAAGGGAGGGGCTCAATTGAAGCTGTGTTTATTAATTCTTGGGCTTGAGTTTGCCCCACCCCTTTTGGCCCCAGGGACCTCTTTTTTTTTTTTTTTTTTTTTTTTTTTTTTTTTCCCTTTTTGAGACAGACTTTTGCTCTGTCGCCCAGGCTAGAGTGAAGTGGCTGGACCTCAGCTCACTGCAAACTTCACCTCCCTGGTTCAAGTGATTCTCCTGCCTCAGCCTCCCGAGTAGCTGAAATTTCAGGCATGTGCCAACAGGCCCCACTAACAGTATTTTTTGCAGAGACCTGGGCAATGTTGCTGAGGCTGGTCTTGAACTCCTGGGCTCAAGGGATCCACCCACCTTGGCCTCCAAAGTGCTGGGATTACAGGGATTATAGGCGTGAGCCACTGTGCCCAGCTCCCAGGGCCCTCTTGATGAAGCATTTAAAATGAGTTTCTAGGCCAGGCATGATGGTGGCTCATGCCTGTAATCCCAGCACTTTGGGAGCCCAAGGAGGGCAGATCACTTGAGGTCAGGAGTTCAAGACCAGCCTGGCCAACATGGTGAAACCCTATCTCTGCTAAAATTTCAAAATATTAGCTGAGCATGGTGGCACCCACCTGTAATCCCAGCTACTTGGGAGGCTGAGGCAGGAGAATCGCTTGAACCCAGGAGGCGGAGGTTGCGGTGAACCAAGATCAGAGATCACGCCACTGCACTACAGTTTAGCAGCCTGGGCGATAGAGAGAGGCTCCATCTCAAAAAAATAAATAAAATAGTCCAGGCGCAGTGGTTCCCGCCTGTAATCCCAGCACTTTGGGAGACCGAGACAAGAGGATCGCTTGAGGCCAGGAGTTCAAGACCAGCCTGGCCAACACAGTGAAACCCGGTCTCTACTAAAAGTATAAAATTAGCTGGGCGTGGTAGCATGCACCTGTAATCCCAGCTATTCGGGAGGCTGAGGCAGGAGAATTACTTGAACCTGGGAGGTGGAGGTTGCAGTGAGCCAAGATCGTGCCACTGCACTCCAGCCTGGGCAACAGAGTGAGACTCTGTCTCAAAAAAATAAAATAAAATAGTTTCTAGCCTGGGCAACATAGTGAGACCTTGTCTCTATCAAAAAAAAAAAAAAAATTAGCCGGGTTTGATGGTACACAACTGTAGTCCTAGATATTTGGGAGGCTGAGGTAAGAAGATTGCTTGAGCCCAGGAGTTGGAGGCTGCAGTGAGCTATGATTGTGCACTGCACTACAGCCTGGGCAACAGAGCAAGACCCCCATTTCTAAAAAAAAAAAAAAAAAAAAAGTGGTTTATTTCCATCCTAATACATTGTGCTCCCCTCCCTACTCACCAGCCCCTACTCTGCATGCCACCAAGGCCCTTTTTTCTCAACTCCTTTTGCACCCACCCCAAGCCCCATTTAAACCCCTTTTCCTCATCTTAGCCCAAGAAGAAGCCGAATGCACCCTCTGACCTGGCCACACCCAAGATCGTGCCTTTTGACCTGCCTGAGACTGAGCCCTTTGACCTGAAGCCTGAGACAGTGCCTGAGCTCCCACCTTTTGACCAGACGCCTAGGGCACTGCCATATTACCCAGAGCCTGGGCCCCGGCCCACCCCAGAGGAGCTGACAGCCGGTGGGAGTGTTTAGGGTCTCCCGGATCCCGTTCTGTGGGCGTGGGGTATCTCTTCAGTCCACTGTCAGCCCACAGCCTAGTGGTGATCACTGCCAGGAGGGCCACCATCCCCAGTCACTGCCCACTGTGGACGGGTGCCGGGTACTGTGAGAACACTGGCGTTATGCAAAGTTCAGGAGAATGGGATGTATACAGTGGGGATGGGAGGGGAATGGAAGGGGCCTCCCCACTTCTTGGTTTCTGTTTTTAGTAGTAAATGCTCCCCCACACTTAAGCTGCACCCGAAGGCTGCCTAGCATGAAGGCGCATGGCTTCTGGTTCTGCCGTTCCCCCTGCTGCCTCCTCCTGAGGGACAACCCAGTTTGGCTCAAAGCCTCTTTGGAGAGGGCCATCATGAGGCTCAGGCCTGGGGTCTGTTCTGTGCCCTCTCCACCCACTCCCTGCAGCTGAGGAAAACATTTACACGTATTTTCTCCAGTTTCTTTTAGAAAATGCTTTGCAAAGAGATCGCTTATGTTTGCCAGATCCTGCCTTGGGTGGGGTGCCCAAAAGCTGCCAACTCACAGATGCCAGGAGGGGGACATTCTAGCTGGCTCTGGCTCAGGACCTCTGGCCTTCCTATAGCAGAGTGTTTCTCAACTTAAAAAAAATGTTAAAAAAATTTTTTTTAGAGATGGGGTTGGACTGTGTTGCCCAGGCTGGTTCTGAACTCCTGGGGCTCAAGTGATCCTCCCACCTCAGCTTCCCAAAGTGCTGGGATTACAGATGTGAGCCACCTCACCCAGCCAGTTTTTGTTGTTGATGGTTGTTGTTGTTTTCATAATCACTCCCATATACAGACCTTTTAGTTTTTTTTTTTTTTTTTGAGACATAGTCCTACTCTGTCACCCAGGTTGGAGTGCAGTGGAGTGATCTCGGCTAACTACAACCTCCACCTCCTCGGTTCAAGTGATTCTCCTGCCTCAGCCTCCCAAGTAGCTGGGATTACAGGCATGTGCCACCACACCCAGCTAGTTTTTGTATTTTTTGGTAGAGACGGGGTTTCGAACTCCTGACCTCAGGTGATCTGCCCCGCCTCCCAAAATTCTGGGATTACAGGCATGAGCCACCACCCCTGGCCCTTTCAATTTTTTTTTTTTTTTTTTTTTTTTTTTTTTTTTTTTTTGAGACAGAGTCTCACTCCGTCGCCAGGCTGGATTACAGTGGCACGATCTCGGCTCACTGCAATCTCCACCTCCCTGGTTCAGCCTCCCGAGTAGCTGGGATTACAGGCTCGTGCCACCACACCCAGCTAATTTTTGTATTTTTAGTAGAGACGGAGTTTCACCATGTTGGCCAGAATGGTCTCGATCTCCTGACCTCGTAATCTGCCCACCTCGGCCTCCCAAAGTGCTGGGATTACAGCCTTGAGCCACAGCACCCGGCCCCTTTCAGATATTTTTAACCAAGCTGTTCATCTCCCTCACGAAATGTTAAAACAATAGATAAACTGTATATCTGTTTATGTACTGTGGCTCTTGGGAGTGGCACAAATCATTGTGATATCTAAGTCCCCTCCCAATCTCCAAGAATCAGTTTTCACCCTTTTGGATGCAATTTCACCCCTGCCAAGAATGCACGCTAGAGCAGAAGGGAGGGACACTTCTGCCCTTGGGGTCTCTCATCTCCTTGTCTTAGCAACCTCTAGCAGAGGTCCTGAATTTTAAAGACGTTCTCTCCCCTTCACCTCTCCCCTCCTCTGCACCCTCTTCTAACATACACTCTAAGCAGATCCTGGGTCTCTGAATTACCTCTCCAGTCTCCTCCAGCCATTCCCAGGCAGTGGTTGGGGACCTAGAGCTGGTCAGCCTTAAGTCAAGAGAGCCTCCTACCCAGACCCATGTGGCATCTGTCCCTTCTCCCTAACAAATGTGAAGTGCCTGGCCAAGGGCCAGATGTGTAATAGGTGCTCAATGACATTATAATCTTATAAAAATCTTCCTAAGCCAGATCTCGAGTTTAGACAGCAGGGTTGGGGGGTGGAGTGGAAGAGGCTGGGAGCCTCCCTGTGGCTCCTCTGCATCCATCGAGGATTGAGGAGCTATGTGTGCTTGGCAAAGGGCAGGGGGAACTGTAATGCTTTTGTTCAGAGCTGGTCATTAAAGGTAACTCTGGAAACCAAGCCTATTGGGAGTGGTGGTTTTGTTTAATAAAAACGAGAAACAGAACAAGCAGAGCCGTCCCTCCTTGCCATCCCCTGAGGTCCTTCCTTTGGCTTAGGAGCTCTGCCAGAGAAGTAGGGGTGGGACAAGGGTGCCTGGCCTGTGTGCCCAGGGTGGAGGGAGATGATTTTGGATTGTGTTTGTGGTGGTTGTACCAGCAAGCAGATGGGTGGGACCAAGACAGCACTCCAAGGCTGTGAGTCATGGGGGAAACCTGGCCTGGAGTGGAGAGGAAAAGCTAATGGTGAAATACCCTCTCCAGAGCCAGCCTATTGGACATCATCCCAGGATTCAGCTCAAGTTGTTTCGTCTCCTGTCCCCTGACCTTCCACCAAGAAGGCAGCTCCTATGGTGTAAGCCGTCACTCCAGGGGAAGCCTACGATGAATGGGGTTAGAGCCCCCAGATCCCTTACTGGTCTGGAGAGATTTCTAAATCCAGGAATAAACCTCCCCTTGGCCAGGCACAGTGGCTCATGCGAGAAATCTCAGCACTTTGGGAGGCCGAGGCAAGGGGATCACTTGAGCCCAGGAGTTTGAGACCAGCCTGGGCAACATAGTGAGACTCTGCCTGTACAAAAACTACAAAAATTAGCTGGGCATGGTGGCGTGCGCCTGTAGTTCCAGCTACTTGGGAGGCTGAGGTGGGAGGATCACTAGAGCCCAGGAGGTTGAGGCTGTAGTGACCTGTAATCATGCCACTGCACTTCAGCCTGGTTGACAGAACAAGACCCCATCTCAAAACAAACAAACAAAAACACAAAAATGGCCAGATGCGGTGGCTCGTGCCTGTAATCCCAGCACTTTGGGAGGCCGAGGTGGGAGGATCCCTTGAGGTCAGGAGTTTGAGAACAGCCTGGCCAACATGGTGAAACCCTGTCTCTACCAAAAAATACAAAAACTAGCCAGGTGTGGTGGTGCATGCCTGTAATCCCAGCTACTTGGGAGGCTGAGGCAGGAGAACTGCTTGAACCCAGGAGGCAGAGGTTGCAGTGAGCCGAGATCGCGCCACTGCACTCCAACCTAGGTGACAGAGTGAGACCATGTCTCAAAAAAAAAAAAAAAAAAGGCCGGGCACGGTGGCTTAGGCTTGTAATCCCAGCACTTTGGGAGGCTGAGGAGGGCGAATCACATGAGGTTGGGAGTTCAAGACCAGCCTGATCAACATGGAGAAACCCCGTCTCTACTAAAAATACAAAATTAGCCAGGTGTGGTGGCACATGCCTGTAATCTCAGCTATTTGGGAGGCCCAGGCAGGAGAATTGCTTGAACCTAGGAGGCGGATGTTGCGGTGAGCCGAGATCGTGTCATTGCACTCCAGCCTGGGGAGCAAGAGCAAAACTCCATCTCAAAAAAAACAAAAAAACTAAAAAACAAAAACCTCCTCTCACTAGGATTGCTTCCTTATGTTGTAGTTTGAGACCTTTCATGAGGCACTAGGAAGATGGCATTGGCTATAAGAAGTCTGCAGCTCTCTCCCCAGTCCCATTCACTTCCAAGTTCAGCTGGCAAAGACCTTTATCTAGGAAGCCACAGGCCAGGAAAACCAGCCAGCTCAGCCTTTAGGGGTGGGGTGGAGCAGGCAGCAGGGGTAGGGGAGAAGCGGGGGATGCTGGGGGTAGGGCAGAGAGACAAAGTGGATTTGTTTTCCAGCAGCTGGGGCTGTTTCCTGACTATTCCCTGCCTGTCACCCTTAATCCCTCCCTAGCCTATTCACATTGTCTGAGTTTAGTGAAAGGAGGGGCTCTCTCCACCCTTTGGTGGGGCGTGGGTGGGTTTTTAAGTCTGGGAGGTTATGAAGGAAAGATCAGAGCTGAATTTTTTTTAATATATATATATACTGGGGCTGCAGGTAAATTCTGGGTGGAGATGGATGAAGAGGGTTTAGATCCTACAATGATGTATAAGTCTTAAATGATATGCACTCCAGTAGCAGGCAGGGTAAGGGTGATTGTAGGAGCCCCAAAGTGAATGACTGGAAATCAGAGGGAATGCAAAGAGAAGTTGAGACTCTCCTACACTCAGAACAAGGAAAACACCCTTCAATGCCTCAGTGAATGATAAGAGGCAGAGGGATAAACAAAATGCCCTAGGATTGCCCATGATCTGCACTAAGCCGTCTATGGCAGGTAGAGACTACAAGTCCCAGCATGCCCTGTGCCCAGGTCACCTTGCCTGCTGGGAGGTGTAGTTGGGTAACAGAGAGCTGGAGGTGGCTTGGTGCCCAGCAGAGCTGATGCCCAGATGAGAGAAGAGGTGGAGCCAGCATTCCCTCTTTGTCCCTGCTAATGCTATTGACAAGAAGGGAAGGAAGTTGGGAGAGGGTGTTCCTAGTTTTCAGTGTAAACCAGGAAACTCTGGGGGGATGTTGATGGGAGGGAAGAGGAAAGAGGTTGGGGGCTGGGGAAGGAATTTCTGTAGCAGGTGGTGCAGAGATACCGAGCAGCCTATGTATAGGGGTGTGTGTGTGTGGTGTCAGTGAGAGGACTCAGTTTATGTTGCCTTAATTTCTTAGGGGACAGGATTTTTCTTATAATTCTGGGAAATGGTCTTCAGAAAACCCTTTAGAAAAGCGACTATCTCTCGTTCCTTCATTTGAAGTCACTAAAGGGAGTCTGGGCCAAAGAGATCCTATTGATGATCTTGGTCTGCCCTTTCCCTTTCTGTGCTCAGCCTCCCCTGCTCTCTGATGAGGGTGGAGGTGGGGGAGGGAGTGATCCAGAGATTCTGAAATGTTGGCCAGAGTCAAGATCTTGGAAAATCTTCCCGGAATGGAAAGCAGTTCTGGTGCTAAGTCCTCCAAGGAGAAGACAGAAAAGCAAAGAACTGGTTCTGAGCTCCAGGGTCATGGGGAATCTGAGACCACCCATCCTACTCCTAGACCCCTGAGCTCAGGCTTTGTGCTGGGGGCAGGGGGTAGGGAAAGCAAGAATTGAAAAGTAATCTCTCTTCTATCCCAAAGTAGGGAAGTCACAACCAGAAGAAATGTCCAGACTGGGGAGAAAACATGTCCGTGGCTCCCAGCCAGCTTCTTCCTCTTTCCAATATCAATTTCTAAATGTGGGGGAGGGGGAGAATGACCACTGGTGGAGCCAAACAGTATGAAGGAGTCAAAGAAGGTGGAGGTGGGGGAGGGTGGACCACAGTTCTCCATCTCTAAGGCTGGTTCTGAAATAGCTTGAGGCCAGGAGCAGTGGCTTATGCCTGTAATCCCAGCACTTTGGGAGGCCAAGGCGGGTGGATCATTTGAGGTCAGGGGTTCGAGACCAATCTGACCAACATGGTGAAACCCCGAGTCTACTAAAAATACAAAAAAATTAGCCAGGTGTGGTGGCGCATGCCTGCAGTCCCAGCTACTCAGGAGGCTGAGGCAGGAGAATTGCTTGAACCTGGGAGGCAGAGGTTGCAGTCAGCAGAGATCGTGTCACTGCACTGCAGCCTGGGCGACAAAGCGAGACTCCATCTCAAAAAAAAAAAAAAAAAGAAATAGCTTGAGTCTAGGAAATGCACTTCCTTTACTTTACCTGCTTGGGTGGGTAGGTGCAGCTGTGGGCTCAAACCCCTACCCGCTTTCAACTTAGACACTCCCACCACTTGCTTTTCGGCCTGGCTCGGGCAGTGTGCGATTTGCGGCACCAGAGGGCGCTCCGCCCATTTCCAAAGTGGAGCTGTGTCTCCCGAGGGCCGTAGTGGTTTAATATCATCTACGGGTGGAAAGGGATCAGGACAGGGTTGGACGACCACAGAGATTTTAGCCCAAGTGCAATTATTACGCAACCCCATCTCCGACCCGAAGTTTGGTCCCCTGCTCCCGCGGTCTGTTTAGTCACCATTCGTTCAACACACATGTTTTTTAGAGAATGGCGGCGCGAGGCCGGGCGCAGTGGCTCACGCCTGTAATCCCAGAACTTTGGGAGGCCGAGGCGGGCGGATCACCTGAGGTCGGGAGTTCGAGACCAGCCTGACCAATATGGAGAAACACCGTCTCTATTAAAGATACAAAATTTAGCCGGCGTGGTGGCGGGCGCCTGTAATCCCAGCTATTCGGGAGGCTGAGGCAGGAGAATTGCTTGAACCCGGGTGGCGGAGGTTGCGGTGAGCCAAGATCGCGCCCACTGCACTCCAGCCTCGGCAACAGATCGAGACTCCGTTTAAAAAAAAAAAAAAAAAAAAAAACAAGGAGAGAGAGAGAGAAAGAATGGCGACGCGGGGTTGGGGGGCCGGAGATGGGTGATATGTTGCCCAGGCTGGTCTCGAACTCCTGGACTCAAGCCATCCTCCTGCCTCGGTCTCCCACAGCGCTAATATTACAGGCGTGAGCCTACACACATTTATTGAGCGCCCGCCAGTTTCCTGGGGACCACGAGCGTCCCATGCTCCCCTCTCTCCAGGATCGTCACCACCCTGACTCAGGCTCGCCCACATCCGCCTCCTCCGACGCCTCTCATGTCCCTTCTCCTCTTCCCTTAGGATGAAGTGAAGCTGCCGGCCAAACTGAGCATCAGCAAATCGCTGAAAGAGTCGGAGGCGCTGCCAGAGAAGGAGGGCGAGGAGCTGGGCGAGGGCGAGCGGCCCGAGGAGGACGCAGCGGCGCTGGAGCTTTCGTCGGACGAGGCGGTGGAGGTTGAGGAGGTTATTGAGGAGTCCCGCGCAGAGCGTATCAAGCGCAGCGGCCTGCGGCGCGTGGACGACTTCAAGAAGGCCTTCTCCAAGGAGAAGATGGAGAAGACCAAGGTGCGTACCCGCGAGAACCTGGAGAAGACGCGCCTCAAGACCAAGGAAAACCTGGAGAAGACGCGGCACACCCTGGAGAAGCGCATGAACAAGCTGGGCACGCGCCTGGTGCCCGCCGAGCGGCGCGAGAAACTGAAGACGTCGCGGGACAAGTTGCGCAAATCCTTCACGCCCGACCACGTGGTGTACGCGCGCTCCAAGACCGCGGTCTACAAGGTGCCACCCTTCACCTTCCACGTCAAGAAGATCCGCGAGGGCCAGGTGGAAGTGCTCAAGGCCACCGAGATGGTGGAGGTGGGCGCCGACGACGACGAGGGCGGCGCGGAGCGCGGGGAGGCCGGCGACCTGCGGCGCGGGAGCAGCCCCGACGTGCACGCGCTGCTGGAGATCACCGAGGAGTCGGACGCCGTGCTGGTGGACAAGAGCGACAGCGACTGAGCCGCCCCCGCTGCCACCCACCCCATTCCTCGCTCCTTCCGAACTTCCTCTTTCGCATTCTCTCTCGGCTCGAGCTGGCTGAGATTTTTCTAAATTGAAAACACGCCCCCCTCCCCACACCTCCAGGAACTCCACTCCCAGTCTTAGAGCTGTTAGGACCCGATGGGGAGGCAGCCCCCGCAGTGGACAACCCCCGCTTGGACACAGTCCGAGTGGAATGGGAAGGGAATGGTCAATCCCTGTCCTGGTTGTCCAAGTCGGGATCTCAGAGGAAATTGCAGTGATTCCACGGTTAGGCCCCCCTGGGGGGGCTGCCTTCCCCTCAGCCTCTCCCCACACCACCCACCCAGCTGCTGTCATTCCGCTCACTGAGCTCTTCTTCATTCTCACCCTGATCCCTGGGGGACTCAAAGCCAAAACTGCCCAAAGAGGAAAGATTGAATCCTAAAGGGGATCCCTGCCCCCATGGGAGGCCCCCTACTAGAAGGACGTGAAAGCAGCTTTTGGGGGAAACTGAGGCAGTGGGGAAGACAGAGCAGAATGAGCCCTCACCCTGGCTGGGGGTCCAGCACAGGCTGTATCTGCAGAGGGTCCCAGAGGAACGCTGGAGCCAAGAGAAGCCCTGGGAAGGAGGGGTGGGGAACGACATGCATGTGAGGGATGGCACACTGATGTGTTTATGCACCTGTACACAGGAGCGCATGGCCATGGCTTTGGAAAGGAGAATGGAAAAATAGAAGAAGGTCGGCCGGGCTTGGTGGCTTATGCCTGTAACCCCAGCACTTTGGGAGGCCGAGGTGGGCGGATCACCTGAAGTCAGGAGTTCGGGACCAGCCTGGCAAACACCCCATCTCTACTAAGCGAAAACCCATCTCTACTAAAATTACAAAAATTAGCTGGGCATGGTTGCGCATGCCTGTAATCCCAGCTACTTTGGAGGCTGAGGTGGGGAGAATTGCTTGAACCTGGGAGGTGGAGGTTGCAGTGAGCCAAGGTCGCGACACTGCACTCCAGCCTGGGTGACAGAGTGAGACTCCATCTCAACAGAAGGAAAAAAAAGGAAAATAGGAGAAGGTGGAAATGGGTGAAGAGAGAAGTCCCCTCACTAGCTGCATGAGAAATCTATCTTACTGTGGTTCTCCATGGGCAGCAGGACCATTTTTCAGAATCAAGAGGGAGGACAGTGTGAGAAGGCGATGATCCAAAGAAGACAGAGAGGTCAGCCCCACCCGATCCCTCAAATGGGCTCTTGGAGGCACCCCCAGGGGCAGCCCATTTCTCAAAGTCCAGAAAATTAGGGTCCCAGAAGGGGGCAGCAGCAGGCTGGGAGTTAGGAGGGAGAGCAGGGTGCCGGCCCTGCCACCAAGTTGAGAGCTGGAGGGGAGGTGGGGAGAGAACATCACAGAGCAGCCAGCCCTGGTTCACTCCTGGCAGTTTCTTCTCAAGCTCCTTCCCTAGGAGCATGGTGGCACGTGCCTGTGGTCTCAGCTACTTGGGAGGCTGAGGCGGGAGGATCGCCAGAGCCCAGGAGTTTGAGGCTGCAGTGAGCTATGAGGGTGCCTCTGTGCTCCATCCTAGGCAACAGAGTGATACGCTGTTTAAAAAGGAAAAAATCCTTCCCTAGAGCTAGTATCCTAAAGCTGCAGAGCTAGCCCAGACCTCATTGGTTTCCTTGTCCTTGGGGTGCTTTTCCTGAATCTTTGCGGGTGAAGGGAGTGTTGCTCCCAGTCCAGAGGCCTGATTCTGTTTGGACTGGGTTCTCAAGACACGACCAGGTTCTCAAGACACGAGTCCCCTTGTTCCTCCCCATTAAAGGGGGTTTGTCAGAAGCAAGAACAGCCCCTCTCCCCAGTCACAGCCTGAAGGGAGGCCCCGAGAGCTTCCTCCTTCCCCCCACCTGCTCCTTACCTTCTCTGCCCTGCTTTTTAGAACTGCAGTTCATTGTTTTAAGGGATTGGGGGAGGGAGCCTGGGGACACAAACCTTTTATACAATACAAAGCTTTGCTTTTTTTTTTTTTTTCTTCCTTTTCCCTTTCTCGGTTCTCTTCTCTCCTCTGAATGGCTGAAGACCCCTCTGCCGAGGGAGGTTGGGGATTGTGGGACAAGGTCCCTTGGTGCTGATGGCCTGAAGGGGCCTGAGCTGTGGGCAGATGCAGTTTTCTGTGGGCTTGGGGAACCTCTCACGTTGCTGTGTCCTGGTGAGCAGCCCGACCAATAAACCTGCTTTTCTAAAAGGATCTGTGTTTGATTGTATTCTCTGAAGGCAGTTACATAGGGTTACAGAGGGCAGGTGGGAAGGAGAGAGAAAGAGAGGGAGGGAGAACTGTTGGTATAAACTTGTCTCACGTGCCTGGGGTGGGGGAAGGCCAGGGAGATAACAATAATTGCCAATTTATTGAGCCCTTATTCTCTACCAGGAACTGTTCTAAGCACTTTGGTATGGAATTGCTTATTTAATCTCATAACAGCCCCTCTAGGCAGAGCCTATCATTATCATTCCCAGTCTAGATATGAGGAAACAGTGACTTGTCTAAGGTGCCATAGCTGGGAAGCAGTGGAGCTGGGATTCAAAGGCACCTGGATCCTCAATCTGTTTCATGGTTATAACCCTGTGTCTGTACCGGGTTGTATAGTCTGTTTCATGGTTATAACCCTGTGTCTATACAGGGTCTGTAACCCTGTGCCCCCTGGATCCACTTCCCTGCAGTCAGGGCATTAGCCCTCCAGACACACCCAGTTACTGTACTCAGCCTGAGCTTCCCACACACATACCCTTTGGAATCATAGGCCTAGAGGAGGCAGCCTAGGGGAGGGGAATATCAGAGGCCCTCAGAGGGCTGAATATCGGTAAAGAAAGTACATGACATATCCCAGTTGTATCCACACAGCATATTTCAATCTCCCCACAACCCTGTGACGGGCACTGCTATGGTTTAAATGTATTACCCATATTTCTTTCTTTCTTTCTTTCTTTCTTTTTCTTTCTTTCTTTCTTTCTTTCTTTCTTTCTTTCTTTCCTTTCTTTCTTTTCTCTCTCTCTCTCCCCCTCTCCCTCTCCCTCCCCCTCTCTCTCTCCCTCCCTCCCTCTGTCTCTCTCCCTCTCTCTCTCTCTTTCTTTCTTGATGGAGTCTTGTTCTGTCACCTGGGCTAGAGTGCAGTGGCGCAATCTCTGCTCTGCAACCTCCACCTCCTGGGTTCAAGTGATTCTCCTGCCTCAGCCTCCCAATTAGCTAGGATTATAGGCATGTGCCACTGCGCCCAGCTAACTTTTGTATTTTTAGTAGAGATGGGGTTTCATCATGTTGGGCAGGCTGGTCTTGAACTCCTGACCTCAAGTGATCTGCCTGCCTTGGCCTCCCAAAGTGCTGGGATTATAGGTGTGAGCCACCACACCCAGCGCAAATTTCATTTGTTGGAAACCCCACATTCATATGTTGAGGAGAATCAGAAGTGGGGCCTTTTCAAGGTAATTAGCATTAGATAAGGTCACCAGGGTGGGGCTCCCATGATGGGACCAGTGACTTTATAAGATGAGGAAGAGGGCCGGGCAAGGTGGCTCGTGCCTGTAATCCCAGCACTTTGGGAGGCCAAGGCAGGTGAATCACCTGAGGTCAGGAGTTCAAGACCAGCTTGGCCAACACAGTGAAACCCCGTCTGTACTAAAAATAAAACAATTAGCCAGCATTTTGGCAGGTACCTGTAATCCCGACTACTCAGGAGGCTGAGGTGAGAGAACAGCTTGAACCCAGGAGGGGGAGGTTGCAGTGAGCCGAGATCATGCCATTGCACTCCAGCTTGGGTGACAAAGCGAGACTCCGTCTCAAAATAATAATAATAATAATAATAATCAGATTCTTCCCATGTGGTGGCAAAAGTGACCATAAATAGCAGCAGGCTTATGGACTAACAGGTGAGCAACCCCAGTGAAGAGGGGTTCTTTCCAGATTTGTCCAGCCAGAATCTCAGCTGTCATACCCTGATAGGTCACATATCCAAATCACTATGGCTCTGACCAAACACAGGTCATGTGATCACTTGTAGAACCCACCTGAAATGTGGAATTAAGAGTAGTATTAATCAGGGCTCTTCAGAGAGACAGAACCAATAGGATGGATGGATAGGTAGATAGAGGAGAGGGAATTTATTGGGGGAATTGGCTTATTTGATTATGTAGGCTAAGAAGTCCCACGGCGAGCCATCTGCAACCTGGAGACCCTGGGATGCCATAGCTTGGCTCAGTCCAACTCTGAAAGCCTCAGAATCAGGGAAGCTGACGGTGTAACTCTCACCCCGAGGCCAAAGGCCTGAGAACCCAGGAGGCCACTGGTATAAGTAAGTGCTGGAGTCCAAAGGCCAGAGAGGCTGGAGTTCTGATGTCCATGGCAGGAGAAGAGGAGAGTATCTCAGCTCCAGGAGAGAGACCAACGCAGCTATTTCTCTGTTTTTTGTTCTATGGTGGGTTAGGGGGAGCTGATTGGGTGGTGCCTGCCCACATTGAGGGCAGATCTTCCCCACTTCCTCCCTTCACATTCACATGCTAATCTCTTCTGGAAACACCTCATAAGTATTCCTTAATCTAGTCAAATTGACACCTAAACTTAACAATCACAAGTGAAGGAGGGCTGTTTTCTCAAAGGAAAACAGGGATATAGTTACCAATAGAAAAGGGAGGCTGGGTGCAGTGGCGCCTGCCTGTAATCCCAGCACTTTTGGAGTTTGTGGCAAGAGGATAGCTTGAGCCCATGACTTCGAGATCAGCTTGGGCAATATAATAAGATCCTTTTTCCACAAAAAATACAAAAATTAGCCAGGCAGGATGTTGTGTGCCTGTAGTCCCAGCTATTCAGGAGGCTGAGGTAGGAGGATTGCTTGAGCCCAGAAGTTCCAGGCTGCAGTGAGCTATGACCCAAACCATTGCACTCCAGTCTGGGTGACAAAGCAATACCCTGTCTCTATTTTTTTATTATTTTATTTTAGACAGAGCCTTACTCTCACCCAGGCTGGTGCAGCATTGCAATCTTGGCTCACTGCAACCTCTGTCTCCCGGGTTCAAGCAATTCTCCTGCCTCAGCCTCCCAAGTAGCTGGGATTACAGGTGCCCACCACCATTTCCAGATAATTTTTGTATTTTTAGTAGAAATGCGGTTTCTCCATGTTGGCAAGACTGGTCTTGAACCCCTGACCTCAAATGATCCACCCACCTGGGCCTCCCAAAGTGCTAGAATTACAGGCATGAGCCACAGAGCCTGGCCTATTTATTCATTTATTTTTTAAGGAGGGGGAAAAAAAGAGAGAGAAAGATGGGCAGACAAAACAACAGATGGTCTTTCCAAATGATCTGTTTGTGATTCTGTGCCAGGAGCTGAGAGACTTAAAAAGACAGCCAGATCTAGTCCTTAATTTTAAAGGGTTTGCAATTAGTGGGAGAGGCAGCTGTTCAAAATAGCTCAAAGTGGCCTGGCACGGTGGCTCACACCTGTAATCCCAGCACTGTGGGAGGCTGAGGAGGGAGGATTGTTTGAGTACACGAGTTTGAGATGACTGTGGGCAACACAGCAAGACCCCATCTCTACAAAAATGTTTAAATAAATAAATATTATTAGGTTGTTGCAAAAGTAATTGTGGGTTTTGCCATTACTTTGACAAAAACGACAATTACCTTTGCACGAACACAATAATATCCAGAAAGATCTTCAAGGCATCAAACAAACAAATACATCATAAGTAAATACAAGCTCAAAGACATGACTTAAGGTAAGAGAAGTAAAGCAAAGTGCAATGACAATACCCTGGAGAAGGGTTAATCCTGCTTGGGGAATATGAGAAAACTTAAAGGAAGAAGGGAGCTTTTCAGCTGTGATTCTAAACATGGGCAGGATTTCAATAGATAACTGTTGGAGGCCAGAGGCAGCATTTTACTTGATATTTGTGTCACCAGAACCTAAAAGTGTCTCAAACACAATTATAGTGGTTTATGTTACTTAGTGAAAGAGTAGGAATCAGGGGATTTCCAGGGACTTCTGCAGAGGGAGTGCTCCCTGAGTGCTGATATTAATGGAACTCAGCTCTAAGGGCTCCCAGGCTCTGTGCCTTTCTATTTCAACATTCCAAATTCCTGACAGAGAGACTCTGAGTAAGCTAGTTCACATTAGTGTTTGCCCTGAGTTTAATAACGCCCGCCAGGCACAGTGGCTCAGGCCTGTAATCCCAGCACTTTGGGAGGCCAAGTCAGGTGGATCACGAGGTCAGGAGTTCAAGATCAGCCTGGCCAAGATGGTGAAACCCCCGTCTCTACTAAAAATACAAAAATTAGCCGGGCGTGGTGGTGAGCGCCTGTAATCCAAGCTACTCGGGAGGCAGAGGTTGCAGTGAGCTGAGATGGCGCCACTGTACTCCAGCCTGGCAGAATGAGACTCCGTCTCAAAATAAATAAATAAATAAACAAAAAATAAATAATCAAAGGCCAGGAGGACAGGATCATATAATACAGATGTGGCTGAAGGGACCCATTTCAGTGTCTGATTGCAGGGAGGAGGGGAAACTCCCAGGAAAAGAGGACCTGTGAGCTAGGCAGGTACACAATACGTGTGAATGAAATGCAAGCAGTGATACGGGGCAGGGAGGTTCTTCAGGCAAAACGAACAGCGTGAAAGCAGAAAGGCATAGGGCTGAAGGCTTGATTAATAATTATAGAATTATGGTGTGAGGCTGGGTGCGGTAGTTCAAGCCTGTAATCCCAGCACTTTGGGAGGCCAAGGCAGGCGGATCACCTGAGGTTGGGAGTTCAAGACCAGCCTGACCAACATGGAGAAACCCCATCTCTACTAAAAATACAAAATTAGCCGGGCGTGGTGGCACATGCCTGTAATCCCGGCTACTCGGGAGGCTGAGGCAGGAGAAACCCTTGAACCCCAGGAGGTGGAGGTTGTAGTGAGCCAAGATTGCACCATTGCACTCCAGCCTGGGCAAAAAGAGCGAAACTCTAGCTAAAAAAAAAAAAAAAAAAAAAAAGACAAAGAAAAAGAAAAAAAAAAGAATTTTGGTGTGCTAGAACTAAAAGGGCTCTTGTTTTTTGTTTTTCTTCTTTGTGATGGAGTTTCGCTCTTGTTGCCTAGGCTGGAGTCCAATGGCATGATCTCAGCTCACTGCAACCTCTGCCTCCTGGGTTCAAGCGATTCTCCTGCCTCAGCCTCCCAAGTAGCTGGGATTACAGGTACACACCACCATGCCCGGCTAATTTTGTATATTTATAATAGAGACAGGGTTTCACCATGTTGGCCAGGCTGATCTTGAACTCCTGACTTCAGGTTGATCAGCCTGTCTTGGCCTCCCAAAGTGCTGGGATTACAGGCATGCGCCACCACACCCAGCTAATTTCGTGTTTTTAGTAGAGACAGGGTTTCTCCATGTTGGTCTTGCTGGTCTCAAACTCCCGACCTCAGGTGATTCGCCCGCCTCAGCCTCCTAAAGTGCTGGGATTACAGGTGTGAGCCACTGCACCTGGCTTAGGACCTGACTCTTATCTGCTATGCTGCATGGTCAGCTGGAGAGTATCTTCCAACAAAAAACACTTTAATGCAAATTCACTAAAGTTAGAATTATGTTCTCTATTTGCAGATGAGGATGCTGAGGTTCAAAGAGGTTAAGGAGCTAGCCCAAGGTTGCACAGCTTCTTCTGTGTCAGAGCCAGGATGTCTCGCCTCAGCTCCCCTCAGCTCTCAATTTAATGCAATTGCTTCTATCAACTGCTGTGATGGTCAAGGGAGGAGAGAATGTGTAGGAAGGAAGAGGAGGATAACAGCTCTAGATTCAACGCAAAGTTAAGTAAAATGACTAATAAGATATTGACGTTTGGGAGGCCGAGGCGGGCAGATCACGAGGTCAGGAGATCGAGACCCTCCTGGCTAATACGGTGAAATCCCGTCTCTACTAAAAATACAAAACAAACAAACAAACAAAAACCTAGCCGGGCGTGGTGGCAGGTGCCTGTAGTACCAGCTACTCGGGAGGCTGAGACAGGAGAATGGCGTGAACCTGGGAGGCGGAGCTTGCAGTGAGCAGAGATCACCCCACTGCACTCCAGCCTGGGCGAGAGAGCGAGACTCCATCTCAAAAAAAAAAAAAAAAAAGATATCAACGTTGATGAGGAGGTCCCTGGTAGCCCTTCAAGAGCTCTGTCCTATGAACAAGAGAGGGCAGAAACCACCTTGATGGAGCAAGTGGGGATGAGGACATGGGGCAATGAATGTGAAGTGATGGGGGTAACTTGAGGAAATAGCAAGGTCAGTATAGGAGAGAGGAAGGATCTTCAAGTCAGAAAGAAGAGAACAAGTGGAGAAGGTCAGGAAGGAGAAGAGAATTGAGAACACTCAAAGAGGGGAGAGGCGGGATCAAGAGCACTTCCATGCATTCATTATTTATTGAGCATCTATTATGTCAGCATGTTGACTGGGGAGTCAAGGGAGCCTGGAACAGAGAAGACACCTCTTCCTGGAACTAACAGTATAAAGAGAAAGATAGATGAGAAACCCTATAAACAGAGCTGGATATGGTGGCACACACCTGTAATCCCAGCTACTAGGGAGGGTGAGGCTGGCGGATGCCTTGAGCCCAGGGGTTCAAAGCTGCAGTGAGCTATGACCACACCACTGCACTCTTGCCTGGGTGACAGAGAGAGGTGCCAAACCCTGTCTCTACTAAAAATAGAAAAATTAGCCAGGGGTGATGGTGCGCACCTGTAGTCCCAGCTATTCAGGTGGTTAGGTGGAAGGATCTCTTAAGCCTGTTAGGAAGAGGTTGCAGTGAGCTGAGATCATGCCACTGCATTCCAGCCTGGGTGACAGAGTGAGACCCTGTCTCAAAAAAAATAATAACAAAATAAGGCCGGGCGCGGTGGCTCACGCCTGTAATCTCAGCACTTTGGGAGGCCGAGGTGGGCAGATCATCTGAGATCGGGAGTTGGAGACCAGCCTGACCAACATGGTGAAATCCCATCTCTACTAAAAATACAAAATTAGACAGGCATGGTGGTGTCCGCCTGTAATCCTAGCTACTTGGGAGGCTGAGGCAGGAGAATTGCTTGAACCTGGGAGGCAGAGATTGCAGTGAGCTGAGATTGTGCCACTGTACTCGAGATCATGCCACTGCACTCCAGCCTGGGCAATAGAGCGAGACTCCATCTCAAAAAATAAAATAAAATAAGGCTGGGTGCGATGGCTCATGCCTATAATCTCAGCACTTTGGGAGGCCAAGACAGGCAGATCACCTGAGGTCAGGAGTTTGAGACCAGCCTGGCCAACATGGTGAAACCCCGTCTCTACTAAAAACACAAAAATTAGTTGGACATGGTGGTGGGCACCTGTAATCCCAGCTACTCGGGAGGCTGATGCAGAAGAATCACTTGAACCCGGGAGATGGAGATTGCAGTGAGCCAGCATCTTGCCACTGCACTCTAGCCTGGGTTACAGAGCGAGACTCTGTCTCAAAAAAAAAAAAAATTAAATAAATAGAAAAGAACTGTGATGAATTCCACAGGAAACAGGATATAGAAATAGGGATTAACAGGCTGTGAATAACTTTAGATAGGAGTGGTTAGACAAGGTCTGTTGGAGTAACAAGGAAACAGCCACGCCAAAGCCGGGGAAGGAAAAGGAACAGCATATGCAAAGGTCCTGAGCTGGGAAGTGGACTGGCTGGAATTTAGTGGGCAGCAGAGATGTAGGTGGGGTAGGCAGGGCCTTGAAGGAGATGAGATAAAGAAGAACTGTATCCAAAGCCCCATGAGAATTGACTGGAAGAAAAGAAGGACATGGTATGAATGATGTGTTAAGCGATACAGGAAAAAACATCATAGCCTTGAAAATATTGAGCTGGGGGCCAGGCGCGGTGGCTCACGCCTGTAATCCCAGAATTTTGGGAGGCCAAGGTGGGTGGATCACAAGGTCAGGAGTTTGCAGGAGGCGGAGGTTGCAGTGAGCCAAGATCGTGCCATTGCACTCCAGACTGGGCGACAGGGCGACACTTGGTTTCAAAAAACAAAAAAGGCCGGGAGCGGTGGCTCACGCCTGTAATGCCAGCACTTTGGGAGGCCAAGGTGGGTGAATCACAAAGTCAGGAGATTGAGACCATCCTGGCTAACACGGTGAAACCCCATCTCTACTAAAAAAAATACAAAAAGTTAGCTGGGCGTGGTGGTGGGAGCCTGTAGTCCCAGCTGCTCGGGAGGCTGAAGCAGGAGAATGGCGTGAACCTGGGAGGCGGAGCTTGCAGTGAGCCCAGATTGCGCCACTGCACTCCAGCCTGGGCGACAGAGCGAGACTCCGTCTCAAAACAAACAAACAAAAAAGGAAAAAAAAAAAGAAAATATTGAGTGGGGAGGACTGTTCAGACTGAAGGAAAGAGACATATCTGCATAACGATGCCTGAGGTGTTTTGGCAGAGAGAAGGCCCAAAGAGTTTGTGTTGCGCAGACCTGCTCTTCACTGTGATATTAGTGGGAGTTTTGGGCAGCCCTGGGTGAGCCTTTCTGTTGCTGAACCCCATGAAGATCTCATCACCCTCACAGGTTGCCCCTTACTCCCTTTGGTCACCACAGTGACTTGCCACCCACTTACCATCCCCAAGGTTCTCTTTCTTGCTATGCTTTCCTCTTGACTTTGGGTTTTACTGCTAATTCCTTCGGGGAAGAGGTGAAGCAGTTCTCACAGGGTTAACGAGAATTTTGGACACAAATATAGTTATAATTAAGGAAAAACAGATATAAAGCTCTCAATTTAGACAAACTGTGCTTGAATTTGAATCCTGGCTCTGCCATTTACCAGCTGTATGTTCTTGGGGAAGTGACTTAGCCTTAGGTAAGTCTCATTTTCTGCATCTATAAAGTCACAGTATTTGCCTCATGGGGTTATTGTAAGGATTAAATGAGTTCACAGATATGTTACATGAATTACATTCTTAGAACAGTGGCTAGTACATATTCAACACTCTGTGTTTGTTAATGCTGATGTCATTATTCAAGACTTTTTTTGGAGACAGAGTCTCGCTCTGTCGCCCAGGCTGGAGTGCAGTGGTGCTACCTCGGCTCACTGCAACCTCCACCTCCCAGGTGCAAGCGATTCTCCTCCCTCAGACTCCCAAGTAGCTGGGATTACAGGCACCCGCCACCATGCCCAGCTAATTTTTGTATTTTTAGTAGAGACAAGGTTTCACCACGTTGGCCAGGCTGGTTTCAAACTCCTGACCTCAAGTGATCCGCCTGCCTCAGCCTCCCAAAGTGCTAGGACTACAGGATGAGCCACCACGTCAGGCCTCAAGACTTATTTATTAATATTTAATTAATTCAGTCTTAGGTGAGCTCTAGGCTAGATGATAGATGCTGAGATTATGAAGACAGGGCTTAAGGGGTTCAAGTTTCCAGGAACCCACAGTTTAGGGGAAGATGTTTGTTAGCACGTGGCCAGAGAGTCAGCCAGACCTGATTTTCATTCTGAGTTTCCACCTAGTTTCTAGCTGTGAGACCAGTCTTGAGCCAGTCTTTCACTTTCTCAGTCTTCGTTTCCTCAATTGTAAAATAAGAATTATAATATTACCCTCACTGGGTTCTGGTGAGGATCAAATGAGATAATCTATGTAAAATGCTTAGCACAGTTCCTGGAATATAGTAGTAATTACTTAATCAATGTTAATTATTGTTTTTTTTCAGGAAGTAGGCCAATATGTGGATTTATTAGAATTCAAGGTAGAGAATGTATTCTAGATGGGGAAACAACCTGCCGAAGGAGTCTGGTAGGAGATTAACTTTGCCAGTAAGAATAGAAGGAAGCCTAGAGGAGGTGATGTTGCAACAGGGCTTTGAAGAATGAGTAAGAGTTCTCAGGTAGGGACTGAGGAAAGAGATTCCAGGTAGAAGGAAGACTATCCACAGAGGCATGAAGTTGCAGAAGGTGTAGACATGTTTGGAGGAAGGTAACACATTTAGTAGGGTTTGTGGGACTAGGTTAGAAAAGGGGGGATTCAGGTCAGCCTTTGTGGAATTTATCTTTTTTTTGAGACAGAGTCTCACTGTATTACCCAGGCTGGATTGCAATGGTGCAATCTTAGCTCACTGCAACCTTTGTCTCCTGGGTTCAAGCGATTCTTCTGCCTCACCCTACCGAGTACCTGGGATTACAGGTGCCCGCCAACACGCTTGGCTAATTTTTGTATTTTTAGTAGAGACAGACTTTCACCATGTTGGTCAGGCTGGTCTTGAACTCCTGACCTCAGGTGATCCACCCGCTTCGGCCTCTCAAAGTGCTGAGATTACAGGCGTGAGCCACTGTGCTGGGCCTGTAGGATTTTATGATTCAAATAAAGAGGGAGAAAGAAGGAACATCAATTGAGCTCCTACCACATGCATGGCACTGAATTATGGTGTTTTTTTCTTTTTTCTTTTTTTTTTTGAGACAGAGTCTCACTTTGTTGCCTGGGCTGGAGTGCAGTGGCATGATCTCGGCTCACTGCAACCTCTGCCTCCCGGGTTCAAACGATTCTCCTGCCTCAGCCTCCCAAGTAGCTGGGATTACAGGCACCCGCCACTATGCCCAGCTAATTTTTTTGTATTTTTAGTAGAGACGGGGTTTCATCATGTTGGCCAGGCTGGTCTCGAACTCCTGACCTCAGGATTCGCCCGCCTCGGCCTCCCAAAATGCTGGGATTACAGGCATGAGCCACCGCGCCCAGCCATGGCACTGAATTAAATGGTCAGCTTTTTGTTTATTGTTTGTTTTTGAGACAAGGTTGGTCTTGTTCTGTTGCTCAGACTACAGTACAGTAGAACAGTCATAGCTCACTGTAACTTCGAACTTCTTTCTAAGTTCAAGTGATCCTCCTGCCTCAGTCCTCAGAATAGCTGGGACTACAGGCATGCCACCACCACGCCCGGCTAATTTTTTGTAAAGTTGGTGTTTTGCCATGTTGCCCAGGCTGATCTCGAACTCCTGGCCTCAAATGATCTTCCTGCCTCGGTCTCCCAAAGCTTTAGGATTACAGGCATGAGCCACTGTGCCTGGTCAGCATTTTTAAAATTTAACTTGGATTGGCCGGACACGGTGGCTCCCAGCACTTTGGGAGGCTGAGGTGGGCGGATCACTTGAGGTCAGGAGTTCAAGACCAGCCTAGCCAACACAGTAAAACCCCGTCTCTACTAAAAATGCAAAAATTAGCTGGGCATGGTGGTGGGCACCTGTAGTCCCAGCTACTTGGGAAGCTGAGGCAGGAGAATTGCTTGAACCTGGGAGGCGGAGGTTGCAGTGACCCAGGATCATACCATCGCATTCCAGCCTAGGCGACAAGAGGAAACTCTGTCTCAAAAAAAAAAAAAAAAAAAAAAATTAACTTGGATTTTATCTTGCCGGTAGTAGGGAACCATAGAGATTTTTAAGCCGACTGTGACATGATTGAATTTTTTTTTTTTTTTTTTTTTGAGCCAGGGTCTTGCTCTATCGCCTAGGCTGGAGTGCAGTGGAGGGATCTGGGCTCACTGCAACCTCCACCTCCTGGGTTCAAGCAATTCTCCTGCCTTAGCCTCCTGAGTAGTTGGGACTACAGGCACGTGCCACCATGGCTAGCTAATTTTTACTTTTGTTTTGAGATGGAGTTTCGCTCTTGTTGTCCAGGCTAGAATGCAATGGCGCGATCTCGGCTCACTGCAACCTTCACCTCCCGGGTTCAAGAGATTCTCTTCCCTCAGCCTCCCGAGTAGCAGGGATTACAGGTGCAAGCCACCATGACTGGCTGATTTTTGTATTTTTAGTAGAGACAGGGTTTCATCATATTAGTCAGGCTGGTCTCGAACTCCTGACCTCAGGTGATCTGCCCGCCTCAGCCTCCTAAAGTGCTGGGATTACAGGCGTGAGCCACAGTGCCCAGCCTAATTTTTGTATTTTTAGTAGAGACGGGGTTTCACTGTGTTGGCCAGGCTGGTCTTGAACTGACCTTGTGATCCACCCGCCTTGGCCTGAATGTTTATTTATTTAATTTTTAGGATGATGTCCCTGGCAGCCAGTGGAAGAATAGGATAGAATAAGGAGAGAATAATCAGGTGGTTAAGGCAGTGGCCCAAGGGACAGAAATTGCAGCATTTAGCCAAGAGGAATTTGGCGGGGTTGTGGAGAAAGGCCAGTGTCTGGGCTGAAGAGAATTTTTGCAGGTCAAACCCATAGTCGCAGAGGTAGATTTTATGTGTTACTGGTGGGGAGGCCAATGAGGGAAACAGAGGCCAGCTCTTGAGAAGTCAGAAGCAGGGCAGGGTTTGAATGAATGGAACAAAGCTATGGGACGTAAAGCCCCCAAACCTGACTCTGAACCTGGTATATTTCTGAGTTTCTCTGTGATCTTGAAAATGTCATATTATGTTGTCTTTAGTTTTCTATCAGCGGATAATATGGCCTCTCCTATCTGCTATTCATGATTGTGAGAAAGAAACCAGGCAGGGAGTGTATAAGGTGTGTAAGTCCTTTGTAAGCAGTAAATCACTAAACAAATCCTAGACCCTATGTTATCAGGGAGGCAGTTGGCCGCACGGGATAGCGTAGTTACAAGAGACTATAGGCGGAGATGGGGGATATCTGTCCTGTGGTGTAGATAAACAGCCTAATCAATACACACACACTCTACAGGTAAATACAGCAATTTCCATACTGAGCTGTGTCTACCAGAGGGCAATAGGAGGTTCTCAATTCTCACCACCAGTGACCCTATGAATTGCCCTGTAGATGCCTCTGTCCCTCATTGGATATGAGGTGGTACGAGCGGTCTGAATCTGTAGACTTAGACAGGCTTCAGGTATCTGGGGAACCATGTGAGTAAAACCTTGTATTGTTTCTGGGGCTAGAATCTAGTCTCCTTCAAACACTCAGAAGGATCTGTGACTGCCTTCAAAGGTTAAGAGTCATTGATTTTTCTCACTAGAAATTAATAAGAACAGCTATCCTTGGGGAGAAGGAATGATGGGGGTAGGGAAAGATTTTCATTTAATATTTTTGACCTTTCTGAACGGTCTGCATTTTCTAAACAGGAACATGTATTAGGTTCATTGAAAAAAAATATGTCAGGGGTTAGCTGAGCAGTGAGATAATGGGTCCTTTTTAGATTTTTGTCTTTATACCTGTTCGTATTAAACAAACACAAATATTAATAACATATTTTTAAAGACCCAAAAAAATAAAAATTAAAAACCCTGATAGTATCAGCACATACACAGAAATCACTCCATTATGCAAAGTTCATCCTCTATTATGAAAGGCAAAATGTCTACATTTCCTATCAACCACTGGCTTCAATTCAGTAAAACTTGCATACCAAGTAGGCAAGGTGGAAAAGAAAAAGGCAGAACATTTCATGTATTTCAATTCAGACGCATAAAAATGTCAAGCCCTACACGTTATCAGCTTTCGTATACACCGTCTTCTGCATTCGCCTGTACGGGCCAATGGGCTAGCTGGTCGGCGTTTGATGCTTGAAGTGATGGAACGGAGTACGGGGTTAAATCCACTACCCTCTCCCCACGCACTCTAGTAATTACTCTATTTCCACGTCATGTTTCCGGGTGTGTGTGTCCCTGCTCACGCAGAAACTGAAGTTCAAAGCAGGCGGAGTCACCCATGTTCTTTTTGTTGTCCCCAGAACCCAATTCAGGAGTTGGGTCCCCAGAGGATCTGGAGATACCTGGGGACTATCTAACTAGCTGATTCCCGCGTGGTAAGAGGCTCTCAACCTCGCCACCACGTGGTGCCAAGGGCCGGGAAAAGGGAGAGCGGGCAGGAGGGAGCTGTATCAGGGGCATTTAAAGTGCCTTGACGTCACGCACTGCCAGGAACTCAGCTGAGTTTTCAGCAGGACATTCCGGTCATCTTCCCTCCCTCCCCCCGGGCTTCTGTGCCCAAGTCCTCGGCTCTTCCCTCGCTGTGGCGGAGGGAGGAGCACCGAACTGTCGGAACAGCCAGCACAGGGGCGTATCAGTCTCCTCTTGGCTCCGCCCTTTCTCCTAGCTGCTCTCCTCATTGGTCAGTGGGCGGGGCTTCGGCTGTACCGCACACGCACTGGGACCTCTGGGTGGCCGAACGAGCTGGCCTTTCATGAATTATGCATGACGGCGTGCCTCGGCCAGGCTGGGGCTGGGCGAGGATTGGCTGAAGGGGCTGTAATTCAGCGGTTTCCGGAGCTGCGGCGGCGCAGACTGGGAGGGGGAGCCGGGGGTTCCGACGTCGCAGCCGAGGGAACAAGCCCCAACCGGATCCTGGACAGGCACCCCGGCTTGGCGCTGTCTCTCCCCCTCGGCTCGGAGAGGCCCTTCGGCCTGAGGGAGCCTCGCCGCCCGTCCCCGGCACACGCGCAGCCCCGGCCTCTCGGCCTCTGCCGGAGAAACAGGTGAAGGGGGTGCAGGGTGGGGCCGTTGGGGAGGCCTGGGGACCCGGGGGCTCCGCAGCGGCAGGGGGCCTCTGGGACCTTGGGGATGTTGTGATGGACGCTGCAGTGGGGCCGGGAGAGATGAAGAGACGCGGAGGGTCGCCCTGAGGGAAGACTCTTCGGGATGACAGGAGCGGGCCTCGGAAGGGACTCGGGGCGCTGGAGGGAAGTTTCGTTCTTCGGAGAAACAGAACGCGCTCGAGGGGGCACCGTGGGGCGAGGGCGCACTCGGTTGCGGCGGCAGGAGTGAGGGACAGTCCCCCGATTTCCTGCTCCCTGGGGCCCTGGGGACGTTCCGGCCACCGGAGCGACTGTCACGCCGACGGGGATCACCGGCGCGAGTGGGGGGTCGGAAAGCGCCTCCTCCCCGCCCGGTCGGCGGCTCCCGCTGAGCCACTTCCTCCGCTTGCCCTGTTCCCGCTCCTTCAGGAGACAGCTGTGCCCTTTTGGAGGCAGGAATAGGTGTGTCTGTCGCCTGCAGCCTTACGGGCTGGCTGGTCGTGGGTAGGCTTTATTGCATAAGAATCAAGTTTCCTGTAGGGAAATTGACAGACCGGTACTCTTTCTAAATTCCCTCGCATCTTTTTCTAGGTTAAATTATGCTCCCCCCACGTCCCCGCCTTGTAAAAAAGAGAAAAAAAGACAAAATAAAATCCCCATCAACCCGTCAAGCCAGCTCTAGAGAGAGAAATAAACCTCTTGACATTGTCCTTTTCCAAATACCTGGTAAAGTCGGCCAGAAGATAAATAATTGAGCCATTGCATTTACTGGATTGTGGTGTTGCTTAATTGCATAGGACGGAATGAACCAATTGAGAGTGGGAGTTTTCTGTCTCAGAGCCAAGATCTTGGGTAAATGCAGAGGAGAGGGAAACAAAGACAGGCTGGCCTTGAAAAAACCATGTGTGCAAACTTTACATGCATTTGGGGGGTGTGGTTGCACTGAAGTTAACAAGATTCAAACCGTCGCCCAAGTTGGTATTTCCATGTTTGGTACACATCACTCTGTGCCATATCAGGTCGTTGTTAAGTGTGGTGACAAAATCAGTGGTTAGTCATTTTTTTAATTAAAAATGTGTATAGTGTGTACCTGCTGGTCTTACTGTATGTGCAACTAAAGGTTTACATAGTCTGTGTATGGGTTGTAAATTTTTGGCTGGCTGTGCTGATAAAGCATTGGGCTTGAATAAAGCAAAGCAGAAAATCATCTCAATCTTTTATATGTGGATTTAGACTGTGTTATGACTTGGTTCAGCCAGTTTTCTATCTTATTTTATATTAAATATGTCTGTGTTCTCTGAGTCAGCACATTTATTTCCTTATTACATGTTCCAGACAGGAGTGCTAGCCCAGTTTTTGTTCAGTTTGCACAGTGGGATGGGGAAACAAGTCTGGAATTTAAAAAAAAATGTTTTAGAGGTTGGAGCCTTGATTTTAGTCTCTATATTAGCACATCCATCACAAAGAACCATTAGTAAATTCATGAATCTTTTGTTTTTTATGTAGTTCATTTGAGAAGAATAATCACTTAGAAATATCCACAGTGCCAGGCATGGTGGTGCACACCTCTGATCCCAGCTAATTGAAGGCTGAGGTGGGAGGATTCCTTGAGTCCAGGAGTTGAGTCTGGTCTGGGCAACATGGTGAGAGGCCAGGAATTGGGTCTAGAGTCTAGTCTAAGCACCATAATGAGAACCCATCTTTAAGAAAGAAAGAAAGGAAAGGAGGAAGAAAGGAAAGAAAAAGAAATACCCACAGCACAGTTATGAATTAACCCACAAAGGACTTGTGAGGTGGGTAGTTCACATAACAATTACCCTAATATCGTAGATAAGAAAATTGAGGCCAAAGGATCAAGACACTTGGCCAACGCAGCAGAGTGCCATAGTGGTGGAATTTGTGCCTCCTTCTGTATATTTTGTGAAAAGTATCAGTGAAATTCTTTTTTTTTTTTTTTTTGAGTCAGAGTCTTGCTCTGTTGCCCAGGCTAGAGTGCAGTGGCGCAATCTTGGCTCACTGCAACCTCTGCCTCCTGGGTTCAAGCGATTCTCCTGCCTCAGCCTCCCAAGTAGCTGGGACTACAGGCGTGCGCCACCACGCCCAGCTAATTTTTGTATTTTTAGTAGAGACCGGGGTTTTACCATATTGGCCAGGCTGGTCTTGAACTCCTGACCTTGTGATTTGCCCACCTCTATCTCCCAAAGTGCTGGGATTACAGGTGTGAGCCACCGCGCCCAGTAAGTATCAGTGAAATTCTAACATATATCTGAACAGTAAAATACCACCAATAGGCTGAAAGACTTCATGGGAGGTAAATATTCAATAAACAGGTGAAAAAAGAAATACAAATGGAGCTTGCTTAGATTATTTTTCTAATTGCTATGTCTAACTTGGGAAGTGAGGAACTGTTTTTGGTCAGCATAATTTACCATCAGAATTTAGCTATTTACTAATGAAAAGAAATACTAATCTAGGTTTGTTTTAGATTAAGGACAGTCATGACCTAAATGTCATTTAAACCAGAGTGCATTGTGGCTTGATCAGTGGTCATTTCTGTCTCTAGAAAGTTGCTTTAACTTCTCTGCCTCTACGTGTCTCTTGACATTCAGATATGAGGTGGGGTAGAGGTGGTGACCAACTTTCCAGACGCCTGAGTCCAAACCTTCTTAGCTTATGGTTTTCTTAGGTGATGTGCAAATCAACAAATATATACTTTTTTTTTTTTTTTTTTGAGTTGGAGTTGCACTCTATCACCCAGGCTGGAGTGCAGTGGCATGATCGTGGCTCACTGCAACCTCCTCCTCCCGGGTTCAAGTGATTCTCGCACCTCAGCCTCCTGAGTAGCTGGGATTACAGGTGCCCGCCACTACGCCCGGCTAATTTTTGTATTTTTAGTAGAGATAAGGTTTCACTATATTGACCAGGCTGGTCTCAAACTCCTGACCTCAAGAGATCTGCCCACCTCAGCCTCCCAAAGTGCTGGGATTACAGGCGTGAACCACCTTGCCTGGCCAACATATATATACCTTTTGCAACTTTGTCAGAGTTGCTATGAAGAATAAGTTGTATCTTGTTCACAGAAATTGCAGTCTACTGGGGGAGCTGATAAATGTTTTAACCATCCAATGTAACATGTTGTCATCAAAGAGATGGTGAGACTTTACACTTGTGCTAACAAGGTAGCTGTTCTACATAAAAGAACATACAGTACAGATGTAGAACTTTTCTGTTATCATAGAACGTTCTATTGGACAGTGCTAGGCTGAATGCTACAGATCTTCAGAGAAAGGAGAGGTTATGAGGCCTGGAGTTGTCTAGAAAGTCTTTTTGCCAAAGAGGGATTTCAACTGGGTCCCAAATAATGGGTGGAATTTGATAGGTGTAAAGAATTTGCGGTGGTTTATGCCTGTAATCCCAGCACTTTGGGAGGCTGAGGCAGGAGGATTGCTTGAGCCCAGGAGTTTGAGACCAGCTTGGGCAACGTGGTAAAACTCCCTCTCCCCTAAAAATAAAAAAAATTAGCCAGGCCTGGTGGCGTGGACCTGTAGTCCCAGCTACTGGTGAGACTAAGGTGGGAGGATCACCCAAGCCCCGGGGGTTAAGGCTGCAGTGAGCCGTGATCCCGCCACCGCACTCCAGCCTGGGTGACAGAGTGAGACCCTGTCTCCAAAAAAAAAAAAAATTCCTGGTAGCCCGGTAGACTAGGAGGGTAAGTAGGGGAGAAGTGATTACTTACAAAAGACATTGAATACAGGACCAAGGAATTTCAGTTCTGTTCTTTTGTAGGGGAAGCTTTTAAAACTTTCGGGGCGCCGGGCGCGGTGGCTCACGCCTGTAATCCCAGCACTTTGGGAGGCCCAGACGCGCGGATCACGAGGCCAGGAGATCGAGACCATCCTGGCTAACACGGTGAAACCCCATCTCTACTAAAAATACAAAAAAAAGTAGCCGGGCGTTGTGGCGGGCGTCTGTAGTCCCAGCTACTCGGGAGGCTGAGGCAGGAGAAGAGCGTGAACTCGGGAGGCGGAGCTTGCAGTGAGCCGATATCGCACCACTGCACTCCAGCCTGGGCGACAGAGCGAGACTCCGTCTCAAAAAAAAAAAAAATAAATAAATAAATAAATAAATAAAACTTTGGAGCCGAAGCACTGATGTTTAATCATAGAGTGCTTACTATGTGTTAGGCACAGGCCTGATTGCCTGATGCTGGTTAATTTGTACAAAGTAAATCAGTGCATATGCCCTCTGCCCTAGGGGAGTTATTAACTGGAGTCTGACATTGTACAAAGGTAGGTATCCTGACTAGTTTGATTTGGTACTTTGGGTGAAAAAAGTATAGTGTGCTTAAGTGCAGAAGTGTTTTTTGAGGATTTTTGATTGGATACAAACCACCACTCATATTTTATGTCTTTGGCACTTAAAAATTTCACCATAACTTTTGAGTCATTTATAAAAACCACTGAAAGAGTACTTGAGGGACATCCCCGAATCCTGAAGAACTTCTGGTGTTCTGGAGCAGCCTCAGTGAGATCCAGGAGGATGGCATTGCTGGGCTGGCCCAGCCCTTATTGATTATGGTGTAAAGAATTAATATGGTGGTTATATACTCTTTGTTAGACACCTTGGCTTACAAGACGTAAGCGTAAAGTGTAGTGCGCTTTAGTCAGTATGGCCACATGGTCCTTTGGTGGTAAATTGTTTGAGATGCCTCCAGTTTTTAAAAGGAGTAGCATATCGGGCCAGGAGCAGTGGCTCATGCCTATAATCCCAGCACTTTGGAAGGCCGAGGCAAGAGGATTGCTTGAGCCCAGGAGTTCAAGACCAGCCTGGGCAACATAGTGAGACCACTTTGTTTCTTTAAAAAAAAAAAAAAGGCAAAAACAGGCTGGGCATGGTGGCTGATGCCTGTAATCCCAGCGCTTTGTGAGGCAGAGGTGAGCGGATCACTTGAGGTCAGGAGTTTGAGACCAGCCTGGCCAACATGGTAAAACCCCGTCTCTACTAAAAATACAAAAATTAGCCAGGTGTGGTGGCACACGCCTGTAGTTCCAGCTACTCTGGAGGCTGAGCCAGGAGAATTGCTTGAACCTGGGAGGTGGAGGCTGCAGTGAGCCAAGATCCTGCCACTGCACTCCAGACTGGGGGACAGAGTGAGACATTCTGACAGTGCTACACTGAATGCTACATGTCTTCAGAGGAAGGAGAGGTTATGAGGCCTGGGAATAACATATGGAAGAATGAATTTCTGTTATGGTCAGTTCTCATTTGTCATGTTAGGATTACTGCAACTCTTACCCAGCCGGGTGTGGTGGCTCATGCCTGTAATTCCAGCACTTTGGGAGGCTGTGGGCGGATCACGAGGTCAGGAGATCGAGACCATCCTGGCTAACACGGTGAAACTCCGCCTCTACTAAAAATACAAAAAATTAGCCCAGCGTGGTGGCAGACGCCTGTAGTCCCAGCTACTCAGGAGGCTGAGGCAGGAGAATGGCATGAGTCCTGGAGGCGGAGCTTGCAGTGAGCTGAGATCGTGCCACTGCACTCCAGCCTGGGCAACAGAGTGGGACTCCATCTCAAAAAAAAAAGAAAAAAAAAAGGATTACCGCAACTCTTTAATTCAGATCAGCAAACATGTTGAGAGCCAGGTATTGCGTCAGGCAGGATCCAAGGATAATGAAATATTGTCCGTTTTCATGAAACTGGAGATGTTGCAGGGACCGAGGTGTGTGCTATGCCAGTATGGAAGTAGGACAGGGGAGACGACAGGGCAGTGAGTGGTTCAAGACTCTGGCTCTGAAGTCAAACAGATCTGGGACTGAATCCTGGATCTGCCACTTCCTAGTCAGAATCTGAGCCTCTATTTTCTTATCTGTAAAAGAAGATTATAACAGTGCTTATCTTGTAGGTACTGTTGACGATTCAATAAGATAATGTGGATAAAATGCTTAGCATAGTGCCTGGCACATAGTAAGAGCTCGGTAAATCTAAGTTCTTACTAAATATCCAAGAAAAGAGATTAATTCTTTTCAGGAGTGAGAGAAAGTCATCATTATTGAGGGGCTTTATCAGATGGGAACACCTGAATAGGGTTTTATAGGATGAATAGGAATTCTTTCCACGAAGTTGCGTTACAAAAAGTTGCATTCAAGGCTGAAGGAACATGAGGGTGCAGAGGCTTAAAACAGCCTTGTGTGTTCAGGGAGCTATAAGTAGAAGTTCTTAATTTAGGAGAACTAAACCAAGGGGAAAGGAGGCCAAGGAACCACAGTTCTTATCCCTTTTCTGTTAATAATTGGGTTTAAATGTCATTAAAATAAGTTATTTTGTCCTTTTTAGAAAAGTAATAACATGCTATTATAAAAAAAAAGACTTGTAGGAATATAAAATGTGTGTTTTACATGTATCCTGTTAATTGACTTGCTTTTATTCAGATTTTTTGCAGCCCTTTCTGTTTACCAGGTTATCTTGGAGACATATTTATTCCAAATTCCTTTTTTTTTTTTTTTTTGAGATGGAGTCTCGCTCTGTCGCCCAGGCTGGAGTGCAGTGGCGCTATCTTGGCTCATTGCAAGCTCCGCCTCCCGGGTTCACGCCACTCTCCTGCCTCAGCCTCCCGAGTAGCTGGGACTACAGGCGCCCGCCACCACGCCCAGCTAATGTTTTTTTTTTTATATTTTTAGTAGCGACAGGGTTTCACCGTGTTAGCCAGGATGGTCTCAATCTCCTCACATTGTGATCCGCCTGCCTCGGCCTCCCAAAGTGCTGGGATTACAGGCGTGAGCCAGCACGCCTGGCCTTCCAAATTCCTTTTAACAGCCTAGCAAAAGAATAATAAGGAAGGTAAATCTGCCCCTACAAGAAAATAATGCTTCGACGATCCGGCTTTCCTTCCTGCTACCCCCAGCCATAAGAATAAATGACCTTGCTCATCACTGAAATTTTACCTGACCTTTGAATTTTTAACTGCGTCAGCCAAAGAACTTATATTTTGAGTATTCCTAAGGTGATTGCTATTGTAGTTTTGAAACACTTGGTTGGTATGTTTGAGGGTTTCATGGTCCAAAGTTACTATAGCAGTTAAAAGAGTGGACTATCAGGTCAGACCTATTGGGCTTTAATCCCAGTTCTGCCTTCTCTTAGACCTTGGGCCTGTTGTTTTCACTTCTCTGGTTTTCAGTTTCTCTGTCCACAATTGTGGAAACGAGGTCCACTTGTAGAGTAATTGAGAGGATGAAGCAAGATGATGCATATCAAGTACTTTGCATAGTGCCGGGCAGACAGGTAACATTCAAGTGCTAATAATTACTATTATTACTATTTATTTTTTGAGACAGGTTCTCACTCTGTCACCTAGGCTGGAGTGCAGCGGTGAGATCACAGCTCATGACAGCCTTGACCTCCTAGGCTCAAGTGATCCTCCTGCCTCAGCCTTCGGGGTAGCTGGGGCTACAGGTGTGTGCTACCACCCTCAGCTAATTTTCTAATTTTTTTGAGTCAGGATCTCGTCACGTTGCCTAGGCTGAATTACTCTTATTAAAAACTATAATATCAGGCCGAGTGCGGTGGCTCACGCCTGTAATCCCAGCACTTTGGGAGGCCAAGGCGGGTGGATCACCTGAGGTCAGGAGTTCAAGACCAGCCTGCCCAACAGAGTGAGACCCCCCCCGTCTCTACTAAAAATATAAAAATTAGCCAGTTGTGGTGGTGGGCACCTGTAATCCCAGCTACTCGGGAGGCTGAGGCAGGATAATCGCTTGAACCCGGGAGGCGGAGGTTGCGGTGAACCGAGATCGTGCCACTGCACTACAGCCTGGGTGACAGAGTGAGACTCTGTCTCAAAAAAACCGAAAAACAAAAAGCATAATTAGGGTGGTAACGCTTATACATAGGGGCAGGTGGAATAAAACATAATTAGGAGGTCGGGCATGGTGGCTCACGCCTGTAATTCCAGCACTTTGGGAGGCCGAGGCGGGTCAGGAGTTCAAGACCAGCCTGCCCAACATAGTGAGACCCCGTCTCTACTAAAAATATAAAATTTAGCCTGTTGTGGTGGCGGGTGCCTGTAGTCCCAGCTACCCGGGAGGCTGAGGCAGGAGAATTGCTTTTGAACCCAGGAGGTGGGGGTTGCAGTGAGCTGAGATCGCGCCGCTGCACTCCAGCCTGGGAGACAGAGCAAGACTCCGTCACAAAAACAAAAAACAAAAAACTGTCATATCAAAAACTAAACTAAAATGGTAATATCTGTTAGATATTACAAAGTCAGGCAAATTATGATTCATGGCAGCCACTAATGACCCAAAGGAGAGAAAGAATAATTAGCAGATTCTAACCTAATGGGAAAAAAACTAAATGAATAGGGATGGGGGACTTACATTCTGTTAGAGGAAATTGAGGCTGTCATATAAAAGGAATAGGTAAGGCAAACTGTAAATTCCTGTTTACACAAATGCCCTTCTGATAAATCTCTGCATTGCCCACAGTCCATGATTACCTCTCCCTTATTTTAAGTAATATTTAACACATTAAAAATGGATTACCACCCAAGGAATTGCTCCCGACCCAGAAAGTGCAGGTAGTGTTGAAGGTTTGAGGGGAAGAGGAATGATTAGAGTTGGTTGTGTCTCAGGAAGAAGCCAACAGGAGGAACCTTATTTTGAGTCAGGTAAAGAAGGTGGGAGTGAGGAGGCATCCCGGTGGCCAGGTATGAAGCTGGGAGCTGATTGCTGCACATTACTCAGCTGAATTAAATGTGCCCTCACATCTGTGTGTGTGCGTACATGCAAATGTACATGTGTATGAGTTAGTTGGAGGGGTAGACCTTTATTTTCCTGTCCTGTAACTTTCCTTTGCAAACTAATCTGTATTCAGAACAGTGTTGCAGTTAAGAACCACCCAGCTTGTCCATGAAACAGGTTCTCTCACCCCATCTCCCCAGTTTTAGAGAAGGCAGGAAAGAAAAGGCAGTGCTTTTCTTTTTTCCTGGCCGTATGCGGGGCAGGAAGAAGCCAGCAGAGCTTGAAAGAGAAAGTAAACCTTCTGGGAAATAAACGGCTTGGCTTCCCTATTGTGGAGGAGGAGTGCAAATTATTAGGGGGATGTTTGGGTAGTTTTTGTAGAAGCCATTTCTGAAAACTGATTTGGATTAGTGAAGGTAAGCCCAATTTAGGAAAACCCTGCCCAGTCTGGTGTCAGCCACCTGTTTCCCGCTTTGTTTGATTGATTTGATTAGTTTGTGGTATTCTGACCTCTCATTTTTATTACAAGAGTTGGAAGATTTGAGTCTGAACTTGAGCACCTGCTTCGGTGAAAGCTTCCTAAAATGCATGTTTTTTCACATTTTTTCTCATGTTCATTTTGTTTTGCTTTTTAGCAAACACTTTTTCTGACAGAATCTAAAAGCATTAGACTTTTCTTGTTTTCCCCTTCTCTCCCCACAATGTAATCTTGAAAACCCAAATGTTAGCTGTGTAAATTACCTCTCCCGTAAACCAAACAAAGTGCAATATTGCATTGAGTTAGCATTGAAATAGTCGGCCTTTGAATTTTTTTCTACTTGTGGTTTAGACATAATAAATATTTCATCTCAGACTGACTTTCTCGACAAATCAGTTTTGCATTTGGGCCTCTTTTCATCAGTATGTTTAGGGAAAGCACATTTATTGAAACATTAACCAAAATGAAACATAATTAGGAGGCCGGGAGCGATGGCTCACGCCTGTAATCCCAGCACTTTGGGAGACCAAGGCATGTGGATTGCTTGAGGTCAGGAGTTCAAGACCATCCTTGCCGACTTGGTGAAATCCTGTTTCTACTGAAAATACAAAAAACTAGCTGGGTGTGGTGACGCGTGCCTGTAATCCCAGCTACTCTGGAGGCTAAAGCAAGAGAATCGCTTGAACCTGGGAGGCAGAGGTTGCAGTGAGTCGAGATCGTGCCACTGCACTCCAGCCTGGGCAACAGAGACTCCGTCTCAAACAACCAAAAAAACAAAAACAAGCATAATTAGGGTGGTAACGCTTATACATAGGGGCAGGTGGAATAATTGAAGCATTCTGGAGCCAGAAATAATCAACTGATTAAGAATAATCTGGCTGGGTGCGGTGGCTCACGCCTGTAATCCCAGCTACTCAGGAGGCTGAGGCAGGAGAATCGCTTGAACCTGGGAGGTGGAGGTTGCAGTGAGCCGAGATCGCGCCATTGCACTCCAGCCTGGGCTATGGAGCAAGACTCCATCTCAAAAAAAAAAAAAAAAAAAATCCTGTTTCTGCAGAAATATCCCAGGTGTCCTGGGTCAGCAGTGCCCCATAGATTCCACGGACGTTTACCCTAAGTTTTCCAATGGGAGTTCATACCTCTATACCCAGTGAGAATATTTTCTGAGTAATGGGAATGAGATTGGAGATGTAGGGTAGAGAAGATCCATACAGTCTTTGGGTTAAACTTTTTCCTCTTTGCCTAGGAAAGATTAATGCTAATCTTAACCACAGATTTGTAGTAAGAATGTATCAGTTTTGTCATTCAGTTCTAGACTCCAGTTTTCTTTATTGTAATACCAATATTTTAGAGTAAATTTTGAAATGAATCAGTACAAAAGATATGTAGTAAGTGGAAAGTTAGTCCGCACCTTATCCTTGGGACTCTTTCCCAGGGACAGCTAGTTACCTACTATTTATCTCTCCTGAGTTACTTCATATGTATGCATGCAAACATGTTATTCTCTGGGTGTTGTTCCTTCCATATATAGCAGCAAATACACCAAACTCTGTATTTTGCTTTTTGTCACTTTATCTTAGAGAATACTCAATGCAAATACATGTGTATATACCTCATGTTTAAAAAATCTACATAGTAAAATTAGCCAGGCATGGTAGTGTGTGCCTGTAATCCCAGCTACTCGGGAGGCTGTGGTGGGAGAATCACTTGAACCCTGAGATCACACCACTGGACTCCAGCCTGGGCCACAGAGCAAGATTCTGTCTCAAAAAACAAAAACAAAAACAAAAAAACTACAGAGTAGTATTCTAGGCTATGCATATCATAAATTTGATTTCCTAATGATAGGCATAGATGATTTGCCTGGGCGGCAAATTAGCGTTGGCTGTGTCTCAGGAAGAAGCCAACAGGAGGAACCTTATTTTGAGTCAGGTTCCAAAGACAGAAACATTGTCTGACATTTGTTTTTGGGCTTATATGAATAAATCTGTACACATATATTTTTAATGTTTTAATCGTAATATGTATACTATTTGGAAATGTGGCTTTTTAGTTAACAGAGTGCATGTTTTACCCCATTGCACTTAAACATTAACTTGGGGATAATTAAATGAGTCTGTCACTTGGACAGGCAGGAATTGTACCCCCCACAAACCCATAAACCGCCAATTTTTTTTTTTTGAGACAGAGCCTCATTCTGTTGCCCAGGCTGGAGTGCAGTGGTGCGATCTGGGCCCACTGTAAGCTCAGCCTCCCGGGTTCATGCCATTCTCCTGCCTCAGCCTCCCAAGTAGCTGGGACTACAGGCGCCCGTCACAATGCCCGGCTAATTTTTTGTATTTTTAGTAGAGTCGGGGTTTCACCATGTTAGCCAGGATGGTCTCTATCTCCTGACCTTGTGATCCGCCCGCTTTGGCCTCCCAAAGTGCTGGAATTACAGGTGTGAGCCACCGCACCTGGCCGGTTTTTTTTTTTTTTTTTGAGATGGAGTCTTGCTCTGTTGCCAGGCTGGAGTGCAATGGCATGATCTCCGCTCACTGCAACCTCCACCTCCCGGGTTCAAGTGATTCTCCTGCCTCAGCCTCCTGAGTAGCTGGGACTACAGGCGTGTGCCACCACGCACAGCTAATTTTTGTAATTTTAGTAGAGATGGGGTTTCATTAATAATCATTAATATTAGACAACTGTCAGACTCACAGTGGTGGATACAAACTTTCTCAAATTCTGATTTTTACTCTAAAGCTCAAATTTTATCATTGGCAACAAATATTGTCAGTTGCTTTCCCTGAACAGACAGCTTCCCTTCTTTCATTTTTGAGAAAATATCTGCCAGTATCCCAGTTGGTTTATCAATCATTCTTTCTCTTTTTTTTTTTGAGACGGAGTCTCACTCTGTCACCCAGGCTGGAGTGCAGTGGCATGATCTCGGCTCACTGCAACCTCCACCTCCCAGGTTCCAGCAATTCTCCTGCCTCAGCCTCCCGAGTAGCTGGGATTACAGGGGCTAGCAGCCACACCTGGCTAATTTTTGCATTTTTAGTAGAGACAGGGTTTTACCATGTTGGCCAGGCTGATCTTGAACTCCTGACCTCATGATATGCCCACCTTGGCCTCCCAAAGTGCTGGGATTACAGGTGTGAGCCATTGCGCCCGGCTCTATTATTTCTTTTCTTTCTTTCTTTTTCTTTTTTTTTTTTGAGATGGAGTTTCGCTCTTGTTGCCCAGGCTGGAGTGCAATGGCGCGATCTCGGCTCACCACAACCTCCGCCTCCCGAATTCAAGTGATTCTCTTGCCTAAGCCTCCCGAGTAGCTGGGATTACAGGCATGTGCCACCACACCCGTCTAGTTTTGTATTTTTATTAGAGATGGGGGTTTCTCCATGTTGGTCAGGCTGGTCTCGAACTCCCAACCTCAGGAGATCTGCCTGCCTCAGCCTCCCAAAGTACTGGGATTACAGTTTTGAGCCACCTGACCCGGTTTGCTTATTATTTCTTTTAAATTTAAAAAATAATAAATAAAGGGGCCATGAGAGCGAAGAGTTTGAGAAAGGTTGGTCTAAAGGTTTTAACATAAGAATCCCTGGGTTATTTGCTTAAAAAGAAGAAAGAATCTATGGATCTGCCTGAGAGGGTCTGATGTAGTTTATCTGGGGTCATCCTCACAGGCATAGCAGATATTCTGATTCAGATGGTCCTTGGTCCTTAGTTTGAGAAATGTGGCTTTACAAGGCCCATAGAATATAAAGTCTTCTTTGGATTAGTGAAGTCATGTCCACAGGGTTTAGAAAATGTTTTTGTTTTAGAGATAAAGGTAAGTGGAAGAGTAGACATGTAGTGAATGAGGGAAAATGTTTTAGAGATTTCTTTTTATTCTGTTTACTCTTCTTGGTATGCACGTACCTGAATATTAAGGATATTTTATGAAGTCATGACATTACCAGATTAATGTTGGTTTTGTTTTAAGGTACTTTCTGACTGCTGGGGTTAATTCCTACAGACGATTCTGGTAAAGAATAGCCTTTAAGTTTTAAAAGTGTTGACTTATTTCAGATGTCTTAATAAAGTTAACTTCCAGTTATTACATGTAACGTATATAAAGCTCTCATTTTCCTTTATTCTCGTTAATTGTTTGCATAACAAATTCAAAGGGAAATTTGCTTGGCAGAGATCAGATAGCAGAGATGAGATTTAAAAACAGGTAATTTGGCTACTAGCCTGGGAGTTTGAAGATTCCAAGTTTGCATCCATGTGTAGTCACTTAACATTTCTGTCCTTATCTGTAAATGGGAATAACACCTACTTGATAGGGTTGTTACATTATCTTGGCCACCTCAGGTTCTCTTTGGCTGAGTGATTGACTGGAAAACGCAATGTGAATTCATGCTTCAGACTGGGTTCTTTTTTTTTTTTTTTTTTGAGATGGAGTTTCACTCTTATTGCCCAGGCTGGAGTGCAATGGCACGATCTCAGCTCACTGCAACCTCTGCCTCCCAGGTTCAAGCGATTCTCCTGCCTCAGGCTCCCGAGTAGCTGGGATTACAGGCATGCACCACCATGCCTGGCTAATTTTTTTGTATTTTTAGTAGAGACGGGGTTTCACTGTGTTGGTCAGACTGGTTTCAAACTCCTGACCTCAGGTGATCCACCTGCTTCAGTCTCCCAAAGTGCTGGGATTACAGGCATGAGCCACCGCACCCAGCCCAGGCTAGGTTCTATATGGGTGTGCTTTTTAGAATTTAGATCATGGGCTATCCCCAACACAAACTGGATAATGTTTCTTTCTAGATTCTCTCTAAGCGTGTATTCTCTTTCTTTCCTAGGCACAGCCACCACTTCACTTACATTGTGGGATTATAATTTCATGAGTAGTGGAATTTCCTTAACCTTCTCTTGTGTGGGAGCTGAAGGACAAAATGAGATATTCTCTGAAGAGTGGTTACATCATGCAAAACTATGATGTGTAATGAGGTCACTTAGTTTTCTAAGTACATTATACATTTTGATAAGATTTTCATAGAAAAGCTTGTCTCCTTGGGGAGATCACTCATCTTCCATCTTGACTATTATTTAAACTTTATGGGTCAGATTTATCTTTTTAAAAACTTAACCATAAAGCTCAATTAATTTTTTTTTTTTTTTTTTGAGACGGAGTCTCGCTCTGTTGCCCAGGCTGGAGTGTAGTGGCGCGATCTCGGCTCACTGCAAGCTCTGCCTCCCAGGTTCATGCCATTCTCCTGCCTCAGCCTCCTGACTAGATGGGACTACAGGCGCCCGCCACGATGCCCGGCTAATTTTTTGTATTTTTAGTAGAGACGGGGTTTCACCGTGTTAGGATGGTCTCGATCTCCTGACCTCGTGATCCACCCGCCTCGGCCTCCCAAAGTGCTGGGATTACAAGCGTGAGCCACCGCGCCCGGCTCAATTAATATATTTTAAAAATTAATAGACTTTATTATTTTTATTTTATTTTATTTTTGAGGCAGAGTCTCGCTCTGTCACCCAGGCTGAGTGCAGTGGTGTGATCTTGGCTCACTGCAAACTCCACCTCCCGGGCTCAAGTGATTCTCCTGCCTCAGCCTCCTAAGTAGCTAGGATTACAGGTGCCTGCCACCATACCCGGCTAGTTTTTGTAATTTTAGTAGATACGTGTTTTCTTTCTTTTCTTTTCTTTTTTTTGAGATGGAGTTTCACTCTTTTTGCCCAGGCTGGAGTGCAATGGCATGATCTCGGCTCACTGCAACCTCCGCCTCCCAGGTTCAAGTGATTCTCCTGCCTCAGCCTCCCAAGTAGCTGAGATTATAGTTGTCTGCCACCACGCCTGGCTAATTTTTTGTATGTTTGATAGAGACAGGGTTTCACTATGTTAGCCAGGATGTCTCGATCTCTTGACCTCGTGATCCGCCTGCCTTGGCCTCCCAAAGTGCTGGGATTACAGGCGTGAGCCACTGCGGCCAGTCTAGACTTTATTTTTTAAAGCAGTGTTAGTTTTACAGAAAAATTATGTGGAAAGTACAGAGAGTTTCCATATACCCCTTACTTTCTCCCACAACTTCTATTATTAACATCTTGCATTAGTATAGTACGTCCCTTACAACTAATGAACCAACTCGATACATTATTATTAACCAAATTCCTGAGTTTATTTTATTTCTATTTTTATTTTATTATTATTATTTTTTAGAGGTAGGGTCTCACTGTGTTGTCCAGGCCAGGTTGCAGTGGCATCATCATAGCTTGCTATAGCCTGAAACTCCTGGGCTCAAGCAATCCTCCTGCCTCAGTCTCCCAAAGTGTTGGAATTACAGGTGTGAGCCACTCTGTCCAGCCTGAAGTCCATAGTTTACATTACATTTCACTCTGTTGAGCATTCTATGGATTTTGACAAATGTGTGATGATGTATATTTGCCAGTACACAATTATATAAAATAGTTTTACTGCCCTAGAAACCCCCTGTGCTCCACCTATTCATTCCTCTGCTGAACCACTGGCAACCACTGATCTTTTATAATATCTCCATAGTTTTGTCTTTTCCAGAATGTCATATAGTTGGACATACAGTGTGTAGCCTTTTCAGATTGGCTTCTTTCAGTAAATGATATGCATTTCAGGTTTCTTCATGTTTTTTTGTGGCTTGATAGGTTGTTTCTTTTCATTGGTGAGTAATACTCTATTGTATGGATATACCACATGTTGTTTATCAAACATTCACCTGAAGGATAGACATCTTGGTTGCTTCCAAGTTTGAGCAGTTATGAATAAAGCTGCTATAAACATTCCAGTGCAGGACTTTTCACCTCCTCTGGATAAATATCAAGGAGTGCAATTGCTAGATCATATGGTAAGAGTATGTTTAGTTTTGTAAGAAGCTATCAAACTATATTCAAAGTGACTGTACCATTATACATTCCCATCAGCAGTGAGTGAGAGTTCCTGTTACTCCACATCTTCACCAGCATTTAGTGGTGTCAGTGTTTTGGATTTTAGCCATTTTAATGGGTGTATAATGGTATACCTATTAAAATTGGTTTTTTTTGGAGACAGAGTTTCACAGTTTCACTCTTGTTGCCCTGGCTGGAGTGCAATGGCGCAATCTCGGCTCACTGCAGCCTCCGCCTCCCAGTTTCAAGTGATTCTCCTGCCTCAGCCTCCCAAGTAGCTGGGATTACAGGTGCACGCCACCATGTTCTGCTAATTTTTTTGTATTTTAGTAGAGATGGGGTTTCACTGTGTTACCCAGGCTGGTCTTGAACTCCTGAGCTCAGGTAATCCACCTGCCTCAGCTTCCCAAAGTGTTAGGATTACAGGCATGAGCCACCGCACCTGGCCTCAATTTTTTTTTTTTTTTTTTTGAGACAGAGTTTTGCTCCTGTTGACCAGGCTGGAGTGCAGTGGCACAATCTCGGCTCACTGCAACCTCCGCCTCCTGAGTTCAAGCGATTCTCCTGCCACAGCCTCCTGAGTAGCTGGGATTATAGGCGCCCGCCACTACGCCTGGCTAATTTTTTTTTTTTTTTTAATTAGAGACGAGGTTTCTCCATGTTGGTCAGGCTGGTCTTGAACTCCCCGTTCTCAGGTGATCCGCCTGCCTCAGCCTCCCAAAGTGCTGAGATTACAGGTGTGAGCCACCGTGCCCCGCCTGTTTTGGCTTTTACTGTGAAGACGTGTTAGCCGCTGTGATGACTAGCAAGTGTGGCCCTCCACCCAGTCGCTCTGGGCTCCCAGCTCCTGCATCCTGCTGCAAACTTGACATCTTCCCTCAAGTAACTTGTAGTTGTCTCCTGTCTACTTGCCCAAAATATAACTCTTAAACTTTTCTCTCTGCAAGTTTGTGCCTCTCTCCCTGTCTGACTTCCCCATCTAAATAAATGGTAGACCACCATCTACTCCTTTGTGCAAGCCAGAAATCTAGGAATCATCCTTAAATTCCCTGTTCTGTCTTATCTCTGCTTTCATTCAAAGCATCAGCAAATCCTGTTGGTTCTACCTCTGAAGTTTTCTCAAATACTGTTACTTGACTCATCCTGACTTTTGTTTCTGCTTTATGTTAGGCTAAATGCCCTGAAAACTCTTTTGTACAAAACACCTAGAAATACTGGATAAACTGGGCTTAACAGGGAGGCCCGGTGTGGTGGCTCACGCCTGTAATCCCAGAACTTTGGGAGGCCAAGGTGGGTGGATCACCTGAGGTCAGGAGTTCCAGACCAGCCTGGCCAATACGTAGTGAAACCCCACCTCTACTAAAAAAAAAAAAAAAAATTAGCTGGGTGTTGTGGTGCACACCTGTAGGTGGTGCATGCTTGAACTTGGGAGGCGGAGGTTGCAGCGAGCTGAGATCGCGCCACTGCACTTCAGCCTGGGTGACAGAGCAGGATTCTGTCTCTTAAAAAAAAAAACAAAAAAAGAAAAACAGGAAAATCTTCAGAAGCAAAAACCAAACAATCTCACCAAAGAAATGAGAAGATGGCTGGGCGCGGTGGCTCACGCCTGTAATCCCAGCACTTTGGGAGGCCGAGGCGGGCAGATCACCCGAGATGGGCAGATCACCCGAGGTCAGGAATTCGAGACCAGCCTGGCCAATATGGTGAAACCCCGTCTCTGCTAAAAATACAAAAATTAGCCAGGTGTGGTGGCAGGCGCCTGTAATCCCAGCTACTCAGGAGGCTGAGGCAGGAGAATCGCTTGAACCTGGGAGGCGGAGGTTGCAGTGAGCCGAGATCATGCCACTGTACTCTAGCCTGGACGACAGAGCAAGACTCTGTCTCAAAAAAAAAAAAGGCTGGGTGTGGTGGCTCATGCCTATAATCCTAGCACTTTGGGAGGCCAAGGTGGGCGGATCACTTGAGGCCAGGTGAACATGGCGAAACCCCATCTCTACTAAAAATACTAAAGTTAGCTGGGCATGGTGGTGGGTGCCTGTAATCCCAGCTACTCGGGAGGCGAGGCAGGAGAATCGCTTGAACCAGGAGGTGGAGGTTACAGTGAACCGAGATCTCGCCACCGCACTCTAGTCTGGGCGACAGAGCAAGACTCCGTCTCAAAAAACAACAACAAAAAACCAACACATGGCCAAAGTGCAGTGACTTACATCTGTATAATCCCAATGTTTTGGGAGGCTGAGGCAGGAGGATCGCTTGAGTCCAGGAATTTGAGACCAGCCTGGGCAACATAGACCTCATCACCAAAAAAAAAATATTTTTTAATTAGCTGGGTTTGGCAGCATGTACCTGTAGTCCTAGCTACTCAGGAGGCTGAGGTGGGAGGATCACTTAGGCCCAGGAGTTTGATAGTTCGAGGTTATAGTGAGCTATGATCCTGCCACTGCACTCCAGCCTGGGCCACAGAGTGAGACCCTGTCTCTTAGAAACAAAACAAAACAAAAAAAAGAAACTGAATTAAAAACAACAAGAACAAAAATGCTGCTTTTTGTTATTGAGTTGTAGCCCAAGTTTCTTGAGGGTAAAGCATTGAAAAGCAGGCAGTAATAGATTTGCTGTTTAAAGAGATTTACTTGCAGCACTATTCACAATAGCAAAGACATGGAATCAACCTAAATGCCCATCAGTGACAAATTGGATAAAGAAAATGTGGTACATACACTGTGGAATACTATGCAGCCATAAAAAACAACGAGATCATGTTTTTGTTTGTTTGTTTGTTTGTTTGTTTTTGAGATGGAGTCTTGCTCTATTGCCCAGGCTGGAATGCAGGTGGCACGATTTCAGCTCACTGCAACCTCCGCCTCCCAGGTTCAAGCAATTCTCTGCCTCAGCCTCCCGAGTAGCTGGGATTACAGGTGCCCTCCACCATGCCTGGCTAATTTTTGTATTTCTAGTAGAGATGGGGTTTCACCGTGTTGGGCAGGCTGTTCTTGAACTCCTGACCTCATGATCCTCCCACCTCGGCCTCCCAAAGTGCCGGGATTACGTGTGAGCCACCGTGCTCGGCTGAGATCATGTTTTTGCAGGAACATGGATGGAGCTGGAGGCTATTATCCTTAGCAAAGTAATGCAGGAACAGAAAACCGAAGACCACGTGTTCTCACTTATAAGTGGGAGCTAAATGATAAGGACTTGTGAACACAAAGAAGGAAACCACAGATACTGGGGTTTACTTGAGGGTGGAGAGTGGGAGGAGGGAGAGGAACAGAAAAGATAACTATTGGGTATTGGGCTTAATACTTAATATTTTATCAAAATAAGCTGTACAACAAACCCCTCTGACATGAGTTTACCTATATAACAAACTTGCACGTGTAACCCCAAACCTAAAATAAAAGTTAAAAAAAAAAAAAAAGGCTGGTTGCATTGGGAGGCTGAGGCAGGCAGAGCACTTGAGGCCAGGAATTCGAGACCAGCTTGGCTAACGTGGAGAAACCCTGTCTCTACTAAAAATTCAAAAATTAGCCAGGTGTGGTGGTGCATGCCTGCAGTCCCAGCTACCAGGGAGGCTGAGGCAGGAGAATTGCTTGAACTCAGGAGGCAGAGGTTGCAGTGAGCTGAGATTGCACCACTGCATTCCAGCCTGGGCGACAGGGCGAGACCTTGTCTCAAAAAACAAAACAAAACAAAACAAAAACCTGTCACTTTGGGAATATCTCAAACCTAGTCATCCAAGTGGTTGTACGATTTTAGTGTCTGCATATCAATATTTAGTGTGATCTACTTTCTTAGATTCTCAAATACTGCCAATGGGCACATGTCATGAAATAATGTCTTTTAGAGGACAAGAGAGTGCTAAAGTCTCATTATTGCAGTTTAAGAAAAACAATTCTGTAACAGTTTAACTTTATAGGAAATGCCTTTTGTTTATTTATTTTTTTTCTTTTGAGGCTTAGATTTTTATTTTTATGTTTTTAGAGATGGGGTCTTCCTATGTTACCCAGGCTGGCCTTGAATTCCTGGGCTCAAGTGATCTTCCTGCTTCAGCCTCCTGAGTAGCTGGGACTAGACGTCCACTACTGCTCCTGGCTGGAAGTTTAGATTTTAATTTAAACTCTTCTATTGGGAAACTTTGTATGTTTGCTTTACCACTTAACATTTGCATGCATTATTGTACCTATTGTCTCCTACTTAAGGAAGGGCAGTTTATGCTGTTATATGAAGTGAATTAACCTCCTATGGTACTTCAGTTTTCTCTATGCTAAAAGTGTGTTCTAGATTTTTGAAAAACTTACTTAATTTTCATTCATTTATTCAAATATTTGAGCATTCTGTAGTTGCTGGGGAAATAGCAGTGAACTGAAGAATGTCTTTGTTCTTATGGGGCTTAAGTTCCTAGTTGATCATATTGGAAGGAGATACATGAAAAAAGAAATATATGAACAATGGAGGGCGATGAGTACTGTAAAGGAGAATTCAGCAGGGGAGATGTTGCTGTTTTAGATAGAGGGGTGTCAAGAGACATTGTGCAGAGACCTGAACGAAGTGAGGGAGCAAGCCATGGAGATATCTAGGGAAAGAGCCTATCAGGTGGAGAGAAGAGTCCTAGGGCAGAAACGGGCAAGGTGTGTTCCAGGAGCAGAGAGGGGACAGCTGTGAGCAAGGGGAGAGTTGTAGGGAAGGAGGCAAAGAGAGACATCTGGGGCAAAATGGATTGACTGGTGGGCCGTGGTAGGACTTTGGATTTTTTCCTGAGTGGGTTTTGAGCAGGGGAATGAAATGATCTGACTCTGGTTTTTTTTTTTTTTGGAGACAAAATCTTGCTCTGTTGCCGAGGCTGAAGTGCAGTGGCGCAATCTCGGCTCATTGCAACATCTACTTCCTGGGTTCAAGCTATGCTCCTGCCTCAGCCTCCCGAGTAGCTAGGATTACAGGCTTGGGCCACCATGCCGGCGAATTTCTGTTTTTATTTTTATTTTTTATTTATTTTTATGTTTATGTTTTTTGAGACGGAGTCTCGCTGTGTCACCCAGGCTGGAGTGCAGTGGCGCGATCTCAGCTCACTGCAACCTCTGCCTCCCCGGTTCAAGCAACTTCTCCTGCCTCAGCCTCCCGAGTAGCTGAGATTACAGGCGCCTGCCACTACACCTGGCTAATTTTTGTATTTTTAGTAGAAACGGGATTTCACCTTGTTGGCCAGGCTGGTCTCGAACTCCTGACCTTAATTTATCTGCTCGCCTTGGCCTCCCAAAGTGCTGGGATGACAGGTTTGAGCCACCGTGCCAGCCAGGACTCTTATTTTGAAAGGATCTGTAATGTGGAGAATAGAAGGTAGAGGGACAAGGATGAAAGCATCCAGGCCAGTTAGCCTAGTCCAGCTATCTAGGTAAGAGATGCTGGTGGCCTGGATTAAGGCTGCGTCAGTGGGAGGTTGTGAGAAAGGCTCACCTTCCTTTTTTTTTTTTTTTTTTTTTTTTGAGACAGGATCTTACTCTGTCTCCCAGGCTGGAGTGCAGTGGTGCAATCTCAGCTTACTACAACCTCCGCCTCCTGGGCTCAAGTGATACCCCCACCTCAGCCTCCCAAGTAGCTGGGATCACAGGCTTGCGCCACTATATCCGGCTAATTTTTGTATATTTCGTAGAGACAGGGTTTTGCCATGTTGCCTAGGCTGGTCTCAAACTCCTGAGCTCAAGTGATCCACCCGCCTCAGCCTCCTAAAGTGCTGGGATTATAGGCCTGAGCCATTGTGCCCGGTCACTTCCAGATTTTGAAGACAGAGCCAACAGGATTTGTTAATGGATTAGGTGTGGCAGGAGGAGGGGGAGGAAGAGAGAGAGAGACTGGAGTTGAAGTTAAGGCTCATTTCAAGGTTTTTAGCCTCAACATGTGCAGGAATGGAGTTGTCACTTGCTAGAATGGGGGAGACTGGAGGAGAAGCCGGCTGGGAGAGGTTTTTAATGAAGGGGTTGGCTTTGGATACATTAAGTTTGACATGCATTTTAGACATCCAGGTGGAGATATTGAAGAGGCAGTTGGCTATAAGTGTCTGATGTTCATATTAGCGGATGGGGCTAGAGACATAAATTTGAGAATTGTCAGTGTATAAACGTTGTTTTGAAAGAAAGTGGGGCTGAATAATTTAGAAAGGAGTGCATAGAGAAAATAAGTTTACTATTAAAATAGCTTTAACAGGCCGGGCACGGTGGCTCATGCCTGTAATCCCAGCACTTTGGGAGGCTGGGGTGGGCAGATCAAAAGGTCAGGAGTTTGAGACCAGCCTGGCCAATATGGTGAAACCCTGTCTCTACTGAAAATACAAAAATTAGCCAGGCGTTGTACCGGGCACCTGTAGTCCCAGCTACTTGGGAGGTTGAGGCAGGAGAATCACTTCAACCCGGGAGGTGGAGGTTGCAGTGAGCCAAGATCACGCCACTGCACTCCATCCTGGGCAACAGAGCAAGACTCCGTCTCAAAAAAAAAAACAAAAAAAAACAAAAAAAAAAAACTTTAACAGCAAAGCCTCTTCCTTTAAAATTATGAATTTTTTTCTTATGGAAGTTGGACTCTTTCATTATTAAGTCTACATTCAATCACTATGTTAGTAAAAATGTTGTTCTAGTTGCCGAATGCAATAAACCAGCTCAGACTTAGTGGCCTAAAGCAGCAATCATTTGACTATGTTCGAAGATGCCGTGGGCAGGAATTTAGATAACAGCAGGGATGGCTTGTCTTTGCTCTGCGATGTCTGAGGTCTCACTGAGAAAACTCAAGCGGCTGGGGGTAATAATCATCTGGAATTTTCTTTACTCCTGTATCTGATGTCTGGGCTGCGATGACTCAAAGGCTGATTTCAGCTGAGACTGTAGACCACGTGCCTACTTGTGGCCTCCCCTTTTGCCTTGGGTTTCTCACAGAATGTGGCTGGTTCTGGAGAATGAGACTTCCAATGAAATCAGGTGGAAATGACATCTCGCCGCTTTCAGCATGCTCTATTGGTTGGAACAGTTATGGACTTAGCTAGATTCAAAGGAAGGGAACAAAGACCCCCTCCTCTCAGAGAGTGGGGCATAATGAGAGAATTTAGGGCCATGTTATCCAACCACCACAAATGCCTTCTGAATTTGAGGTTCTGCCTCAAAAGTTCATAGTTCCTTTGACTGAAGGACTTCTATATATCCAAGCATCGTCAGCCCCAGGTATATTGTTCCATGTAAGTGACCAGGACTACCTTAGTATTTCGTATAGGGAAAGTGACCTGAATAAATTTGAGAAAAGAATCTTCCTTCTCTCCAGTAAGCACTGAGGTAAGCATTGAGCCATATTATAGGTTTATGACTTTGAGACTCAGAAATTTAAATTCTTGGCCAGGCGCAGTGGCTCACGCCTGTAACCCCAACACTTTGGGAGGCCAAGGCAGGCAGATCACTTGAGGTCAGGAGTTTGAGACCAACCTGGCCAAAATGGTGAAACTCCATCTCTACGAAAAATACAAAAATTAGCCAGGTGTGGTGGCGGGCACCTGTAATCCCAGCTACTTGGGAGGCTGAGGTAAGAGAATGGCTTAAGTTCTCTTTATCTGCTTTATTTCAGTTGCCTCTCTTAGATGAATATTAATGACTTACATAGCATTTTAGATCAGTGGATGTTTTTGTGATTCTTTTATTTGAGCTTTGGCCAAAGATAACAGTACCCACAGGTTTTTTCCAGCTACTCGCTCTTCTCCCTTCAGTGGCCCTCGAGCCTGGAAAATCTGACATGACAATGTGCTTGCTCAACCTACCACTGTTTTTCTTTTGAAAAGTTTGGCAGCCTGTTTCTGACTCCTATGAAGGTGAATTCCTCAGCATTCACAGTTTATTAGAAAAATACTTTGCTTCTCTCCAAACTCGAAATTCAAGATAACCAAACCTATATATAGGCTGATCTTTCAGGATGCAGTTGTCATGTTGATGCCATGCTTTTCAGTATCGTGGCCATCATCTGTTCAGTAGGGGAGGTGTACTTCTGTAATGGGAGGTGGTGGTTATGTGTGTGTGCAAGTGTTTATTTGGTGTCTTAAGTTAGCCTGTGGGAAGTTCTAAATCAGGATGGTACGTGGTTGCCAGCAGAGAGCTGCTCCTCAAGTGAAGGAGGTAGAATCAAAGCCAATAGGAAAGAGCCTCAGATGCTTATATATGTACCGTGGGGATTCAGAGTGAAAGCAGTCATTGGACTAGGGGTGGGGTTAGGGAGAGCCTGTCTGACAGACACAAGAAAGGGATGGATAACGCCACCCAGAGAAAAAAGCATTTTAGGCAAGAACAAATATGAAAAAGGAACAAAGTCTGTGGGTGGGGGGCAAGGAGGAGATAAGTTGACTTGAAGGAAGACAACACTTATGAAAGTCACCTGGAGGCTGGGTGCCATGGCTCATGCCTATAATCGCAGCACTTTGGGAGGCCGAGGTAGGAGGACAACTTGAGCCCAGGAGTTCGAGACCATCCTGGGCAACATGGTGAGACTGAGTCTCTACCAAAAAAAAAAAAAAAAGAAAATTATCCAGACATGGTGGCATGTGCCTGTAATCCCAGTTACTCAGGAGGCTGAGGTGGGAGGGTTGCTTGAGCCCAGGAGGTTGAGGCTGCAGTGAGCTGTGATCGTATTATTGCACTCCAGCCTGGGTAACAGAGCAAGACCCTGTCTCAAAAAATGAAAGTCATCTGTAGGCTGGAGAGAGGAACTGGAAGGGGCTAAAGTTGGCTGAGTAGTTACAGAGCCTGAGATAAGGGTAAAGATTTTGCATTGGACAATGAGATGTTAGTGTGTGTTTTTGAGCTGGGGAGTGCTGTGATTTTACTCTTATTGAAGAATCACTGAAGGATTATTCTTGAATCAGTGATTCTTGATCATTCTTGAATTTTTCAAACAGCAAAACTGGAAGAGTTGGCCTATTCCTCAGAATATTTTCTAATTGGGCGCAGTGTCCTCACTTGGGAGAACCTGGCTACACACTTTAGTTGTAATTCACTCCAGTCGTTCATTCATTCAATACCTATTTTTTCAGCACCTATTATGAGCCAGACACTATGCTGGATGCCAGGGTTCAGGGTAGGACACGCTAGTGAGCAAAAGCCAAGACTCTTCTTGTCTTCATGGGGCTTTCAGTCCAGCATAGTGGTTATGAGTCCAAGTTAATGGAGTCACAGTACTTGGGTGCAAGTCATGGTGATGGTGATAGAAGGAAGGCATGTGTGAGGGCCAGTGGCAGGCAGGAGCCTGGTGTTTTTGAGGACCTGAAGAAGGAGCAGAGTGAGTGCCAGGAACTTAGCCACCAGCTGGTACCAGCCATACGAGAGGGGCAGAGCCAGCCAGGATGTCGGTCATGCTAGTAATGAGTACAAACACTTACATGCTGCACGCTATTGGGCTCCTGAGTGCTACGTGTTCATTAGCTCGATGAATTTGTACAGCAACCCTGTGAGGTAAGCACTGTTCTCTCCCCTTTCTATAGATGAGGAAATTAAGGCACAAAGAGGATAAATAACTGGCACCAGCTACACGCTAAGTGATCGAAGTGGTGGAACCAGGATTCAAATCCATGCTATTCTGCCTTAAGATAACAAATCTTGTTTTTTAGCCTAAGAACAGAGCAGTCATCAGGAGGGTTTTAAGTAGGGGTGTGGCAAGATCAAGTTTGTGTCTTGAAAAGGTCTCTCTACCCACAGTGTGGAAAATGGCCTGGAGGCAAGCACACAGATGTTGGGAGACAGTTAACAGCTCTTGCCATGGCCCCCTATGCATTTTGGCTCTGATGTTTCTGCCTGATTTTTCTCTTGCCTCTGCCTCTTTTCCTGAGGGGATGGCAGGTTTTACCATTCAGCTGGAGTACAAACCCTGAACCCTTTTTGGTTAAATATCTACTTGCTTTTCCTACAGTATTATTTTGAGTTGCTGTGGCTGTAATGTCTTGAGGGAATCGAGCTTGACAGTAATTTATAGAACAAACAGTTTTTAGAGACTGTGTGGCCCAATTGCCCTCTCAATGTTGGCACTCCTGCCATGACATTTACCATGCTGAGCATGTGACCGCCATCTGAATACCAAATGCCACAGGAACCTGGGAGGTTGTCACTTACTCCTCCCTTTCTCTGAGTCACCTTTGCCCTTCAGTCAGTCACCAAGTCCCATCACATGTAGCTCTGTAATGTCACAGAAGATGGATGTCTGCCTCAAAACACTTACAATGCTGCTACCTAAATTGGGCAGCCACGACCTCCCACCAGGATTATTGCAGCCTGAGGGATCTTTTTGAAATGTAAATCAAACTATCACTTGTCTGTTTAAAGCTTTTCAAAGACTTACCCCATTGCCCTTGGAAGAAAGTGCAGATATCTTGACAGGAGAGCCTTCTCCAGCCTCCTCTTCTGCCGTGGTCTCCTTGTACAGTCTCTACAGTGTACTGCTTCATTAGAACCCTGGAGATTATTATTTGCTAGTTCTGGGCTAAGAACTGGCACCTGGCTTTGTAGAGCTCCTCAGGAGATTCTGAGGCGTATTCAGAGTTGAGCCCTGATCTCTGCTCTGATTTCGAGGTTCTCGTTATATTTATTAATGATCACGAAAAAATTTATTATTATTCTTTGGCCTCACTTTAGCATCATCTGAGGAATTTTTTTTTTTTTTTGACAGAGTTTTGCTCTTGTTGCCCAGGCTGGAGTGCAATGGCGTGATCTCAGCTCACTGCAACCTCCGCCTCCCGGGTTCAAGAGATTCTCCTGCCTCAGCCTCCCAAGTAGCTGAAATTACAGGCATCCACCACCATGCCTGCTAATGTTTTTGTATTTTTTAGTAGAGGTGGGCTTTCACAGTGTTGGTCAGGCTGGTTTTGAACTCCTGACGTCAGCTGATCCACCCACCTAGGCCCCCCAGAGTGCTGGGATTACAGGTGTGAGCCACCGTGCCCAGCCGTAGCTTTCGAAATTTGAAACCTGGTCCCACTGTCAGAGGTTCCAATTTGGCACTGGTTTGGTTCCCAGGCATCTTTCTTGCTGTATATATTTTTTAGTGTCAGCCAGGGTGGAGACCTCTGTATTACTTCATGGGGAAGAATTTGGGAGAAGATGTTGTGAGGAGACAGGTTCTAGTCCTAGAGTGATTTATCCTTTCTCGTACAGATTTCCAGGTATTTGAGGGGCCACTCTTCTGTAATTCATGTTTTTCTCTCCTAACCTCACTCCTGTTGCCTGCATCTTCTTGCTGAGCAAAATATTCAAGGTCTTCAACTCCTCACACCCTGGTTGTCCCTCCCTGGATGTGTTTGGTTGTTTTAGTGTTCCATTTCAATTTTGATACACAGAATTAGAATAGCATCCAGATGTGGGTCTGTTACAGCTAGACTACTAGATCCTTCAAAATCCAAGTACTAGTATGTCTATTAAAATACCATAAGATCACATTGGCTAGTTACAATGGTTGGTTTGTGGGTTACTTAAAAATCAACTAAAATTCTTTTTTTTTTTTTGAGATGGAGTTTTGCTCTTGTTGCCTAGGCTGGAATGCAATGACACAATCTTGGCTCACTGCCACCTCTGCCTCCCAGGTTCAAGCAATTCCCCTGCCTTAGCCTCCTGAGTAGCTGGGATTACAGGCATGTGCCACCATGGCCAGCTAATTCTGTATTTTTAGTAGAGATGAGGTTTTTCCATGTTGGTCAGGCTGGTCTCGAACTCCCGACCTCAGGTGATCCACCTGCCTCAGCCTCCCAAAGTGCTGGGATTACAGGCGTGAGCCACTGAGCCTGGCCAAAATTCCCACTTTCTAATACTCCTGTAGTAGCTGGGTACGGTGGGTCACATCTGTAATCCCAGCACTTTTGGAGGCTGAGGCTGGAGGATCGCTTGAGCCTAGGAGTTCGAGACCAGCCTGGGCAAGATGGCCAGACGCCATCTCTAATTTAAAAAAAAGAAAAAACAAGACTCCTATAGTGGTGAAGAACAGACATTCCGAAAACAGACTGTGCGTTATGATTCCAGCTCCATGCCTTTACTACCTGTGTTGTGACTTTGGATAAATCACTTAAAAATCTTTTTTTTTTTTTTTTTTTTTTGAGACGGAGTCTTGCTCTGCCGCCCAGGCTGGAGTGCAGTGGCGCGATCTCGGCTCACTGCAAGCTCTGCCTCCCAGGTTCACACCATTCTCCTGCCTCAGCCTCCCAAGTAGCTGGGACTGCAGGTGCCCGCCACTACACCTGGCTAATTTTTTGTATTTTTAGTAGAGACGGGGTTTCACCGTGTTAGCCAGGATGGTCTCGATCTCCTGTCCTCGTGATCCACCCGCCTCAGCCTCTCAAAGTGTTGGGATTACAGGCGTGAGCCACCGCACCCGGCCAAATCACTTAAAATTCTGTGCCTCAGTTTCTCCTCTGTAAAGTGGGATAAAAATAGTACCTATCTGATAGGGTTGTTACAATTATGAAATGAGCAAATAAGTATGTCAAGTGTTTAAAACAGCGCCTGGCTTCTTGTAAAAAGTGCTATATAAATCATAGCTATAATCATTACTTATTTCGACTGCTCTTTAACCAAGGTTCTTATTTTTCATCTTTTTCTTTTGTTTTGAATATCACTTAGTGTTTTCACCTTTTACTCTTTTTAGGACCTAGAGCCATCCTAGGTGAAATACGTATGGAGATATTTGATCAGGTCACCACCCAGCTCTCCTGACCTCCCTTCTCTCCTTAAATTAACATGCCAAATCACAGCATCACTGACTCCTTCCCTCCCGATATGATAAGAGTGTGCATTGAAATGCATGTATTTTACTTAGCAGGGAAAGCTGATTAGTGATTATCACACTTAACCCCTAGTGAATCTGATGGATTAACCTGCTTTCCAGGACACTAAGGAAATGGGTTTAAGATAAGAAATATCTGGCTGGGTGCGGTGGCTTTACGCCTGTAATCCCAGCACTTTGGGAGGCCGAGGTGGGCAGATCACGAGGTCAGGTGATTGAGATCATCCTGGCTAACACGATGAAACCCCCTCTTTACTAAAAATACAAAAAATTAGCCGGGTGTGGTGGCGGGCGCCTGGAGTCCCAGCTACTCGGGAGGCTGAGGCAAGAGAATGGTGTGAACCCAGGAGGCAGAGCTTGCAGTGAGCTGAGATTGTGCCCACCGCATTCCAGCCTGGGCAACAGAGTGAGACTACATCTCAAAAAAAAAAAAAAAAAAAGTAAGAAATGTCCATGAAAGGGAGACCCTGGGGGAAAGGAACAATAACTGCAGCTCTGAGGATCTGGCACCAGCAGCACCAGCACAGAGGGATGCTGTACAACCATTATTGATTTTAACTTTACAACAGTTCTTCAAAGGAGAGAGAGTTCCCTGTTTTACTGAAGAGAAAGCCCATTTGGTAGTGAAATACCATTCCCAAAGACAAATAGCTAATAAATGTCAGGCAGGGTTTTGCACCCAGGCCCATCCAGCTCCCGTCTCTACTGTCCTTTCCCCCACACCACACTGATACAGAGGAATGTGTCTGGTTGGGGAAGTGGAAGTGTTCCCAAGTGGGGAGGTCATCTGATGCACAAATTTGGTCTGTTTTGTGGGTTTTCTTGTTTTAGTTTTAGTTTTTGTAGAGCTCAGACCTGTTCTTAGGCAGCTTTAACAATCAACTGTGCACTCAGTAATTGACAAATCATGTTTGTTACTTTTAATTTAGAGGGAATTAGGTTTGTTAAGCTCTTGCTCCTTCTTTAGAGATGGGGTCTAGCTCTGTCACCCAGGCTGGAGCGCAGTGGTATGATCACAGCTCACTGCAGTCTCAATCTGCTCAAGTGATCCTCCTGCCTCAGCCTCCATGGGACTACAAGCATGGGCCACCATGCTAGGCTAATTTTAAAAAAATTTTTTTGTAGAGGCAAGGTCTCACGGTGTTGCCCAGGCTGGTCTTGAACTCCTGAGCTCAAGCAATCCCTCTTCCACCTTGGCCTCTCAAAGTGCTAGAATTATAGGCATGAGCCACCATGCCTGGCCTTTACTTCTTTCATATATTCAAATTTTGTCATATTAGTAGGGAACTATAACTCAAGTTTTCTTATAGATTGATGTTCATTTTTACAAGCTTGATCGTCATTGGTTTTTAATTTTAAAGCAAATCCTGTTATATGTAATTGAACATTACAGTAATTATAGTAATTTGTTTCAGATTGGGCACTCAAGTGTTAATATTTTGTCTCTTTAGGAAATCAAAACTAGATTTATATATAGACTTCTTATTGCAAGTATCTAGTCTTAAATCTTACAAAGGTACTATTTGGACTTAAAACTATGAAATTGTGTGCTTACTATATAAGTGTACTTATTTTGAGTTATGTTTTAAACTTGAAATTCCATTCTTAATGTCTAGAGTAATTATGAATGGTTAAATTATGAATGACTCTAATAGTTTAAAGCTACAGTATTTATTTATTTATTTATTTAATTTATTTTTTGAGATGGAGTTTCGCTCTTGTCGCCCAGGCTGGAGTGTAGTGGCACCATCTTGGTTCACTGCAACCTCTGCCTCGCGGGTTCAAGTGATTCTCCTGCCTCAGCCTCCCAAGTGGCTGGGATTACAGGTGTATTTCACCATGCCTGGCTAATTTTTGTATTTTTAGTAGAGACAGGCTTTTGCCATGTTAGCCTGGCTGGTCTCGAACTCCTGACCTCAGGTGACCTACCCTCCTCAGCCTCCCAAGGATTACAAGCATGAGCCACCACACCTGGCCTACAGTATTTTAATGTGGACTCTCTGTCATCCATTATGCTGTTTATCCTGTGGTGAAAATTTTATGAAGATTGAATGTTTTTCTCTAGCGTGAATTGCTTTCTCTTACTTTTCTCATTTTTTTCCTTCCTAATCTACTTGCAGATACTTCAGATTATTTTTAGAACGTGGTATGGTGAGAACAAATAAATTGGGGTTTCCAAATCTTAATAAATTATGTGGCCCTCAGTGGGATTAGCAGGGTTGTATTGAAAACACCAATAGAAACAAAATAGTTCTTTTATGCGCTTTAAATAAAAATTTCTTTTCAGGCCAGGCGCAGTGGCTCACACCTGTAATCCCAGCACCCTGGGAGGCTGAGGCAGGCAGATCACCTCAGGTCAGGAGTTTAAGACAAGCCTGGCCAACATGGTGAAGCGCCGTCTCTACTAAAAATACAAAAATTAGCCGGGTATGATGGCGCATGCCTGTAATCCCAGCTACTCCAGAGGCTGAGGCATGAGAATCACTTGAACTCAGGAGATGGAGGTTGCAGTGAGCTGAGATGGTGCCACTGCACTCTAGCCTGGGCAACAGAGTGAGATTCTGTCTCAAACAACAACAACAACAATAACAAAACATCTCTTTTCAGGCCAGGTACTGTGGCTCACGCCTGTAATCCCAGCACTTTGGGAGGCCAAAACAGGAGGGTCGCTTGAGACCAGGAGTTTGAGACCAGCTTGGGCAGCTGGTCTCTATTTGAACAAACAAACAAACAAACACAATACTCTTTTCATAGAAAAATGTTTACTACACAATAAACTTTAAAAGAATATGCAGCTGTATTAATGCTATGACTCCAATGTAAAAAAAAAAAAATATATATATATATATACACACACACAAACACATTCTGAAATAGATTTAAAGGAATTACATCAACATGTCAATTTTTATTTTTTCGGAGACAGGGTCTCGCTGTGTCACCCAAGCTGGAGTACAGTGGTGCAATCACAGCTCACTGCAGCCTTGACTTCCTGGCCTCAAGTGATCCTCCCCCCTCAGCCTCCCAAAGTGCTGGGGTCACAGACCACCACACCTGGCAACATGTCAGTTTTTGTTCTGCATAGTGGGATGGTGGGATATGGATGTTTTTATCTTTTATTTTCTTTTTTATATTTTTCTAAATTTTCCACATTGAACATTATTTTATAATCTTTCAAACATATCTCTTAAAAGGACTGGTTCCTATAGAATTCAGTGCAAGAAATCTTCTGTGTTTCTTTATACTTTGGTTGCCTTGATCACTGGGCCTTTCCTGACAGCAAAGAAGAGGTTAGTGTAGGCAGCAGATAAAACACAGGTATGCTCTATTTAAAATGCATGTATTTATAATAAAAGTATAGGTGGTACCCAAAGGAAAATGTCATGACACATTGCAAAGTGGAACAGAAGTTATCTTTAGATCACTTTCTGTTCTGGATTATTGTATGAGCCTGATTTTCGTCTCTCTTTCCGCCTTCCCTCACCCTCGTTGTAAATCCACTAGTGCATGGATGTGAAGTACAAGTCTTAACTTTAAAAAGTTTTATGAAGCTGTGTAGTAAATCCCTTTTGTAAGTGGTCTTGACTGCGTTTCTCAATATATCTTTTGGTTTCATTAGATTCAAGTATATAAATGAGAACTGTAACTTTGGACAGACTTTTTCAGTCATCTTTACGGTAATAAGTTCCCAATTAGACAATAGTTATTTGTTTTATGACTTGCTGTTGGTAGGTTATCCCCAAGGGACTGAGAAATTCCTGTTTTGAAAAGTCCAAAAAGTCTTTGATGACTTGCTGTTTCATTTTTTTCTTTTCTCTTCAGTTATAGAAAACAGGATTACACCCACCTTGCCTTTGTACAGTGCATCTACTATCTGCTGACTTAACCTGAGTAAATGCTTTGAATTGAGCCCCATATAATGTCCTAAGGCAGCCTATATGGAGTAATGAATTGTCTTCTCTCTTATGCACCCAGAGTGGTAGTTGGCACTCAAGTTGTTCCTCAGATAACTTTGTGTGTTCTGGGGCTCAATGAAGTAGTTATTAAGTCACAGGCTTGGGGAGAACATTCATCCTATGGCATTGAATGAAGTGTTGCCCAATTCTAGAATGTCTAATAAAATTTTTTTAAAAACCCACAGGCTTAGAATTATTCCGTAGATATGAAGTAATGTAGTTAGAACTTAGTGGAGTTCTTTAGATTAACTTGTAATTTGAAAAACCAAAATTGAAATTGTGAAATAACATGGGCTCTTTGAGGTCTTTTCCAGTAAAACAGTTACAGTAAAGCTGCTTGGCAGTGATTTTCCTAGACACTTTGGCTAGTCATCTCCTGTGACTGCTGTTAATTAAATATGGTTTGTAGCTAAGCAGCCTGTAAGGAGAAGACTATGGAAGTATTTGCATATTCTCTCCTTGAAAATACTACCTGGTCTTTGGCTTTAAGTTATACTTTTATTTTCCCCTGTAGAATAACTATTAAAGTATTACCTATGGTGATTAGACTAAGAAGTAAAACATGAAATCAGTCATTGTTGGTGCCCTGGTGCCTTCTTTTTTTTTTTTTTGAGACAGAGTCTCACTCTGTTGCCCAGGCTGGAGTGCAATGGCACGATCTTGGCTCACTGCAACCTCTGCCTCCCAGGTTCAAGCGATTCTCCTGCCTCAGCCTCCCAAGTAGCTGAGACTACAGGCGCCCACCACCACGCCTGGCTAATTTTTGAATTTTTAGTAGAGACAGGGTTTCACTATATTGGCTAGGCTGGTCTCAAACTCCTGACCTTGTGATCCGCCCACCTCAGCCTCCCAAAGTGCTGGGATTATAGGTGTTAGCCACTGTGCCCAGCCTGGTGCTTTAATTTTATGGAAAAAACTACTAGCTGGTTTCTGTTTTAAGAAATAACACAGGCCGGGTGCCATGACTTGCGCTTGTACTCCCAGCAGTTTGGGAGGCCGAGGCGGGCGGATCACGAGGTCAGGAGTTTGAGACCAGCCTGGCCAACATAGTGAAACCCCGTCTCTACTAAAAATACAAAAATTAGCCGGGCGTGGTGGGGCATGCCTGTAGTCCCAGCTACTCGGGAGGCTGAGGCAGGAGAATCGCTTGAACCTGGGAGGTGGAGGCTGCAGTGAGCCAAGATCGCCCCACTGCACACCAGCCCGGGTGACAGTATTTCATCTCAAAAAAAAAAAAAAAAAAAAGAACACAATTATTGTACTACTTACTAGCCCTCCTCTGTCCCCAGCTAAAAATAAGAACAGCAACAACCAAAAAATCCTTAGTTATGTACTGGAAATGAATTAGATAATTTTCAATAACTTACACGTTTTTAGGATATGTTAGTTTGAAAATGCAAATATTCATGCATGACCCCAGTGTTAATCTATGATGGAGCAGGTATAGTGGGATGCTGTTTCATGATTTAATTTGGACCTTCAGGGAGTAGACTGTGATGCCTCTGCATTTGTATCCAAGACAAATAATTAAATAGTCTATTTTTGGCTGGGCATGATGCCTCATGCCTGCAGTCCCAGCACTTTGGGAGGCTGAGGTGGGAGGATCGCTTGAGGCCAGGAGTTCAAGATCAGTCTGGGCAACAAAATGAGACCTTGTCTCTACAAAAACTACAAAAAATTAGCTGAACATTGTGGCTTGTGCCCCTAGTCCCAGCTACTCAGGTCCCTGAGTTAGGAGGATTGCTTGAGCCCAGGAGTTGGAGGTTACAGTGATCTATATTTGCCACTGCACTCCAGCCTGGGTGACAGAGAGAGACCCTGTCTCAAAAAATAAAGTCTGTTTTTAAAATTAATTTTAAACACTGGAGTTTATTACAAAAAGCAGTTGGTTCTTTTTTTAAATCATTTTTTTTTAGGAGAACCACCGCTTTTTGGCTACATTGTCTAGAGTAGCAGTGTTCAATAAAAATAAGATCCAAGTCACATATGTAATGTTAAGTTTTCTTTTAGTTTCTTTTTCTTTTCTTTTCTTTTCTCTTCTTTCTTTCTTTCTTTCTTTTTTTTTTTTTTGATATGCAGTCTCACTCTGTTGCCCAGGCTGGAGTGCAGTGGCACGATCTCGGCCCACTGCAACCTCCGCCTCCCGGGTTCAAGCAATTCTCCTGCCTCAGCCTCCCGAGTAGCTGGGACTACAGGCATGTGCCACCATACCCAGCTAATTTTTGTATTTTTAGTAGAGATGGAGCTTTGCCATGTTGGCCAGTCTGGTCTCAAACTCCTGACCTCGGGTGATCCACATGCTTTGGCCTCCCTAAGTGCTGGGATTACAGGCATGAGCCACCATGCCCTACCAATGTTAAGTTTTCTAGTAGCCATATTAAAAGAAGTAAAAAGAAATGGGTGAAGTTAATTTTAATAATATATTTTATTTAACCCAATATATCTAAAATATTATCATTTCAACATGAACAAGATACTTTACATTCTTTTGTTTTTCACTAAGTCCTCAAAATCCAGTGTGTATTTTATATTGACAGCATAGTTCAGTTTGAAGCAGCCACATTTCAAGTGCTCAGTAGCCACATGTGGCTAGTGACTCCATACTGGACTGTGTAGGTTTAGAGTTTCAGTAAATTTGTATGCAATAGAATCTACATAAATTGGCATATTATGCAGATTTCTTTGTATGCACATCAGTTCTTGCATAGCATAAGTCAGGTCATGATGCTTTTAGTCTATGAGGCAGATTTTTTTTTTTTTTTTTTTGAGACAGAGTCTCACTTGGTCACCCAGGCTGGAGTGTAGATGCACAATCTTGGCTCACTGCAACCTCCATGTGAGGCAGATTTTAACTTGGCCCTAATGCAAATATTGTAAGAGAGATCTAATGGCCTTTGATTTCTTACAGAGGGCAATCAATACATGCCATGGTTACAATGCTTCAGCATATAGTATGCACGTCAGCCACTGCTTTTACTCTGGCTAGTGCTTAGTGTACCTGTACCACTGCCCAGGCAGCATTTGTCCTGTGGCAGGTGAATCTTAGGGTGGAAGGTGGCAAGTAACATTGCTTTTTTTTGAGAGGGAGTCTTGCTGTATTGCCCAGGCTGGAGTGCAGTGGTGCGATCTCGGCTCACTACAACCTCCACCTCCCGGGTTCAAGTGATTCTCCTGCCTCAGCCTCCTGAGTAGCTGGGATTACAGACGGCCACCACCATGCTCGGCTAATTTTTGTATTTTTAGTAGAGACGGGGTTTCACTATGTTGGCCAGGCTGGTCTCGAACTCCTGACCTCGTGATCCACCCGCCTCGGCCTCCCAAAGTTCTGGGATTACAGGTGTGAGCCACCGTGCCCAGCCTACATTTTTAAATTAATTAATTATAAGCAGGATCTCACTGTGTTGGCCAGACTGGTCTTGAACTGATAAGAGTTCAAGACCAGCCTAGGCAACATGGTAAAACCCTGTCTACTAAAAAATACAAAAAAAAAAATTAGCTGGGCATGGTGGTGCGTGCCTATAATCCCAGCTACTTGGGAGGCTGAGGCAGGAAAATCGCTTGAACCCGGGAGACTGAAGTTGCAGTGAGGTGAGATTGCACCACTGCACTCCAGCCTAGGCGATTCCATCTCAAAAACAATAACAACAAAATAACATTGTTGGAATATTTAGTTAATTTATAGAAGCGTATTGGCCTAATTGGGGCAAATACCTTATTCTGACATTCTCTCTATTTGCTTTACTGAGCTTTTTCACCAGTGGAATTTAAGCCCTTGATACATGAGGAGGGAAAATACCTTGGAGCTGTGCTGCACATGTAAAGTACACAGGAGATTTAGAAAACTTCGTAGCAAAAAAAAGAGTGTAAAGTATCTCATTAATAGTTTTTGTGGGCTGGACACGGTGGCTCAAGCCTATACTCTTGGCACATTGGGAGGCTGAGATGCATGAGTCTAGGAGTTTGAGACCAGCCTGGGCAACACAGTAGGACCCCGTCTCTACAAAAATAATCAGCCAGATGTGGTGCGCATCTGTAGTCCCAGTTACTTGAGAGGCTGAGGTGGGAGGATCGTTTGAGCTGGGAAGTTGAGGCTACAGTGAGCTGTGATTGAACCACTGCACTCCAGCCTGGGTGACAGAGTGCCTGTCTCCAAAAAATAAATAAATAAATAATAATATGTTTTGTATGTTCATATGTTGCAATAACATTTTGGATATATTAAATGAAATAAAATACATTAAAATTAATTTCACCTGTTTCTTTTCTTTTCTTTTTTTTTTTTTTTTTTGAGATGGAGTCTCGCTATGTCATCAGGCTGGAGTGCAGTGGCACGATCTCGGCTCACTGCAACCTCCTCCTCCTGGGTTCAAGCGATTCTTCTGCCTCAGCCTCCCTAGTAGCTGGGATTAAAGGCATGTGCCACCACACCCAGCTAATTTTTGTATTTTTAGTAGAGACGGGGTTTCACCATATTGGCCAGGATGGTCTCGATCTCCTGACCTCATGATCCGCCTGCCTTGGCCTCCCAAAGTTCTGGGATTACAGGCGTGAGCCACTGCACCCAGCCTCTTTTAACTTTTTAAGTATGGCTACCAGAAAATTTAAAATGCATGTGTGGCCTGTATTCTATTTCTGTTGGATGCTGCTGCCTTAGATTATTAATTATTCAATGTAAAGACTGCTGGGAGGTACTACCTGCACTTCCCTGAATATATGCTTGAGAGCTCCACCAGCCGTCTTCACAGTAGCAAGAGGGGTATTCTGAGTCTGTCCCCCAAAGAGGGAGGGAGAAGTGCAGCCCTCTCAGGTTCTGTCAGAAAACCTGATCCCAGGCCAGGCGTGGTAGCTTACGCCTGTAATCCCAGCACTTTGGGAGGTTGAGGCAGGAGGATTGCTTAAGCCCAGGAGTTCGAGACCAGCCTGGGCAACACAGTGAAGACCCTATCTCTACAAAAATTTTTTTAAAAAAATTAGCCAGGTGCAGCAATGCTGCCTGTACTCCCAGCTGCTTGGGAGGCTGAGGTAGGAGGATTGCCTGAGCCCAGGAGTTAGAGGTTGCAGGAGTTAGAGGTTCCACGATCGCACCTTTCATTCCGTTACATTTGCTGCCTTGAGAACAGAAGACCTGCTGGTTTTGTTGCCAGTTTGCTCAGTCATTTTTATGAAAAAGCCAGTGCTAACTAGGTGCTTCTTCGTGCCTTCTCTGAGAATCAAGAACTCTAGTATGTTTGCGTGTGTTCAGTCTCTCATTAAATGTTCTCACTATCCCAGAGAACCATCTCATTGGACCTTGGTCTGTACATACCTTCATCTTTGGCTCTGACTTGTAATTATTTTTAGAACTTCTCTTTTTTTTTTTTTGGAGACAGAGTTTTGCTCTAGTTGCCAGACTGGAATGCAGTGGCACGATCTCAGCTCACCTCAACCTCTGCCTTCCAGGTTCAAGCAATTCTCCTGCCTCAACCTCTTGAGTAGCTGTAATTACAGGCATGTGCCACCACGCCTGGCTAATTTTGTGTTTTTAGTAGAGACAGGGTTTCTCCAAGTTGGTCAGGCTGGTCTCAAACTCCCGACCTCAGGTGATCTGCCCGCCTTGGCCTCCCAAAGTGCTGGGATTACAGGCGTAAGCCACTGCGCCTGGCCTAATTTTAGAACTTGTTAAAACAACTTGGCCTCTATTGATATTTCCATGACCCATGCTATTCAGAAAGAGGATTACAGGTAATTAGCTGGCTGGGTTTCTCATACCAGAGCATTTCACTGGGATGTTCCTGAACCTGGGACAACTTTTATGCCTGGCATTTTTCTTTCCTTCTCTGTTGTCCCAGACTAAGCAATTTTTAAAATAGTTATTATTTGTTGAGTAGGAGAATCTCAGGCAGATCTTCCTGGATCCTCATTTATACTTTTAAACCTGTAGTCTTGGAATTAGTGCTCTGTCCCCCAACCCCAAACATCCAATTTCTACATTTTGGCTACAGTACAGGTTTACTGTGTATAACTAAAAGGGCTGTGGAGGAGAAAGAAAGGAACCGACATTTGTTGGGCATCTGTTATGTGCCATGCACTGAGCTGGATGCTGTAGGAATATCTCAATACCTCTGAGGAGTGGGAATTATTATCTCTATTTTATAGACAAGGGAATAGAAATCTGGGAGTTAAGTAATTTTTTAATTTCACACACTTCTGGTAGATAATGGATTCTAGAACCTGGCATAATAGCCACTTGTCATCCCAGTGTAAAAGAGATGTGTGGCCAGATGGGGTGGCTCACATATGTAATCCCAGCACTTTGGGAAGCCGAGGCAGGAGGATGACTTGAGCCCAGGAGTTCAAGACCAGCCTGGGCATGTTTTGTTTGTCTCACGAAACATTTTTTAAAAAATGAGTGTGGCATGGTGTTGTGTGCCTATAGTCCCAGCTCCTCGGGAGGCTGAGGTGGGAGGATCTCTTGAGCCCATGATCATGCCATTGCACTCTAGCCTGGGCCACAGAGCAAGACTCTGTCTTCAAAAAATAATAAAAAGGAGCTGTGATTATCCCAAGGTGGGGATTGTGAATGTGTTTGTATTGTTCTAAACTGGGAGAAACAGGCTGGGTGTGTTGGCTTATGCCTGTAATCTCAGCACTTTGGGAGGCCAAGGTGGGAGGATCACTTGAGTCCAGGAGTTCAAGGCCACCCTGGGCAACAGGCAAAAAATAGAGACCCCATCTCTATTTTTTAAAAATAAAATAAACTGGGAGAAAGAAGCAGGGTCCTCCCCAGAGCATCTTTATCCCTAGTCACAGACCTGACACCTGTGTTGGGCAATGGCTACTTCTAGATTGTTTACCCCTACTGGGACTTGTGGTGAACATATGCACACTTTGGTTTACAGTTGGGACCCCTGATTTTAGCAGGATGGCCCAATGGAATCAGCTACAGCAGCTTGACACACGGTACCTGGAGCAGCTCCATCAGCTCTACAGTGACAGCTTCCCAATGGAGCTGCGGCAGTTTCTGGCCCCTTGGATTGAGAGTCAAGATTGGTAAGTCCTTCTTAAGTGACTCTCCAAATTGTTAGGTTTCAGTTTGAGTCAAGAGACATGAACTCTTAATGTCATGCCTTGCTGTTCCATTAAAAAATGTATGGGTACAGGTGATGGGGAAAATGAGATCAGGAGATAAAGGGGCACCCTTTGGTCTTGTAAAGCCTTTTTTATCTTAGAAGGGCATGTGGGCAACTGTCTTTGACACATTGAAACCGCCTGTATGGTGGTGGATGTCTTGAAGGTTGATTTGGACCTCATTTACTTGGGCAGATCCTCTATATATTCTGATAATCCAGTGATGTGGTAGACATATTTTTTCTCTGAATGTGAATTCTGTCATAGCTAGAACTTTGGGTTGATACTTGTAATTCCCCTTTAGTTAAAGGAAGGAGCCACAGGGGTGTATTAGTCTGTTCTCAATTTGCTATAAAGAAATACCTGAGACTGGGTAATTTATAAGAAAAGAGGTTTAATCGGCTCATAGTTCTGCAGGCTATATAGGAAGCATAGCAGCATCTGCTGCTGGGGAGGCCTCAGCAAGCTTCCAATCATGGCGGAAGGCAGAGAGGGAGCAGGCAGGTCACATGGCCACAGCAAGAGCAAGAGAGCAAGGGGGAGGTGCCACACACTTTTAAACTATCAGATCTCACAAGAACTCACTGTCTCGAGGACAGTATCAACAGGGATGGTATTAAACCATTCATGAGAAACCCACCCCCATGATCCAGTCACCTTCCACCAGGCCCCACCTCAAACAGTGGGGGTTACATTTCAGTATGAGATTTGGGCAGGGATGTAGATCCAAACTAGATCACAGGATAAGGGAAGTAGATTCCATTCATAGAGCAGATAATGGCACAGATGTCCAGCAACTATTTTCTTCACTTTAATATGCTCAGGCTCACTACTGATTTTGGTTTAATTCAGGCCAGTGTTAATATGACCTGGTTTTTCCAGAATGCATACTCTGATTTGGTGAAGGGCCAGGAGGTGATTCACAGATGTTGGAGATAGGCCATCCCAGCCTGGGATTACTTATTTGTACTAATAAATCTGACCAGAGTTAATTGAGGGTTTAAAGCAAAACAGCATATCTGTCTACTTTGCTCAAATATTTTACAAATACAACAGATTATGAGAGTGGGTAATAATATCTGGAATAATTGTTTTTTTGTTTTGTGGTTTTTTTTTTTTTTTTTTTGAGATGGAGTCTGGCTGTAGCCCAGGCTGGAGTGCAGTGGTACAGTCTCGGCTCACTGCACCTCTGCCTCTTGGATTCAAGCGATTCTCCCGCCTCAGCCTCCCGAGTAGCTGGGATTACAGGTGCCCACCACCACACCTGGCTAATTTTTTATTTTTAGTAGAGACAGCGTTTCACCATGTTGGCCAGGTTGGTCTGGAACTCCTGACCTCAGGTGATCCGCCTGCCTCAGCCTCCCAAAGTGCTGGGATTACAGGCATGAGCCACCATGCCTGGCCTGGAATAATTGTTAATAATTATTACATTGATGGCATTTTATTGCTGAGCAAGAAGAATCTAACATGATGAATGGGTTATAGCATCAGGTTTGCTTTGTTTTTTTGTTTTTTTCCTCTTTCTTGATGGTGATTTCTGTGTTTGTGTGTATGCGTCGGCTTCAGAGCCATTCTTTATCATTCTTCCTTTTCCTAGGGCATATGCGGCCAGCAAAGAATCACATGCCACTTTGGTGTTTCATAATCTCCTGGGAGAGATTGACCAGCAGTATAGCCGCTTCCTGCAAGAGTCGAATGTTCTCTATCAGCACAATCTACGAAGAATCAAGCAGTTTCTTCAGGTATGATGAGAAACTGAGGACAAGGAGAAACAGGACCCGCAGAGTCGGGTGTTAGTGTTCTTTCCTGGAAGCATCTCTTTTCTCATTTGGCTAAGTAACGAGAATCTATCTTGTATTTTCAATCACAGGAGAAGTAATTAGCCCTTTCTCAAAGCTCTGTATACTTACCCGTGAGCATCATTACCTGAGAATCACTTCTCTTGTCACAGTTGAAGTAATAAAGTGATTGTTATGTTAATCATACATGTTAGCATGTTAACGCGGTCCACTGATAGGAAGATGACTCTCACTGTTACATGTTAAATGTTTGACCATAATGGGATACTTCTTGACTAAGTCAGTAGCTTCCCTGCAAGACCAGGATAGTATACTGTGTAAAGACTCAGACAAGGCCAGGCATGGTGGCTCACGCCTGTAATCCCAACACCTTAGGAGGTTGAGGTGGGAGGATTGCTTGAGCCTGGGAGTTTTGAGACCAGCTTGGGCAACATAACAAGACACCATCTCTACAGAAATTTTTTTTAAAAACTAGCTGATTGTGGTGGCATGCACCTGTAGTCCCAGCTACTCAGAAGGCTGAGGTGAGAAAATTGTTTGAGCCTGGGAGGTCGAAGCTGCAATAAGCCGTGATTGCGCCACTGCACTCCAGCCTGGCGGACAGAGTGAGAGCCAGTCTCAAAAAAAAAAAAAAAAGACTCAGGCTAATGTGCCTTCTGTTACAGAAATAGTAACGACCTCCCCTTCGCCCCCCGCCGACAGAGAGCCTTCACCCAGGCTCTGAAGCCTTTGTTCCGTTGTTTCCTAGAATAAATGCTTTCCTTGATGAATACATTAGTTTTAAGGTGCCACAGTTCAGTCCACATCTCCATGGTCTGCTGCTGATTTTTATTCTCTTTCTCTCCTACTTATAGAGCAGGTATCTTGAGAAGCCAATGGAGATTGCCCGGATTGTGGCCCGGTGCCTGTGGGAAGAATCACGCCTTCTACAGACTGCAGCCACTGCGGCCCAGGTGAGACCTGAGACAAAACAAATCCCTGGTCTGGGAGGAATGGAAAATCAAACAACTTTATAATGAGATAAATTATTAGATCTACTAAAAAAGAAGGAAAAGAAATTAAATAGATCAATAATCATAAAAATACATTGAAAAACTCTAAAAAAAAAGAAAGTTCCACCCCCCAAAATACATTGAAAAACTCTAAAAAAAAGAAAGTTCCACCAAAAGAATCCAACAGACCCAATGGTTTAAAAGTTTTGTTTTGTTCTGACAAATTTTCTTTGTTTTTCTTTTTTTTTTTTTCTGAGACAGAGTTTTGCTCTTGTTACCCAGGCTAGAGTGCAATGGCGCGATCTTGGCTCACTGCAACCTCCACCTCCAGGGTTCAAGTGATTCTCCTGCCTCAGCCTCAAGAGTAGCTGGGATTATAGGCGTGTGCCACCACACCCAGCTAATTTTGTATTTTTAGTAGAGACGGGGTTTCTTCATGTTGGTCAGGCTGGTCTCGAACTCCTGACCTCAGGTGATCCGCCCGCCTCAGCCTCCCACAGTGCTGGGATTACAGGCGTGAGCCACTGTGCCCGGCCTGTTCTGACAAACTTTCATAGTACAGATTATTCCAATATCATTCAAACTTTTCCAAAGTATAGGAAAACAAGGGATGTTTTCAGCTTATTTTATGAGGCTGGAAAAATCCTCATATCAAAACCTAAAAAACAGCCAGGTGTAGTAGCTCACGCCTGTAATCCCAGCACTTTGGGAGGCTGAGACGGGCAGATTGCCTGAGCCTCAGGAGTTCGAGACCAGCTGGGGCAATGTAGCGAGACCTCATCTCTCTTTTTTTTTTTTTTTGAGACAGAGTCTCTCTCTGTCGTCCAGGCTGGAGTGCAGTGGTGCCATCTTAGCTCACTGCAACCTCCGCCTCCCAGGTTCAAGCGATTCTCTTGCCTCAGCCTCCCGACTAGCTGGGACTACAGGTGTGTGCCACCAAGCCTGGCTAATTTTTTGTATTTTTTTTAGTAGAGATGGGGTTTCACCTTGTTAGGCAGGATGGTCTTGATCTCCTGACTTCATGATCCACCGGCCACAGCCTCCCAAAGTGCTGGGATTATAGGCATGAGCCACCACGCCCAGCCTTTTTTTTTTTTTTGAGACAGAGTCTTGCTCTGTTGCCAGGCTGGAGTGCAGTGGCGTGATCTCAGCTCACTGCAACTTCTGCCTCCCAGGTTCAAGCTATTCCCCTGCCTCAGCCTCCCAAGTAGCTGGGACTACAGGCGCGCGCCACCACACCCAGCTAATTTTTTGTGTTTTTAGTAGAGATGGGGTTTCACTGTGTTAGCCAGGATGGTCTCGATCTCTTGACCTCGTGATCCGCCCGCCTCGGCCTCCCAAAGTGCTGGGATTACAGGCGTGAGCAACCGCACCTGGCTTAATTAAGGATCTTTCTAAACACAAGAAAGAATATTTATCAGAAACCAAAGGGAGCATGATGCACAGTGGTGAAACACTATTCTCAGTAAAAACAGCAAAAGATAAGGATGTCTTTTACCATTGATACTTTTCTGAGGGATCCAGCCTATGCAAAAAGAAAAAGAAATGAGGGTACAAATATTGGAAAGCAAGGGACAGAACTCTTATTATTTACAGATAGATAGGTCTTCCTCGAAGATCCAAGAGAAACAAAACTAACAATAACAATTGGAACTAGCAAGGTTTAGAAAGGCCATTGTATACAAGATAAATATTTTTAGAATCTGCAGTTCCCCTAATCAGTAGCAGCAGTAACCTGTTAGAAGATGTAATGAAAGTAAAGATCTGGGCCAGGCACGATGTCTCACGCCTGTAATCCAAGCACTTTGGGAGGCCAAGGTGGGCAGATCATGAGGTCAAGAGATTGAGACCATCCTGGCCAACATGATGAAACCCCATCTCTACTAAAAATACAAAAATTAGCTGGGTGTGGTGGTACGCGCCTGTAGTCCCAGCTACTCGGGAAGCTGGGGCAGGAGAATCGCTTGAACCTGGGAGGCGGAGGTTGTAGTGAACCAAGATTGCGCCACTGCACTCCTGGGCGACAGAGCGAGACTCCGACTGAAAAAAAAAAAAAAAAAAAAAGAAAGATCTGATTCATAGTAGTAAAACTAAATGTATGCAATTTGCATATACTATTGGTATGTATGGGAAAATATCTGGAAACACATATACTAAATCATTAAAGTAGTCGGTCATAGGAGACTTTTTTACTTTCTGTGAGGGGTTTTACCGTCTTTAATATCCTATAATCAGGGACATTTTTTCTTTTTCTCCGTGACCCCCTGCTTTTTAAAAAATTGTGGTGAAATACACATAACATTACATTTCAAATTTACCTTTGTAACCTTTGTTTTTTTTTTTTTTTTTTGAGACAGTCTCACTCTGTCACCCAGGCTGGAGTGCAGTGGTGTGATCACAGCTCACTGCAGCCTCAACCACCTGGGCCCTAGCGATCCTCCTGCCTCAGCCTTATGAGTAGCTGGGACTACAGGCACATGCCACCATGCCCAGCTAATTTTTTTTTTTTTTTTTTTTGGTAGAGATGGGCTCTTGCCATGTTTCCCAGGCTGGTGTTGAACTCCTGGGCTCATCAACTGATGAGAAAGAGCTCTCCAGGCAGAAAGAAGATCATGTTCAAAGACAGAAACAGAAATGTGTATTCTTGGGAGAAGTGTAGAAAGTTCAGCATCTGATTGGGTCGGGGAAGACAAGCTAGTCAAGGCCACATGATGTTTTAATTAGTCATGCCTAACAGTGGGGCCCTGGAAGAGCAGTTTACCACAAGGGGCCAACTGCTTCGGTTTGAACCCGCAGCCCTGCCACTTGCTCTGTAACCTTAAGTAAACAATTTTTACTCTCTCTGTTCCTCCAATGGGAGTGATAACAATACCTTCTTCATAGAATTAATTCATACATGTAAAATGCTTAGAACAGTATCTGACACATAAATGCAAAATAATTTAACTGCTTTCTGCTGCTGCTGACATCACTATCATCACCCTCACCATTACTGTAGGAAATGGGGACCCAGTGAAGAATTTTTTTTTTTTCTTTTGAGACAGAGTCTCACTCTGTCACCCAGGCCGGAGTGCAGTGACGCGATTTCGGCCCACTGCAACCTCTGCCTCTCAGGTTCAAGCGATTCTCATGTCTCAGCTTCCCAAGTAGCTGGGATTACAGGCATGAGCCACCACACTGGGCTAATTTTTTGTATTTTTAGTGAGATAGGGTTTCACCATATTGGCCAGGCTGGTCTCAAACTCCTGACCTCAGGTGATCCATCCACCTCGGCCTCCCAAAGTGCTGGGATTACAGGCATAAGCCACTGTGTCCGGCCCTAGTGAGGAATTTTAAGCAGAAAACTGATATGCTCAGGTGTGAGCGAGGTGGTAGGTAACACTTACTGTGCAGTGCCCTGTAGCCCAAGAGGTTAGCACACAGGCATTTGCTCAGGCAGCACTAGGATTTTCTGCTGTGGAAAACCTTTGTATTTTATCCTGCTCCACAAGATAAAAATAAGTGGTTTAAGTCAATTTGGATAGAGGCTCCAACTTACCATGGGAGGTAGGAAAGCCAAAGTTATCCCAAGGATGTTTTCAATCGTACGGATTAGGGGTCTGCAAACTGTGAGCGTGGCCCAAATCCAGCCTGCTGCTTGTTTTTGTAAATGAGGTTTTTTCGGAACCCAGCCACACTCATTTATTTATGCATTATCTGTGGCTGCTTTGGTGCTGCAGTGGCAGGGCTATTTGTGGCAGGGACTGTATGACCCAGGAAACCAAAAATATTTACCCTCTGTCCCTTAGAGAAAAAGTTTGCAACCCCTGATATAAAGCTATAAGTTGGTTATTTGTGGCCTCAACCCAGGCCTCACTGCTATTTTTTCTGTTTACAATACCTGGCATGCTCTTAAGTGTCTAGAATTGGTTAAAGATAGAAGAGTGGATGTAATCCCTGCTACCAAGGGCTGTCAGGCTAGTTGGGATTATAAGTACACAAACACTCAAAGTGAGAAAAACACAGAAAAGGATGTGTGTCATTTTGTCTAAGGAAGTTGAATAAGATTTCTCAGGAAAAGAAACATTTGAACTGAATTTGAAGGTGAGTGAGTTCAGGTGTGTTTGGGCTGAAGCCCAGGCCATGCTGAGTGGATAGCGGGTGGGAAGAGAGTGTGGAAACACACTGCATGCAGGGAAGAGTTGGGAGTCTGGGGTGACCAAGGCACAGGGAGGGAAAGTTGAAGTTATCAATTGTGTGAAACAGCTTTCTGTGTTGGCCTGAGATGTTTATAGCTGGAAGCAGTGGGGAGCCAATACAGTTTTTTACGAAGGTATTAGAGGTGGGTTTCTGTGGGTGATCGTTAATCATGTTTTCTCCCTTTAAGTGTAGTCCTGCTTGAGAAATAGACATGAGAAAGGAATGAAGGTTAAAACATCAGCTGTATTGTTGGTAAAACTAGAATGGAAAGTGTGGCTTGAGCTGGTAACCATAGGGGCTTTCCAATGCCTGTGCCCTGAGTTAGATCTTGGGGTAGAGAGACTGGATGTGCAGAGCAGCACCCCCACCCCACCCCAGCCATCCATATGGAGCTTCAGCTGCCATAGACCAACAAGGCAGAGGGATAGGCCTCTAGACCTGCTTCTAGAAACCAGGCTGCTGCTCTTGCTTATGGTGGGCCCTAGGAAGGCAAGAGTGAGAGGAGGGAGGCACCAGCTTAGGTGCTGGGTTCTTTGAAGATCTGTGTGTACACAGAGTCTTTCTCTCCATCTTACCAATCAGATGAGTCACTGTCACTGTGGGAAGAAGTAGGGGCATGGGTCACCTTCCCAAAACTTCTAAGAAGTTTGTATTCTGTGGGCTTGGATAGGGACCATGGGAAAGGAAGAGAATGGTTGCCCATAAAACTGGCTGTAGTGTGGCCTCAAACTTCTGGACTTAAATGATCCTCCCACCTCAGCCTCCCAAGTAGCTAGAACTACAGGTATATGCCACCATGCCCAGCTAGTTAAAAAAAAATTTTTTTTTTTTTTTGGTTGAGATGAGGTCTCTTTCTATGTTCCCTGGGCCGGTCTCAAACTCCCAGCCTCAAGTGATCCTCCTGCCTTGGTTTCCCAAAGTGCTAGGATTATAGGTGGGAGCTACCATGCCTAGCCCAAGCCTGTAATTTTTTTTTTTTTTTTTTGAGATGGAGTTTCACTTTTGTTGCTCAGGCTGGAGTGCATGGCGCAGTCTTGGCTCACCACAACCTCCACCTCCCGGGTTCAGGCGATTCTCCTTCCTCAGCCTCCCGAGTAGCTGGGATTACAGGCATGCACCACCAAGCTCAGCTAACTTTGTATTTTTAGTAGAGATGGGTTTCTCCGTGTCGGTCAGGCTGGTCTCAAACTCCTGACCTCAGGTAATCTGCCCACCTTGGCCTCCCAAAGTGCTGGGATTACAGGCATCAGCCACCGCACCTGGCACGAACCTGTAATTTTTAAGTTTCATATGCTATTTATTTTTTGTTATTTCTTTAATTCATTCATTCATTTATTCATTCGAGATGGGGCCTCACTATGTTGACTAGGCTAGTTTTGAACTCCTGGCCTCAAGCAGTCCTCCCACTTCAGCCTTCCCAAGTGCTGATATTATAGGTGTGAGCTGCTACATCCAGCCTTCTTTCTTCTTTTTCTTTTTCCATGTGCTATTTGACATTTTCCAAGGTACCAGCCTCCCCTTCTCCCCAAGATAATATCTTTTAATATGGAATTTCATCCCTAGGGCAGGACTTTTTTTTTATTATCCCTCAGAAATATACTGGACACCACGTTTAAGTAGACATCCAACATCTGCTGTCATAAATTGTTTTGAATTTTTTGACATACTTGCCCATGAGGTTTTTGAAGGCATAGACCATGTCTTAGCTGAACATGTGGTCTCTTAGTGCCATAAAGGGGGTTTATGGTATGACCTGTGTAGTGTCACCTGTGTAGTGACAGCACCACTGCCTCTGTTTCCCTTCCTCTTGTGATGGCAGCAGCGTCTCAAGCCAAACAAGAAGGGTAGTTAGGGTGGGATGGAAGCTGGGTAGAGGTATTCCTCTCCCCATAGTTCTGTGTTCACATGTGCATTGACCTCCTTTTTGGCAGCAAGGGGGCCAGGCCAACCACCCCACAGCAGCCGTGGTGACGGAGAAGCAGCAGATGCTGGAGCAGCACCTTCAGGATGTCCGGAAGAGAGTGCAGGTGATGCAAGTTACAAGCCTCGGGCAGGGAGCTTTCATTAATTTTTTTTTTTTTTTTTGAGACAGGGTCTTGCTCTGCCACTCAGGCTGGGCTGCAGTGGCATGATCACAGCTCACTGCAGCCTCGACCTCTCAGGCCCAAGCGATCCTCCTACCTCATCCTCCCAAGTAGCCGGGACCACAGGCATGCACCACCACGCCCAGCTAATTAAAAAAAAAAAATTTGTAGAGATGGGGGTCTCCCTGTGTTGTCCAGGCTGATCATGAACTCCTGGGCTCAAGTGATCCTCCCAACTCAGCCTCTCAAAGTGCTGGCATTACAGGCGTGAGCCACTGCACCTGGCCAACAGGGAGCCTTCTCTTGGGGATACTGCCTGCAGGTCCTGCATGTATCTTTTTTGAGGTTTTGGCTTCATTTGAATTCTCCTCAGAAACTTTATATTTTCTGTTCCCAAGGAAATCTTTCTTTACTTCTGTTTTTTTGTTTGCTTATTTTAAACAGGATCTAGAACAGAAAATGAAAGTGGTAGAGAATCTCCAGGATGACTTTGATTTCAACTATAAAACCCTCAAGAGTCAAGGAGGCAAGTGAATATTAGAGATGTTAAAATCTCTAGAAAGTGAGTTTGTGTTGTTGAGTTGAAAGACTCATTTGTCTTAACTCTGTTTAGATCTTAAGGCGGGCGGGGCGCAAGGGAGGTACGGGTCCTCAAAGGAGCCTGGTCATTAAGGACAGGAGTATTCCCTCAGGTCCAGGAGTATTCCCTCAGGTCCAGGAGTATTCCCTCAGGTCAAGGAGTATTCCCTCAGGTCAAGGAGTATTCCCTCAGGTCCAGGAGTATTCCCTCAGGTCCAGGAGTATTCCCTCAGGTCCAGGAGTATTCCCTCAGGTCCAGGAGTATTCCCTCAGGTCCAGGAGTATTCCCTCAGGTCAAGGAGTATTCCCTCAGGTCCAGGAGTATTCCCTCAGGTCCAGGAGTATTCCCTCAGGTCCAGGAGTATTCCCTCAGGTCCAGGAGTATTCCCTCAGGTCCAGGAGTATTCCCTCAGGTCAAGGAGTATTCCCTCAGGTCCAGGAGTATTCCCTCAGGTCCAGGAGTATTCCCTCAGGTCCAGGAGTATTCCCTCAGGTCAAGGAGTATTCCCTCAGGTCCAGGAGTATTCCCTCAGGTCCAGGAGTATTCCCTCAGGTCCAGGAGTATTCCCTCAGGTCCAGGAGTATTCCCTCAGGTCCAGGAGTATTCCCTCAGGTCCAGGAGTATTCCCTCAGGTCCAGGAGTATTCCCTCAGGTCCAGGAGTATTCCCTCAGGTCAAGGAGTATTCCCTCAGGTCCAGGAGTATTCCCTCAGGTCCAGGAGTATTCCCTCAGGTCCAGGAGTATTCCCTCAGGTCAAGGAGTATTCCCTCAGGTCAAGGAGTATTCCCTCAGGTCAAGGAGTTTTTTCTTCCTTCGCAGACATGCAAGATCTGAATGGAAACAACCAGTCAGTGACCAGGCAGAAGATGCAGCAGCTGGAACAGATGCTCACTGCGCTGGACCAGATGCGGAGAGTAAGGGCATAGGTCGGACCACTTCCCCCATGTGTCTCGCTCACTTGCGGGATTTCAGCGTCTTGTGGCAGAACTTGCTTGGTTTCTAAGAAGTTCCTGCTCTGGAGTTGACTAAAGAATGTGGTTAGAGACAGTCTGAGGAAATGTTTTCTGACTTTGTTTTGGTTTCCAACCAGAGCATCGTGAGTGAGCTGGCGGGGCTTTTGTCAGCGATGGAGTACGTGCAGAAAACTCTCACGGACGAGGAGCTGGCTGACTGGAAGAGGCGGCAACAGATTGCCTGCATTGGAGGCCCGCCCAACATCTGCCTAGATCGGCTAGAAAACTGGTAAAGGATGAAAGAAGCTTTTCCTTTCTTTCTCGAAAGCTAGATTGAATTCTGATCTTAACTGCAGGCCCACAGAATTGGTACTATATCTCCAACGTGGGGACTTTTCCATATTCAAATTTAGCCCAAGAATTAAAGTTTTTACTTTATTTCGGCCAGGCGCTGTGGCTCACACCTGTAATCCCAGCACTTTGGGAGACCAAGATGGGCGGATCACTTGAGGTCAGGAGTTTGAGACCAGCCTGGCCAACATGGTGAAAACACATCTCTACTAAAAACATAAAAAAATTAGCCGGGCGTGGTGGTGCGCACCTGTAGTCCCAGCTACTCTGGGCGGCTGAGGCAGGAGAATCACTTGAACCTGGGATATGGAAGTTGCAGTGAGCGGAGATCTTACTACCGCACACCAACCAGCCTGGGAGACAGAGTGAGACTCCATCTCAAAAAAATAAAAATAAAATAAAGTTTTTACTTTATTTGGAGAAACTTTGTTTTAAAAAATGTATTTATATTATTATATTTTAAGTATATTTTACTTAATAATTCAATTAAGGCTTTTGGTTTAACTGTATTTAACAGATAGACAAACCTTTTAATTTTAGTTATTTTAGTAATCTAAAATGACACATGCCCTTTTTAAGGGAAAAAATTCAAATACAGAAAATTAATCAAGAGAAGAAAAAATTTTTAAATGAAATCATCAGCAGTACTAGTAGTTAAAATTTAGTTGATGCTCAATCTAGACATCTGTCATTATGTATATACACATTATGTATATACACATAAAGATAGAAATTTATACAGTTTATATTAGGATCATTTTTTTTTCTTTTTTTGGAGTCAGGGTCTCACTGTGTTACCCAGTCTAGAGTACAGTTATGCAGTCATGGCTCACTGGAGCCTTGACCTCCTGGGCTCAGGCAGTCTTCCCACCTTAGCCTTCTCAGTAGCTGGGACTACAGGCATGCACCACCACACCTGGCTAATTTTTAAATTTTTTATAGAGACAGGGTCTTACTTTGTTGCCTGGGCTGGTCTCAAATTCCTGGGCTCAAGGGATCATCCCACTTCGGCCTCTCAAAAGCTCTGGAATTATAGATGTGAGCTGCCGTGCCCAGCCCAGGATCTTCCTTTATATGCTTTTCTGTAATTTGCACTTTTACCTTCATCCAGCATATCTTACTGCAACCCTTCCTGTGCAAGGCCCTATAGTGAGCATGTTGCACCAGCTTGCCTTAGGAGAAACTTGAGATACAGAGCCTGCACTGGAAATTTAGCGCAACTCTACATGAGAATGCCTGTCTATTCATATCCTCACTAACCCTGAGTGTTGTTAATTTACTGAAAGCAGTTTTAAATGCTTCCTGACCAGGGAACGAAGAAGCTTAAGTTCTGGGAATGGGAGGATAGAAGTGCCAGAAAAGAGCTCAGGAGTTCAGAAATCCCTGCAGCGGTCCCCCTCCCTCTCCTTTCACTTTCTGTCTTTCTGGTCTTTTGGTCTTTGTTACACTAGTGATAAACCATCAAAGAATGATGGAATGATGCTAACTTCTCTCTTTTTTTAATTTTTTTGAGACAGAGTCTCACTCTGTCACCCAGGTTAGAGTGCAGTGGCATGATCTTGGCTTACTGCAACCTCCTCCTCCCAGGTTCAAGCGATTCTTAGTCACAACCTTCCAAGTAGCTGGGATTACAGGCCCATGCCACCATGCCTGGCTATTTTTTTGTATTTTAGTAGATCGACCTGCCTCGGCCTCTCAAATTTTTGGGATTACAGGTGTCAGCCACTGCACCTGGCCTAATATCTCTATTCTTGGAGATAGATTTAATGAGCTTTTTCTCCCTCTCTATTCACTTATTCCTTGTGCATGTTATCAATATTTTGAAACATAATGTCATGTCCTTTGATCAGTTGAAGGCTGACATTGAAAAGGCTTATGGGGATTGGGTGTTGTGGCTCACGCCTGTAAATCCCAATGCTTTGGGAGGCAGAGTCGGGAGGATCACTTGAACCCAGGAGTTTGAGACCAGCCTGGGCAACAAAGTGAGATCCCATCCCTACAAAAATTTAAAAAACTAGACATGTGCCATTACACTTCAGCCTGGGTGACAGAGTGAGACTCCATCTCAAAAAACTAAACTAAACTAAACAGGCATGGTGGCACACACCTATAGTTCTAGCTACTCAGGAAGCTGAGGTAGGAGGATCACTCATGTCCAGGAGTTGGAGGAGGCAGTGAGCTATGATCATGCCATTGCACTGCACTAGGCCACAGAGTGGGACCCTGTCTCAAAAAAAAAAAAAGAAAGAAAGAAAAGAAAGGGCTCATGTAGTTCAAGCCCTTCTCTTCATGCAAGGGGATGCTAAGGCCCATGATGGTGAAGGGCCTGGCAAAGCTTGCACAGATAGTGTGTGACAGAGCTGGCTCAAACCCATCTTTGGGAGCTGTCTAATCTCTTTTTCTGAGTCTTTATGTTCATAGACAAGTTAGGATGAGTAAAGTAAGTGCTAAATTCCATATTTCGTGTTCTGCATATCTGGGCTCAGATGCTTGTCATTTTCCAGTGATAACTCCATCAATGCCTCCTAGTGGTATAAATTTTAATACTTCTTGTGTGCCCAGCCCCCTCTTAGAAATTTGAGATTTTAGGAAGGGACTAGTAATAAAAGGTAAAATAAATTATTTTCTGGCCAGGCATGGTGGCTCACACCTGTAATGCCAGTACTTCGGGAGGTCGAGGCAGATGGATCACCTGAGGTCAGGAGTTCAAGACCAGCCTGGCCAACAAGGCAAAATCCCATCTCTACTAAAAATGCAAAAATTATCCGGGAGTGGTGGTGGGTGCCTGTAATCCCAGCTACTTGGGAGGCTGAGGCAGGAGAATCACTTGAACTTGGGAGGCGGAGGTTGCAGTGAGCTGAGACTGTGCCACTGCACTCCAGCCTGGGCAACAGAGTAAGACTCTATCTCAAAAAAAAAAAAAAAAAAAAAAAGGCCAGGCGCAGTGGCTTACACCTGTAATCTCTCAGGAGGCTCAGGCAGGAGAATCACTTGAACCCGGGAAATGGAGGTTGCAGTGAGCCGAGATTGCACCACTGCACTCCAGCTCAAAAAATAAATAAATAAATAAATTATTTTCTTTTTTTATTTATTTTTTCAGCATCCACCCAACATGGTGAAAAATTCCTCTTTTCTTAATGTCACTGAACTGTAAACTTAAGATGAAAAATTGTAAATTTCATGCTATATATATTTCACCACAATAAAAAAATTCCTTGTTCTTATTGTAGTGGTCTCCATGTCTTCAGTATTTCCTTCCCCTTCTCCATCTCACCTGTATACATTCACTTTGGTAATTAGCATCTTTCTTAATTTATTGGCAGGATAACGTCATTAGCAGAATCTCAACTTCAGACCCGTCAACAAATTAAGAAACTGGAGGAGTTGCAGCAAAAAGTTTCCTACAAAGGGGACCCCATTGTACAGCACCGGCCGATGCTGGAGGAGAGAATCGTGGAGCTGTTTAGAAACTTAATGAAAAGGTAATTTAGCATCCTTGTCCCTTTCCCTCATCTAAAAAATACCTAAAGACTCACGTGGTAGAGTGAGAGGCGGGCTGACTTCTGGTCATGGCCGTGGCGCGTGAGCCCATCTTCTCTTTCCTCAGTGCCTTTGTGGTGGAGCGGCAGCCCTGCATGCCCATGCATCCTGACCGGCCCCTCGTCATCAAGACCGGCGTCCAGTTCACTACTAAAGTCAGGTAGGCCATGCCACTTCCATTTCCAGTAGAGATTTTACTGAGGGACACTGTTAGGGTGAGGGTAGAGTTGGTGGCCAGGGTCATTCTTTCCAGGTGTGGTGTCACAGGCAGTACACTGTTGCGGGGTTGAAATTTGTTGCCATACTATCTGCTTGCTCTCTGATTCTGATGTCAAAAGCAAAAGAGCAGTCATCTTTTTGAAGGTACCTGGGCATATTCCTATGATTGTAGACCTGGAGTCTCAGGCCACAGCTTCTCCTTCTGCCCAAGGGACAAAATAATGTCATCTATTTTCTGTTCTTTGAGGCTACTCTTCCCTGTGGATTTTAAGGGAAAGAGTAAGGCTTAGTGATGGGGAAGCTGAGAGGCCCCAGGGCAGGTGGGTGGTGGGCCTGTAGGGTGAGGTGTTACTTTCACACTCAAGTCAGAACAGGTGTGCTGGGGTTTTGACCTTCTGCAGCAAAATTTCCCTCCTCAGAAACTTAGTATGGTGTTCGGTTTCAGGATTAATAGAACAAAATGCCAGCTGCACAGCATGTGTTCCTGTAATATTTTTCATTATATGGCTTTGATTATCCTTTTGTGAATCTCTCACAACTTTAAGTTGTTAGTTCTTAGATGTTTTCTCAGTACCTTTGGCTTGAAGGAGTGATACTCATCTTTTGTTTTTGTTTGAGACAGGGTCTCACTCTCACCCAGGCTGGTGTGCAGTGGCATGATCTCAGCTCACTGCAACCTCCATCTCCCAGGTTCAAGTGATTCTTGTGCCTCAGCCTCCTGAGTAACTGGGAATAGAGGTGCGTGCCACCACACCCGGCTAATTTTTTTTTTTTTGAGACAGAGTCTCGCTCTTTCGGCCAGGCCAGAGTGCGTGTTGCAATCTCAACTCACTGCAACCTCCACCTCCCAGGTTCAAGCGATTCTCCTGCCTTAGCCTCCCTGAGTAGCTGGACCGGCACACTCCACCATGCCCGGCTAATTTTTGTATTTTTAGTAGAGACAGGGTTTCTCCATGTTGGCCAGGCTGGTCTCAAAACTCCTGACCTCAGTAATCCACCCACCCCGGCCTCCAAAAGTGCTGGGATTACAGATGTGAGCCACCACGCTCGGCCTTTTTTTTTTTTTTTTTTTTTTTGAGATGGAGTCTTTCTCTATCACCCAGGCTAGAGTGCTGAGGTGTGATCTCGGATCACTGCAGCCTCTGCCTCCTGGGTTCAAGTGATTCTCCTGCCTCAGCCTCCCAAGTAGCTGGGATTACAGGTACCTGCCACCATGCCCGGCTGATTTTTGTATTTTTAGTAGAGACGGGGTTTCACCATCTTGGCCAGGCTGGTCTCGAACTCCTGACCTTGTGATCCACCTGCCTTGGCCTCCCAAAGTGCTGGGATTACAGGTGTGAGTCACCGCACCCAGCCCTATTTTAATTTTTTTAAAGAGAGAGATAGGGGCCAGGCACGGTGGCTCTCGCCTGTAATCCCAGCACTTTGGGAGGCCAAGGTGGGTGGATCACCTGAGGTCGGGAGTTCGAGACCATCCTGACCAACATGGAGAAACTCTGTCTCTACTAAAAATACAAAATTAGCTGAGCGTGGTGGCGCGCGCCTGTAATCCCAGCTACTTGAGAGGCTGAGGCAGGAGAATCACTTGAACCCAGGAGGCGGAGGTTGCGGTGAACGGAGATTGCGCCATTGCACTCCAGCCTGGGTAACGAGAGAAACTGTCTCAAAAAAAAAAAAAGAGAAAGAGAGATAGGATCTCGCTCTGTCATCTAGGCTAGAGTGCAGTGGCATGATCATAGATCACTGTAGCCTTGAACTCCTGGGCACAAGTGATCCTCTTGCCTCAGCCTCCCGAGTAACTGCGACTACAGGTACATGCTACCACACCCCGCTAATTTTTAAATTTTTTATAGATGTGGGCTCTCACTTTGTTGCCCAGACTGTTATGGAACTCCTGGGCTCAAGGGATCCTCCCAGCTTGGCCTCCCACAGTGCTGAGATTATAGATGTGAGCCTGTAATTATAGACAGCTTGGCCTATTTACCTGTTGGAAATGAAGAATTATGAATTTTACATTTCTTCAAGAAAAGGTTATGGGAGAGTTACTGACTTTTTTTCCTTGGATTTTTTCTTTTTAAATAGGTTGCTGGTCAAATTCCCTGAGTTGAATTATCAGCTTAAAATTAAAGTGTGCATTGACAAGTAAGTACTCCTATCTTAGCTCTGTTTTTCAAATGAGGAATAGAAAAATGAGAACTTTGACAGACATCATTTGAACTAGAGACTCTGTCTTTATTCAGAGATCTTCATTTTGTGGACAAAAGTTTTCAAAAGCCTTGGGGTGCATTGTCATTTACGTGTCTGAACAAAGCCACAAAGCTGGGGGTACAGATTTGATTTGTGGTTGCTATTGTGACAACCAGTCCCTCTTTTCCTTGTTTAGTTTTTTACTTGTACATGTCATTCATGCATATTATATATAAGACTGAGATCATGTGTTAATTAACGACTGGGATACGTTCTGCAAAATGTATCATTAGGCAATTTTGTTGTGCAAATGTTGTAGAGTATATAGTCCTTACACAAACCTGGGTGGCAGAACCTACTGCACACCTACGCTATGTGGCAGAGCCTACTGGTCGTAGGCTGTAAACCTGTACAGTATGTTACTGTGCTGAATACCGTAGGCAATTGTAACACATCTCAATGAAGTAGGAATTTTTCAGCTCCATGATAATCTTATGGGACCACCATCATATATGCATTTTGTTGTTGACCGAAACGTCGTTATATATTCTTTCCATACATAGCATGTGGAAAGAATAGATCTCTTTTTTTTAATTGTTCCACACTTTACCATATAATGGAATACGCAAAATTTCACAATACCTTTCAGGATGTAAAATACATATACCCTTTGACGACATTAGAAAAGAGAAAATGTGGGCCGGGCGCGGTGGCTCATGCCTGTAATCCCAGCACTTTGGGAGGCCGAGGCGGGCGGATCACGAGGTCAGGAGATCGAGACCATCCTGGGTAACACGGTGAAACCCCGTCTCTACTAAAAATACAAAAAAACTAGCTGGGCGTGGTGGCGGGCACCTGTAGTCCCAGCTACTCAGGAGGCTGAGGCAGGAGAATGGCATGAACCTGGGAGGTGGAGTTTGCAGTGAGCCAAGATCACACCACTGCACTCCAGCCTGGGCGACAGAGACTCCATCTCAAAAAAAAAAAAAAAGAAAAGAAAAGAGAAAATGTGGCTGGGCGCGGTGGCTCACGCCTGTAATCTCAGCACTTTGGGAGGCTGAGGTGGGCAGATCACCTGAGGTCGAGAGTTCGAAACCAGCCCGACCAACATGGAGAAACCTTGTCTCTACTAAAAATACAAAATTAGCCAGGTGTGTTGGCGCATGCCCGTAATCCCAGCTACACGGGAGGCTGAGGCAGGAGAATCACTTGAACTCAGGAGGTGGAGGTTGTGGTGAGCCGAGATCACACCATTGCACTCCAGCCTGGGCAACAAGAGCGAAACTATCTCAAAAAAAAAAAAAGAAAAAAGAAAAGATAAAATGCATTCTTATTTTTAGTTGATGTAATTATGTGGAAATTTCATGAGGATGCACTGGAAAATAATGAAATAAGGGAGTTGACGAAGGTGGTAGGTTTAATAAGTACATATGCAATATGAAACATAGGTTCCCCTTCCTATGGGGAGGCAACCAACTGTGCCTGCTACGCAGAGGTGTTATGTTGCGCTGATCAACTGTAACTGAATAGTTTAAAGAAATGCCCAGGAGCACAGAGGTTTTTTCATGACAGTAAATAACAGGTGGTCAAAGTAGGCTTTTTGAAGAAACACAGAGCCTATTTTATTAACAACAGTCTGTGTTCTTACAGAGACTCTGGGGACGTTGCAGCTCTCAGAGGGTAAGTTCAGCCTAGAGGCTTCCTTTTGTTCCGTTTAACCTAACTTCATCCTCCGGCTACTTGGTCACCTACATAGTTGATTGTTCCCCTGTGATTCAGATCCCGGAAATTTAACATTCTGGGCACAAACACAAAAGTGATGAACATGGAAGAATCCAACAACGGCAGCCTCTCTGCAGAATTCAAACACTTGGTATGTGGGAGGAGCTCCCCTTCACAAAGGGCCTCTGGCTGCCGGAGAGGGCTAGGGAGAGCCTCACAGGACACCTGCCTTTTTCTTTTCTTACAGACCCTGAGGGAGCAGAGATGTGGGAATGGGGGCCGAGCCAATTGTGATGTAAGTTTTGTTGGGGATGAAAGACAACTGGGGTGTTTTCCTTGAGGGAGAGAGGGGTAAAGATCCTTCTTAATCCCCAGAATTAGAAACATCAACCTGTTCTTTCAGCTGTAGTTATTCCAAAAAGTCACTTCAGGCCAAAGTGACATGAACAGAAGTTCCATGTGCCATGGAGCTCTCTGGCTTGGAACATTTCCGTGAATATCTGGGAGTTGGCTCCTCCTTAAGGAGAAGTGGAAAGTCCCTTGCTGAGTTGTTCTCCACACCCATGTGGTATAAAGCAGCTTTCCACCTTGCCTGGGGCTTTCCAAATTCCCCATCCAGCTCCTGCGGCTGACCCTGCTTGGCTCCATTTTTAGTGCCCTGTTTTTCTCTCCCACTGAGGTGGGATAGAGGGTGTAAAAGCAACAGATTTGAGTTAAACTTTAAAATAAATGACCACCTTGCATTAGCTTGCTTAGGAAAAGAGTACATAAAATAAAATGAACAAACAAAAACCCATCTTGTTCTTTATCCCCCTTATTTTCTGCTTTTCATTGATTCAGATTATTGGATTCTTATTGTCAAGAATAAACTTTAAACAAACAAACAAAAAAAGGTAAATGTGACGGAAGGCTAGTTTTCAGTCATTTTTAAAAATTGTGATGCCCCGTTCTTTTTCTTACATTTGTCCCCTGAACAATTCTTCCTCTTTAAAATGTAGCAGTCCTAGCTGGGCGTGCTGGCTCACACCCCGTACTTTGGGATGCCAAGGCAGGCTGGTCACTTGAGGTCAGGAGTTCAAGACCAGCCTGGCCAACATGGTGAAAGCCCGTCTCTACTAAAGATACAAAAATTAGCTGGGTGTGGTGGTGCACGCCTGTAGTCCCAGTTACTGGGGAGGCTGAGGCATGAGAATCGCTTGAACCTGAGAGGTGGAGCTTGCAGTGAGCCAAGATTTTGCCACTGCACTCTAGCCTGGGCAACAGAGTGAAACTCTGTCTCAAAAAAATAAATAAAATAAAATGTAGCAGTCCTTTTTAAAAATGTGGAATTTTACTTGACAGTAGAGTGAAGTAGCCTGTATGCAATGATATGGGAAAATGTACATGACATATTAAGAAAAAGCAAAATGTAAAATAATTTGAATAGTATTATTAGTATATGTGTTTTAAAAATACACTATACTCTTATGTGTATTCATATGTATATTAAGAAATTCTGGAGGAATATACCAGCAGTGCTATGTGTATTAGTGCTGCTGTTGGTATCCATGGCTATTCTAGACTGTCTCTGTGATATTTGCATTTTAAACTGAATATATTACTTTTATAATCAGAAAAATAGTATTAAAAATGAATTATAATTTAATTTCTTTTTTCTTTTTTTTTTTTGAGTCGGAGTCTCGTTCTATCGGATTGCAGTGGTGCGATCTCAGCTCACTGCAACCTCTGCCTCCTAGGTTCAAGCGATTCTCCTGTCTCAGCCTCCCAAGTAGCTGGGACGATAGGTGCATGCCACCACGCCTGGCTAATTTTTGCATTTTTAGTAGAGACAGGGTTTCACCATATTGGTCAGGCTGGTCTTGAACTCCTGACCTCGTGATCCACCCATCTCGGCCTCCGAAAGTGCTGGGATTACAGGCATGAGCCGCTGTGCCCAGACTAGAATTCAATTTTTGAGAATTCATTGACAACTCTTACTTAAAATAAGGTTGCTGTACTGATGTGAGACATTGTTGTAGTCAGTTTGGAAAACAATTTGGCAGTATAAAAATGAACATACCTGTAAACCAACGGTGCCATTCCCAGGATTTAATAGCAGAGAAATCTTTGCATATATGTCCCAGGAGACATATATAAAGTGGACATCAGCCTGATTATAAGCTCTAAATGCAACCCAAATAAATACCCATCAACATTAGAATGAATACATTATTTGTGGTATAGACACAATGGAATACTCCGCAGCTGTGAAAAGGAATACACTGCAGATACACATAACCATGTGGATTCATTTCACATCAAGTGAAAAGTGAATCCCAAAAGAATTCATTGGAGTCCATAAGTGTAAGGTTCACAAATGTCCCAAACTAAACAATACCTGCATTGCTTAGATAAACAAATATGGTAAAACTGTAAAAAAACAAAACAAAACAAGACAAAAAGGGCTAGGAAATGATAAACCCAAAAGACAAAATAGCAGTTATTTCTGAGGGAGGAGGGAAGGGGATGGGGTTGGGGAAGGGCACCCAGAGAATTTTAGGAGTGATGGACTTTTCCTTAAATTGAATGGTGGGTTCATATTGTTTTGTTATTCTTTGTGCCTTACGTATTTTACAAATAACCAATTGGATCTATGTAATATTATAATACAAACTGAGTAAAGGATTAGGTTGAGGATCACAGCATTGGAAGTTCTTGGTGTTGAAGAGAGTAAGTGCCGAGCAAGTTGTGTCCCTGGCAGTTTGTTTGTGACCACCTGGTGGCTTACCCTTCTTGGTGTGGTGAGGCTTGGCATGTCACTTTCCTTGGCTGTGGCTGTTAGTACTGAATGCCATTCTCTCTGAGGAAAAGTGTCCTTCTCTTTTTTATTGATTGACTGATTGATTGAGACAGAGTCTCACTCTGTCACCCAGGCTGGAGTGCAGTGGCGTGATCTCGGCTCACTGCATCCTCTGCCTCCTGGGTTCAAGCGATTCTCCTGCCTCAGCCTCCTGAGTAGCTGGGACTACAGGCGCCCACTACCACACCCAGCTAATTTTTGTATTCTTAGTAGAAACGGGGTTTCACCAAATTATTGGCCAGGCTGGTCTCGAACTCCTGACCATGTGATCCACCTGCCTCGGCCTCCCAAAATGCTGGGATTGTAGGTGTGAGCCATCACGCTCAGCCTTTTTTTTTATTTAATTTAATTTTTTTTTAAGACAGGGTCTCACTCTGTCACCCCAGCTAGAGTGCAGTGGCACAATCATAGCTCGCTGCAGCCTCCATCTCCTAGGCTCAAGCCATCCTCCCACCTCAGCCTCTCGAGTAGCTGGGGCTATAGGTGTGCACCACCACACCCAGCTAATTTTTGTATTTTTTGCAGAGATGGAGTTTTGCTGTGCTGCTTAGACTGGTCTCGAACTCCTGGGCTCAGGCAATCCTCCTGCCTTGGCCTCCCAAAGTGCTGGGATTACAGGCATGAGCCACCACACCTGGCCTAAGAGTGTCCTTCTCGTTACTGTAGGCTTCCCTGATTGTGACTGAGGAGCTGCACCTGATCACCTTTGAGACCGAGGTGTATCACCAAGGCCTCAAGATTGACCTAGAGGTAAGTTCTGCAGCAGAATCGGTGAGAGGCTACGTACAGGGGTGACTCAGGACAAAAACTTCCACTGGGATTTTTACAAGAGAAGGTGGAATGATTACTGTTTGCTTAACACTGTGTTTATTTTTGCTTACTTTTCTCCAAAAAAATCCTTGGCATCCCATCTGGCAATAAAGTCTTGCTTGAATGCTTAGAAGATGTGTGTATATTCAGCTTTCAGCAAACTTGATATGAAAATCTCTATTTAGAAATTGATTGGCCGGGCGCGGTGGCTCACGCCTGTAATCCCAGCACTTTGGGAGGCTGAGGCGGGTGGATCACGAGGTCAGGAGTTCGAGACCAGCCTGGCCAACATGACGAAACCCCGTCTCTACTAAAATACAAAAATTAGCTGGGTATGGTGGCGGACGCCTATAATCCCAGCTACTCGGGAGGCTGAGGCAGGAGAATCACTTGAACCTGGGAGGCAGAGGTTGCAGTGAGCTGAGATTGTGCCATTGCACTCCAGCCTGGGTGACAGAGTGAGACTCCGTCTCAAAAAAAAAAAAAAGAAATTAGAACTGACTTTATAAAGTTTGGGCATAAGAGTCTTAGCAGCCAGTGTGTTTAGTATACAGAAAATTGTGGCAATGACATTCTCCTTTCCCAACTTTCTTGATTTTTAAATTAAGATATACCTAGAAAAGCAGGAATCCTGGTCTTTGATTCCTGAGACCTCCCTGTTTCATGTGAAGATACAGCTTCAAGTCTTGGAGAATGCCTCCAAGGTCTTAAAAATGGGGAATCTGTGGATTGTGAGTCAAGCTTTGAGCAAGTCAGGTTTTACAAGGGACCGGTATATTCCGACTGCAGCCTGAGTTGTGTGGCCACGCTGGGCATTCTTTCCACTATGAGTGCTCACTGAGCTGACTCACTCACACTCCTCGCCTAGAGTTGGCAGCAGGTGTGGTTTATGGCATGTCCTTTCATTCTGAGCCCCGTGAGATGCGGGTGAAGAGATTTCCAAGGCTGTGAGAGCCCCTCTGCCTCCCCAGCTCAGTCCCCACTCCCTCCGCAGACCCACTCCTTGCCAGTTGTGGTGATCTCCAACATCTGTCAGATGCCAAATGCCTGGGCGTCCATCCTGTGGTACAACATGCTGACCAACAATCCCAAGGTTAGTGCCCCCTCCTTTTAGTTGGTGCCCCGGGATCTCTTGCGACTTAGGGGTACCTAGTATAGACAATGAGCACCATCCCTCATCTAAACAAGCAAATGTGTTCTTTCCAATAGAATGTAAACTTTTTTACCAAGCCCCCAATTGGAACCTGGGATCAAGTGGCCGAGGTCCTGAGCTGGCAGTTCTCCTCCACCACCAAGCGAGGACTGAGCATCGAGCAGCTGACTACACTGGCAGAGAAACTCTTGGGTCCGCATTTCACCCCTTCTCCCTCCCGCCCACCCGCCCAGAAAAGGGATCCGGCCCATAGGGCTGTTCATTTGGGCCATGTCTACTGAGCATTAGGCCATGTTTCTTTCCTGAGCAAGGCGCTGTGCTGGTGCCAGGAAACAGGGGAGTTGGGGAGTTGGGGTGCAGAGACAGTTTGCAGTTTTCAGTCGAGGTGATCATTTTTGAGGTGGGAGGTAGATTTCTTTTCTCCTGGTTGCTGTCTCATTCACCCACTCTATCTAACTTTAGAAGATCTTTTAAGTGTGTGTTGGAAGGTGGCACTAAAGGCTTGACATTCCCTGTCCATTTTTTTAATAAACTATAGGCTAGTTGGTTTTTTTTGTCTTATTTTATTTATTTATTTATTTTTTTGAGACGAGTCTTGCTCTGTTGCCCAGGCTGGAGTGCAGTAGTGTGATCTCGGCTCACTGCAACCTCCGCCTTCTGGGTTCAAGCGATTCTTCTGCCTCGGCCTCCCGAGTAGCTGAGACTACAGGTGCTCACCACCACGCCCAGCTAATTTTTGTATTTTTAGTAGAGACGGGGTTTTACCATGTTGGCCAGGATAGTCTCCGTCTCTTCACCTCGTGATCCGCCCACCTCGGCCTCCTAAAGTGCTGGGATTACAGGCTTGAGCCACTGTGCCCAGCGTAGGCTAGTTTTTAAAAAAGAATTAGTGGAATATTTTATGTGCCACCTGGGCTAGAAGTAGCTTTGTTCTAATAAAGCTGTTGCCACCAAATACACCTGTCTGACACCCGATGTCAGCTTGTTAGTGAGTGCTGCTGTTGGTTCCCAGCCTACCACCCGAGGTTGGGAAGAGCAGGGGGACTTGTTATATCACCCTCCATCCCTGCTGGGCTACCCAGCAACACAAGTGAGTCAAATGATGGGATAGTGTTTGTCCTCATGTGCACACACACAACAGTGCCTACCTTCAAAGATGTGAAAGCTGATTATTTTGTGGCCCATTGTGGGATGAATGTGTGTGTGTTCTGTTTTAAGAAATAACCTCTTGACCCCAAGCTGAAAATGTACTACTTGACTCTTTTTCTTTCCTTCAGGACCTGGTGTGAATTATTCAGGGTGTCAGATCACATGGGCTAAATTTTGCAAAGTAAGCAATCTTGTTAAATTCTCGTGGGAATGGGAATGCTCACCTGCACGGCTGTCGTTGAGGGCTCTGGCTTGAAGGCCCTGAACTCTTGGTCCAGCGGCCAGTAGGACCTGCCTGAAGGTAGACGGGCCTGAGGATTTGGGTGATGCACTGCACCCCTAGGAAGGGAAGGGCTGGGATGGCAGTAGACTTGGCTTTCCCATTACTCTTTTCTCCAGGAAAACATGGCTGGCAAGGGCTTCTCCTTCTGGGTCTGGCTGGACAATATCATTGACCTTGTGAAAAAGTACATCCTGGCCCTTTGGAACGAAGGGTAGGTTGGACAGAGTGTGCACAGATGTAACCAAGTCCCCTGCTCTCAGCAAGCCAGTGGCAGGGGATGGATGCCCTGTTAGCAATAACAACATTGTTCCTCCTCCTTGGCTCCAGGTACATCATGGGCTTTATCAGTAAGGAGCGGGAGCGGGCCATCTTGAGCACTAAGCCTCCAGGCACCTTCCTGCTAAGATTCAGTGAAAGCAGCAAAGAAGGAGGCGTCACTTTCACTTGGGTGGAGAAGGACATCAGCGGTAAGGGAGGCTCCCACCCACCCCACCTGCTGGTGGCTGCTGAGGCCTCATCACTGCTTCTAGTTGCAAGCACCTACTGCCCCCTGGTGGGTGGAGATGGCCTTGACTCCCTGTTTCACTCAGACTCGCAAAACACATTTGCGTGACTTCTAAATCCTTCCAGCTGAAGGATTGGTTTGCTTTGTTTTGCTTGCTCCAGTGACTATTTGTTGAGAATTTTGCAATTTAAATTGTATTCTTCATCTCTTTTTCTACTTAACCCTGTTAATATATCTTACGCAAGTAGTTATATTCAAGTTTATTTTCTATGACCCAACTAGTAGCCTCTTCTTAATTAGAAGCCAGCCTGAATATTTCCACAGTGCCAGGCCACTGAACAGGGTGTTCAGGGTCTCAACACTAGGGTGGCTTAAGTCTTTTCCCCTTCGAGGAAAGAAAAAATGGGCAGTTTTCTCTGAGATGACCTAGCTGTAGGTTCCATGATCTTTCCTTCCCATGTCCTGTGACAGGTAAGACCCAGATCCAGTCCGTGGAACCATACACAAAGCAGCAGCTGAACAACATGTCATTTGCTGAAATCATCATGGGCTATAAGATCATGGATGCTACCAATATCCTGGTGTCTCCACTGGTCTATCTCTATCCTGACATTCCCAAGGAGGAGGCATTCGGAAAGTATTGTCGGCCAGAGAGCCAGGAGCATCCTGAAGCTGACCCAGGTAGTTGTTGATTTTCCATGTTCCTGGCATTTAATTTTTGGGAAAAGTTGGAAATTTTGGGATCCTTGGAGGATAGATAGGCAAATGCCTGAATAACCTGGGGGATAATTATTTCTCCTTATGGGAAAGAATTGTAGTGAGTGCTTTTGTTGGGGTGACCGATGGGATTTGAGAGGAGAATCAGAATCACTTAGAGTAGTGTAGTTCCTGCTCCACAGAGAGTGCATGAGTCTAAAGAGGGGATACAGCCTGGGCAATATGGTGAAACCTCGTCTCTACAAAAAATCCAAAAAAATTACCCGGTGTGGTGGCACGCATTTGTAGTCGTAGCTACTTGGGAGGCTGAGGTGGGAGGATCACCTGAGCCAAGGAGTTCAAGGCTGTAGTGAGCGGTGATCATGCCACCGCACTCCAGCCTGGCTGATAGAGTGAGATACTGTGTCAAAAAATAAAAATAAAGAGGGGATCAATACACATACGTCCCCCAAAACATGCCTGAAACACGAGAAGGGAAAGTGAGGGCAGTTAACAGGATGCCCTGCTGGCACAGTGCTTCTTAGTAGATGCTAGAAGGTTTGAGGCCCAGATTTCAGCCCAGCATATGGCTTTTTGCCTGTAACTGAACCATGTCAGTGTGCCAGATGGTCTGAAGAAAGGGTTTCTGGAGGAAATTATTATTAGCTGCATGGGAGTATGGTTTACACTAGAGTAGAAGAGCTGGGAGCATCACGTTTGAAGGGGAAGACAGTGACTGGGTGGAGGGGCAAGGGATTAGTATTTAGAGTGTGCAACTATTGAAAATAAGGTATATTTTAATGTGTAAGAGGACATGTACTTATATGTTATATATAAATTATTTTAGCTGGGTGAAGTGGCTCATGCCTATAGTCCTAGCACTTTGGGAGGCCCAGGCGGGAGGATCACTTGAGCCTGGGAGTTTGAGAACAGCCTAGACAACATAGTGAGACCCTATCTATACAAAAATAATTTTTTTTAAATTAGCCACGTGTGGTGGTTTGTGCCTGTAGTCCTAGCTACTCGGGAGGCTGAGGTGGGAGGATTGCTTAAGCCCAGGAGGTTGAGGCTGCAGTGAGCCATGATCGCACCACTGCACTCCAGCCTGGGTGACAGAGCAAGACCTTGACTCACCAAAAAAAAAAAAAAAAAAAAGAGAGAGAAATTAAAAATACTGTAATCTCAGCTGGGCATGGGGGTTCACACCTGCAGTCCTAGCACTTTGGGAGGCTGAAGCAGGAGGATCACTTGAGGCCAGGAACTCAAGACCAGCCTGGCAACATAGCAAGACCCCACTACACACACACACACACACACACACAAAGAAGAGAAAGAAAAAAACGAAACAAAACTGTAATCTCTGCAGCTGTCCTCAGTGTGGAGGGGGTAGCCCTGTCTGTTCCCCTTCAGCACTTGCTGTTTTGACTCTCTGGGTTCTTTGTGCAGGTCTTGATGGGGAGTCTCTGGTTTGCCATTCTTTGTTTGATTTAACTTTCTGTAATCATAAAGCCAATGATGGGCTTTTTTTTTTTTTTTTTTTTTAGACTAAGTCTTGCTCTATCACCCAAGCTGGAGTGCAGTGGCACCATCTCGGCTCACTGCAACCTCCACCTCCCGGTTCAAGCAATTCTCCTGCCTCAGCCTCCCGAGTAGCTGGGATTATGGGCTTGTGCCACCATGCCCAGCTGATTTTTGTATTTTTTGTAGAGAAAGGGTTTCGCCATGTTGGCCAGGCTGGCCTCGAACTCCTGACCTCAGGTGATCTGCCCACTTCAGCCTCCCAAAGTGCTGGGATTACAGGCGTGAGCCACTGTGCCTGGCCTAATGATGGGCTCTTTAATGTGATCCTTTAGGGTTGGCGCCTTGCCCTAGTTGCTGTTGAAAAAACTATTTTTGTCCAAATAGCACACACACAGAAACCTACCAACTTCCCTCCCACTTTTTCCTAGGAATTCCTTCTGAGGGATTTCTTGAGATGGGGCAGAATGGGGCTTGGAAGAGGGAGTTGGAGCTAATTGACCGTTGCCTTTCTCCTTTGTTGGGGTCCTGAGTCTTGTTCCTGCTGTAAGAGTTACTCACTTCCTGTCTGCCACCTATCTCCCTTTGCATGTGTGCTTCAGTTGGGAGATCTGTTTATCAGCCCCTGCCACACGGCTCTTTGTTCCTTCTGCAGAGGACGTTGGGGTCCCACGGCTGGTCCTTTTGACTCATTTTGCTTTCAAGGTCCCACCTCCCAGTCTGAGGCTGCATCCTCCATTACCATCGCCCTTCCTGTGGGCTGGGAGGCCAGGTCCTTTCCTGCCCAGCGATGTCAGCGTTTCCTCAGGGGCCAGGCACTCATCAGGAGAAAGGAACTAATTACTTGAGTAATTTGCCTTGCCTTGCTGAGAGGAGTGTGCCCTGAGGGACTCCATGTGAGTGTGGTGACGGGTGTGGGGGTGTCCCTGTGTTATTTTAAAATGGGTGCCTTCAGGACGATGAGCATGTGACCATTTCCTCTCTATTTCCATCACAAGAGTATTATGGTATGAGGGTCTCAGGTTAGATTATCCTCCCAAGACTCTTCTCTCTTCCTTCTCTACTGGAAGCCCACATAGCATTTCCTTATGGCTTGAGGGAGAGGTTCGGAGCCACTTACAAATTAGATAAAGTACATTTACAATCTTGTACAAAGCCACACAATGAAGTCATTTTTCTCAGCTTTTTTTTTTTTTTTTTTTTTTTTTTTGAGCCTGAGTCTCGCTCTATCGTCCAGACTGGAGTGCAGTGGCGCGATCTTGCTTCACTGAAACCTCTGCCTCCCAGGTTCAAGAGATTCTCATACCTCAGCCTCCTGAGTAGCTGGGATTACAGACATGCACCACTATGCCTGGCTAATTTTTGGATTTTTAGTAGAGACCGGGTTTCACCCTGTTGGCCAGGCTGGTCTCGAACCCCTGACCTCAAGTGATCTTCCCGCCTGGGCCTCCCAAAGTGCTGGGATTATAGGTGTGAGCCACAGTGCCCAGCCTTGTTTTTGTTTTTGTTTTGTTTTGACAGTCTGTCACTCTGTCACCCAGGCTGGAGTGCAGTGGTGCGATCTCACCTCACTTCAGCCTCTGCCTCCCAGGTTCAAGTGATTCTCCTGTCTCAGCCTCCTGAGTAGCTGGGATTACAGGCGTGCCACCACGCCCAGCTATTTTTGTAATTTCATTAAAGACAGGGTTTCCCCATGTTGGTGAGGCTGGTCTTGAACTCCTGGCCTCAAGTGATCCACCTGCTTCAGCCTCCCAAAGTGCAGGGATTACAGGCATGAGCCACTGTGCCTGGCCTCAGCTATCTTGAATGCTGGAGAATTAAATCCTTTTCTGTCTAGGGTGTCAGCTCCCTAAGGGCTGGGCCAAAACAGTTGGATTTATAAGACACTAGAGTCTTGCCTCAGTAGCTCCTTTGAATTCTGCACTGAATTGATCAGTTTCTTGGCCCAAAGTAAACTCAGATGGCAGCCCAAGAGCCACTCTGCAGTGCCTTCTTTCACATGGTCATCATGCTCTCTGATCCCTCAGGTTCTGTCTAAGCCTCATGTTTTATGACCGTGCTGTTCTCAGCCCACCTCACCCTGCCCCATGCCTTCTCAATGGTTTGTTCACCTGAATTCCCCAGATTTCATGCCAGTATCCCCAAGGTTCCTTGACCTCTTGGTGTAAGCATTCAGCATCTAAAATTCATTTTATTCCCGTCAACGCATTTCTAACTGTAGAACAAGAATTATAAATGACAAAGCTCATAGAAAATTGGCACCTTGTCTTCCCCCTCCCTCTTATTTTATACATAAAAGAGAATATGGGCTGGGCATTGTGGCCAAGGCTGGGCATGATAGCTCATACTTGTAATCCAGCACTTTGGGAGGGTGAGGCAGATGGATCACCTGAGGTCAGGAGTTCAAGACCAGCCTGGCCAACATGGTGAAACCTCATCTCTACTAAAATTACAAAAAAAAAATTAGCTAGGCATGGTGGCAGATGCCTGTAATCCAGCTACTCAGGAGGCTGATGAAGGAGAATCACTTGAACCCTGGAGGCAGAGGTTGTAGAGAGCCAAGATGGCGCTACTGCACTCCAACCTGGGCGAAAGAGAGCAAGACTCCGTCTCAAAAAAAAAAAAGACAAAAATTAGCCAGGCATGGTGGTGCCACCTGTAGTCCCAGCTGCTTGGGAGCCTAAGGCAGGAGAATCGTTTTGACCTGGGAGTAGGAGGTTGCGGTAACCGAGATTGTGCCACTGCACTTGAGCCTGGGCAACAGAGTGAGACTCTGTCTCAAAACAATAAGAACAACAGCAACAAAAGAGAGAGACCATGCCTTGCTCCAGGTCTCTTAGCTATTGAAGATGTACCTGGACCCAGGTCTCCGGTCTTCTAGTTGAAGCAATTGTACTGCCTTACAAAGTCACATTCTCTTTGGTGCTTTTTGATTGACGTATTTATCCAACTAGAAAGTTACTCATGCCCTCATCCAAAAATGTGGTAGAGGCCAGATTAGTGCTGGTAGGAATAAGAGATATAACCTTTGGCTTTGGAACCACAAGCATTAGCAGTCTCCATGTTCTTTAAAGACTTGGTGATATTGGTATTTAGGCTGGACACCATGCAAAGACTACACAGGCTCGGTTCCTGCATGCAGAGAAGTTATCTAAGAGATATGACCAGGCCGGAATAGAATGCTCAGACCACGTGGAGGCTGTTAAACTTTTACATAATCTAGGGAAAGAAGGGACACAAGGTGGCATTAGTCTAGGGTCAGGTGGGAAAAGGTTATGCTGAAAAGTCTCTGCAGCTCAGGACAGCTTTGTGCAAAGAACTGAAGTTCACAGCTGCTAGTGCCTGGGAGATCAAATAGTATAAATGAGGGCAGACAACCCTGAGGGGCAGATGGAGCTTTCCAGACAATCTTGGCATGAGGATGAGTGAGTTTCAAATCAGTCCTGCCGAGGCAGATGGCTTCCTCCAGCTCTGCTTACTGAATGCGAAGTCACAGTCAGTAAGAAAACTGGTTTTCTTCTTCCCAGGCGCTGCCCCATACCTGAAGACCAAGTTTATCTGTGTGACACCGTAAGTGGCTTCCTTTCCCCGTTTTGCCTTCATTTCTAATATCCTCAGTTATCCCTGGGAATGGGACACTGGGTGAGAGTTAATCTGCCAAAGGTTGGAAGCCCCTGGGCTATGTTTAGTACTCAAAGTGACCTTGTGTGTTTAAAAAGCTTGAGCTTTTATTTTTCTGTTGGAGACCAGAGTTTGATGGCTTGTGTGTGTGTGTTTTGTTCTTTTTTTTTTTTCCATTGTGTCTTGTCAACCCCCCGTTTCCCCTCCTGCTGCCCCCCATTTCCTACAGAACGACCTGCAGCAATACCATTGACCTGCCGATGTCCCCCCGCACTTTAGATTCATTGATGCAGTTTGGAAATAATGGTGAAGGTGCTGAACCCTCAGCAGGAGGGCAGTTTGGTGAGTATTTGGTTGACAGACTTTGTCCCTATAAGGGAAGTTGGTCCCCTTTGTGTGATGCTCTCACATGTACACACCGAGAGCTGGTCACTCGGAATGGTAGGAGATTCTAGAGCTTTGCTTTCCAAAAGAGATGGTATGAATGCCACATGTGTGAGTATAAATCTTCTAGCAGCCACACTGGAAATAGACGAACTTAATTTTTACAATATATTTTATTTAACCCACTAAATCCAACATACTCTCAATTTAACATTTCAGAAAAAGTTGAGGCTGGGTGAGTGGCTCATGCCTGTAATCCCAGCACTTTGGGAGGCCGAGGTGGGTGGATCACTTGAGGTCAGGAGTTCGAGACCAGTCTGACCAAAATCTCTAAAATATAAAAATTAGCTGGGCATGGTGGCGCATACCTGTAATCCCAGCTACTCAAGAAGCTGAGGTGGGAGGATCGCTTGAGCCTGGGAGGTGGAGGTTGCAGTGAGCAGAGATCGTGCCACTGCACTCCAGCCTGGGCGACAGAGTGAGACTCCATCTCAAATAAACAAAACTAAACTAAAAAGAAAAAGTTGAGACCTTTTTTTATTCTTTTTTTTCATACTAAGCCTTTAAAATCCAGTGGGCTTTTGACAGCCACAGCACAGCTCAGTTTGGACAAACCAAATCTCAAATGCTTGGTGGCCACGTGTGTCTCGGGGCTCCTGAATTAAACAGTAGATCAAGGGCAGAAGATCTCAGGACAGCCTTAGAGCTTCTGTAAACATGGAGCTCTGGGAATCAGTTAAGGTGGGAATGAGAAAGGACCCTTCCCGAGGCAGGGTCCTCCAGGGAGGAGGGTAAATCTGGCTTTTCTGACCATCCCTGGGCCTTAAGGGGCAGGAGATTGGATAGCAGTGGTAGCCTGGGCCCTGTCCTCTGAAGGGCTGGGGGCGTGGCCTGCCAGTTGCAGAGGGTGGACAACTGAACTAGTTTTCCCTGTCTGTCCCTCCAGAGTCCCTCACCTTTGACATGGAGTTGACCTCGGAGTGCGCTACCTCCCCCATGTGAGGAGCTGAGAACGGAAGCTGCAGAAAGATACGACTGAGGCGCCTACCTGCATTCTGCCACCCCTCACACAGCCAAACCCCAGATCATCTGAAACTACTAACTTTGTGGTTCCAGATTTTTTTTAATCTCCTACTTCTGCTATCTTTGAGCAATCTGGGCACTTTTAAAAATAGAGAAATGAGTGAATGTGGGTGATCTGCTTTTATCTAAATGCAAATAAGGATGTGTTCTCTGAGACCCATGATCAGGGGATGTGGCGGGGGGTGGCTAGAGGGAGAAAAAGGAAATGTCTTGTGTTGTTTTGTTCCCCTGCCCTCCTTTCTCAGCAGCTTTTTGTTATTGTTGTTGTTGTTCTTAGACAAGTGCCTCCTGGTGCCTGCGGCATCCTTCTGCCTGTTTCTGTAAGCAAATGCCACAGGCCACCTATAGCTACATACTCCTGGCATTGCACTTTTTAACCTTGCTGACATCCAAATAGAAGATAGGACTATCTAAGCCCTAGGTTTCTTTTTAAATTAAGAAATAATAACAATTAAAGGGCAAAAAACACTGTATCAGCATAGCCTTTCTGTATTTAAGAAACTTAAGCAGCCGGGCATGGTGGCTCACGCCTGTAATCCCAGCACTTTGGGAGGCCGAGGCGGATCATAAGGTCAGGAGATCAAGACCATCCTGGCTAACACGGTGAAACCCCGTCTCTACTAAAAGTACAAAAAATTAGCTGGGTGTGGTGGTGGGCGCCTGTAGTCCCAGCTACTCGGGAGGCTGAGGCAGGAGAATCGCTTGAACCTGAGAGGCGGAGGTTGCAGTGAGCCAAAATTGCACCACTGCACACTGCACTCCATCCTGGGCGACAGTCTGAGACTCTGTCTCAAAAAAAAAAAAAAAAAAAAGAAACTTCAGTTAACAGCCTCCTTGGTGCTTTAAGCATTCAGCTTCCTTCAGGCTGGTAATTTATATAATCCCTGAAACGGGCTTCAGGTCAAACCCTTAAGACATCTGAAGCTGCAACCTGGCCTTTGGTGTTGAAATAGGAAGGTTTAAGGAGAATCTAAGCATTTTAGACTTTTTTTTATAAATAGACTTATTTTCCTTTGTAATGTATTGGCCTTTTAGTGAGTAAGGCTGGGCAGAGGGTGCTTACAACCTTGACTCCCTTTCTCCCTGGACTTGATCTGCTGTTTCAGAGGCTAGGTTGTTTCTGTGGGTGCCTTATCAGGGCTGGGATACTTCTGATTCTGGCTTCCTTCCTGCCCCACCCTCCCGACCCCAGTCCCCCTGATCCTGCTAGAGGCATGTCTCCTTGCGTGTCTAAAGGTCCCTCATCCTGTTTGTTTTAGGAATCCTGGTCTCAGGACCTCATGGAAGAAGAGGGGGAGAGAGTTACAGGTTGGACATGATGCACACTATGGGGCCCCAGCGACGTGTCTGGTTGAGCTCAGGGAATATGGTTCTTAGCCAGTTTCTTGGTGATATCCAGTGGCACTTGTAATGGCGTCTTCATTCAGTTCATGCAGGGCAAAGGCTTACTGATAAACTTGAGTCTGCCCTCGTATGAGGGTGTATACCTGGCCTCCCTCTGAGGCTGGTGACTCCTCCCTGCTGGGGCCCCACAGGTGAGGCAGAACAGCTAGAGGGCCTCCCCGCCTGCCCGCCTTGGCTGGCTAGCTCGCCTCTCCTGTGCGTATGGGAACACCTAGCACGTGCTGGATGGGCTGCCTCTGACTCAGAGGCATGGCCGGATTTGGCAACTCAAAACCACCTTGCCTCAGCTGATCAGAGTTTCTGTGGAATTCTGTTTGTTAAATCAAATTAGCTGGTCTCTGAATTAAGGGGGAGACGACCTTCTCTAAGATGAACAGGGTTCGCCCCAGTCCTCCTGCCTGGAGACAGTTGATGTGTCATGCAGAGCTCTTACTTCTCCAGCAACACTCTTCAGTACATAATAAGCTTAACTGATAAACAGAATATTTAGAAAGGTGAGACTTGGGCTTACCATTGGGTTTAAATCATAGGGACCTAGGGCGAGGGTTCAGGGCTTCTCTGGAGCAGATATTGTCAAGTTCATGGCCTTAGGTAGCATGTATCTGGTCTTAACTCTGATTGTAGCAAAAGTTCTGAGAGGAGCTGAGCCCTGTTGTGGCCCATTAAAGAACAGGGTCCTCAGGCCCTGCCCGCTTCCTGTCCACTGCCCCCTCCCCATCCCCAGCCCAGCCGAGGGAATCCCGTGGGTTGCTTACCTACCTATAAGGTGGTTTATAAGCTGCTGTCCTGGCCACTGCATTCAAATTCCAATGTGTACTTCATAGTGTAAAAATTTATATTATTGTGAGGTTTTTTGTCTTTTTTTTTTTTTTTTTTTTTTGGTATATTGCTGTATCTACTTTAACTTCCAGAAATAAACGTTATATAGGAACCGTCTGATAGCATGGCAGCTCTGTTTGGCTGGTGGAGGCTTCCTTTTCCCCTGCATAAGTTCTGAGGGGGCCTCACACACAGGTGGGGCCTGGGATAAGGGCCGGAAAGGGTCTTGAGAGGAGGTGGTTGCCTTAATCCCCCCCGCCAACCCCCTTATGTTAGCCACCAGCCCGGAGGTAAGGGGTGCCTGGAGGAGCAGGAGGTCAATAGTCCAACGGCAGAAAGGTGTCAGAGTGGAGGCCTCCCTCCCCGGCCCCCTCCTACCCCCCAGAGCGGCCTCGTCCTGTCTGGGGTCAGATAAGCCACCTAAGCGGGGTGGGGGGTAGATACTCCCACCGCACCAAGGCCTCCCCTTCCACAGTTGGCTCCTTTATCACTTTCCCTTCAGTTCACCCAGCGGGGACAACACGCAGACACCCGGTGGTGGCTGCAGGGCCCCCGGCAGCCAGCGGTGATAATGCAGGGAAAGGCGCCCCAACCTCAGCTACGCGGGCGCCCACAGGGCTTCTCCCCACCCCTACACGTGCCCCAGCGCCCTGGAGACCGCGCCTGGGAGCTACGAGCGAGCACCTTCCCTCGCAGAGATGGATCAGATTAGCCCCCTGGGGCGGTGGCACCTGCCCGTCCCCTCCCCTCCTCTCTTCTCCCACCCCCGCCTTCCCCCTGCTCTGGGCCCCCTGCACCTCCCTCTTGGGGCCCACGCGCCGCCCCTCTCCCTCGCTTGAGCTCTGAGCTCAGAAGGAACCTGCCCGCAAACCTGGCTCCCAGCCCCGCCCAGGGAGCGCGCGTCCCTGAGCCCAAGGGCCCCAGCGACAGCAGGGACTGGCTGCAGCCGGCAGTGCGGGGGTCCAGCCGGGGCGAGCCGGTCCCGCTTGCTGCACCTCCGCCTCGCACAGTCGCCGGCAGCCAGCTGAAAACAGCGCAGCCGCGTGGTGCCACCTGCTGGTCTCTGGGAAGGAGGAGGATGGGACGGTTGTTGCGGCTCTGGGACTGCCCCTGGCCCCGAGGGTTGAGAAGCATCTTGGCGCCGGGCCCTCAGCCGCCAGCTTCGAGGCTGCTGGGAGCAGCAGCTGCTAAGGAGAAGCCTGGGTCAGAGTTCTGCCCACCCGCGCCCATCTCCATCATTTCCCCAAACCTCGAGTCCCCTGCTTTTTAAGGAATCTGTGCCCCCTAAACTGGCTCCTTACCCTTCTGAGAAGCATTGACAGTATTCCAGGGGTGGCCAGCACCCTGAAAACCACAGCAAAGCGGGCAGAGTTAAAATTTAAGACTAAAAATGACAGCATCAGGCATGCACGCGGGAAGGAACAGAACAACCAGCTCCAGGGGTTCCCATCACCCAGGGAGGCCACCAACGCCCCAACCAGGAGCCATAGCAGCAAATTTATGAAAAAAATATTTTATTCCAAAACACTGTTTACACAAATGTGTGGTCTTTGTACAAAGTACAAAAAAACCCCTCTTCTCATCCCCACCTCCCTTCAGAGAAGTTTAAACCTTGGGCTCTCAATCTTCCATGGTCAGCTGCCCCTGACTGCGAGTCCTACAGCCTCAGAGGGAGGAGCGTGTGGGGTTGGGAGCAAGGCCTCACCAGAACACAGCCAGTTACGCAACAGCGCAAGGCCTGCTCCAGGCCCCACCTCCAGCGGAGTCAAACCAGATCAGCTTTTACCCCTCACTCCAGATTCCACAGGCACGCAGCACATGGCTGATTTGCAGCTTGTCTTTCACTGCAGTTTTTTGTTTTTGTTTTTTCCAGGAGGCAAGAGGACCAACCCTCCAAGTCCCGGGGCCCCTGTCCACCCACCATATCCTAGACCCAATCTTTTCTACCTCTTTGTCGACAAGGTTACAAACAGAGAGGCAAGCAAAGAAGGCTGGGGCCCAACGGAGGGGAGAGAATATATATCCCGGGAAACGTGGGCAACAGCATCATAGACTTGAATGAAGCCCAAGGCCAAGCAGCCAAGCAAGGACTAATTCAGAGCAGCTCAGAAACCCTCACTCAAACCGGCGGCCCCCCTGTGCTAAGGACATGGCCGGGCCCAGACGCGCTCTCATAGGGTTCACAGAGAGTCTGGAGTCCACGTTCACTAAAGTATAAAATACTACTCGAAAATGAACCCCAGCCTCCCTTCTGAGAGATGAATCGGTTACATCAACACATGAGGACAGATGCATTTACATAGACCCACACACTCTCTCTTTCTCTCTCTCTGTCTCTCTGTCTCTCTCTCTTAGGAGGGCAAAGCTTCTCACTCCGGAGTGAAACTTCAGCTTACAGACGTTACCTGTCTCCCCTCCCCTTCTGAATCATCTCATTCAAATAGCTGCTGAGCAGATGAGGGGCCCAGGAGGAATAGGTCTGGCTGCATTGAGTGCCTGCAGTGACAGAGGCTCGGTCTCTACCATGACAGAGACAGACTCGGCGCACTCTTGGATGCCATGATCTGAAAAGAGGCCACCGCTGCTGCAGCCACATCCCAGGACTGCACAGGGGAGGCAGGCGTAGCTCATGCACAAGGACACACACACACACACACACACAAGCACATGCATGCCTGCAAAGGTGTCAGTGTACACAGCCTTACTAAACTCACAACACGACCGCTTCACATTGCATATTGTTTCCAAAGAGAAGCGTGGGATTCAAACATTCATGAGAGGGAGCCTCTGGCAGAGGTGAAAAGACCGGCAGGGGGCGAGAGGCGGGAGTCAAGACTGTCCATTGGTCGGCGTAAGAGTTCCTCCACGTGCCTGGCCACATCCATGGTCTCATCCAGGTCGAATTCTCCATCCTGATCGAGTACATGGTCAGGGCTGGTAAAGACAGGGGGATGTCAGAGGGAGCTGGCATGTCTCACAGCCTCAAGCTCCCTGGGGACAGCCTCCAGCCTGCTCTCCACTCAAACCCGTCTCATGAGAACAGGACCAGTTCTGGCTGGATGCCCCCACCCCACCCCAAGCTGGGTAGCAGTCAGCCCACTGGCTTCTGCAGACCCCCACTCTATTCGCATCTCTTGCTAACTCACTGAATAATCTTAGGGAATTCATTTCCCCTCTCCGTGTCCTCATCTTAAAACCAGGTGGCTGACACAGTGGGCTCTGCCCACCTGCAATGATGCTCAGCTGCAATGGTAGGCACCGCCCCGTTCACTGAGCACTTAGAACAGCTGAATCTTTTCACTGAGCACCTAGAACAGCTGAGCCTATTGAGCACATGACTCCAATTTTTACAGCCAACTGGAGAGTGGGTATTGACCCCGTTTTATAGACGAGAAAACCAAGGCCATATCAGGAAGCTTGCTCTGGGCCACCTGGCTGGGAGGTGGTGGAGTCCGGATTGGAACCTGGGATCTTCAGTGGTCCCACTGGAAGGTGGTACCTCCCAGACATCCAGCCCTGGCTATCCACAGTGAGGAAGGGAATTAATTATCTACCTTGTTCCCACCAGACTCAAGAACAACCACCCCATTCATAGCTACCCTGTATCAAGCCCTTCCAAGCCCCTCCCTGTGGAAATGCTTCACCCACACTGTCTCAGTTTAATGCTCATCCCATTCTCATGAGGCAAGCATTCTTGCCTCCGTTTTACACATAAGGAAACTTGAGCATCAGAGAGGCTCAATCATTTTCCCAAGATCACACAGTTAGTACTAGAGTGAGGACTTGACCCTGCTATGTCTAGCTTCAAAATGCTCTGTTTTCCTGGCTGATCTCACTCCTCCTGGACTTGGGCCTAACCAGAGCTCTGGATCCTTTGCCCGCCAGCCCTCCAGGAGTCCAGCCTGGGGCCAAGTCCCCAGTTCTTCCCCTGCGGACCCCATGAGAACACCACCTACTTCTGTGGGTACATGTTATAGGGAGCCTGGGGGCACACAGCTGGGGAGGGGGCCTGGTCCATGTACGTGGCGCTGCTGCCCCCAGCATCTGCAGATGCATTCACAAACCTGCAGAAGGAAGAGAACAGAGCTTCAGCCACCAGGGAGGCCGGGGCAGCTGACTTGGGGAGGGGACCGAGGGGCATGTTTGTCTTTCTCGGGGTGTAGACGGACAAAGTGCCCCACTCGGCCCTGGGGCTCCAGCTACAGGAGAGGGGACTCCCTCCCCAGGGCTGAGACAGGTTCCCTGGGGGAGCGGAAAGCTGGGCCCAGGATCAGGATGGGAGGCAGGGTCTGGGGGAGGAGGAAAGAGGCAGAAGGAGAGCCACAGCCACCTGGACACTTACTCAGGGACCACTTGCTTGATCTGTGGTTTCACATATCCATCAACAGCTTTAGCTGTCAAGGGAAGAACAGTGGTGAGAACCAAAGTCTCTGGGAACTCCCAAGTGGGGTGGAAGCCCACGCCCCATGTAGTCTCCCTCCTGCTCACATCACCTTGTGTTCTCAGCTGGGATGAGATTTCCCAAGGACCCCCAATAAACACCAGCTGATGAATCCTGCCTGAGGGTCACTGAGACCCCTGGCTTGAATCCCATTCCTTCTGGTTCTTTTTCTGGCCATCTGATTTCCCTCTCCCTGCTCCCACCCCTGTCAAAGAATGAGAATCAACAAGCAAACCCAACCAATGGATTTGGGGCAGCTGGAAGAAGAGAGACTTCTCCCTTTTGCTGCCTGCACTCCACTCGGGGGAAGGTTTGTGAGCAGGGTGTGGAGAGCAGCTGGTGAGGTGGGGAGCGGAGCACTATCTGTGGGCTCGAATGATCCCGGCCACTCCCTACAGTGCTGCCACCCCTTCCTCCGAGGGTGCAGAAGTGAGAATCCATGCAGCTTTCACTTTGCAGAGAAGAGAGCTGGGACGGGTTTCTCGTTCCCTCTCCTCATTTGTGAGCCCTGAAATCCTCTCCACCACCCCATGGGCCAAAACCCACAGGGGACATGGCCCCTAGGCTCCTCCTGGGGAAGTCCCCACGGCGCAGCCCAAGGCTTTGTCTATGGGCTGGGGAAGAGCCCGGGGGAGTCAGCCGGCAGGGTCCTGGGGCAGTACCCACCCAGCACAGGAGTGTAGTACTTGGAGAAGACCTCATCCTTGGGGCGGTCAGGAAACACATAGATGAGATAGCTCAGGTCCCCCAGCCGGTCAGCCAGGGACCTGATGGAGAAATCCCGCGTGGTGAATGGTTTCAGGTTCCACAGGTTGCGTTCCGCTGTGAAAAGAACAGCCTCATTCCCATAATCCACCAGCAGCAGGAGGACCAAGGTTGTGGGGCTTTAGGGCAGGCTTGCAAGAGAAATCTGGGCTTTTATATAGTAGCTTGCGCTGCAGCCCCAGCCTGTAGGGAAGAAAGCCGATGCGGGATGTTCTACTCAGCAAACCAGATGAGCAGATACCAACAAGGCTGGGTCGTGGCAGAGAGGGGAGAGCGTGAAACTGCAGGAGGACTCGCCCAGCCGTCCTGGAGTCTATGGGGCTGGGGACTTCAGGTTCTCCAAAATGGAAAACAATAGAAAGAGAATACATTTCCAAGCCACAGCCCTCTCATACTAAGCTTCCCGCTGGGTACCTTCTAAGGACACAGGCCCGATGGAGGGTGGGGTGGCGGGGCAAGGGAACAAGAGACCGGGCCTTGGGGCTGGAGTGTGGGCAAAACGGGCACTCACGGGAGTCAAACTTCCAGGCGATGGTGATGCCCCCGATTTCTGAGTCACTAAAGCGCAACAAGAAGGTCCCGTCGGGCTTGTTGATGAGCAGGTCGTGGGCCTGTTGCTTATTCACAAAACCTAGGATGGCCCTGGGTGCACGGAGCATTGAGCGTCACCACTGGGCCACAGCCACAGTCTCTCTGCGCCCACAGCTGGCCCCTGACCCTGCAGCCCCCGTTCCTTACCCATCATTCCAGTGGGGCTTGTGGTGCTTCTTCAACACCTCCATCACCCCGTCAAACCACTGCCAGAAGGTGTAGTTCCAGCCCGGCAAGTTCTCCTGAGGGCCCAGGAACCCCCGAGTCAGGGCTGGTGCCCCAGGTCACAGGTGGCCCAGGAAAGTCAGGGCCCTCCTGCCCCCACCCAGTCTTCTCCCAGTTCTTCACCCCTGCTTGCCACCACACTCCAGCAGACCATAAAGTGACACAGCCCCCAACTTGTACCCTAGGAAAACAGAGAGGAAACTCACTTCTAAGACACAGGGGTCCAAGACCAGCCCAAGGGTGGGAGTAAGAGGTGTAAAGAATAATCTAGGCTGGATGGGGCCTCCAAAGTCATTCCTCCAAAGTCATCCCCTCATTTTACAGGTGGGGAAACTGAGGCACAGAGAATGGATGGGTCTTCAAAAATTAGCAAGGAGAGAGGCAGAAGGAGAGCCAGAGCCACAGGCGTGGTGGCTCACGCCTGTAATCCCAGCACTTTGGGAGGCCGAGGTGGGCGGATCACCTGAGGTCAGGAGTTCGAGACCAGCCTGACCAACATGGTGAAACCCCATCTCTACTAAAAATACAAAAATTAGCCCAGCATGGTGGCAGGCACCTATAATTCCAGCTACTCAGGAGGCTGAGGCACGAGAATCACTTGAACCCGGGAGGCAGAGGTTACAGTAAGCTGAAATCACGCCACTGCACTCCAGCCTGGGTGACAGAATGAGATTCTGTCTCTAAAAAAAAAAAAGAAAATTAGCAAACACATCTAGGCCCAGAACCCAAGGATCCTGACTCCCAGCCCTGGGCCCTCCGTCATCTCGCTCTTGGCTTCACAACTAAGCACAACTCCTATAGCCCCTGCCTGCATTTCTTGAGGCTAGGGGCCCCCATCTCTCCTGGTTGTAGGAGAGAGTGGTTGGGGGTGGAGAGTGGGGTGCTAGCCCCAGGCAGTAACCTGTCTGTGAGGTGGAGGAGCAACAGACCCCGGTGGGCCCTGGTGGGCGGCTGGCAGCTGGGCCCCTCACCCTGTTGAACTGGGACCAGGACACGGACAGGCCACTGTAGTCCTCCAGGTGGCTGCTGCTGTTGTTGAACAGTTTCTGCGCCAGGAACACGAGGTTCTCCTTGGTCAGGCCCCGGTTGCTCTGCACTTCGGCCTTGAATTTCATGTTGAGCGCCTCACACAGCTGCGGCCACAGCACTTTGTCAGGCACGGCAAATGGCACCCTGCCCTGAGAGGGAGACAAGAGAGGGGAAAAGGTAGATTGAGGGAGTTGGAAATATTCACACACACACAAGATACACAGACACCTAGAGACAGAGGAGACTGAGACAGATCCAGAAAGGTGACACAAATGCAAGGGCAGGAAATGCGGCGGCTTTTATATACTAGCTTGCACTTTTTTTCCCAGCCTGCAGGGAAGAAAACCGATGCAGGGGGTGGGGGCATGCAGGGACAGAGATGCAGACCAGGAAACAGAAAACAGAGAGCAAGGACCCAAGCCATCTGCCAAAGGAGGATCCCAGACCAGGATCCAAAGACCAAGCTCACAGTCCTCACAGACCCCAGTCCAGGAACCTGGAACCCAGAGTGCCAAGGCCATGGTGGAAGGCAGGCGCCCAGCACCCCAGCCCTTCTGGCCTCACCTCACCTCTGGGCTGGCCCTGGGGTGAGGAAGGACCACTCAGCAGGGGCCCAAGGGGTGGGGCTGACCCCAGGTGAGTCCTAGGGCCTGGGGGTGCTGGGGTAGGGCTCCCACGGGGACTCACCGGCTCAGCAAAGGCATTGTCCCACAGCACAGTAGCCGTGGCATTGTGGTCCTGGCTGCCGTGGACGATGACAACCACAGGTAGGGACAGAGTCTACAGGAGTCAAAGGAACCCAAGTTGATGGGGCGTGACCACCACGTGCCCTCTGCTTAGGCAACATGCCCAATCTGCTTTATTTTTTTTTATGTATTTTTTTTTTTGATATGGAGTTTCACTCTTGTTGCCCAGGCTGGAGTGCAATGGTGCAATCTCGGCTCACCACAACCTCTGCCTCCCGGGTTCAAGCGATTCTCCTGCCTCAGCTTCCCAAGTAGCTGGGATTACAGGCATGTGTCACCACACCTGGCTAATTTTGTATTTTTAGTAGAGACGGGGTTTCTCCATGTTGGTCAGGTTGATCTCGAACCCCTGACCTCAGGTGATCCACCCTCCTTGGCCTCCCAAAGTGCTGGGATTACAGGCAAGACCCACCACCCATGGCCGCAATCTGCTTTATTTTCTTCGAGACAGGGTCTCGCTCGGTCGCCCAGACTGGAGGGCAGTGGTGCAATCACAGCTCACTGCAGCCTTGACCTCCTGGGCTCAAGTGATCCTCCTGCCTCAGCCTCCAGAATAGCTGGGACTACAGGTGCAGGCCACCATGCCCAACTTTTTTCTTTTTTTTGTAGATACGGGTTCTCACTATGCTGCCCAGGCTAGTCTTGAACTCCTGGACTCAAGCAGTCCTCCCTCTTCTGCCTCCCAAAATGCTGGAATTACAGGTGAGAGCCACCACACCTGGTCCCAACCCACTTTCCTCACCCACAGTTCCAAACACAAGCCCCTCCCAGCAAAATGTAGGCACAAGCAAACAAACAAAAACTACAACCGACTTCTTCTTAGCCCATTGCCTAAATTGTCTGGGTTAGTCCCAGATTATAACCTATCAAACAGGGACCCACAGAGTCAAAGCAGGCTGTCCGATGGCATTGCTGCCAGGAGTCCTGAGGCAGGCCCCTCCACCTCTTGGGTGACCTGGAGCAGTGGGGGCAGGAGGGCTGGGGGTCTCACCTTCACCTGGAACACAAGCTCATTGCTGCCAACACTGAACTGAGACTCAAACAGGACTGTGAACTTCTCCTCTGTCACGGACTCTGCACCCCGCCGGTCAGCACGCTTGATCCTCTTCAGTGACTGCAGGGTGGGAGGTGACAGGGGAACAGGGAGATGGCGGCTGCTTACAAGGACTCAGCTCTGGGCAGACCTGCCCTCCGAGGGTGGGCCCCGTCCTCACCATGTTCCTGAAGTGGGCACTGAGGGTGCCCGTGGCTTGGTGGTACTCCATCACGCAGCAGTTGTTCAGGATCTCACCACTGCACTCGCTGCAAAGGAGAGGGGGGTCCCAGCTCCACATGGGCCCCAGGCCAGGAGCATGGTCCTGTCCACACCTCGGGCTGGGGTCTTCGCTCAGGTCAGCCCTGCCAGCAGCCCCTGCCCCGTATCCCCTAAGAGTGTTTCTTGGCGTCTTTCTGGGTTACTGACTTCTCCATCAACCTGGTGCCCAGCACCCAAGGCAAGGTCTCCAGTGGTGAGGTCTGGATCTATCATTAGAAATTCCTCGATACCAAGATTGATGTGAGGGCTTTGGGGACTTCCAATAGCTTCTAATGCACTTAAGATAAAAATCACAACCACAGTCTCTGAGGATCCCTATGGTCAACACCTACCCACCCCCCTGGCCTCACTGAATTCCTCTCCCCTCACTCAGGACATGCAAGCCCCGTTGGCCCTGGCTGTCTGCTGAACATGCCAGGCTTGGACATTGGCCCTTGCTCTTCCTGTCACCCCAAACACTCTTAGCCTTCTCCTCCTTCAGGTCTCAGCCCAGATAGCTCCCCAGAAAGGCCTTCCTGGACCACTTATCTGGAGAAGCTTACCAAGCTGACCTTTCCTCACCCCCGCCTTAAACACATCTCCAACGCTAGCAGATTGCTCTTTTTTCTTTTTTTTTTTGAGACAGAGCTTTGCTCTTTTTGCCCAGGCTGGAGTGCGATGGTGCAATCTCAGCTCACCACAACCTCCACCTCCCAGGTTCAAGTGATTCCACTGCCTTAGCCTCCCAAGTAGCTGGGACTACAGGCGCACACAACCATACCTGGCTAATTTTTGTATTTTTAGTAGAGATTGGATTTTGCCATGTTACTCAGGCTGGTTTCGAACTCCTGATCTCAAACGATCCTTCCACCTCAGCCTCTCAAAGTGCTGGGATTACAGGCGTGAGCCACTGTGCCCAGCCTAGATTGCTCTGTCTTAACTTCTTTTCCAGTGTCTATCACTGGTTGGCCCTGCCTGATCTTTTAAAGTGTATTATCATCAGTCTCCCCAGCTGCAATGCAAGCTCAAAGGCAGTGAGAAGGTCATTTGTCTTCATCTTCACCCCAGATCACATGGTAGGAAATCAGTAAACTTTTTTTTTTGAAACAGAGTCTTGCTTTTGTTGCCCAGGCTGGAGTGCAATGGCACAGTCTCGGCTCACTGCAACCTCCACCTCCTGGGTTTGAGGAATTCTCCTGCCTCAGCCTCCTGAGTAGCTGGGATTACAGGCTTCCACCACCATGCCCAGCTAATTTTTGTATTTTTAGTAGAGACGGGGTTTCACCATGTTGGCCAGGCTGGTCTCGAACTCCTGACCTCATGATCCGCCCGCTTGGGCCTCCCAAAGTGCTGGAATTACAGGCGTGAGCCACTGTGCCTGGCCTTTTTTTTTTTTTTAAACAGAGTCTTGCTCTGTCATAGGCTGGAGTGCAGTGGCACAATCTTGGCTCACTGCCACGTCCACCTCCGGGTTCAAGTGATTTTCTTGCCTCAGAGTAGTTGGTAGTTAGGACTAGAGGTCCAAGTAGCTGGAGCTACAGGTGTACGTTACCAAGCCTGGCTAATTTTTGTATTTTTAGTAGAGACAGGGTTTCACCATGGTGGCCAGGCTGGTCTCGAACTCCTGGCCTCAAGTGATCTGCCTGCCTCTACCTCCCAAAGTGCTGGGATTACAGGCGTGAGCCACCTCGCCCAGCCTCAGTAAACATTTTTAATTGGATGACAAGGGATGGGGCCATGTCTTCCACATCACTCATTCACTCATTTATTCATCCCCTGCATACGCTGTGGGTGGCCTGCCCTGACACTGGACACTACTTCTCCACTCTCTGCTACACATAATGTCTCTGTACTCTTCCCTCAGGATGTGGCACATGGGCTCTGCCTGAAAGTCCTCCCTCTCTGCTACTTCCCTCCCTATCACTAGCTACCTCCAATTCCACCAGGAGCCTAAGACTGTCATTTCTTTAATCCTGCAAGAAGACCCCCTTTCTCGGTGCCCTACACATCCCCCTGCCACATGGCTACACCATCAGGCATTTCCCAGCATCTGCTGCCTGCTCTGCTGCTCAAGGGGCTGGGCGAGAAGACAGCCCAGTTCTGTTGGGATCACAGTTTTGTCCTCAGTGCGTAGCACAGGTTCTAGAACACAGCTACAACACCATACTTTGTGTGATTTTTTTGGAGACAGGGTCTCACCCTGTTGCCCAGGGTAGAGTGCCATGGCACAATCATACCTCACTGTAGTATCAAATTCCTAGGCTCAAATGATCCTACCACCTCAGCTTCCCGAGTAGCTGGGACTACAAGTGCGTGCACCACCATGCCCAGCTAATTTTAAAACTTTTTGTAGCGATGAGGGTCTCCCTATATTGTCCAACTCAAACTTTTGGGCTCAAGTGATCCTCCGACCGTGGCCTCCCAAAGTGCTGGGATTACAGGGGTAAGCCACGGCATCTAGCCTAGCACCAAGCTTGTTGCAGGGACAGGGAAGGCATCTGAGTAGGAGGAAGGCAGTGTACCATCTGTCCCAGATTTAATGATGGTTTGACATGATTGTTTGAATTTACAATGGTGTGAAGCAATACACTTTCAGGAGAAAGTGGTGTGATAGTCTCTCACAATGCTGGGCAGTGGCAGTGAGCCTCAGCTCTCCGGCAGCCACACCATCCCCAGGGTAAAGAACGGATACTCGGCTGGGTGTGGTGGCTCACGCCTATCAACTCAGCACTTTGGGAGGCTGAGGTGGGAAGACTGCATGAGTCCAGGAGTTCGAGACCAGCCTGGGCAACACGGTGAACTAGGGGACAAGACATAGCTGGATGCAAGGACAAAGCGGGGGGTGCAGGTCCCCCACACCTAAGCTTGGGCAGGGGAAGGGAGAGGCACAATTACTTGCGGGTGTTCTCATTTTTAAGCAGAGACTTGGCCTGCTGCTCACTGATGATGGTGGCCTTCACCTGGGGGGGATTCATGTGCACGTTCAGCTTCCCGCCCACCAGCAGGCGTACGGTGGCTGCAAACTTGGTCTGGGTCTTCAGGACCTGAGGAGGCTGCTTCTCAATGATGAATGTGCTGCATGGGACACAGGGACAGACACACGATGAGGGGTTGGCGCAGGGGAAAGGGCTCTCAGTCCCTCTGTGGTGGGGGTGGGGCTGCCTCCCATGGGGCTCAGGAGGTGATGAGCTCGGGCACAACCTCTGTTCCCGGGGAAGCTGTGAGAGTCCAGGGAGAGGATGGAGAGGGGAGTGAGATAACACAGCAGCTGGCATGGGCTGCGGCCCAGGGTATCTCTTGCAGTGTCCACAGGAGAAACTGGGCAAGGGCGGCACCTAGCAGCCACAGCAACTGGAGATGGAGTTGGGAGGGATGAGAGGCAGGAAGTGGATCTGCTGGTCTGGAAGGCACCTGCAGCTCCCCCCACGCAGGCAGGAGCTGCCCCAAGCTCCTGGGCATGGCAAACAGGCAGCAGTCACCTGGTCACCAGGGCTGAGATAATGTCCGTGATGGTGGCGTTGACCTCGGCCAGCATCTCCTCCACTGGGCCGGGGATGGGCAGCTGCTGGCAGAGGTGCTCAGCCCTGCGGATCTGCTGCCGGTTCTGCCAGATGATCTCGGCCAACTTCTCACACCTGCACGAGAGCCCCAAGGCCAACAGGAGGACAATGGCTTCTCCTCACAGACGCCAGGCCCCAAGACACAGCTCCCGTTCCCCCAGGAAGGCTCTGTGCTTTCGCCACACTTCCCACCCATGGGAAGAGCAGAGCTCCCTGCCTCCCAGAATTAGAGACGTACACAGGAGGGGCGACCCTGACTAGGCCCAAACAGCCCAAGCATCACCCCACACACCCGAGCCCCATCCCACCCCCAGGACAGCAGCCCCCTTCCTGGGGGAGGTGCACAGGATGGGGACCAAAGTCTGATTGAGGAACCAGGCTCCCTGGAGAAACAAGAGCTGTCCCAGGATGGAGGGGGCCTGCTGCAGGAGCCAGCACAGGACGCAGAAGCAGCCGGGGTCCCCACCAGCCCCTCCTGCCCTGCCCGCTGGCCGCCCCACACCATTACCAGGACTGTAGCACGTCCAGGCTGCCCTCGGGGGGCCCGCCGTTCCCGGCCAGCTGCTGCCGCCGCTTCCACTGGATCAGCTCGTCATCCAGGATGATGGTCTGCTGCTTCCGCAGCAGCTGCAGGGTCTTCTGGTGCTTCTCGGCCAGCTCCTGAGGGAAGGGAGGAGAGCAGCCCCTTCTGGGCTCCCAGAGAACACCGCAGGGCCTCGCTGGGAAATGGCAGGGCAGGGCCCAGGCCGTTCCCTCTCCCCAAGCTGCTCTGCCTCGCAAGGCCCCCAGGAAAAAAGGCCTCCTGCCCTCCCAGGTTCTGCTCTCATGCTGGTCCCAGCCCTCCCTCGGGTCCCCAGAGACTGACTTCATGGCACCCACGCCCAGGAGAGGCCCAGGACCCCACTCACCACGCGGTACTGCTGCAGTGTCTGTGCCTCACGCTGCAACCAGGCCTCCAGAGACACCTGCTTCTGCTGGAGGGCCGTCTCCCGGCTCAGACGCTCCTGGGGGCTCAGCTGGGCCAGCTGGGCAAACTGAGCTAGAGGAGAGAAGAGGAAACCATGACCATCACCTCCTAGTGTCCAACAGGAGGCCTAGAGAAGCCCACTCACCTGTTCTGGAGCGAGACCCTCCCAGGCTCAGACACTGCATCAAGAGCAAGTCGGGGTTCCTGACAGCCAGGGGGGCCAAGATGAATGGCGCCTCAGGAGGCGCCTCTGGGCCCTGCTCACCAGCCTCCTGACTCTGAGCCGTCCCCTCTGGGGGCACACGGGTGCTGGGGCAGCTGGGGAGGAGGCCTGCCTGCCTCCTGCCCGCCTGCCTCACAGGGCTGCCAGCCCTCTTCTCGCGTCCCAGCATGGGTCCAGGCTGTCTGGGGTGTAAGTGTGCCCATGCCCTTGACTGCAGGTGAACCTGGGCAAATCGCTTTCCTTTCCTGTGCCTCAGCTTCCCCACGTGTAAAACGGGAGATTCTCAGCACCTGCCTCAGTGGGGTGCTTGAAGATTAAATACATGAGGACATGGAAGATGCCAGAAAGCTGCCTGACATGGGTGAGCTCTGTGTGAGGTTCGTGCTTCTTGGTTAACGGGGAACAGGACAGAGAGAAGAGGTGACAGAGACAAGCAGCTGCTCGGCCCCATCCCTCCCGCAGCAAGGCCTCTTCAGGGAACCCCAGCCCCGGCGGCTCTGTCTCGTCCCTGAGCACAGCAGTCCCTCCTCAGGGGAGGATGAGATTCTTGAGGGGCTGGAAGGGGCCCAGCATGTTTGTCCAGGTGGGCTCACTGTGAGCCCAGCCGACCAACCAGGGGAGACAGACAGATAGACAGACCGCAGAGGGAGAGCGTGTCCAGGGCCACTGGGGATGCAGAGCCACCAAGATTCTCTCAGGAAAGGGAGGCCGAAGGGAGGCGGCTTCCCTCCACACCATCTGTGAGGAGTCTCATTGATGGCGGGACAGGGAATAAGTCAGGCCTCACTAGCTTTTAAAAAGTATCCATCATGGGGCTGGGCGCAGTGGCTCACGCCTGTAATCCCAGCACTTTGGGAGACTGAGGCGGGCAGATCACGAGGTCAGGTGATCGAGACCATCCTGGCTAGAGACCATCCTGGCTAACACAGTGAAACCCCATCTCTACTAAAAACACAAAAAATTAGCCGGGCATGGTGGCGGGTGCCTGTAGTTCCAGCTACTAGGGAGGCTGAGGCAGGAGAATGGCGTGAACCCAGAAGGTGGAGCTTGCAGTGAGCCGAGATTGGGCCACTGCACTCCAGCCTGGGCGACAGAGCTAGACTCTGTCTAAAAAAAAAAAAAAAAAAGTATCCATCATGTGCCAGGCTCGGTGGCTTACGCCTGTAATCCCAGCACTTTGGGAGGCTGAGACAGGCAGATCACTTGAGGTCAAGAGTTCGAGACCAGCCTGGCCAACATGGCAAGACCCTGTCTCTACTAAAAATACAAAAATTAGCTGGGCATGGTGGCGCATGCCTGTAATCCCAGCTACTTAGGAGGCTGAGGCAGGAGAATTGCTTGAACCCGGGGTTAAAGGTTGCAGTGAGCCGAGAGCACCACTGCACTCCAGCCAAGGCAACAGAGCAAGACTCCATCTCAAAAAAAAAAAAGTATCCATTATGAAATACGTAAGACACAGGGGATGTGGAACACAAGGGCGCCTGTGTATCAATAACCCAGGCTAAGAAAGTAAACATGTCCACAGTTACAACCACCACCGCAGGCCCACCCCACCCTCCCAGCGACAGCCCGTCTCCACCACACTGGGACTATTAATCCCTTCCCATCACCTTCTCAACAGCCCAGCGTCCTTGCTTGAGCTGAGTCAGAAGATGCGCGCACCAGCATGTCTTGGTCGAGCTCCTGGCTGGCCCCTGAGGGCCACGTCACTCTGACCCCAGCCCTGACCCATGGGATGCACAAGCTGGGACAGACAAAAGCAACTCTATGTAGCCAGGAACAGCCCAGAGCTAGAACTCAGAAATATGGCTCCAATCTCACTGCAGGTATCGAGCAGGAAGAGGATCATCCAGGCACGGACAGATCCGAGGTGTCTGCACGGCTACCTCGGGTATCCTGCCCAGCCACAGGGAGGGTGGTGGTGATCCCAACACCTGGGCCCAGCCTTCCTATGCAAGGGACCCACTTAGGGCTCTCCTGGAAATTTGCAGAAGCTTTTAGGAAGGAGGCCAGGGAGACGGGAAGCAATTTCCCTACTCCACTGGAGGCAGCTGAGCCTTCCCTGGCAAAAGCAGATCAATAGTCTGTGTTTCTGCTGAGTGAACTTGACAAATGGGACTGAGAAGACACTGCATGATAGATCCAAACCCAACCTGAATCCAAACCTAATCCGCCACCATGCACAGGAAACAGAAAAGCCAGGCACGGGATCAGAAATACTGTCGACAGTCTAAGGACTTGGGTAGGAATAACCGCCCAAAATCTTCCGTTTCCATTCTCAGAAGGAGCTGCCCTTCTTCTAGGGCCAGTCTGGGATAGATTCAGATGAGGGGAAATTCTCTTAGAATTATCCTGTCAGTATTGGCTGGGCACCGTGGCTCACGCCTATAATCCTAGCACTTTGGGAGGCCGAGGCAGGCAGATCACTCGAGGCTAGAGGTTGCAACCAGCCTGGACAACACGGCACAACCCTGTATCTACTAAAACTACAAAAAAAAAAAATTAGCCAGGCATGGTGGTGCATGTCTGTAGTCCCAGCTACTGAGGAGGCTGAGGCATGAGAATAGTTTGAACCTGAGAGGCAGAGGTCGCAGTGAGATGAGATCGTGCCACTGCACTCCAGCCTGGGCAATAATAAATAAACAAACAAACAAACAAACATTTAGAATTATCCTGCAAGTATTTACATAATAGCTGCAATATTCAGGCATTGTGCTGGTCTCAGTGTACACAAAGCACTGACAGTGCAGGGTTAGGAAGAGAGCTTAAATAGCTACAATAGAATTCTAAAAAAATCAGCTGGGCGTGGTGGCCTGCACCTGTAGTCCCAGCTATGCGGGAGACTGAGGCACAAGAATTTCTTGAAGCTGGGAAGCAGAGGCTGCAGTGAGCCGAAATCATGCCACTGTGCTCCAGCCTGGGCGACAGAGCAAGATTGTCTCAAAAAAAAGAAAAGAAAAAGAAAGAAAAGAAAAGAAGAAAGGTCTAAAATCAATGACCTAAGGTCTACCTTAAGAAATCAGATTAAAAAGAGTAAAGGAAAAAGCAGTTTGACACCCCTTGTTCTCACTAAGATGAGGTGTTACATTTCTGGGGTCAGTCTGGAATGGGACATATTAATAGATGGGCCATGTCCCATGACTCCTCAAATTGTACCTGGGGATAGTTCCTTTCAAGCTAATTTGATTTTTTAATTTCCCCACATCTTTATCATGGGAGCCATTGGCGAACTACAGACCTAGGATACAGGAGAATTTTCTACTGTCACCCCTTCCCCCAGGCCCACATCCTATCCGTGAGGCTCAAGAAGGCCCACTTTGGAAGTTCCACCTCTCCCAGCCTGGTTCAACCAGAAGACTTCCAATCCAAGTCCTCCCTCTGGTTAGGGAGCACTGTTCATATTTACCTATTTGTGTCGATATTTACAGAATACATACCATTAAGGAGAGAATACTGGTTAATAAAGTACAGGAGTTTTATGATATATCTCTAGTTGAGATCCAGTTCTGTAATTTACAGGCAACCTAGGCCAAGTTACTTGTTCTCTTTGAACCTCACTTTTACCATCTGCAAAAGGGGGGATAACACAACTGTTCACTTCATAGGCTTGTTGAGAGGGTTGAATTAAATAATGTGTGCCAAGTGTGACCCACGGCAGGGGCTCAATCACCGGGAGCCATTGCTTCTACCAGGCTTTGGGCAAAGTGCTGAGGAGATGGACACTGACCCAGCTCTACCCTCTAGGAGTCCATAGAATGTTCCTCACTCCCACCCTCCGGATGCACACTGCCTCCACCGCGCCTCACCTTGGATCCTCAGGCTCTCCTGGTACTGGATGATGAAGTACTCCTGAGTCTGCTGCAGTTTCTTCAGCTCATTCTCTGTGTCCTGCGTGACCAGTCGCAGCTCCTCAAATGTCTGGTTGATCTGAAGGTGCTTCTGGGACATGGCGTCAACCAGGATCCCAGCCGGAGAGCTGCACTGGAGACAGATGGAATGGAAATAACTCGGGGAAGAGAGGATGGGAGAAGACCACAGGCATTAGGAAACACCAATACTACAGACCCCAAACCCCAAACCCCAAACTAGGGTAAGAAGGGAAACTAGGGCAAGAAGGAAGGATCATTTGCATCAGAAGGAGTCATTTGCCAGAATTGGGATAGAAAAGGGAAAGAGAAAGGAGAAACAGGTGACCTGGCAGATAACGGCAGATAGTAACACCTTCAAAGTCCAAATATCTATGTCAGAGCTGCCCTCCACTAGAGTATTCCAAACAGGGTCCATCTAATTTCCTCCCAGGGACTAGAACTCAACACGTCCCAGGTGTCACCTGGGTTTTCCCACTAATGATGATGACCCCTCGCTCTACATTTATTTGCTGACTCAATACCATGGACTGCAGTAGATCCTAGGGACATAGGGAGGAACAGGGCTGTGTGAACACACACCATCTCACTTAAGACCCCCTTGTGACTGAAGGAAGAGGGAAGAGGCCGAAACTCTCACAGGCATCCTGGAGACCCCGAAATGAAGTTAGAGGGGAGGCATCAACAAGCTCCCCTTGGATCCAGCCATTCCTTCAGCACATTCAGGAGAATCGCTTGAACCCAGGAGGGGGATGTTGCAGTGAGCCGAGATTGCGCCACTGCACTCTAGCCTTGGCAACACAGCGAGACTCCGTTTCAAAAAAAAAAAAAATAGAGAGAGAGGGGTAGAAACCAGGTCACAAAGGGAGGGAGCACATGGATGAAGAGGAACAAGTCCTCAGAGGCTTTCCAATGAACTGTTCTCAGAATAAAATCCAAACCCCTTCCCATGGTGTCTGCTGGCCATAGCCCTGCCTACCTCCAACCCCAGCTCGCTGGGAATGTGTGCTTTCTGTTTCTGTTCCTTGAACACACAGGCATGTTCCTGCCCTGGGGCCCTTGCACTTATTGTTCCAACAGTCTGGAACATTCTGGCATCAGATCCTCCTGAGGCAAAGCACTTTAACTGGTACCATTGCAGAGGGGTCATCTCTGACGAGCCAATTCACAGTAGTCCTATCTAAAAGTGTGTTGTTCTTGTATTTGCTTACATGTTTCTGTCTGTCTCCCTGCACAAGGATGTGAGGTTCCCAAGGGCTAGGACCTTGCCTTTCCTGTGAACTACAGAATCCCCAAGCCCTAGAATGCCAGGGGTGTTCAGGAACAGTTGTATGGTTGGAGGAAGGAATGAGCTCCCAGACCATGACAGCACCAGCACCATGGACATGGATTTGTCAATGAGGCTGAAGTCATTTTTAGGTTTGCAGATAGCTCTGTGATGGCAACAAGTCAGGGACACAGGGGCTGTGCTGGAAGACCCTTTGTGACCTGGTTTCTAACCCCTATTTTTTTTTTTTTTATACAGAGTCTCGCTCTGTTGCCCAGGCTGGAGTGAAGTGGTGCAATCTCAGCTCACTGCAACATCCCCCTCCTGGGTTCAAGCAATTCTCCTGCCTCAGCCGCCCGAGTAGCTAGGATTACAGGCGCCCGCCACCACGCCTAGCTAATTTTTGTATTTTTTAGTAGAGACTGGGTTTCACCATGTTGGCCAGGCTGGTCTCGAACTTCTGACGTCAGGTGATCCGCCCACCTTGGCCTCCCAAAGTGCTGGGATTACAGATGTGAGCCACCACGCCTGGCCCTCTCTATCTATTTTTATCCATGGCAACTCCCCACTTGGTTCCTTCTCCCCAGTTACACTGACCACTTACAAGTCTTCCAATGTGATAAGAAGATTCATGCCCTCCTGCTCTCGCAGCTGCTGTCTTTTCATTAGAAAATTCATCCCTCCTCTCCTGCCTTTCTCCACTGTAGCTCAGACATGCCTGTCCACAGGACGCTCCCCTGCCAGCCTGCCCCAATCTGAGTTGGGTGCTTTTTCCACCTAGGCCCCCTTAGCACTCAGCTCATCTCTAGAGAATCCATCACTGCCAGAATTCCTTCCAGGCAAGAACCAGGCCTTTATGTGTTTCTCTGATGATAGCCCAGCATCGGACACACAGTAAGACCTCAATAAATGTCTACTGAGTAAATCCTGAAATCCATGTCCACAACAATAAATACGTAATAGGCCGGGCGTGGTGGCTCATGCCTGTAATCCCAGCACTTCGGGAGGCCGAGGCAGGTGGATCACTTGAAGTCAGGAATTCGAGACCAGCCTGGCCAACAGGGTGAAACCCTGTCTCTACTAAAAATACAAAAATTAGCCGGGCATGGTGGTGGGCCCCTGTAATCCTAGCTACTTGGGAGGCTGAGGCATGAGAATCTCTTGAACCCAAGGGGTGGAGGTTGCAGTGAGCCGAGATCACGCCACTGCACTCCAGCCTAGATGATAGAGTGAGACTCAGTCTCAAAAATAAATAAACAAACAAACAAATAAAGAAAGAAATAATAAATATGACCTGTGCTCCGGTCACTGTTCTAAGATTTCTGTCACGTCATGTTGTGAAATTCATTTTGCTCTATTGCAGATAGTACAGCACTGTGCCATTGTCCATGTAGATGCCCAGTGCCTTTATTATTTCAGAACTGGGGAGATGTGTCCCTGTTACCCCTCCCTGGGCCTCACTTCTCTGAGCCTGCCTGTGTTAGTTCTTCTGACACAGATAGGTATGATTGCTATCTCCATTTTACAAGAGTAGGAACAGGCCGGGCACGGTGGCTCACGCCTGTAATCCCAACACTTTGGGAGGCCGAGGCGGGTGGATCATGAGGTCAGGAGTTCAAGACCAGCCTGGCCAACATAGTGAAACCACGTCTCTACTAAAAATACAAAAAAAATTAGCCGGGCATGGTGGTGGGCACCTGTAATCCCAGCTACTCGGGAGGCTGAGGCAAGAGAATTGCTTGAACCTGGGAGGCAGAGGTTGCAGTGAGCAGAGATCACATCACTGCACTCCAGCCTGGGCAACAGAGCAAGACTGCATCTCGGGGGGGAAAAAACAGTAGGCGCCAAGCGTGGTGGCTCACGCCTGTAACCCCAGTACTTTGGGAGGCCGAGGTGGGCGGATCACGAGGTCAGGTTGAGACCATCCTGGCTAACACAGTGAAACCCCATCTCTGCTAAAAATACAAAAAATTAACCGGGCATGGTGGTGGGCGCCTGTAGCCCCAGCTACTCGGGAGGCTGAGGCAGGAGAATGGTGTGAACCTGGAAGGCAGAGCTTGCAGTGAGCCGAGATCACGCCACTGCACTGCAGCCTGGGTGACAGAGCAAGAATCCGTCTCAAAAAAAAGAAAAAAGAAAAAAGAAAAAAAAACAGGAACAGAGGCTCAGAGAGATTAAGCAACTTGCTCAAGTCACACAGCTAGTAAGTGGTAGAGCCAGGGACTGGATCCAGGGGGTCACTCCACCCCGGCGTGCAATGCTGCCACCTCTTACACTTGCCCACGTCCCTCATCTTCTTGGTGCTCTCCTCGTGCTGCTGTTTTATATAAACACAGTTGTTTCTGGAGAGAAAGGCATATGGAGGGACTTCTCAACACTCCTCCCCATCCCCAAGGGACACTCACATTGTTGGCTTCTCGGACCAGCCTCTGTTCATTGTACAGAATGTGCCGGATGCAGCGGACCAGCTCCAGGGGGCAGCGGTCATATGTTTTCTGAAAGAATCCAACAGTAGCCTCCAGCGCCATCCTCTGCTCCAGCCATGCCAGCCCCATGCTATGCCCAGCCCTTCCTCTCCTTCAGCCTCTGCCTCAGCTTTTCCCAGGGAGCCTCAGGAACTATCCCCAGACACCTCTATATCTCTGTTCCTCATCCTCATCTTCCCCTCCAAGATCTTCATATCTGGTTTGGAGCGAATTAAAAACCCACAGTTTATGAGGCACTTTCTCTTTTTTTTTTTTTTCTTTTTGAGATGGAGTTTTGCTCTTGTTGCCTAGGCTAAAGGTGCAATGGTGTGATCTCAGCTCACTGCAACCTCCACCTCCCGGGTTCAAGCGATTCTCCTTCCTCAGCCTCCTGAGTAGTTGGGATTACAGGCATGTGCCATCACGCTCGGCTAATTTTGTATTTTTAGTAGAGGCGGGGTTTCTCCACGTTGGTCAGGCTGGTCTCGAACTCCCGACCTCAGGTGATCCACCCGCCTCGGCCTCCCAAAGTGCTGTGATTACAGGTGTGAGCCATCATACCCAGTCTTATGAAGCACTTCCAATCTACCGTATCTTTTGACTGTAACACAGGGGTCCCAAACCCCTGGGCCATGGACTGGTACAGGTCGGTGGTCTGTTAGGAACTGGACCACACAGCAGGAGGTGAGCGGCGGTGAGCAAGTGAGTGACGCTTCATCTGTATTTACAGCTGCTGCCTATTGCTCGCATTACAGCCTGAACTCTGCTTCCTGTCAGATCAGCAATGGCACTGGATTCCCATAGGAATGCTAACCCTATTGTGAACTGCACATGCGAGGGATCTAGGTTATGCACTTCTTAAGAGAATCTAATGCCTGGTGATCTGTCACTGTCTCCCATCACCCCCAGATGGGACTGTCTAGTTGCAGGAAAACAAGCTCAGGGCTCCCACTGATCCTACATTGTGGTGAGTTCTATAATTATTTCATTGCATAGCACAATGTAATAACAATAGAAATAAAGTGCACAATAAACGTGATGCTCTTGAATCATCCAGAAACCACCTCCCTGCCCAATCCCGGTCCATGGAAAAATTGTCTTCCATGAAACCGGTCCCTGGTGCCAAAAAGTGGTGGGGGATCAAGGCACTAACAGCATGGAAACTCTAGGACATAAGCAGAAACTATGATCCCCATTTCACAGATGAGAAAACTGATGCTCAGACATTATGTACTCGTCCAGACGCAACCAAGTGAGAGAGCAGATGACTCCAGACTCAGGGCATCTGATGCCAAGGTCAAGGTACTTCCCACCATCCTGCCCCTGGCCTCCTATATTGCTTCCCCTCAGGCTTCTCCTGTTTTCCCCCTCTTCTGGGATGGACTTGTATTTCCCTGGCACCCTGCTGTCTGTATTGAAGGGCTCTCTAGGAAACATACGTGAGTTCCAATAAGTGCTTGACTGTCATCACTACCCACACCCCTTTCCTGCTTCCACAAAAACTCCCTCTCTTCCTCCATACCCACTCCCCTCAAGTAAAGAAGCTACATCTTATTTCTAAACCCTCAATTCAAAGCCCTTGTGTCCAGCTCTTGTCTCTGGGATGGCTCCTCTCTCACCTTTAAAAGACCCCAAGAGGGAGGTCTGGTGGCCTCATTTCTAGAGTCTGCTGGTCTTCCCTTCTCCAACATAGGAATCCTGACTCAGTCTCCCTCCATCCCTTCTGCTGCTTCCATAAGGCCAGTTCACCCATCTCTCTCTGTTGGCAACAAACACCTCCCACCCTTGCTTTGCAATATGCTAAAGAAATCCGACAGGTCGAATTTAGAAAGAGGGGGTGGGGGAAATCGAAGAAAAGTTCCCAATAAGTTCGTGGTCACATGGTGAGTCAGTGGCCAGGCCAGGAAAAAACCCAGGGGTTCTGATGCTGGAACAAGATGATGCTTCCTCCCCGTAGGTGGCCCAGAGCCTACACCCACCTGGAGCTGCGTGGCGTAGTGCCCCAGCTTGATCTTCAGTAAAAACCCATCTTCCCCCACCTGGTGCTCCGCCTTCTTCTGCAGCTCCTGCACCAGGCCCTCCAGGAGCTGGGTGGCTTGGGCTCTGTCCTGGGGATTGTCCAAGTCAATGGCATCCCTTGGGGCAGGGCAGAAGAGAAAAACCTACTGTGGCACCTCCTTGGGCAAGGAGGTCAGGGAGCTGGAATAAAGTGGAAACCCCAGGCTCATGACCGAGGGCACTCCAGGGCCCACAAGACTTGTTCCCAGCAGCTCCACAGACATCCGAGTCTAAAAACATTCTCTGTCCTCCCAGGCTTCCCCTTTCCCAGGGGCACCACCCCTTCCGCACAAAGAAGGACAGGCAGGACCAGAGTCACACCAAACCACCATGAGTAAAACTAGAGGCCAAAGGGCCTGGATGGTAGGGACCCTCTGAGGAGGGGCAGGGCGGGACGTGCCTACCATGGCTGGCTCTCAATCCACTGGGCCAAGTAGTGCCGGACCTCGATGGGGAAGTGCTGGCCGTACAGCACCTGCATCTGGCGCAGCGCGTCTCCCTGCAGCTGCTGGGCCTGGATCCAGCCCGCCATGGCCGTTCACCTAGGGCGAGCCGAGCGCTGAAGCGCTCTCCTCTGCAGAGGCCAAGGAACCGGGCCTGCCCCTGGCCTTGCCATGCCTACCTATCCCTGGACCGCGGCCAGGCCAGGCCCCTCCCCTCCCACAGATAGCTTTCCTGTGCGGGAACAGAGATGGTGAGGAGTGGAGGGCCGCCCATCCCCTCCAACAAGGAACCCGCTGAAGGGGAGGGGAAGGTGCTCTGCAGAGGCAGGTGCCCTCCCCGTCTTCCTCTCCCCTCGCCCCACCGGAGCTTCCCTAGTGAGGGGGACGGCCAGAAACTGAAAGAGAAACTTGACGGCGGGAGGCCCACAGGCCCCCTGGAGAGGGCTGCAAGGATCCCCCAGCCCACCTCGGGCCCGGTTTCTGGGAAGGGGAGATATTCCAACCCGAAGTTAGGCCAGCGCCACGACGGCTCCCACTCGACGGCTAGGGCTTTTCGGGCACGTGGCTGGGGCTGTTCAGGAGACAGGGCTGAGGACTTGGGCGCTCCCCTCTTCGGCTGCTCCCCCATCTGTGCACTAGTGCCTCCCCGGGTCCAGCCCGACAGGTGCTCCCTCTCCGAGGCGTGCCAGGACGGCGCCCTCCCTGGCCTCTGCCTTTCATCCCCGACCCCTGTCCCCACGTCCCCCCGTCCCTCGTCTGCGCTGGGCCAACTCCCTCGCAGTGCCGGGGACTGATCCCCGCGCTGCGCCCGGCCGTCGAGCTCCGGGTGCCGGAGGTGCCGGGGCGGCAGTAGAGTGTCCCCTCTCGGCGCGCCGCCGAGGACGCGCCACCGGGTCACCCACCTGGTGGGGCCGCACCGTCCGGCAGCCGGGCCGGCTCTGCGCCCCGCGGCTCTCGCTCCCGGCCGGGGTTCCTGGCGGCGGCGGCAGCGGCGGCTGTTACTACAGGAAGGAGCGGAGAGCAGCGATTTCCTCCTCAAAGGTCAGCTGCCTGCGATAGACCATACACAGCGCGCGAGCCCGCGCCAGCAGCCCTCCCAGCCCCGCTTGCTCCCTCCCTGCCTCGCCCTCAGTCGCCGGCTCCCCTGCAAGTGCGCAACAGCGGCGGCCGTTCCCGGCGGGCGGCGCCGGGCGTGGGGGCTGCCCCGACGGCGGGGTCCCCCGGGAGTCCCAGCAGGCCCTCGGCGGCGGCTCCCAGGGAGCGTCCCGGAACCGGGGCGGGTCAGAATAGCCGGGGGAATGTGGTTGTCGGGCGTTGCCGGGAAATCCCGGGCTCTGGAAATCCCAAACCTGGGCCTCAGTTTTCTCATCCGCAAAAAGGGAGGAGGGAAAAGTGGACCAATTGGCGACGCCTTCCAGCTCTGGCGCGTGTCATCTTTTGAGCCCCTAGATTAAAAAATAAATGTGTGGGGTGTGTGTGTGCACGCGCGTGTGTGCGCATGTGTGTCTTGGGGGCCACAGGTTTTGTGACCTCAGAGACAAAACTGTAGAGAGGGGAAGAACTGGGGATTCTAGTGAAGCCAAGATCACCCCCACCACCGCAGCACCTCCCTCCTTCTTTTACTCCGGCCATCTAAACTCAACCCTGACGGAGGAACTGGAAAGAATCTTGGCAGTCATGTGTTTCAGCCCTCCCCCTCTCCACAATTTTGCAGGTAAGAAATGGAAGTCCTGAGAGGGAAAGGGGCTTGCCCGGGGCCACCCAGGGCCACACAGTAGGCACGTGGCCTCACCAGCCGACTGTGATCCATAAACTAGCCAGCGCCCCCGTTCACCCAGCCTAGTTACTTATGAGGCTGGTTCTACCTTCAGAAAAGTCCAGGGAGGGACCGTCTTGAGTCCTCCTAACTTCGAAACTCTCTACAGGCCTTGCCACAGCAGTGAATATCCTGTCTAGAGCCTCAGTCCCCCTCTCCAAGAGGCCCCTTCCCACGAGGCCCAAGGGGTTTGGTAAGGTCGGGCTGGACGCCTTCCATCCCCTTTGCCCAGCTTCCCTCTCCTCTGGGCCTCCCCTCTGCCTGGCAGCGGGTTGGCAGCACCAGAGGAGGGGCCAGCCCAGCTGCCCACTCACAGCACAGCTGGGCCAAGACTGCATGTTCTGTTGGGGGGGGTGCATTCTCATCTGCCTCCCTCCCCAGCTGCTTCTCAGAGCTGCCCTTTTCTCTCCATTTCCACTCTCCTTTCTTGCCCCTTACTACCTCTCCCAGTTTCATTCTTTTAACTTCAGAGGAAAAAAAAAAAAAGAACTTCAAAGCTGCAGAAGCCAAAATGTCTGCGTTCTCCCCACCTTCTCTGTGTGGTCACAGTGTCTTAGTTGGCAGGATCACGAGGAAAGGAATTGAAAACTCTAAGGGGGTGCATGGAGGATGTAGGGAAGCCTTGCTTCCCAGATGCTCTGCAGGGGGCCCCAGGGAGGAGGAAGTATAGTCCCTCTCCTCTCCTTTCCCACTCTGAGCAATGGATTTGGCAGGGGAGGGTCAGACACAGAGCTAGGGGGTCAACTGGAATGAAAGCCAAGTGCCACAGCTGGAAGTGACCATAAAGATGATTTTACAAGTGGAAAAACAAAGGCCAGAGAGGGGAAGTGACTTTGCCACCGTCATGCAGCCTGTCGGTGGCTGGATACAAACCCATTGCCACATTTGGGTGGGTCCCACTTGGCACCTGTGCCCTCCAGCAGTTCCCTTCAGGCAGGTGTGGAAGTCAGTTGATGGGAGCAGATTCCTCAGGTTTTCAAGTCCTCTCACCCAGGTCTGGAGGGCAGAGGGCCACCCTTGCCATGCACTGACATCTGGGCACCTGATGGGGTGGGGGTGCCTGCTTAAGAGAGGGGGTCCTGCCTGCTCTCTTCCAGGCAGCCACCTCTCTAGACTTCTCCTCCAGGGCCTGCAGAGGCCTGTTGCTCCAGCAGGCAGCCCCACCCACCAAACATCTGTCTTGGTTGGGCCGGGCTTGGCTTTAGTGTGGGTAGTCCTAGGTCCTAAAAAGCTAGCATTGAGGTGCCAGAGTACAGAATGGGAAGGATGGGCCTAAAAGGGTGTGTGGCTGTGTTTTCAGAGCCCTCCCGTGCCTCCCACCCTGACCCTGTGCCCAGTGGCTGTGCCCTTGGTTGACCATCCCTCATTTGGTCTCTGACTGTAAGGCCCCGAATATCTGTGTCTTTCATTGCACATTTCCCCTTCTGGGTTTTTTTTTTTTTTTTTTTTTTGAGATGGAGTTTCGCTCTCGTTGCCCAGACTGGAGTGCAATGGCGCGATCTTGGCTCACAGCAACCTCCACCTCCAAGGTTCAAGCGATTCTCCTACCTCAGCCTCCCGAGTAGCTGGGATTACAGGCATGTGCCACCACTCCTGGCTAATTTTGTATTTCTAATTTTGTATTTTTAGTAGAGGCGGTGTTTCTCCATGTTGGTCAGGCTGGTCTCGAACTCCCGACCTCAGGTGATCCACCCGCCTCGGCCTCCCAAAGTGCTGGAATTACAGGCATCAGCTACCATGCCCGGCCCCCACTCTGGCTTTTATTCTCTCTGTGTCTCTCCCTTGTCTCCTTAGGTCTCCATCTGGTTCTCTGATTCTGTCTGGGTTTCTCTCCATTTCTTCAGGCCTGTTCTCCCTTTGAGATGCAGTGGGGAGGAGGAGGAGCTATGGAACTTTCCCAGGATGGGCAAAGGGCACCCAAGGGAGTAGAGGGAAGGGTGTCAGAGTTGGGTTGGGAAGAGGTGACTGTAGTCGTGGCTCCAGATAACACAACTACCCAGAAATGTCAAATTTGGGGTTTCTTTTTGCTTTCAGTCCCCTTGTTTGTCCCCTTGTGTGGGTGATTTCCCACCACAAAGTGCCCTGGTGATTTTGGGGAACCAGGCTGTGGAGGAGAAAACTGAGGCCACGGGATGGGGGTTCAGGAAGATCAGAAACTGTCAAGGGTCTGACTGAGCTGCGGTCCGAGGCTGGCCTCCTTGCCCCTAACTGCTCTTCACCCCCAAATCCAAGTCACAGTATTAGATGGGGAGTGAGGAAGGATTTTAGAAATCTTACAGAAATATATTCCCCAGGCTAGGTGCAGTGGCTCACGCCTGTAATCCCAGCACTCTGGGAGGCTGAGGTGGGAGGATCACTTGAGGCCAGGAGTTTGAGACCAGTCTGACCAACATGGTGAAACCTCGTGTCTACTAAAAATACAAAACAATTAGCTGGGCGTGGTGTCACGCACCTGTAATCCCAGCTACTCGGGAGGCTGAGGCACAAGAATCTCTTGAACACAGGAGGCGGAGGTTGCAGTGAGCCGAGATCATACCACTGCACTCCAGCCTGGGCAACAGAGTCAGACTCTGTCTCAAAAAAAAAGAAAAGAAAAAAAAAAAAGCAATATATTCTCCAAAAGAAGACCTCCTATATTTTATTAGGAATAATAATAGTCTGCAGCCTAGGCTTCAGTTGGCACACTATATTCGTATCCTGAACTACATCAAGGCACATTTGTGTACAGACATGGTTGTGCTCTTCAACTCAACGGATCCTTTCAATAACCTTGAAGGCAGTCAGGGCCAGAATCACACCCTTTGATTAGTCCATGAAAGAAACCTGCCCAAAGCTGTCTGGCCAGTAAGTGCACAGATGGCACCAGGATCCAAGTTGCCGGGCCTTGTGGGCAGGGTCTCAGTATAACCTTTCTAAGCTTCCCCAAGCCCAGCACACACCGGCGGAGTGAAGAGGCCTCCCTGGGCTGGGCTAGCCCACCATTTTTCTGCGGTGCGGAGCATGGCATCTCCATTCTCGCCCAGCCTACACCCCTGCTCTATTGAATGGGACAGTGTGCTCTGTGCACACTTACATGAAGGTGGGTTTGAGTTTATGGATTAAGAGAATTATCCCAAAGGGCCGGGCATGGTGGCTCACGCCTGTAGTCCCAGCACTTTGGGAGGCTGAGGCGGGTGCATCACCTGAGGTCAGGAGTTCGAGATCAGCCTGGCCAATATGGTGAAACCCCGTCTCTACTAAAAATCCAAAAATTAGCTGGGCGTGGTGGTGCACACCTGTAGTCCCAGCTACTCAGTACGCTGAGGCAGGATAATCACTTGAACCAGGGAGGTGGAGGTTGCAGTTAGCTGAGATCACGCCGTTGCACTCCAGCCTGGGCAACAAAAGCGAAACTCCGTCACAAAAAGAAAAAAAAAAAAAGAGGGAGAGAGAAAGAATTATCCCAGGTCCCCTTTCTGCCTTGCCCTTGACGATCAGGTCTGCCCATGCCCCTACCCTGGGGAGAACAGATTGAGGTCACCTTGACTTGACCTTCCTTGGGGGGTGGAGGGAGGTGGTACAGAGATGCCTTTGTTTCCTGTGCTCCAAGTCCCTTCTTCAAGGAGAGTTCCTGTTACATGGGAGCCAGAGGGGAGGTGGGGTAGGGGTGAAGGGCCTTCCCAAGAAAGCTGGAGGCTTTCTAGGAAGTATCTTTTCACCCTGCGGCAAAGGGGAGAAGCCCTGGAGCACTTAAACATCCTGTTTCACCCCCACCTTGCCTCTGCTTGGACAGCCTACCTGCACTCCAGCCCCCACCGGAGAAGGCTTCTAGAAGTGGGGCCATGGGCCCATGCTCAGAGTATACCCCACCTCTGAGGCCAGGCCCTGGTACCTCCCTATAGAAATGCCACCCCCATTCTTGTCCAAGAAGACAGATCAGGACCTAGGGAGGGTGTGTGTTTATATGCACAGGGTGAGGACTTCTGTGCAAATCTGGGGGAAGGGAAGGAGCTGCCGGAGCTTGGGTGAAGCCCGTTCCTGCCGCTGTCCCCTATCCACCACTCTTCAGGGAAGTCACTTTACAGTGAAGTCACCAAGAGAACACAAGGCCATCCTGCCTGAGGCATAGTGACTGTCCTCTGTTTCTGGGAATAGCATGAGGGGAAGGGTGTGGGGCTGGACAGGGTGGGTAGGAGAGGAGTCCTGCTTCCTCTGCCCAGCTGCCCAGCCTGCCTGCCCTGGGGGAGAGGCTTGTAGGCCGGTTTCTTTCTGGACGAAGAGAAGAGGATGCAGAGTCTGTGCCAGGTTCACATTTCCCAGCCAGTCAGGTGGGCAGGAGGAGCCCACCCTTTGCAGCCCCCTCATTGCAGGGCCAGGCCCAGGAGCCTGGAGAGAGGAGAGAGGGCACACAGAGCCAGGCAGCTGAGTGGAATTGGCACTGTCCTGGGCAGCCCTGGGTCAAGCCTGGCTTCTCATCCTCATCCATGATGACTATCAGGCCGCTCTTCCCGCTGAGCTAGTTTCTCCTCCTTCCAGCCCAACAAGAAATCTTTTGTGCCTTGGCCAGCCCAGTACCCAACCTCAAGCCCTCTGGGGGTTGTGTGCGAGGGGGCTGAGCATCTTCCACGACACCTCCCAGTACTCTGCCACTTTCCTTTGTTATGACTGGAGGGGGTTCCTTTCTGTAGAATCTGTTTCTCATTGTTTCTTCGTTTCTTAAGTCTCAGATCTACCCACATCTTCCTTGCTCCAAGCCTCAAAAAAGTGCTTCGGCCAGGCTTTTCCCCTTACGCTGGCCTCTCAACTCCAAGCACTAGCCCCTTTCATTCCATCTACCTGGAATGTCATTCCTCCCTTGGCCACCTGGTGAAATTGGCCTCATCTTTCCTAGGGTTAGTGTGGCCTAGAGGAAAACACAAAGGCTTTGGAGTCATAAGGTCCTGGTGCAGACCCTGGCTCTGCTGTAGGATCTTGAGTGAGTGAGTCTGCCTCTTGGATCTAAGCATCCTCACTTGTAAAGAAATAGCAAGACCCACTGCTGGGATTTCTGTTAAGACCCAGTCACAGGCCCGGTGCGGTGGCTCAAGCCTGTAATCCTAGCACTTTGGGAGGCTGAGGCAGGTGGATCACCTGAGGTCAGGAGTTTGAGGCCAGCCTGACCAAGCCAGCACAGACTCAGCATGGTGAAACCTTGTCTCTATTAAAAATAAAAAAATTAGCCAGGTGTGGTGGCAGATGCCTGTAATCCCAGCTATTTGGGAGGCTGAGGCAGGAGAATCACTTGAACCTGGGAGGCAGAGGTGGCAGTGAGATGAGATCACACCACTGCACTCCAGCCTGGGTGACAGAGCGAGACTCTGTCTAAAAAAAAAAGACTCAGTCACAGTGGCTGGTGCATTGTAGGTGCTCAGAGGCCTTGGCCAGTAGAGCTGGGTGTTTTTTCCTCTGCCCTTCAATCCCATCTGTATTACAGGCCCCTTCTTATGGCCCTAACACATTGCCTAAAGGGCTATGTCCCACTGCTTGTCCACAATAGAGTCTTCATAAATATCTGTTGGATTAATGAAGGCCCCTAAACCAGCACAGAACTTCCGGAGCTTTGACGGTTCAGGGCAGCCCCCTGTTCACTGACCACCCCCACCATGGTTCCCAGAAGACTCTCCCCCTGCTGCCCTGGCCTCTGCCTGCTCTGGTCCCACTGAGCTGCTTTTCTACACACAGTGGCAGCAGCAGCCTCATCTTTGCCTGGTGCTGGGCTGAATTTTGAGTTCTTAACCTGCCTGGCAAGCCAGCAAGATACTGGCTGCAGTGGCACTCTGCTCCCTCCTCTGCGTCCGCCCCACCCTCCCTGGATAATGCTGCATCCCCCAGGACTCTGGGTGGAGAGAGCCCAGTGACCCTGTCCCAAGAGGCGGGGTCGGGGGATCCTTGGCCTTTCCAGAGAGCCCACCCTTTAGCCTTTAGCTCTGGCTGGAAGGGAGCCCAGATTGGTGAGGCACACAGGAGCAAGACTGAGAGCAGGTGTGTGAGACTCTCCAGGTGGCGAGTCCTCCATGCACCTGCACATCCATCGCTCCCGTCCTCTCCCCTCCCCTCCATGTGACAAAGCACCAGCTCTCTCCTGGCCAGCACACTGGCTGGGATTAGGCTGAGGGAAAGAAAGAGAGAAAATGCTTTTTTATCAAGTGCCAGGCACAGTGCTTAGTTGCCTTCACAAATGCTCTCCTTTTTCCTTTAAAAAAACTGTCTATTTTACTAATGTTTTAATAGGGAGCATCTGCACATGATATATGTATTTTGTAACAAAAGATTCAAAAGGGTATGTGGTGAAAAGTTAGTCTCTGCCCTTTCCTGTCCCCCAGGGCCCTTCTGGAGGGGCAACAACAGTTGCTGGGGTCTTTTGTGCATTTAAATGCACGGAAGGATTCTGTGGATTTGAAACATATATTACACTCTACCCCCTAACTATGATTTACACGTGATGGGAAACTGAGATCCTCAGAGACATTAAGTACCTAGACCAAAGTCACACAGCTAGTTTTTTTTTGTTTTTGTTTTTGTTTTTTTTTTTTGAGACGGAATCTCGCTCTGTCGCCCAGGCTGGAGTGCAGTGGCGCGATCTCTGCTCACTGCAACCTCAGCCTCCCGGGTTCACGCCATTCTCCTGGCTCAGCCTCCGGAGTAGCTGGGACTACAGGCGCCCGCCACCACGCCCGGCTAATTTTTGGTATTTTTAGTAGAGTCAGGGTTTCACCGTGTTAGCCAGGATGGTCTCGATCGCCTGACCTCCTGACCCACCCGCCTCGGCCTCCCAAAGTGCTGGGATTACAGGTGTGAGCCACCGCGCCCGGCCAACAGCTAGTAAGTTAGCAGAGCTGGGATTTAGAACCATATCTAACTTTTCACCACCAATGCTCTGGCAGAAGTAAGCAGGGGCACTGACAGAGCCCTCCGAAACTGCAGAGCCCATTCCAAACCGAGGCCACGCCATTCTGAGGCCTTGGAGATCTGGCATCCCCGCCTTCTTTTCTGTTGAGCATCCTATACCTTCTCCACATGGCTCCAGGGTCCTGTACTGACCTATCCCCCTATGGAAGGATTCATCCCCACAGGGAAAAAGGGACATTCCCACAGTGCCCTTTCTTAGCAAATGTGTGGCCGGTGGTTGCCCAGGGTCAGCCTGACTCCTGGGATGCAGGAGGGAAGCCATAATAACGAAGGCCTCTGGTTTCTGGCCAGAGGGGATCATGGTTGTGGCTTCAGTGACGTTCCCAGAAAATGGCCTCATGATCTCTGGGGCAGGAGTGAGGGAGGATGTGAAGCAGGGAAGCTGCCCCCTCTGAAAGCCATGTGTTCATCTATGAGAGAGAGAGGGGAGGAGGCTGTAGGATGGGAGCAGGGGCATGCATGGACAAGGGCTGTGGACTAGACCCCCAGGCTCTTCCCCCAAGCCTCTCTCCTGGGTCAGGCTGGTGCACTAAGGGATGAGACCCTCCAGTGGACATTGCTGCATCTCCAGGTACCTTCTTGGGTCATTCCTGATGGGTTGGACTGTGGGGTCTTTCAGGATCCTAGCTTCCTGTTCAGTTTCTTTCTTTCTGTCATGTCTTAAGTCTGGTGTCCCCTCAATTTAAGGGAATATGTCCCCGAGGCCTAGAAGAAGAGGGTCCCACCCCATCAGAACTGTCAAGCAGAGAAGCAGGTGTCAGGCCTTCCCATCCCAGGATGACAACATTCTGTTTTGCTGAGGTAGTGACCCAGAACATTCTGTCCTCAGCATCTGTGCACACACCCAGCCAGGTCTAGCTTGGTGCCTGGTGACCATCAGTCAGAGATGTGCCTAGAGCTGCAAGAATCAAGAGGCATTCCCACCCACCCTTCAGGACATTTTTTTTTTTTTTTCTGAGATGGAGTTTTGCTCTTGCTGCCCAGGCTGGAGTGCAATGGTGTGATTTTGGCTCACCGCAACCTCCGCCTCCCAGTTTCAAGTGATTCTCCTGCCTCAGCCTCCCAAGTAGCTGGGATTACAGGCATGTAATCCTGTAATGGCACCACCATGCCCAGCTAATTTTGTATTTTTAGTAAAGACGAGGTTTCTCCACGTTGGTTAGGCTGGTCTCGAACTCCCGATCTCGGGTGATCCACCCGCCTCGGCCTCCTAAAGTGCTGGGATTACAGGCGTGAGCCACTGCGCCCGGCCCCCTTCAGGACATTTAAACTAGCGCCCTGTGGCTGCCACAAACCAGCTGGCTTGAGTCCTAGACCGCCGGTCTTGGGAAGAGGAGTATTCATCTTAGCTGCTACTAAACACCACAGTAGTAGTTAACCGCTATACAGTGCTTTACAGTGAAGCACTTTACATGTAGTAAACACTTATTTCCCGCAACCCGATGAGGTAGGTACTGTCTCTATCACCACATTACAAACGAGAAGATAGAGGAAAACACACTCAAGATTACCCAGCTCAAGGAATTGACAGAGTCTGGTTTGAGAACCTGTACTTTTTTTTTTTTTTCTTTTTTTGAGACAGGTCTCACTCTGTCGCCCAGGCTGGAGAGCAGTGGCACAATCATGGCTCACTACAGCTTCAGGCTGGGCACAGTGGCTCACAAATGTAATTCCAGCACTTTGGGAGGCTGAGGAGGGAGGGTTGCTTGAGCCATAAGTTCTTGAACAGCCCAGGCAATATAATGAGACCCTGTCTTTACAAATATTTTTTTTTTTTTGAGATGGAGTCTCACTCTGTCGCCCCAGGCTGGAGTGCAGTTTCGTGATCTCGGCTCACTGCAACCTCTGCCTCTCGGGTTCAAGCAATTCTCCTGCCTCAGCCTCCCCAGTAGCTGGGACTACAGGCGCGCACCACCACGTCCAGCTAATTTTTGTATTTTTAGTAGAGACAGGGTTTCAACATATTGGCCAGGCTGGTCTGGAACACCTGACCTCGTGATCCACCGACCTTGGCTTCCCAAAGTGCTGGGACTACAGGCGTGAGCCACCGTGCCCGGCCTACAAATAATTTTAAAAAATTAATCTGGGAGTAGTGGTGCACGTCTGTGGTCCCAGTTACTCATAAGGCTGAGGCAGGAGGATTGCTTGAGCCCAGGAGGTTGCCTTGAGCTGTGATTGTGCCACCACACCATGAGACCTTTTTCTGTGAGACTGTCTCCAAAAAATAAAAATAAAAAAAAATCATCACACCCTTGACCTCCCAGGCTCAAGTGATCCTCCCACCTTAGCCTCCTCAGTAGCTGGGACCACAGGTGTGTGTCGCCACACCGGGCTAGACCCTGTCCTCTTAATGACTGCATAGTCCTTGTAACCTCCATTTGCATTCCTAGAGCATAGCATTTGTTCCAAAAATATTTATTGAGTGTCTGTTCTGGGCTTGAACACGAGTAGGAGGATTTAAAAGTGAATAGCATATTGCGTCTGCCCTTGGGGACAGAGACAGAAACATGAAAACATGAAATTGTCCTTCAACACAAGAAGTGCTGTAATAGAGGCATGAATAACGCGGTGGGAAACAAGGAGGGAGGTCATGCTGCCTGAAGCAAATGTCACCGAAGGGCAGACATCAAGAAGGCAGGACATTCCAGGCAGAGGGAATAGCATGTGTGCAGGGATGAAAGCTCACAAGAAAGAGAAACATGAGTCAGGTGCGGTGGCTGATGCCTGTAATCCCAGCACTTTGGGAGGCTGAGGCGGGCAGATTACGAGGTCAGGAGTTCGAGACCAGCCTGGCCAACATGGTGAAACCCCGTCTCTACTACAAAAATACAAAAATTAGCCGGATGTGGTGGTGTGCGCCTGTAATCCCAGCTACTCAGGAGGCTGAGGAAGGAGAATCACTTGAACCCAGGAGGTGGAGGTTGCCGTGAGCTGAGACCGCACCATTTCACTCCAGCCTGGGCAACAGAGAGAGACTCCGTCTCAAAAAAAAAAAAAAAGAAAAGAAAAAGAAAAGATAAAAGAGAAATATGGAGAACATGGAGCACCTGAGTGTCAAAACATCATGGGCAGTAACTGTCAGGGAGATTGCCAGAGAGCTCGGGGTTGGTTGGCGCATCCATCCTGCTTCCTGCTTCCTTCTCTGGCCTCCAAGCTCCCTGAACCTACTCTGTGCAAAGCACTGTGCCAGGTGTTGGCCCAGAGTATGGGACTGCAGCAGTGGCCTGGGTAGCGGAGAAGGGTTTTTTGACCAGCTGGAGACCTTTGTGGCTGGTGTCATTCTGGAGGTGAAGAGAAGGCCGCTGGAAAGAGCTGCCCAGGGAGGACTATGGGAGAACTTGCAGCTCTGGGCCATCTCTGGACATGAACGTTTTGCATACACACAGGGGAGCTCTGTGTGTCTGAGTGGGGGCGGGAGGGGTCCTTCTCTCTCTTTTGGCCCCTGCAGCTTGGCTTCTGGAGCTTTCCTATGTCTTGCTTTAGTGCTAGCCCTTGGAGGGTTGCCAGGGAAACCGCTGGCCAGCTCCGGGAGATAGACGTAGCAGAGGAAAGGAGAGTGGGTGACTCAGCCTGGCTTCCCACAACCGCAACCCCCTCCTCAGCACGTGGAAAGGATCTGGGGGACCCCCTTCCCCTGGATCCTACAGATGACCCTGTTTATTCTTTCTTCTCTAGAGAGAGCAGTCCCTCCCGCAGCTCTGACTGGTGGGAGCCAGCCAGATTTTCCCAGGAAGGGAACCGGCCCCAGGCGCCCCGTCCCCCGTAGGTTCACCCTGGAACTCGGACAGGTGAATTCGGCCTGGGCGAATGTGAATTCCTGCCGTGCCCATGCAGGCGGCAGGAGCCCTGGCTGAGACGCCCTCCCGGGGGCAAACCCAGGATAATTATTGATCGGGGCCCCTGTGGACTTCTGACCTCGGCCTCGGCGGGAGAGGACCCGGAACGCGGGCCTGGGCTCCCAGGGAGAGAGGTGGGCGGGCCGCGGAGGGGGCCAACCAAAACGACCACGACAGTGCGCCCTAGCCCTGCTAGTGGTGGTCGACCCAACCCAAACAAAGCAGCATGTGCTTGCGGTGCGGCGTCGGCTAGGGAGCCGAGCCGGGAAGACACCCCACCGCCGCAGAAAGGGGGTGCGCGCGGCGCCGGCACCGGCACCGCCGAGCGCGCCGCCACCTCGGGTGTGCCGAGGGGGTCCGGGTCCTTCAAGGGCGGTCGCGGAGGGGGCGCGAGGGACAGCGGGCTAGCGAGCGCGCGCCGGGCGGAACCAGGAAGCGGGGCGCGCTCCGGGTTGCCAGCGGCGCGCGTCCCTGGGCCTCCGCGCGTGAGCGGCGCGCGCGCCCCCGCGGGCCCCGGCGGGAGGAGAGTCGGCGGCCGGAGCCGTCACCCCGGGCGGGGACCCAGCGCAGGCAACTCCGCGCGGCGGCCCGGCCGAGGGAGGGAGCGAGCGGGCGGGCGGGCAAGCCAGACAGCTGGGCCGGAGCAGCCGCGGGCGCCCGAGGGGCCGAGCGAGGTAGGAGCTGCGGGGCGAGCCCTGGGCCCGGGGCCGGGGGAGCCAGGCCGGGGAGCCAGCCCGGGCGGGGCCCGCGCTCCAGCCGCTCAGCCGCCCGTCAGGGCCGCGCCGCCGCCATCACTCCCGGGCCGCGGTGGTTGCGCGCTGGGCGAGGGGCGCGCGCGGGGAGAGGGGGTCCGGGTTGGCTGCCGGGGAGGCTGAGGGCAATGCGGGGTGCGCGAGGGGGACTTGCGAACGCCGCGGCGCCGCGGGGGGCGTGCGCTTTAAAGGCTGCGTGCGCGTGTGCTGAGTGGGTGTGTGGGGACCCCGCGCCGACCCCATAGGAGCTCAGGGGGCTGCTGTCAGCCGCCTCACACCTTCACGTTGCAATTCCGAATATCCCCAGCCGTCTTCCTTGCTTTAACTTCTTTCTTTCAAAAGAGGTTCCCGGGACTCCGGGGATGGGATGAGCCTGCGGGGGTGCCTGGTGCGGTGGGGGGTATTAGCAAAGCTTCAAGAAACAGGGCCTTATAAGGAATCAAGACAACAAATACGAACGTTTCGATAAGACTCTGGGGGGCGGGATCCCACATCAGGACCCGCCAGGCCTGGGCTCGTGCGTGTGGCCGTGGGATGCAGTGTGCTTTTTCTTTCTAGTCAGGGATAAAGGGTTAAAAGTGCTCCTGGTGTCGGGGGGTAGATATGGAGAGTCGGAAGGGGAGTTGTATCACAAAAGCTGGTCTGAGGCTAAAGGAATCTGGCAAGATGGTCGGGGTGAACAAAGAGGAAAGAACTCACACGGAGCAAGAGGCGGTTGCAAACACTTGTAGCCAGCAGTGATGGAAAAGCCAAAGAAGAAAACCAAGTGTCAGCTTTTAGAAAGACGGGATTAATGAAAAGCACAAGAATTTTAAAGACTAAAAGAGATACCGATTCTCTCTTTGCCAAAGAGCCAGAGTCAGTTCTTTTCTTCTTGGTCCCTGTGATCCCGCCATACCTCGTATCAAATAAATAGTGCCAAAAGTGGGTCAAAGAATGTTAGAGCTGGAAAGGAACCCAGCGATGATGCCATTCTTTTATTGTACAAATGAGGAAACTGAGGCCCAGATAGGTGGAGTAAGTGGCCTGCTCAGGTGACACGGCTGTTTGTTGAGTATCCAGGGATTGAAACTTCAAGGACTCTGAGATTCGTGCTCTTCCCAAAGCATCGTGCAGTATACAGATCTTTGCCTAGATACAATTCCATACATTTTCTCTGCAGTGTCCTCAGGGAATGCCCTTTGAAAGGGCCAGCGTGACACTGAATATCATACTTGGGCTTATGTCATTTTTTTCAGTCTTCAAGTGGTGTTTATGGTCTGCTTGGATCTTAGGTTTCCAAAGCTGTTGGATAGCCGCCTGGGCCATAATAAGCTTTCAGCTGTTGGGTCTACATTATTTCAAATAATTTTGTTATCTTTCAATTAAGGTAATAGAACTGTGCCTCTCTCCCCAACATTCTATTGTTGTCCATTTGCTTATGTTATATTGCGTTATGTTCATTGCCTGTGAGTTCCTAGGTGAGGATGTATTTTATTGAGTGTGCCTTTCATGTTTTAAAATTTCATTTTGTAACACTGTAAATATTGGAGTGGTTCTGATCACTTCAAATGGGGAGAATCTTATTGATTGATTTTATTTTAAGGCTTTGGGTTGTTTTGTTTATTCATTTGGGTACCAGTTTCCATCTCATGGAAGATCACAGTTGTTAGAATGGACATGGCTAAATAAGAGAAGGGGCTGCTGATTTTAAGAAAAACTTCCTATGTGACAATTTGTGGTATCTGTTACGTTTAATTCAAACAAGTCCACACCTTGGGTCAGGTAAGCGCGTTATCTAGGAGATGACTTGTTTGCTACTGTAGCCTCTGGAAGATGAAATTTCAAGCTCCAGATTGAGACACAGGGAAGGAATGGAGAGGTTTTTTTTTTTTTTTTTTTTTTTTTTGTAAAGCAAACCATCAGAAAAAAAAAGTTGATTTCTATCACCAGTAGTTTGGTTATTGCATAACTTGAAGCTAAACTCTGCACAAAATAATCTTTGCTATATACCCAACTAGGTAAACTATCCCACCTTCTCATCAGTTCTCACCTTTTCGGTGCTTGTATTTTTTGCCCACGGGATATTAATATGGATTGTGTTCAGAAATTTAAGGTGTGTACTTCATAGTATGTATGATTGTAGGAGAAAAATGTGCTATCATCGTTTGGAGTGTTACAACATAAATATTTTGGTCAACACTTCCTATCCTGCTCTGACTTTTCATCTCATCTCCATTTTCTTCCTCTCTTGATTGTTTTTATGTCATTTACATATGTAAAAGCCACATCAAGACTAAAGTTGCCATTTATTACTTTTTGATACTTAAGTCGAGTTTTTTCAAATCATAGTATTGTTAGTATTCAAATTGTCTGTAATTTTTGTTAGGCTTATATATTATGAATCCATTTGTTGTGGTTTATTTGGCTTGTTGTTATGTAGGTAGGTGACACAGGTAGTCTTATTGTAAAAGGAAGACGTTATAGATAGGTAAATAACATGCTCAAGATTAGATGCAGGTTACAGGTGGAATCGAAGGAAGCCTAACTATTTTCGTGCCCTACAAAAATGTCTGTATCTCATAAAGTTATTCACAGATTTCTGGACATTCTATCTGTGACACATTTTTTCCCTTTCTGTTAAGAGTGCAGATTACTGCATTATTCCTACAAAAGGAAGCAAAATAACCCTAGTTTGTATGATTTTTCTGATAATTTGAAACTTATTCGTTTAAAAAGCTATCTGGCAATTCCAGGTTACTGGACTCTTGAGAAGAATATCCTTTTATTTTGATACTATAAAATATCAAAGTATCAAAATACTTTAACTGTGCAACTTAATAAAAATAATGCTTCAAAGTTAGCTCTGCACTATCGCTGTCCTCAAATGTGTGGTATTTAAAGGAAGAAAATGTTTTTAATTCTGAGCTTTGTGAATAGAACTCTTCTAAAATCAGAAGTTTTTTTTTTTCTCCTGCAGTGTTGGAAACACAACAGTTTTATGCTTATTTCTGGGAATAAGAAAGTCAAACTTAACAATCTAGTTTCCATTGATCAGACAGTTTTTGTACTTAAATTTAAGTTCTAAGCATCAGAGTGATAAATACTTTTTAAAATTGTATTCACTGTTAATTATAGTGGCCTTATTTGAAGTAAAATCTTGACATTGGGTGTTTTATTAATGATGATCCTCTGCTACTGAAAAGCCTATGTCAGTTTGGAGAAGATTTTGCACATCTAAATCTATGCTGTTTTTACTAATCAAAAGAGAAGAGCAATTTACAGGTGTTAGATTTTTAGTTGGTTGAATGAGACCCTCACTTTTGATGGTTTCAGAGTTGAAGTGACGTTTTATTACTTTTGTTAGTTTGGGTCACACCCATCACTTCCTTGGAAGGTATCTTTGAGGTTTGGTTTCCTTTTTTTTTAAATGGTAATATTGGGGTGGGGGTGCTTCCTGTTTGTATTTTCAAAATTAGGTCCACATGTTAACCTTCTTGTAGTGTCACATTTTTATTTTAAACTTATACAGACAAACATCAGATGCCATGTGGTTTGTCTCTGACCCTTTGCGCTACTTCATGACAGCTTTACTGAGTGAAGCCTGAATACCCAATCGGGAAGGCAAGATGTTCTTGTCTTTTCCCAACTCTCTTCAAAGTTTAACAGCCTTGGAAGGAGTCTTAGAACAGCAACAAAAGCACAATTTACAGAAAAATGGAGGTGCTGCTATCTGTTTCCTCGCAGGTACTTGGAAAATGTATAGCACTAAGATAGAGTTGAAACATGTTATGTAGAGCCTTGAATGTCGGTGCTTCAAAGAGGAGTTGCTCTGGGTTTACATGATACAGAACCCCATGGTTTATATTAAGTAGTAATGATAGCCGTTTTTCTGGACTCGCTTAAAAGCCATACACAGTGTCATGGAAAAGAGTTAAGAACAAGGTGAAATTCAGGGTATGGTATTAGAGCTCAGGAGGAATCACCTTCAGCCTTAAAACTCTTCCTTTACTCTCCTGGATCACTTAAGTGATAGGTCACTTTTAATATAAATGTTGCAGGATGAGTTAAGTGGAGCCTTGAGAAATATGTGTAGATTGTTTCAGTGATTAAAGCAAGTGTTCTTTTCCTGGCCTTTAACTCGCTTTATGCTAAGAAGTGTAATAACTAAATAGACTCCTAATTGAATTGACATTCAGATGTGTTTGCAGTTTAGGGGGAGTTTACCTCTTCTAAATTTTCATTTGGATCCCATTACTAAAAGCAGTATTGCATTAGCATGGTGCACAATTATGTACAATTCAATTTGCAAATGAAGTTAATACTTGGAGTATCTTGACTTCCTATTCCCCTGCTGCCCCAATATTCAAGAAAGGAGAAGTTATAATTTGTCACATACAAGATGGTTTCTTCTTTAGGTTTATTCTTAATAACTATGTCCATTTTCACATGGATGACACCACTGAGATGATGAATACCTGTATTGATTGATTGATGAAGAACATTTATCTTTTTCTACCTACTTTTGGAAGCTAGCTTGCAAAATCTACTGCAACATTCACTCTTCATGTATCCTTCTATTACCTTTGGTACCCTGAATAACCTTTTAAAAATTTTTGTACTTTTCTAATATGAAGAGAAGTAGCTTCATATTCTATGCTAGTTTTCTGAGGTGCTTGTGCTGACTCATTTTTTAAATTATACTAAGATATAGAGCATGGTTTGAGAGCAGTAATGAGATTCTCAGAAAATATGAAAACTTTCCTTTCTGACTAGTTAGAGAAAGGTTGGGGAAGACAAGGGGAAATACATCAATGAGCCAATCAATTATTGTTATTTGTTGGGATTAATTTGGTGACTAATATTTTTAATGCCCATCAGGCTACTAAATGTGAATTTGGCTTTACCCTGTAATGATAACAGGACAAACCCAACGGGTTTCTAACATTGCTTGTTTTCCCCTGGTAGGGGATTTCTTTGCATATGGGAAATCAGGCCGAAGTTGCCAGTAACAGCCACATCCATGATTTGTATTAAAAATAACTATTCATCATTCTGGGCTAGAGCTCTGCTTACCATGGCTCACCTGGGAAGATATTCTGATTATGTATCTAATCATTATGATGCCACCTTTCGAGAGGTGAGCAGACAATTAACAAGTCCTTCAAATTATGTTCAAAACCCAGAGTTTGAGAAAATGTTCCAACGCCTTCAAGTGTGAAGATAATAAAAACATTACCTAATGCTTACCGTTCACTGACAGTGTGCTGGGCAGACATTGTTTTCAGCTCTGGCCTTGTGTTAACTCGTGATTCTCAGAGGAGTGGGTATTATTCCCAGATGGAAGATGAAGAAATGGCCACAGAGAAGTTAAGTAATTTGTCCAAGGTCACATTACTGTTCTTGGCGGGGCTGATTCCAGAGACTGCATCCCTAACTAGTGTACAGCAAAAGCGAGCTGGCCACTGCCACTTTGTTATAAGACATTTTGTTTCTTTGAGGCTTGTATTTCTTTGTGTTCCCAAATGGAGTCTCGTTGGTTTTTGAATAGAAAATATTTTTATATGTTTAGGATTTTTTTAAATGTTGATGAAGATGGTGATAAATATTTTTCCAATTAAAGTATATACTTCTGGTGGAAATTATATTAAAGAAGAGAAAGTCTTAATTTTTATTATAAGTTGTCTTTCATTCTTCTTCCCCTAGCATTACCGTGTACATCATAGAAGAAGAGCTATAAGCTGTCTCCTTGGCCTCTGTTTACAAACAAAGGGATCATTTGTGCCAATGTAGTGGGTTTGTGTTGACATGCACGTCTGTACTGAGAACTCAACAATCCCACTCATTTTATTTACAACTTTATTTTGCGGGGATTTCTGTCCTATTCTTGTTGCATTAAAGCTTTTTAGAGCATTAGTCATGATTTCTGAGACAGATTTAAGAATTTTACTTATTTGGGCTAATTTATTATTATTATTTCTTGAGACAGAGCCTCGCTCTGTCACCCAGGCTGGAATGCAGTGGCGCGATCTTGGCTCACTGCAACCTCCGTCTCCTGGGTTCAAGAGATTCTCCTGCCCAGCCTCCGGAGTAGCTAGGACTACAGGCATGTGCCACCATGCCCAGCTAATTTTTGTATTTTTAGTAGAGACGGGGTTTTGACATGTTGGCCAGGCTGGTCTCGAACTCCTGACCTCAGGTGATCCTCCTGCCTTGGCCTTCCGAAGTGCTGGGATTACAGGCATAAGCCACCATGCCCAGCCTATTTGGGCGAATTTTTAAGGCAACTGAACTATTGTATGTCTAGAGCTCTGCAAAGGCCATTAGAAAATAGTCTCAGATTTTTTTTTTTTTTTCATTTATGATGCTTACTTTCTCTCAGCACTTTTCCTTGGGAGTGGATTGTGAAGTTAAGTCTTGGAAACAGAATTCACAACCCTAAAGCGTAGTGCTTTAACTTTGGGAGATCAAGTCACAGACAAGAAGAACTTCAATTCCCTGTGCAGAGTATAAACTTGTTCAAATAAACAGAGGATGTTAGCTTCCAGGATTGTCAACTGTCACCTTTGACCAGGGTTGAATTTTCTTTGAATGTTGACAGAAGTTACAATGTCAGTGGAAAAAGCTTAATGTGAGGTATCTATAACTCAGAATTTCCTTATGTTTGTGTCAGTGAGATCCTACAATTAAAGCTGCTTCTTTTTTTCTATGTCTGATGAGTTTTAAAAGCCTTCACTGGGGTTTTCCAGCCTTTAGGTGAGAGTAAGTTAAAAAGTTTGTGAGAAACTATTTTTTGTTGTCTAAAATTCAGAGCCTAGGTCGGGCCCAGTGGCTCACGCCTGTAATCCTAACAATTTGGGAGGCCGAGGCAAGCGGATCACGTGAGGTCAGGAGTTGGAGACCAGCCTGGCCAACATGGTGAAACCCTGTCTCTACTAAAAATACAAAAATTAGCCAGGTGTGGTGGTGCACGCCTGTAATCCCAGCTACTCAGGAGGCTGAGGCAGAAGAATCACTTGAACCCAGGAGGCAGAGGTTACAGTGAGCCGAGATCGCACTACTGTGCTCCAGCCTGGGAGACGGAGCGAGACTCCATCTCAAAAAAATAAATAAATTAAATAAATTCAGAGCCTATAGCTGGTGGCAAGTCACTGTTTTTGAAGGAGTGGGATTTTAAAAAATCTAACCTGGGCTAAATGTTAAGTTACATTCATACATGTCATTGTAGCCTATATAAAAAGAAACTTGAACACTTGATCTCTTAAAGTACTAAAAATTGGAATTCATCAGCTTTGTAATATAGCATTCATTCTACAGTATATTTAAATAGGTAAAATGTTCTGTTAGAAATAATGCTAATTCTGTTTTTTTGTTTAATGTTTCTAAAAATCTTTTGGTCATCTTTTAGGTTTAGGAAAAGTAGCAAATTAGAGATCTACAGAAATCTACAGCTCTTTAAAAATGAAACAGTTCACCCTGTGAATTTGTTTGCAGGATTGGTGATCTGTTTCTGATGCCAGGAAGGTGGGACTCCTATCTCATTTCTGATAGAAAGTGAGGGAAAGCTATGTATAGTGAGAACTGGATACTAGATTCTTATTCCGAAGGCATGGAAGGTTTAATATGTAAGGATACAATGTAAATAGTCCCTCTTTTTGTATTTTTCTTTGGTTATTGTTACGTAACTATAGTCGTTTGTCACTTAATGATACATGGTGACAAAGTTCTAAGAAATGCATTAGGCGATTTTGTCATTGTGGTACCATCATAGAGGGTACTTACACAAACGTAGATGGTGAGCCCTACTGCACACCTAGGCTGTATGATAAAGCCTATTGCTCCTAGACTACAAACCTGTGGAACATGTATACTGTATTGAGTACTGTAGACAATTGTAACACAAGGGTAAGTATTTGTGTATCTAAACATATCTAAATATAGAAAAGTTACAGTAAAAACATGGCATAAAGGATAAAAAATGGTACATCTATATAGGGTACTTAACAGGAATGGAGCTTGCAGGACTGGAAGTTGCTCTGGGCAACTCAGTGGGTGAATGGTGAGTGAATGTGAAGGCCTAGGACATTACTGTACATTACTGTAGATTTTAAAAATACTGTCTGGTTAGGCTACATTAAATGTATTTTGAAAATTGTTTCTTTCTTCAATAATAACCTTAGCCTACTGTAATACTTTTACTTTGTAAACTTTTTACTTTTTTTTTTTTTTTTTGAGATGGAGTCTTGCTCTTGTGGCCCAGGCTGGAGTGCAGTGGCGTGATCTCGGATCACTGCAACCTCTACCTCCCGGTTCAAGCAATTCTCCTTCCTCAGCCTCCCGAATAGCTGGGATTACAGGCGTGTGCCACCACGCCTGGCTAATTTTTGTATTTTTAGTAGAGACGGGGTTTCACCATGTTGGCCAGGCTGGTCTCAAACTTCTGACCTCAGGTGATCCACCCACTTTGACCTCCCAAAGTGCTCGGATTATAGGTGTGAGCCGCCGTGCCCGGCCAACTGTTTACTTTTTTACACTTTTAAACTCTTTTGTAGTAACACTTAGCTTAACACATAAACATGTACAGCTGTGCAACAATATTTTCTTTATGTTTTTATTCTTTTACTTTTTCTCTTTTTAAATAATTTTTAATTTTTCAAAACTTTAAAAACTTTTTAATTTTTCAAAACTTTAAAAACTTTTTCTTAAAAGTGAAGGCATAAACACACACATTAGTCTAGGCCTACACAGGGTCAGGGTCATCAGTATCACTGTCTTGCACCTCCACATCTTGTTCCACTGAAAGGTCTTCAGGGGCAGTAACACATATGGAGCTGTCATCTCTTGTGATAACAATGCCTCCTGAAGGACCTGCCTGAGGCTGTTTTACAGTTAACTTTTTTTTTTAAGTAGAAGGAGTACACTCTAAAATAACGATAAAAAGTATGGTAAATACATAAACCAGTAACATAGGCATTTATTATCATTATCAAGTATGTACTGCACGCAATTGTATGTGCTAGACTTTCACATGACTGGCAGTGCAGTGGGTTTGTTTACACCAGCATTGCCACAAACATGTGAGTCATGCATTGCATTACAACATTATGATGGCTACAGCGTCACTAGAGGATAGGAATTTTTCAGCTACGTTTTATTATCTTATGGGACCACAGTGATATATGTGGTCTGTCATTGACTGAAACGTCATTATGTGGTGCCTGACTACATATATGGAAACTCTGAGTGTAGTCATGTTTTACAAATGAGTTTATCTTGCAGTGAGTTTAAATATCAAGTAAAAATACTAATTTCATTGTAATGTATGAAGAGATTGGCCTTTCTCCTCATGTTGAAGGTATCAAAACAAAATAGAAAATATTTGGCTTCCTGAGTGGCATGGCTACAATTCACATGCTGAGTTGGTGATGAGGCAAGATCCCTTGACTTTGCAATACCAGAAAAATGCACATAGTTAAAAAAAAATAGAGACAGGGGTCTTGCTATGTCTCCAGGTGATCCCTCCCACCTCCACCTCCACACCTCCCACCTCAACCTTCCACAGTATTGGGATTACAGGAATGAGTCACTGCACCGGGCCAAAAAGCATATAATTTTAAGGGAATGATTTTTTTTTTTTTTTTTTTATTTTTTGAGACAGTGTCTTGCTCTGTTGCCCAGGATGAGTGAAGTGTGCCAGGAGTGGGTCCTTAAGTAAGAAAACGTATTACTTTAGACACACATTTAAAATTTTGTCCAAAAATGTGATATTCTCAAAATTTATGGTTTTGAATTTTATTTATTATTTTAATTTATTATTATTATTTTTTAAAGAGTGGGGTCTCACTATGTTGCCCGGGCTGGTCTCAAAGTCCTGAGCTCAAGTGATCCTCCCACCTCAGCCTCCAGAGTAGATGGGACTGCAGGTGTGAGCCCCTGAGCCTGGCTAGTTTTGAATTTTTATTACCCAAATGTGAAGAGGTCTAGTTTGCACAGAACTTAACATTACATTCCAGTTTTATTGGTAAATTTGAACAGGATATAAGTGGCTTTAATAACTAATAAAAGAAGATACATCTTATAGATACACATATGTCTTTTTATATGTATACATAAATATTTAAAACTTCTTTATGCCAAAAAATGCCAGAAACCAAAGCTAAGTGACAAAATAAGAAAAATATTTCTAATATATATGACAAAGCATTATGGGTAAATATTCGTAATATATAAGTAATCTATATAAGTAGTAAGAAAAAGATGATTCCCATAATAGAAAATGAACAAAAGAAGAACTACAAATAGCCGATAATCATATGAAACAGTGTTCACCCATACTGGAAATCAAGAAATGCAAATAAAAATGACAAGTTTTTTCAGTTAACAGATTTATGAAGACTAAAAATATTGAAAAATAAGAGCAGTGTTGCTTGGGAATGTGGGAAACTGGCACTTTCATACTCATTGGTTGAAATGTAAATGGGTGCTTTTTTTGGATGGCAGTTTGATACATGTATTGAGAGCTTAAAAGAGTGCATACTCAAGCTGGGCATGGGAGCTCAGGCCTGTAATCCCAGCACTTTGGGAAGCTAAGGCAGTCGGATCACGAGGTCAGGAGTTCAAGACCATCCCGGCCAACATGGTGAAACCCCGTCTCTACTAAAAATACAAAAATTAGCTGGGCATGGTGGCACGTGCCTGTAATCCCAGCTACTCGGGAGGCTGAGGCAGGGAGTCAGAGGTTGCTGTGAGCCGAGATCACACTACTGCACTCCAGCCTGGTGACAGAGCGAGACTTCGTCTCAAAAAAAAAAAAGAAGAGTACATACCCTTTGACTTAGCAGTTTCATTTAGATGAATTTCATTCTAGGACATCTGAAATATGTTTAAAGATTTGTACAAATAGGCATGGGCAAGGACTTCATGTCTAAAACACCAAAAGCGATGGCAACAAAAGACAAAATTGACAAATGGGATCTAATTAGACTAAAGAGCTTCTGCACAGCAAAAGAAACTACCATCAGAGTGAACAGGCAACCTACAAAATGGGAGAAAATTTTCGCAACCTACTCATCTGACAAAGGGCTAATATCCAGAATCTACAATGAACTCAAACAAATTTACAAGAAAAAAACAAACAACCCCATCAAAAAGTGGGCGAAGGACATGAACAGACACTTCTCAAAAGAAGACATTTATGCAGCCAAAAAACACATGAAAAAATGCTCACCATCACTGGCCATCAGAGAAATGCAAATCAAAACCACAATGAGATACCATCTCACACCAGTTAGAATGGCAATCATTAAAAAGTCAGGAAACAACAGGTGCTGGAGAGGATGTGGAGAAATAGGAACACTTTTACACTGTTGATGGGACTGTAAACTAGTTCAACCATTGTGGAAGTCAGTGTGGCGATTCCTCAGGGATCTAGAACTAGAAATACCATTTGACCCAGCCATCCCATTACTGGGTATATACCCAAAGGACTATAAATCATGCTGCTATAAAGACACATGCACACGTATGTTTATTGCGGCAGTATTCACAATAGCAAAGACTTGGAACCAACCCAGATGTCCAACAACGATAGACTGGATTAAGAAAATGTGGCACATACACACCATGGAATACTATGCAGCCATAAAAAATGATGAGTTCATGTCCTTTGTAGGGACATGGATGAAATTGGAAATCATCATTCTCAGTAAACTATCGCAAGAACAAAAAACCAAACACCACATATTCTCACTCATAGGTGGGAATTGAATAATGGGAACACATGGACACAGGAAGGGGAACATCACACTCTGGGGACTGTTGTGGGGTGGGGGGAGGGGGGAGGGATAGCATTGGGAGATATACCTAATGCCAGATGACGAGTTAGTGGGTGCAGCACACCAGCATGGCACATGTATACGTATGTAACTAACCTGCACAATGTGCACATGTACCCTAAAACTTAAAGTATAATAATAAATAAATTAAAAAAAAAAGATTTGTACAAAAGGAGTGTTACTTAAAATAGCAATAAATTGGAAAAATCTTGGTATTTCCATTAGAGGTTTAATAAACTAAATCATTTATTACACCTGTGTATAGCTGTCCAATAGAATACTGTCCAGCTATTTAAATTATGTTATAAAACAATATTTAATGACCTACACAAAATTCACTATATATTACTAAATGAAAAATGAAATTACAAACAATCATATACAATTGTGCCTGGAAAAAAGAACAGGCGCTGAAAAAAGATTTCTTCTGGGTCGTGGAGTTCCCTGTGTGTGTGTGTGTGTGTGTGTGTGTGTGTGTGTGTGTGCGCGCTTTCTAGTATCTTTCCATTTTTCTATAATAAACAGATTATGGCTGGGCACAGTGACTCATGCCTATATTTCCAGCACTTTGGGAGGCTGAGGTGGGAGGATCACTTGAGTCCAGGAGTTCAAGATCAGCCTGGGCAACATAGCAAGACCCTATCTCTACAAAAAATTAAAAAATTAGCTGGGCCTGGTGGCACATGCCTGTGGTCTCAACTACTTGGGAAGATGAAGTAGGAGGATCACTTGAGCCTGGGAGTTCGAGGCTGCAATGAGCTGTGATTGAGCCACTGCATTCGTCCTGGGTGACAGAGTGAGACCTTGTCTCAAAAACAACAAATAAAAACAAACAAAAAAACAGATGATAATACAGGGAATCCTTTTGTAATCAGGAAAAAAAAGTTATCTTTAAAATGGCTGTGTGTATTGATATGTCTTAGAACGTAGAATTTGTTTTTTGTTATCAGTGTTTTCTTTTTAGAAGCAGAAAAAAGAGTTTGTGATGTTTTTGTTAATTTTTTGGTATAGTATCCTGTTTTTTGACATCTTTTGTTGAACTATGTTAAAATCATCATAATTTCATTTAACATTTTTAGAGTTTAAATAATTTGAACTTCAGGACTGTGTTATTTCCTGTGCTTCGTGGTAGCCTGTATATTTTTACACAGAAGCTTATGGAGAATTATATTGTTATATAATATAATAAATTGTTAGGGAGACAGAGGTGAAAGGATTGCTTGAACCTGGGAAGTGGAGGCTGCAGTGAGCTATAATGGTGCCATTGCACTCCCAAGCCCGGGCAATGGACAGAGACCCTGTCTCTCTTTAAAAAAAAAAAAAAATTGTTTTTGTTTTTTTATATATATATATATATATATATATATATATATATATATATATATACACACACACACACACACACACACACACATATATATACATATATATATACACACATATATATACACATATATATACACACATATATATGTGTATATATACACACACATATATGTGTGTATATACATATATATGTGTGTATATATACACATATATATGTGTGTATATATACACACATATATATGTGTATATATATACATATATGTATATATATACACACATATATATACACACTCTGCTAAGTTATTCATTTCATATTGAAGATGTTTTGAAAAAAATGGTTGAGTTTGTTTTAACCCTGAACTTTGTATTATTTCAATATATTTTCTGCATTGGCTTTTCCCCTTCATGGTGATACCTATGAAGGCTGCTAGGCTATGGATTTCTTTTTCTTATAATTCCATTAGTCACACTTAATGACTTCTCTAAATGTTTATTATGGTACTCATTTGGGAATATCTGGTAAAGGAAATCTCTAGTGAAAGATATTTTCTCTTGGGTATAAGTCATTCCTAATACCAGAGATTTATGTTCTGCCTTAATTAAATTTACATTAAATAGTTTCTTTGTAACTAGAATTAGTGTTTAAAAGAATTTTCCTGCATGGACAACATAGCAAGACCCCATCTCTACGAAAAATAAAAATATTAGCACGGGGTGCTGGTGTATGCCTATAGTCCAGCTACTCAGGAGGCTGAGGTCGGAGGATTGCTTGAGCCTGGGAGGTGGAGGATACAGTGAGCTGTGATCGCTCCACTGTACTCTAGCCTGGGTGACAGAGAAAGACCCTGTCTCAGAATAAAAATAAAAGAATTTTAACACTTGACAGAGTTTAAAGAAGAGGAATGAAAGTAAATTATGAGTTGATACTTTAAGAGAATTTAAATAAAATTACAACCTTAAAAATAGACAATTTTGAGCCCAGTAGACTTACTTATTTCATGTAAAATTTAATTAAGTAAAAATCTATTTTAGGCCAGGTGAGATGACTCACATCTGTAATCCTAGCACTTTGGGAGGCTGAGGGGGAAGGATTGCTTGAGGCCGGGAGTTCGAGACTAGCCTGGACAACGTAATGAGATCCCATCTTTATTTTTATATTAGAAAAAAATCTGGCTGGGCATGGTGGCCCATGCCTTTAATCCCAGCACTTTGGAAGGCTGAGGTGGGCTCATCACTTGAGCCCAGGGGTTCAAAAGTATCCTGGGCAACATGGTGAAACCTCATCTCTATAAAAATACAAAAATTAGCTAGACGTGGTGGTGTGTGCCTGTAGTCCCAGCTACTTGGGAGCCTGAGGTGGGAGGATGGCTTGAGCCCAGGAGGCAGAGGTTACAGTGAGCTGAGATTGCACCACTGCACTCCAGCCTGGGTGACAGAGTGAGACCCTGTCTCAAAAATAAATAAATAAAAATAAAAAATAAAAAATCTATCTTAACTTGGATTGTGCATTGTAATTTATTATAGTGAAATTGCTATAACAGAATTTTATTTTAAGCCAGTTTGGGGAATACCAAAACATTTTTAAAAATCACGTAGTACTTTTTAGTGCTTTTAAAACCTAAATCCATAAAGTAGTTAATTAAAATGCATGAAGTAAATAAGTGTTTTTCTGTATTAAAGATAAAACTATAAACATATATTGTTCAATATGCCTACATAAATAAATCATTCTCTTCTTTTTGGTTATTTTTTGCTTATCACCTCTTACCTCCTCTACTTCCTAAAAACATGATAATCTCGTTTAATTCAAAATTATGTTTTCTGGCCATACATGGTGGATTATGCCTGTAATCCTAACACTTTGGGAGGCTGAGGTGGGCGGACCACTTGAGTCAGGAGGTCGAGACCAGCCTGGCCCGCTTGGTGAGACCCTGTCTCTACTAAAAATACAAAAATTAGCCGGGCGTGGTGGCACATGTCTGTAGTCTCAGGAGGCTGAGGCAGGAGAATCATTTGAACACAGGTGGCAGATGTTGCAGTGAGCTGAGATTGCACCACTGCACTTCAGCCTCGGCGACAAAATGAGACTCTGTCTCAAGAAAAAAAAAAAAAAGGTAAGACATATAAACTAGGAAACTAAGCAATAATTGTGTACAGTATGTGGAATATTTATGTTCTAGACCAGCACTGTTCAATACAAATATAATGTGAGCTCCAATTGTAATTTTCTTAGTCTGTATCACAATAAAAAGTAAAAATAAAATTAATTTTAACAATATACTTTAATATATAAAAATTATCATTTCAACATTTGATCAATATAAAAATTATTGATTAATGAGGTATTTTGGGCCAGTTTGGGGAGCCAAAGCAGGAGGATCACTTGAGTCCAGGAGTTCGAGACCAGCCTGGGCAACATAGTGAGACCCAGTCTCTAACAACAACAACAACAAAATTAGCTAGGCATGGTGATGTGCACCTATAGTCCCAGCTACTTGGGAGGCCAAGGTGGGAGGATCACTTGAGCCGAGGAGGTTAAGGCTGCAGTGAGTCGTGTTCGTGCTACTGCATTCCAGCCTGGGCAACAGAGTGAGACCCTGTCTCAAAAAAAAACAAACGAACCCAAAAGCCCACAAAAACACTGAGATATTTTACATTCCTTTTTTTGTACGAATGCTTCAAAATCTGGTGTGTATCTTACAGTTATAAAATCTCTCAATTTAGCCACCAAATTTTCACCAGAAATGCATGAACTGTGTTCAGATTTCATAAAACTTTCAGTTGATAAAGTAGATTCACATACTGAAGGTGTTCCAAACGTACTGAAAGGTTTTCCAAGTATTAAATTGAACACCAGTTTCCAGGTTTACATTTAAGTTAATTCAAATGAGATAAAATTTGCAATTCAGTTCCCCAGTCGCACTAGCTACATTTCAAGTGCTTAGGTAGCACATGCTGCTAGAGGCTACCATAATAAACAGTGTGGCTATAGGCCTTCTAACGAAGGGAAATGAAATATAGGGCTGTCTCCTGCTTTATAACATCTGGCTTACAATCAACAAATACAAATAGGGTCGCTTGGTGCAGCAAACCACCATGGCACATGTTTACCTGTGTAACAAATCTGCACATCCTGCACATGTATCCTGGAACTTAAAATAAAACAAAACAAATAGGGTCTCTTGCCCTGTGGGAACTGAAGCCACTGCTCTGTAGGAAATAAAAGTGTCTTTCTTTTTTGTTTTTTTTTTGAGACAGAATCTCGCTATTTTGCCGAGTGAAGTGGCATGATCTTGGCTCACTGAAGCCTCCCCCCGACAGGTTCAAGCAATTCTCCTGCCTCAGCCTCCCAAGTAGCTGGGATTACAGGCACCTGCCACCACGCCCGGCTAATTTTTGTATTTTTAGTAGATACGGGGTTTCGCTGTGTTGGCCAGGCTGGTCTCAAACTCCTGACCTCAGGTGATCCACCCACCTTGGCCTTCCAAACTGTTAGGATTACAGGCGTGAGCCACCGCGCCCAGCACAAAAGTGTCTCTTACCTAAAGAAAGTGATGCCCTTAAAGCTTCCTACCATTCCCTCACCCCCAAGACACACCCAGACACCCACAGATGCACCCTCTTGTTTGAAAACTGCTGCATCCTTGCATGGCTGAAGCATTACCCATGTCCTTGAAGCTCCTGCTTTCAGAGGACCTCTCATTTCTTGGGAGTAGAAAAGCCCTCTCTGGCCAGGTGCAGTGGCTCACGCCTGTAATCCCAACACTTTGGGAGGCCAAGGTGGGAGGATCGCTTGAGCCCAAGAGTTTCAAGTCAGCCTGGGCAACATAGTGAGATCCCATCTCTGAAAACAAAATTCTGAATAAAAATAAACAGCCCACCCTGTTTCAGGTATACCTCAACTGTCAAATCACTTTTAGGCAGGGTGTTTTGTTATTTTTGTTTTGTTTCAGAGTGTTGTTTAACTTTATTTTTGAAACTGAATTTGTCTAGAAAAGAATCATATTCACCTTTTGGTCTTAGCTACTCTTCATTTTTATAAAATACATCAAGTTGATGCTTAAAATTGGGGATCTAGTTACAGATGAAATTTTTCCTTTCAAAAGAGAGTTCCCCCCAGTTTTGCTGTAGTCTTAGGAGATACTTAAGGGAGGGGAATCATTTTTAGTTCCCCCTAGGTGAGGTGGTAGCCTCCCTAAACTGCCAAGTTCACACCATGACTGGTAACACCACTGTGTGAGGAATACTGAACAAACGGAGCTTCAGAAGGGAGACTTGCAGAGATTCTGGAATCTAGGTAATGCCACTTCCTACTTAGTTTATCTTAATGGTTTTGTTTGTTTGTTTGTTTTGAGACGGAGTCTCGCTCTGTTTCCCAGGCTGGAGTGCAATGGCGTGATCTCAGATCACTGCAACCTCCGTCTCCCAGGTTCAAGTGATTCTCGTGCCTCAGCCTCCCAGATAGCTGGGATTACAGGCAAGTTCCACCATGCCCAGCTAATTTTTGTATTTTTAGTAGAGACAGGGTTTCACCATGTTCGTCAGGCTGGTCTCAAACTCCTGACCTCAGGTGATCCTTCCGCTTCAGCCTCCCAAAGTGCTGGGATTACAGGCATAAGCTACCGTGCCCAGCCTTAATGGTCTTTTTAAAGGATACCTGATTTCAGAAGGAACCTTTGAAGAAATGGCTAGAACTTCTGTGTTTCTTTGGATATTGCCTGACATCTAAGCCAAATTAGTTGACCTTTTAATGTTAAATAAAATATTCAATAACTTTTACTAATGGGTGGGCTTTAGGAACCCCTTTATTTTACTATGTTGCCAAAAGTAGGTTCATTATAACATTGGAAACATCCTGATGTAATTTATTGAATGTAAAATTATTCCTCAATACATTTGAGGATGATTTCCATAAAGGGAAACAAATTCCTTTCTTCCAAATATACTGTGACAGCCTATTTTGAAATATTTAAAATATGTCCCTAAAGATGAAAATTAAAGAGCGGACACAAAGTTGTTATGCTCTAAGGAGTCATTCTTTTGATTTAAAATTCATTATAATTCCCTGGTTGTCTAGTGGTTAGGATTCAGCACTCTCATAAAATTCATTATATTGATTCTATAAAAGTATATTGTGTTGGATTAAGAAACACATGGACATTTTTAAGTGTTTCAAAATATTTTTGTTATACCTAGGTTTTCACTGTGGTGGTATTTGTTGTTTTAGTAGAATTTGACCTATATTTTATTCTATGGGAAAAAGAAGAAAGTAAACATTGGCTAGCTATCTACCACCCTGTACTGCTATTTGTGTGTGGTCCCATTGTGAATTTTTAACTCCATGCTCTATATTTTTAGTGCTTTGTGAAGATTGAATCTGCAAATCACCTTTGAAAGACAAAGGATTTGATTTGATTGTGGCAATCATGAAAGTTATCCTGTAAATAAAACTGTATGTCCTGGACCAAAGCTGGAATAATGCCACACTGAAATGATCTTAACTGTGGAATCCTTGATTGGACCCGATTTGTTTTGCACATACAATAGCTCCATAAAGATGATAGGCTTTCAGCAGGGATGAACAGATGTTCTGGTTTTATCAGAAATTGCTTTTGCATCACCAAGACTTCACAAAAGCCAGTAATCCCCCTGTTTGATGTTGTGGAGGTGCTTTTAAAACTTCTTCCCAGATACTGGTTTGAACACACAGACTTTGTCATTGACCTGTAAGATTCAATTGTCAGGTGGTATCTGTTTTCTCCCAACAGAAATAAAGAGAAGAAGAATAAAAACAAAAACTAGAAAGTGTAGCAGGGGCACAATTATTTATTTAAACTTTAAAGTATTTAATATTACATACCAGAATCTAAGTTACATAAAGCATGTCTGTTTTGTTCACTGCCACATTCTTAGTACCTAGAACAGAGCCCAACATGTAATAGTTACTCAATAAGTATCTGTTAAATAAGTATAGTAGTCCTGCCTTATCCCAAGGGATGCCTGAAACCTCAGGTAATACTGAACCCTACATATATATATTGTTTTTTCCTATGCATATATAATTATGATAAAGTTCAATTTATAAATTAGGCACAGTAAGAGATTAAGAACAATGATAATAAAATAGAACAAGTATGTAGTCTTTTTTTTTTTTTTTTTTTTTTTTTTTGAGACAGAGTCTCGCTCTGTCACCCAGGCTGGAGTGCAGTGGCGCAATCTCCGTTCACTGCACGCTCTGCTTCCTGGGTTCATGCCATTCTCCTGCCTCAGCCTCCCCAGTAGCTGGGACTACAGGCATCTGCCACCACACCCGGCTAATTTTTTGTATTTTGTTTAGTAGAGACGGGGTTTCACCATGTTAGCCAGGATGGTCTCGATCTCCTAACCTCGTGACCTGCTCGCCTCAGCCTCCCAAAATGCTGGGATTACAGGCGTGAGCCACTGTGCCTGGCCGAATGTAGTCTATCTTAAAATACTGTATCTTACTATGCTGTACTGTGGGTAACAGAAACCATAGAAAACAAAATCTCAGATAAGGAAAGACTATTGTATTCCCCTTTAATCTCAATACAGCAGGTGTATCCAGAGAACTTCAACCCTCAGAAGGACTGAAAGTGTGCCTTTTACTGTGGAAGAAAGAAAAGAGAGGGGGCTGGGTGCAGTGGCTCATGCCTATAATCCCAGTACTATGGGAGGCTGAGCCAGGAGGGTCACTTGAGCCCATGAGTTAGAGACCAGCCTGGGCCACAGAGTGAGACGCTGTCTCAAAAAAAGTTGGGGGGATGGGGGAGAAGAGAGAGGAGACAGCAAATATCTCTTTGTTTCCTTTGGATTTCAGCATTAAAGATAGAAAAAATGTGAGTTTATTAGGCAAAAACTGGTTTTTTAACCCCATTTTAAAGATTGTGGAGTTACGTATATATATCATAAAATTTACCATTTTTAACCTTTTATTTTGAGATGGAGTTTCTCTGTGTCACCCAGGCTGGAGGTTAGCTCATTGCAACCTTCACCTCCTGGATTCAAGCAATTCTCCTGCCTCAGCCTCCTGAGTAGCTGGGATTACAGGTGCACGCCACCATGCCTGGCTAATTTTGGTATTTTTAGTAGAGGTGGGGTTTCACCATGTTAACCAGGGTGGTCTGGAACTCCTGACCTTAGGTGAACCGCCCTCGGCCTCCCAAAGTGCTGGGATTACAGGCGCGAGCCGCTGTGCCCGGCCATTTTCACTGTTTTAAAGTACAGTTCCGTGGCATTAAGCACATTCACATTGTTGTGTGACCGTCAGCACCTGGTCCATCTCCAGAATTTTTTCATCCTAAACTAAAATCCTGTATTCATTAAACAGTAATGAGAATAAAACTCTCCATTTGCCCCTCCCCGCAGGCTCTGACAACCGCCATTCATTCTTTCTGTCTCTATGAGTTTGACTACTCCAGGCATCTTATATCAGTGGAATCATACACTATCTGCCCCTTTGTGTTTATTCCTTTTTTTGCAACATAATTCTTTTGGTTGGAGACTTCACAGTTTTTCTTTCCTTTGATTGTTTAGTTTTTGCTTTGTACCTAGACCTGGCCAGTGATGCATGTGCAATGAGTATGCAAAGACAAGTTAATTCAGCAGCTTGTTGCATACCACTAGGGAGTTATTAAAGCTTTCAAAATGTGATTCCTCATCTGTATGCCTGTGGCTTATCTACTCCAAGTCTTGCTGATAAACCTGCACTGAGAGTAATAGCAAAGATTAGTCTTTCTCCATGTTTCATAAAACAAATTGTTCTCATTCTTACAGCCTGATTATGAACTGGAAAATTACAGGTACATTGTTGTAATTGTTTATACAGACAATGAGACATACTCTCCACAGGGGACCTCAGCTGCAGGGGAGGTTCTGATTGCGTGTCATTAAGAAACGACAGTTAAGAAACTTTTTTTTTTTTAGACGGAGTCTCGCTCCATTGCCAGGCTGGAGTGCAGTGGCACGATCTCGGCTCCCTGCAACCTCTGCCTCCTGGGTTCAAGTGGTTCTCCTGCCTCAGCCTCCCAAGTAGCTGGGACTACAGGCGCATGCCACCACACCCAGCTAATTTTTGTATTTTTTGTAGAGACAGGGTTTCACCATGTTGGCCAGGATGGTCTCAATCTCCTGACCTCGTGATCCGCCTGCCTAGGCCTCCCAAAGTGTTGGGATTACAGGCATGAGCCACCGCACCGACCTTCTTTTTTTTTCCATTTTTAAAAATTTTCTATTCTCATTACATCTTCCTTTCTCCCTACTTTTCCTTCCCTTCCCTTCCAGTTTGTCCTTCCCTCTCTCTCTTTCTTCCTTTTTTCTTTCTTTTTCATTCTCATTTTTCTGAGTAGTTGCTGAAGACACAGCCTGACCCTAGGGGTCCAAATATAGATGAAACAATCATAGCTCTCTAGCAGTTCACCTGGAGGGAGAGAGAAAAAGAGAGTAAGAGAACCAAAATGAAGGGGAAATATTCTTAATTTTTTTTTTTTTAAGGACAGAAACTAACTTGTTGAGGAAAAAGAGAAATATACTGGGAGTTCTGACTGATAGGAACAAAGAGAGGACAGCTTCGAAGGATGATTTGAAAAGTAATCTATGGAATTTAGCTTTAAAGCAGGATCTTGGGCTGTAGACTACTTTATTATTATTATTTTTTAAGAGACAGAGTGCAGTGGTGCAGTCATGGCTCACTGTAGCCTCAAACTCCTGGGCTCAAGCCATCCTCCCACCTCAGCCTTCTGAGTAGCTAGGATTACAGGTACATACCAGCACGCCTGGCTAATTTTTTAATTTTTATTTTGTAGAGATGAGGTCTTGCTGTGTTGCCCAGGCTGGTCTTGAACTCCTGGCCTCAAGTGATCCTCCTGCCTCAGCATCCCAAAGTGCTGGGATGTTGTGGACTCCTTTAGAGCCTCTTGAAATAGGGCTAGTAAAGTGATTTTCTACCACTGTATCTGTGCTCATTTACATTGGGCAGATCACTTCTGCTTGACTTCATAGTTTCAACCTATAACATGAGGGGTCAACAGGTAGATTCGGAACCATCAGAGTTTAGGCCGAAGCCCATAGAATATGAAAGTTATTTTTAAAATTTATTTTTACAATGTCTACAAATGCAGTTGTTAAAGTGCCAGAGACAGAAGTATTGACAATGAGAAATTATCCAAAACCAGGCCAGGCGCGGTGACTCACGCCTGTAATCCCAGCACTTTGGGAGGCAAAGGTGGCAAGATGACTTGAGGCCAGGAGTCACAGGCTGCAATGAGTTGTGTTCATGCCACTGCTCTCCAGTCTGGGCCACAGAACAAGACCCTGTCTCTAAAAATAATCATCATCATCCAAAACCAAGACTGGCTCCTATTGGAAAGGTGGAAATGGTTGTGATGGAATTCAGCAACACCAATACCTTGGTATTTCTGACTTTCAGGATGTTAGGAGACTCTTTCAGTCCTTCCTGTTTAAATATGAATGGATATGTATTGCCATTATTGCCCTGCCCCTACATCTCCCAAATTTAGATTGCTAGTATTTATGTAAGTTTACTAGTCACAAATAGATTCTTGCATTTCCCATCTCTTGTCATAGGGCCCTCTTTGAGTTCAATATGCTTTTATTGGCACTTACTTTGGTTTTCTTTACAGCAGCAGCTGCTAATTAGTGACAGCTTTTGAGCAAGCAGCTTGTCATTTTTGGCAGAGATAGGGGACATCCATAGCAAGTCAAGACTATATTTTCATTTGCTAAATTTACTTTGCTACATGGAAATACATCTTGGATAAAAAATAGTCTGTAGTCAAAGGTGGCTGTGTTTACTGAATTATCTTCCTGAGTTGGCATTCTGTCCTGTAGTTGAAGAACTCACAGAGATGAAAAAAAGAAAGAAAGAAAGAAAGAAAGAAAGAAAGGTTCAACGTCTATCAGACTGATGCCATAAGTCCTGAGTCATCCTTCTAACATTAATCTACATTCTGGGTATAGAACCTCATCATCTTGTTTTGGCACAATCATAAATCTTTCTGGATTGTAGTTAGTGGCATACATGGTAACTGAATGAGTGAATTGTTGACAAATGTGCTTTTCGTTTATACTCAGCTTCTTTCTTGAGATATAATTAAAAGAAAGGTTAGTTTGCTTAGAGAAGATCCTTTCTTTGGAATTTTAGCTCATCTTAGCATCATCATATTTCATGTAATTCTTCTCTTTGAAATTGCTGCAATAAAGTGTTAGCTCTATTTTACAAACTTGTCACGATGTTTATGAGGGTGGCACAACTTGCTATTATGTTTACCTTGATTAGCACCAATGATGAGTCAAAACCTCCGTCATGGTTTCTATAAAGTGTGATTCACTCCCATTATTCCTGTAATAAGGATTCAGATTAATGACCTCCACAGTGTTAAAAATATCCTGAAGGAAATAACTGACCTACCATCCATTTCCCCCAATTTAGGTCCTTTTTGTAACATGGAGGTCTATAAAAATTGTATTCAATACACAATTACTAAATACCAACCATGTATATCAAGTACTATATTGGGGAAATCAAAATGAATCAGAGAGACATGGTCCTTGCTCCAGGATGGCTTACAGTCTATTAGTTGGCCAGCAGATAACTTAGTTGCCTTGGTTCTTATGTCCAGAGTGTAGGGTAAATTCTAATTCTAGAGGAGGAAAACATCCCATCTTTTAAAAATAAGATTATCAAAATGATCAAAGACATTGGATACAAATATTGTACTGATTCTATTTCTACCTAAAGGTGTTAAAGATTGTTTGAGGCACTTTTCCTAGGCTTGTGGAACTGCCAGGCATCCTTGTCCCAAATTTCCCCTTGATATATCGCACAGCACTGTTAAATTCAGAAGTTGCCTTCTGTATCAGAGTGTCTATTTCTTGATGGCATAGCTTGGAGAACCCAGATGATCTTCTAGCATTCAACTCATACTTAATGTACATCAACAGTAACATAGTTATTTGTATATTTTCTTTTCTTTTTTTCTTTTTTTTTTTTTTTGAGACGGAGCCTTGCTCTGTCACCCAGGCTGGAATGCAGTGGCACGATCTCGGCTCACTGCAACCTCCACCTCCTGGGTTCGAGCCATTCTCCTGCCTCAGCCTCCCCAGTAGCTGGGATTACAGGCACGCATCACCACGCCCAGCTAATTTTTTGTATTTTTAGTAGAGACGGGGTTTCACCATGCTGGCCAGTCTGGTCTTGAGCTCCTGACCTTGTGATTCGCCTACCTTGGCCTCCCAAAGTGCTGAGATTACAGGTGTGAGCCACCGCACCCAATCTATTTGTATATTTTCATTTGAACATTTATTAATTATAGTAGGAATTTATCATGTATACCTTGTCTCCAACCCAATGCACAGTAGCATCAGGTAAGTTGCTGTTTAGTTATAGGTATCATGTGAACAGGTATCCAGATGGCAGCTAACTTCAGTATCCTTTGTTATCCTGTCTTACACACTGGGGTGTTTTACAAGTTGCTTTCTCATTTCTATTAATGACATTTCCCCCTGTATGTAAAATGTTTTCTGCCATTAGAAAGCCTAAGTTTCAGATGTTCTGTGATAAATATTGGTGATGGATAATAATGTAACTAATGGAAGCCCCTTAAGGAATTTGCGAACAAGTTTAACAAAGTTAACAACTCAGCTTCTTATAGGAAATGTTGCATTGCTAATTCTGACCACAAGTGGTCAGGATCTAGGTTTTGGCCTTATGGGAAAGTTACCCAAGCCCAGGACAGTTCTCGTTATTCTCCTCCCACTCACTTTTACAATCTAAAGCTTTTGGCTAATTTCTGATTGATTTAAAAGAATGAAGGTGAACCCCCACCCCCCAAATATGGCATCCTTTGGTTGTGCTTGAAGGTTTGTCTTCTTAGTGCTAACCCTCAGGGAAGGGAGTCTTATTTAAAGCCTTTTTTTTTGGATTGTCAAATAATCTTTTTGTATTCATTTGTGAATTGCATTTTATGATAATTCATTTTGTGGCTCGTGTTATAAAGGAGTTAAACTGCAGGTATCACTGTCAGGAGAAACTCATTTGACTAGCTGATGATTTTTTTTTTTTTTTTTTTGAGACAGAGTTTCCCTCTATCACCCAGGCTGGAGTGCAGTGGCATGATCTCCACTCACTGCATCCTCCGCCTCCTAGGTTCAAGTGATTCTCCTGCCTCAGCCTCCCGAGTAGCTGGGACTACAGGTGCCTGCCACCACGCCTGGCTAATTTTTTGTATTTTTAGTAGAGATGGGGTTTCACCATGCTAGCCAGGATGGTCTCGATCTCCTGACCTCATGATCCGCCCGCCTTGGCCTCCTAAAGTGCTGGGATTACAGGCATGAGCCACCGCGCCCGGCCTCGTGATGATTTTCAATAAGTAAACCACTGTGGTTCACAGCCTGAGCTCCGAAGGTGGACAAAACTCCTTGAATATTTATTACTACTACTGTTATTATAATTCTATTACTACTGCTGCTAGTACTTTATTTTTCTCATTTCCCATGCTTATTCCTTTGCTATTATTTAAGGTTTGGTGATGAAGTATAGGAAGGGCTTGGAAATGAAGTCATTTATTTTGTTTCCAACACAAAACAGTTTCTAGTGTGGGTGTGTGGGTGGCTTAATTTAACATAACAAACTAATACGTTTTTCCTTGAACTCCATACTATCTTCATTTCAAACTAGGTATTCTCAGAGTGGGGTTAAAATACTCTCCATCATCAAAGCCCAGACATTTTAGAACAAGAGCTTGTCTCACAAAAAGCCTGGTGTCTCTGTTGCCACCACAACCTGAAACTAACGAGTTAGAAACCACATAGAGCCAACGACATGGGGTAGGAGCTCGTAACATTTTCTCGCAAGTTTTGTGTAGATAGTTAAGCCGGGAACCGATCTGGTTGAGAAAAATGTTTAAAATCATCATTTTCCCTTCCTTCTCCTTCACTTTTATACTCAAAAGGGTCTAATTTTGCTCCTCTGGGAAGATTGAATGCGTAGGCTTTCATGTAGTTTAACACTCTCTTAATTTAAAGAAGTCTGGGTTTGGTGCAGTGGCTCACGCCTGTCATCCCAGCACTTTGGAGGGCCGAGGTGGGTGGAGCGCTTGAGTTCAAGAGTTCGAGACCAGCCTGGGCAACATAATGAAGCCCCGTTTCTACTAAAAATACAAAAAATGAGCCAGGCATAGTGGCACACACCTGTGGTCCCAGCTACTCAGGAGACTGAGACAAGAGGATTGCTAGAGCCTGGGAGGCAGAGGTTGCAGGGAGCTGAGATCACGCCACTGCACTCCAGCATGGGTGACAGGGTGAGACCCTGTCTCAAAAAAAAAAATTATATTTTCTATCCTCTTCCCCTTTTTGTTATGTGTTTTACAGTCTTTTCTCCATGTCTAATCTAAGAAACTTATATATTCATTGTATATATATCTACTGGTTGTCAGCATTGAACCTTGCCTGTGCCCTAGCATGTTGCAGAATGACTGACTTGACTTTATTTTGAGAATAAGTTCAAAATTTATTCTTTTTTTATCAGTTGACTAGGGACCTTATCTGTTGTTGCATTTATTATCTCTAAAATACCATCTTCTTTTTCTTTTTATTTTTTTTGAGATAGAGTCTCACTCTGTTGCCCAGGCTGGAGTGCAGTGGTGCAATCTTGGCTCTCTGCTACCTCCACCTCCCAGGTTCAAGCAATTCTCCTGCCTCAGCCTCCCGAGTAGCTGGGATTACAGTCACGCGCCACCACACCCAGCTAATTTTGTATATTTTTGGTAGAGACGGGGTTTCACCATGCTAGCCAGACTGGTCTCAAACTCCTGACCTCAAGTGATCCACTGGCCTTGGCCTCCCAAAGTGCTGGGATTACAGGCCTGAGCCACCTCACCCAGCCTACCATCTTATTTTTAGATGGAGACTTCTGGACATTGGTATAAAATCTGGATGGTTCCAGTCCTGACCTTTTCTTCATGTTTAATCTCACCTTCCTAACACTTCCACCACGTTGAAAAAGCGTAGCTCCATATGATCTTACTGCCCTTCGTTCAGTCAAGCGAGACACTGACATTGTGTAGATTCTGGGTCTCACATTTGCTTTGTTTTTATCTGGAGCTTTACTGGAAACTAAATGCTATTGCGTACTAGCTGCAGAAGCAGGAGGGGAAGTTGGCAAGAATTCGCTGCTTTCTGTTTGGTCTGTCTGAGGCAGCTGACCTTTTGGAAGGAAATCGCTGCTCTTCGCTTCTTCCGGTAACAGTGCCGCCTGTGAAAGAACACATACACAGAAGGGCTCTGCCGTTATCCTGGCTGATGCCTTGCAGCATAAGCTGTTAGTTAAGAGGTGGGAGCCTTTCAGTGCATCTGTTGTGTGCTGTAGGAGCATGCACTCAAGTTCCTACACCATGCTAAGTTGTGTGTAGATCTACTATTAGAGGTATAGTGAGAGACGGTCTGTTACCAGAAAAAGTAGGTTGCTTTAGCAAAAGTAATTGCATTTTATTTACTCCCACTATGAGTGCTGTAGTAAATGTGGACAATTATTTTGTGCACAATTTTAGTTCATCTTAATGTTAAATGTCCTGGTAATTGCTTTTTATACCTGGATAACCGTTGTTGTTTTTTTTTTTTCCCCAGCAGGACAAACATTTTGATTTGCTAAGACATGAGCTCTTATTAAATGTCATTTCTTCTCAGAATTAGAATAAGATTTTTTTTTTTTTTTTTTTTTTTGGACAAGATCTTACAATGTCACCCAGGCTGGAGTGCAGCGACACAATCACGGCTCACAGCAGCCTCAAACTCCTGGGCTTAAGCAGTTCTTCTGCCTGTCTCCTGAGTAGCTAGAACTACAGGCATGCGCCACCACACTGGGCTAATTTGTAAATTTTTTGTAGAGATGGAGTCTCACTATGTCGCCTAGGCTTGTTTCAAACTCCTGGCCTAATCAGTCTTCCCATCTCGGCCTCCCAGAGTGCTGGGTTTACAGGCATGAGCCACTGTGCCTGGCCCAGAATTATCTTCTTCTTTTTCTCATACATTTTTTTTTTTTTTAGAGAATGAGTCTGGCTCTGTCATCCATCTGGCATGCAGTGGCGCAATCATAGTTCACTGCAGCTACTAACTCCTAGGCTCAAGTGATTCTCCCACCTCATCCTCCCAAGTAACTAAGACTACAGGTGTGCGCCACCACACGCTACTACTTTTTGTTTTGCTTTCTTTGTAAAGACAGAGCCTTGATATGTTGCCCAAGCTGGTCTTGAACTCCTGAGCTCAGGTGATCCTCCTGCCTCAGCCTCCCAAAGTGCTGAGATTACAGGTGTGAGCCACTACACCTGGCCAAGATTTAGCTTCTTAACAAACCTGCTACTCGTTGGATCCACTTTTTCTGCAGGACTTGTTTTACTTAAACACAGGTAGTAGGACACCCCACAACTTGGGATTATTTTTGGAAAGCTGTAGTTGGGTTTCATATCACCCAGTAAGCAAACAAGGGAACTAACCAGCTGATGAAGCGTTTCTCTCTTAAAAGAGGAGATTTCAGTTTTGTATTGTTTTAACTAAAACATATTCAGTTCAGTTTTTATTTTGTTATTTGAAATGACATATTCAAGTTATGTCTAAGTAAAAATGAAACATTTTAATTCATGGCAAATTAAGAGAACACAGCTACCTGGAAAACGGGGCAAACTGCCATATCCTTCTGTATTTAGTTTTGGTTCGGTGGATAGGTGTGCTTTTCTAAGGTATTATTGGTCTCTTCCCTAGATTTGCTGTTGATGGCAGAGATGGTTGGGTGAAGGTTTGTGTTGATGTACATAAAAGACATAGAGATTAGTACAGAGAGAAACATCTCAGGGCCCCCTTAGCAAGATTGCCCTGCAGTGCTTCTGTTCTTGGAAACTGGTCTGATCTGTTCCACTTTCCTGGGGTAATGAAGAATCCAGGGGGAATACAAACCCTGCGTTGGTTTTAGGTATAGGTTCTTGGCACAAAATAAATTGATATCAACAAAACAGGAAGATTTCTCCCCGGTTCTGTTGGCCTTTGAGTAGGAGCGAAGTTAGGAACCAACAGCTGAGGTTTCCTGTGATCTGCTCTTGTAATGATAGCTTTCTAGACACCTTGAATTGTTACTCTTGAACTGTCAACGGCCTTCACGTAAGCCAGTTGTGTTCAGGTATGTGATTAGAGGTAAGGGATGTGTTTGTTTGTGTTTAGAAATGGGGTCTCACTTTGTGGCTCAGGCTTGAGCATAGCGGCGTGATCATAGCTCACTGCAGCCTTGACCTCCTGGGAGCGCTCCTGTCTCAGCCTCCTGAGTAGCTTGGACTGCAGAAGTGAGTCACCATGCCCAGCTAGAAAGTTTTTTATTTTAAAGAAATTCTGGTACCGTTGTGAGTGACTTTCTGTGTATTTCGTTCTATTTACAGTTGGTACAAGTTTGCTTAGTCACATCAAAGATGAAAGAGGGCCACTAATATATATAAATATATGTCAGAATTACAAATTAATCTGCTATTAACAGTCTTAAATCACTATTTGAAAACACATTTAAGGCACTATATATTTGAAAGTGAAAGAATTGCATTTTAAAAAAAATTTTTTTATAATTCTGAATTTTTACTTTATAATTCTGAATGTTCTACTTAAAATTAAAATTTTTTTATAATTCTGAATTTTTACTTTATAATTCTGAATGTTCTACTTAAATCAAGGCTGCCCAGGTAAGACAGTGTCATAACCTGGATATTATCATGTTAGGAAATATTTCTTCCTGTGTTTTATGTCTCTTTAAACTTGGTTCCTGTGGGATAGTCAGTAGTACCAATTCCCCATTGATTATTAAATTTATATCTTAAGTTTTACATTTTAAACACAATTTAATCAAAAACTTTACAAAAATTGTACCAAAAAGCCCCTTCACCTAAATGTAACAACTGTTTACACTTCTCTTTGACCTTTCTCTATTTGCCCTCTTGCATACGTGTTGCATACACTTTTCATTTAACATTCTTTTATTTCTACTCTAAAAAAATGTGTCTACAGGCCAGGTGTGATGGCTCACATCTGTAATCCCAGCAGTTTGGGAGGCCGAGGTGGGAGGATCACAAGGCCAAGAGTTGGACACCAGGCTGGCCAACATGGTGAAACCCCATCTCTACTAAAAATACAAAAATTAGGGCTGGGCGGGGTGGCTCACGCCTGTAATTCCAGCACTTTGGGAGGCCGAGGTGGGCAGATCACCCGAGGTCAGGAGTTCGAAACCAGCCTGGCCAACATGGTGAAAACCCGTCTCTATTAAAAATACAAAAAATTAGCCGGGCATGGTGGTGGGCACCTGTAATCCCAGCTACTCGGGAGGCTGAGGCAGGAGAATTGCTTGAACCTGGGGGGCGGAGGTTGCAGTGAGCCAAGATCGCGCCATTACACTCCAGCCTGGGCAATAAGAGCAAAACTCCGTCTCAAAAAAATAAAAATAAAAAATTAGCCAGGCATTGGTGGCAGATGCCTATGGTCCCAGCTGCTCAGGAGGCTGAGACAAGAGAATTGCATGAACGCGAGAGGTGGGGGTTGCAGTGAGCCAAGATCATGCCACTGCACTTTAACCCTGTTGAAAGAGCAAGACTCAGCCAGGCGCGGTAGCTCACGCCTGTAATTCCAGCACTTTGGGAGGCCAAGGTGGGCGGATCACAAGGTCATGAGGTCGAGACCATCTTGGCCAACATGGTGAAACCCTGTCTCTACTAAAACTACAAAAATTAGCTGGGCATGGTGGCGCGTGCCTGTAGTCCCAGCTATTCGGGAGGCTGAGGCAGGAGAATCGCTTGAACCTGGGAGGCAGAGGTTGCAGTGAGCCGAGATCGCGCCACTGCACTCCAACCTGGGTGACAGAGTGAGACTCCATCTCAAAAAAAAAAAAAAAAAAAAAATTAGCCAGGCATTGGTGGCAGATGCCTATCTATGGTCCCAGCTGCTCAGGAGGCTGAGACAAGAGAATTGGTTGAACACGAGCGGTGGGGGTTGCAGTGAGCCAAGATTGTGCCACTGCACTTTAACCCGGTTGAAAGAGCAAGACTCTGTCTCAAAAAAATAAATAAATAAAATAAAAATTTAAAAATGCGTCTACATGGTTTTTATATTTCAACATAGCTTTTATATTTCATTTAACTGGTTGCACCATATCCCATTAGATTAATACATTATAGTCTAATCATCCCCCTATTTTGGACATTTTGGTTATTTCTGTTTGTCCCGACGGTATATATCCCTGGGAATTGGCCTGAATCAAGGCACTTGTCAAAGAAAATTTTGCTAGGTAGAAACTAAACACTGTAATTCTCAATGGTAAGAGGGAGGCCATGAACTTTAATAGGGAAAATATTGGTAACATGTGTGGATTTATTAATAAATTGCCTGTTTTGTTTGTTTTTAACTTTCAAACAAGAGGAAAGGGATTATATTTCATTTAAGCAGTATAGAAACAGGGTATTGTAGTAGCTGAGGAGTTTTTTTCCTGAACTAAAAGATTTGAATTGTCCAAGAGACAGATTCTAAGATGAGTTGATCTTGAATTACAGTACAAATATAAACCTTCACTAGAAATTCTGAGGCTGGCTGGGTGTGGTGGCTCACACTTGTCATCCCAGCACTTTGGGAGGCCGAGGTAAGAGGATCACTTGAGCCCAGGAGTTCATGACCAGCCTGGGCAACATAGCAAGACCCCATCTCTAAAAAAAAAAAAAAAAAAATTAGCCGGGCATGGTGGCACACACCTGTGGTCCCAGCTACTCAGGGGGCTAAGGGAGGAGGATCACCTGAACCCAGGAGGTTGAGACTGCAGTGAGCAGTGATTACGCCATAGCACTTCAGCCTGAGTGACAGAGTGAGACCCTGTCTCAAAAAAAAAAAAAGAAAAGAAAAGAAAGAAAAAAATTCTGAAGGTAAGATAGGACTACATGGCAGCTTCAAATCATTTCTTATTTTTCCGTAATGCAGATGGTCATTAATTTTGGGCTACAGCAAGTGCTTTTAGTCATCTGGAAAGTGATACAGATGTAGCTTCTTCCCAAAGGGATCGCAAATCCATTATCTCCATGGATTTGGACATGGAGATAATGATAACACATGTACACTGTGGGCCACCATGGCACAAGAGAGCCCAACTTGCATGCTGGTGGCCTGCAAGCTGCAGCACAACGCCTAAGAAGTCCAGATTTTTATTGACCACCAGGGACAGTTTCAAAGTGAGAGTCAAACCTCTGCTTTCATTGCTTTGTTTTTCTTTTTTGGAATGTTTGCCCTTCATTTTGATTTTGAAAAAAGTGTACATGACTTAAAAGTGGAAAGAATAGAACAATGAGTACTCGCATATACTTCACCTAGGTTGAGCCAGTGTTCACAGTTGTTAGATTTACTTTCCCACACTCCCCACCACTGTCACTCTTCCGTTTCTCCTGCCAAAGTAAGATGCAGACGACATGGCCATTTACCCTCAAATACTTGACAGTGTATCTACTCCCAGCAAGGGCATTCTTCTACGCAACCTGAATGCCATTGTCACTCTCAAGAAATTTAGCAGTGATAAAGTAATATCTAATATATAATGATATAATGGCCTTTAGAGCTGTGGGTGTTTTTGTTTGTTTTGAGACAGAGTCTCACTCAGTTGCCCAGCCTGGAGTGCAAGTGGCGCAATCTCAGCTCACCACAACCTCTGCCTCCCGGGTTCAAGAGATTCTTGTGCCTCAGCCTTCAGAGTAGCTGCAACTACAGGCGTGTGCCACCACGCCCAACTAATTTTTATATTTTTTTTTTATTTATTTTTTTTAAGTATAAACACATATATTTTTTAAAGTTTATTTTTAACATTTTTTTTTTTTAATTGATCATTCTTGGGTGTTTCTCGCAGAGGGGGATTTGGCAGGGTCACAGGACAATAGTGGAGGGAAGGTCAGCAGATAAACAAGTGAACAAAGGTCTCTGGTTTTCCTAGGCAGAGGGACCCTGTGGCCTTCCGCAGTGTTTGTGTCCCTGGGTACTTGAGATTAGGGAGTGGTGATGACTCTTAAGGAGCATGCTGCCTTCAAGCATCTGTTTAACAAAGCACATCTTGCACCGCCCTTAATCCATTCAACCCTGAGTGGATACAGCACATGTTTCAGAGAGCACAGGGTTGGGGGTACAATTTTTGTATTTTTAGTAGAGACAGGGTTTCACCATGTTGGCCAGGCTGGTCTCGAATGCTTGACCTTGAGTGATCCTCTGGGCTTGGCCTCCCAAAGTGCTGGGATTACAGGCATGAGCCACCACACCCAGTCGTGTTTTTGTTTTTGAATTACGCTCTTGGTTGTGTCTCTTCAGTCTCCTTTAACCTAGAACAGTTCCACCTGTTTTGGGTGGGGGGTGGGATCATTGATTAGAGTCTCACAATTTGGATTTGTCTGATTGTTTCTTCATGATTTAGTTTGTGTATTCTTTTCAGCAAATCATATCTGGAGGCACATAATGTCAGTTTATGCCATGATTGGGGATGTTTGATCACTCGGTTAAGGCATTGTCCGCCAGATTTATCCACAGAAATGCACCTTTTCCCCTTTGAATAATAAGTAATATGTGAGTAGTACTTTGAGACTAAATGCTGTTCCCCAACAACTGTCACCTAATGGTTTTAGTAGCTGTGATGATCCTTGTCTGAGTCTACTCTCTTTATTTTTGAGATTGTGCATCTTTGGCCAAGACTTTATATCCTATATTTAGATGAGAGTTTTAAATATATAGTAACCTGCTGATTGAAACCTGATTTTTATATTTAGTAAGTAGATCCTTTCTCTACCTTCTCCTTTATTCCCTCCCTTACCCTTTTCCCCTCCTCCATTCTCTGTTCTTCCTATTGTAATATGCAGTGATTTGGCTGTGACATAAAGATTAATGGCGGATTGTCTTCCCAGAATACTATCATCTCTATGTTGCCTGGGCACATTTTTCCTTGTTTGCTTCTTTGTGAGCCAAATGCTTTTATTCTTTCTGTTCTCTTCCCATCTGTTTAATAATGTGATTTTTTAAAAAGAGAATTGGCTTCCTGATTGCATATAGGGTAGTATTTAGAAAAAAAAAATTAAAGAGCAGATGGCTCTGGTATTAACCTGCTTCTAGATGTGATAGCCTTCTTACTTGATATTAGTCCAATTTTAATATGAATGAAGTCTTAATCCTTTATTGCTGCTATTGAATATTTTTCCGTCCCTCAAAATCGCTATACTAGGCTAGGCATGGTGGCTCAGGCCTGTAATCCCAACACTTTGGGAGGCCGAGGTGGGTGGATCACTTGAGGTCAGGAGTTCAAGACCAGCCTGGCCAACATGGTAAAACCCTGCCTCTACTAAAAATCCAAAAATTAGCCAGACACAGTGGCACATGCCTGTAATTCCAGCTACTCAGGAGGCTAAGGCAGGAGAATCTCTTGAACCCGGGAGGCAGAGGTTGCAGTGAGCCAAGATCATGCCACTGCACTCCAGCCTGGGTGACAGAGCAAGACTCTGTCTCAAAAAAAAAAAAAAATTGCTGTACTAGGTGACCACCACCATTTAATATATTTAATAATGTTGGTATCAACAGAAAGCAGTAAACATAATTAGGGAATTTGCTCTTTTTTTTTTTTTTTTTGAGATGGAGTTTCACTCTTGTTGCCAATGCTGGAGTGCAATGGTGCGATCTCAGCTCACCGCAACTTCTACCTCCCAGGTTCAAGAGATTCTCCTGCCTCAGCATCCCAAGTAGCTGGGATTACAGGCATGCACCACCACGCCTGGCTAATTTTTTGTATTTTTAGTAGAGACAGGGTTTCTCCATGTTGGTCAGGCTGGTCTTGAACTCCCAACCTCAGGTGATCTGCCCGCCTCTGCCTCACAAAGTATGGGATTACAAGCATGAGCCACCACGCCTGGCTGGAACTTGCTCTTTATATTCTGTACAGAATCCTTAGTCATTCACTGGAGCTGATAGGTTTAACAGTTTTGAACCCTGGCTCCTTGCCTTGTACTTTTCAGATCAGAAGCAATGTTTAAACGTCATCTCTTTGATCTGTCACCCAGCCCTAGCCTTTGCCAAAATCAGAGCCCCTCAGTATTAGGTTTCTTACTTTAATTTTTCATTCTTTGCTCTCTTTAAATTATGAAATATAACAAACAGGCAGAAAAGTACATAGAAAATGGCAAACCACCTTAAGTCCTCAACATGCATGCAGCCTGGTGCAGTGGTGCAAGTAAGTGCAGGTTCTCAGGTAGGTCCAGCCCAGATAGTACCCCTTAGTAGTATGGACCGACCCTGGAGCAAGTGTTTCACCTCTTTCTCTTTTTAAAAATAGCTTTACTGAGATATAATCACGCACTATAAAATTCACCCTTTGAAGTATATTCTCAGAGTTATACAATTATCACCACTATCTAATTCCGGAACATTTTCATCATCCCCTCAAAAAGCCCTTACCTTTTAGCAATCATTCCCCATTTCTCCCTCCCCTCAGCCCTTGGCAACCAACAATCTATTTTCCGTCTCTATGGATTTGCCTATTCCGGATATTTCATAAAAATGGAATTTACAGTATGTTCCCTTGCATGCCTTTCACTTTACATAATGATTTCAAGGTCATCCACACTGTAGCATGCGTCAGTACTTCATTCCTTTTTAACATCTGCATAATATTCCATTTTATTCATTGTATTTATCCATTCCTATCCATATTTATCTGTTTATCCTTTGGTGGACATTTGAGTTGTTTCCACTTTGGGGCGATTATGAGGTGATTATGAATAATGCAGCTGTGAACATTTGTGTACCTGTTTTTTGTTTTGCTTTGTTTTTGAGACAGAGTCTTGCTGTGCTTGCCCTGTCATCCAGGCTGGAGTGCAGTGGCACAGATCTCGGCTCACTGCAACCTCCACCTCCCAGATTCAAGCAATTCCCCTGCCTCAGTCTCCCAAATAGCTGGGATTACAGGCACCCGCCACCGTGCCCGGCTCATTTTTTTCTTTTTTAATTTTTAGTAGAGATGGGGTTTCGCCATGTTGGCCAGGCTGGTCTCGAGCTCCTGACCTCAGGTGATCCACCCGCCTCAGCGTCCCAAAGTGCTGGGATTACAGGCGTGAGCCACTGCACCTGGCCTGTGTACCCACTTTCTGGGGACACATGTTTTCACTTCTCTTAGGCATATACCCAGGAGTGGAACTACTGGATAATGTAGTAACTCTATGTTTACCCTTTTGTAGAATTGCCAGATAGTTTTCCAAAACTGTTTCACCATGTTACAATTCTACTTAATCTTGATGACCCTCAATTTCCTCATCCATAACGGGGATAATAATAGTGCCTACGTCTGAGGGATTTAGGATAAAGAGTAGATTCATAAAAGCACTTGTTATAAGTAATATACTAAGTGCTTAGCTAGCTCTTAAATCTGGATGGGGGATAATAATAACACTGATAAATGTTATTTATTTCTTATCCTATTTCTGAAGTTTATTTTTATTTATTAGATGAATTGAAATATTTGTTGCTAATAATTCATAAAGCAGTATAATAAATGAAAACTTCAAATTTCATTAGTTGTTTTTTGTACTTTAATTATTAAAAGTCAGATATGTCCTTGGAAGGAATAGGTAAAGGCATGGCTCCCTGCTGGCTTAGTCCTCTCTGTTCAACAACATATTAGAAGGAATGGAATAGGTAGTTTTCTTCTCCTTTTTTTTTTTTTTTTTTTTTGAGACAGAGTCTTGCTCTGTCGCCAGCTTGGAGTGCAGTGGCATGATCTTGGCTCACTGCAACCTCTGCCTCCTGGGTTCAAGCGATTCTTCTGCCTCAGCCTCCTGAGTAGCTGGGACTACAGGAGCATGGCACCACGCCCAGCTAATTTTTGTATTTTTAGTAGAGATGGGTTTTCACCATTTTGGCCAGGATGGTCTTGATCTCTTGACCTCATGATCCACCCACCTCGGCCTCCCAGAGTGCTGGGATTACAGGCATGAGCCACCGCACCCGGCCTCTTCTTTTTTCTTTTTTTTTTAAGAGTTTAGTATGCATAGGGCAAAATCAAAGCCTTGCTGTTACTGTACCACCCTCACCCTTCACAATTCTCCATTCTTTCATTCAAAGATGAGAGAACAGACTTCATGGTGCCTTTCCACCACCACCTCCCAAGAGTTCCTGTCTGCAGAAGTCCTTGTGCCAGTGAAATTGATTAAGAAATAGGAATGCCATCTTTTAAAAGGGCCCAGCACAGCCTGTAATCCCAGCACTTTGGGAGGCCGAGGTGGGTGGATCACAAGGTCAGAAGTTCAAGACCAGCCTGGCCAAGATGGTAAAACTCCATCTCTACTAAAAATACAAAATTAGCCAGGCGTGGTGGCGGGCAGCTGTAATCCCAGCTGCTTAGGAGGCTGAGGCAGATAATTGCTTAAACCCGGGAGGCGGAGGTTGCAGTGAGCCCAGGTCACGCCACTGCACTCCAGCCTGGGTGACAGAACGAGACTCTGCCTTAAAAAAAAAAAAAAAAAAAAAGGCCAGGCACAATGGCTTGTGCCTCTAATCCCAGCACTCTGGGGGAGGCTGACTTGGGAGGATCACTTGAGGTGAGGAGTTTGAGACCAGCCTGGGCAACATAGTAAGACCTTGTCTCTACAAAAAAAAAAAAAAAAGTTTTTTTCTTTAATTAGCCAGGTGTGATGGCATGTGCCCACAGTCCTAGCTACTTGGGTGGCTGAGGTAGGAGTATCCCTCAAGCCCAGGAGTTTGAGGCTGCAGTGAACCATGATCACACCACTGCACTCCAGCCTGAGTGATGGAGTAAGACCCTGTCTCGGATGGATGGATGGATGGATGGATGGATGGATGGATGGATGGATGGATGGATGGATAGAAAAGTTTATACTGGAGGATATTGGTTAAGGAGAAGGATAGCAAGAGCTATTTGTGGAGGATTGATTTTTGGAAAGTTTATTAAATTGAGTTAAAATTAGAGATGGGAGAAAGAAGCCGGTTTTGTAAGTTTAAGGTAACAGTAAGAACAGTAGTGAGTACTTACAGAGCACCTGCTCTTAGCTAGATACTGTTTTAGGTATGTACATAAAACTAATTCATTCTTACAGCAGCCCCCTAAGGGGCATAAGTATTATTATTCCCATTGTACAAATAAGAAAACTGAGGCACAGAGAGGCTTAACAGGCTGTCTTTGGCAGAACCGTATTTAGGTGAGTTCAGCATCATCTCTAAAAGTTTAACCCCAGTTTAGAGACTTTGGCCCTGGGATGGGGGGTAGGATGGAGAATCGGAATTACAAAATGCTTTAAATTATACATATGAATCCAGCAGACCAAATCTGCTGGATTCATATTATTCATATTATGCATAATATTATTCATATTAACCCCCTACTCCCACCCCACACTAGAATTCATTCACTGAGTTGGCAGATACACAGTGGGCCTTCTAATGTCAGACACTACTCTCCACTGCAGTTTAGCTAGGGCAAGACCTTGGTCACAGTGTTCTACAAGTCTTCAGAGAGAGAGTAATGTTTTTCTTTGTTATAGTTTATATTTTACTTTTAGAAAGGAAAAGCATCTGAGAAAAGATATTTATGACTGAGACAAAATTATTCCAAATCCCACTCACTTATATCATTTATTTATGTGGTGGACATTCATTTTTATGGTTTTCAGTAAGCCTGTAACATTATGAGCTATTAGACTTTGAAACTTTTATTAACAAGTGCCTGAGGGCCCGACTGATTTATTTGGCTCTCCAAGCCCATGGGTATATCCAGATATATAAGGTTGAGGTAGGTGCTTTATGCCTTCAGAAAGTACAGGGTTCTGCATCCAGGGCTGTCTTAGGTTGTTCTGAAATGTCTGTGAACACAGAGTGCAACTCAGCCGAGCTCAAATAGTTCTCATCTTTGGCCTAAAAATAAGATTGTGAATCCATTTCCCAGTCTTTAGAGAATCCCCTGTGATGATTTACCAAAGAACAAACTACTTCCCTTGTCTGAGCATCACGCACTGAAATTGGAGCTGCCCGTAAATAAGCAGAAGATGGCGGGTACTGGGGACAGAGGTACAGTCTTTGTAGATGCAGAGTAGCGTTCGATGGCTAGATGAATGCCAGTTAGAAGGATGAATGCCGGTTAGATGAATGCTACTCATATCAGGCATGTGGACATAGCCTGATAATGGGGTGAAGAGTTGTGACATGTATGAAGAAAAATACTACTTAACTGCCAGGCACGCTGGCTCACGCCTGTAATCCCAGCACTTTGGGAGGCCGAGGCGGGCAGGTCACCTGAGGTCAGTAGTTCAAGACCAACCTGGCCAACATGGTGAAACCCCATCTCTACTAAAAAAAATTAGCCAGGCGTGGTGGTGAGTGCCTGTAGTCCCAGGTACTCAGGAGGCTGAGGCAGGAGAATCGCTTGAACTCGGGAGGCAGAGGCTGCAGTGAGCCGAGATCATGCCACTGCACTCCAGCCTAGGCGACAGAGTGAGACTCCGTCTCAAAAAACAAACAAACAAAAAACCACTACATAGCTTCTAGGTGTTATTCACGTAACTGGGAGAACAGTTGGTTTTTTCCTAAACTGGGTGTTTAGAATTTATAATGATAATCTCAGTAAGTCATCTCATATTTCACATATAGATAATTTTCAGTTTAACAGTAAAATAAAAATGACTCTGTACTAGTTAGTGTACTTTTATTTTACACTTTTGAATAGCAGTGAGCAGAATCTACTCTCCAGCTCTATCAAAGCACTTATGTGTAGTGAAACTATATTGTATTTATCAAAATAAGGTGATTGCCACTTGGTATTTACCAGCTATTATCCTTCAAATGGGATGCTATTTTAGAAAATAATTATTATGGCATGTTCATAACTAGAATCATAAAAATATTCTACAAATTCTAAGAGCTCAGCATTCTACTCTTTGATGAAAACTAAGAAATAATCTAAAATTTAAGGCAAAATAGAGTGACATTTTTTAATACCCCTACATGCATAGTATATCACCACAGTATTTCTTTCCTAAAACAGTAATAGGCTCCTAAATATGCTTGACCAGCAGGGAATGTTAAATATTTGTTTGTGTATTTATTCGCTCCGCAAGTATTTTTTGACCACTTTCCATAGGCAAGCCACCGTACTAGACACTGGGGACACAGTCGTGAATAAGATGTGCTCCTGGCCGAGCGTGGTGGCTCACGCCTGTAATCCCAGCACTTTGGGAGGCCGAGGAGGGCAGATCACGAGGTCAGGAGACCAAGACCATCCTGGCCAACATGGTGAAACCCCATCTCTACTAAAAATACAAAACTTAGCTGGGCGTGGCGGTGTGTGCCTGTAGTCCCAGCTACTCGGGAGGCTGAGGCAGGAGAATTGCTTGAACCCGGGAGGCAAAGCCTGCAGCGAGCTGAGATATCTGCACTCCAGTCTGGGCGACAGAGCAAGACTCCGTCTCAAAAAAAAAAAAAATTGTAATTGATTATTTAAATGGAAATCTGTTCCATTTTCATGCCTTGGTGTTTCATACTGATATATTGTTCAATTATAACTTTGAAAAGAGCCAATAGAATCGGTCAAATTGTGTGTATACATTTATTTATGCAACAAAAAAATTATGATGCTTATGTGCCAGGTACCGTTCTAGACCCAGGAGAAAGCACGGTGAACAAAACAAAGTCATTGTGTTCATGGTGATTTCACCCTGGTGGGAAGTCAGTAAGCAAATATATGATCAATATCAGGAATTGATAAATGATAAGAAAAATAAAGCAGATTAAGAGGATAGAGAGTGACCAGAATGCCGTTTTATTTGAGTGGGCTGGGAAGGAGTCTCTGGGGAGATAAAAGTTTTCATAGCTTTCCTTCTTTTGTCTCTGAAGTCAATTCACCTAATGAATGCAGATGCAAGAGAATTTTTGTATCTGTTGGTATCACTCACATATTCATTGAGAGCTATGGTGAGGGCCTACTTCTTACTCTTTACTACTTAGGAATACTAACACCTAGATTCTTCTCTTCATTCTTTTATCACTCTTCCATATACTTAAGTGCCTAAGCACCTTCATTCATCCATCCCTTATATAATTTTTTTTCTTGAGACAAAATCTGGCTCTCTTGCCAGGCTGGAGTGCAGTGATGTAATCTCGGCTCACTGCCACCTCTGCCACCCAGATTCAAGCGATTCTCCTGCCTCAGCCTCCCAAGTAGCTGGAATTATAGACGCATGGCACCACACCTGGCTAATTGTTTTGTAATTTTAGTAGAGACGGGGTTTCGCCATGTTGGCCAGGCTTGTCCCGAACTCCTGACCTCAGGTGATCCACCCACCTCAGCCTCCTGAAGTGCTGGGATTACAAGCGTGAGCCACCATGCCTGGCCATCCATTCCTTATCCTTCATCCAAAAATCATGATTTGGTATCTGTTCTGGTTTTCCAAAATCTTGCGATATGATTTATTTGATTAAAAAATACATTGTGCAGTTAAGTGACTTCCAGTGTTTGATTATAAAGTGGAATTGCTTCTGGAGAGAGCTCTTTTATCTAAGTGTTTTGGTGAACTCACAACCACTGAAATTTGATGTCTTGGGTCAAATTGGGTCTACAGTGATCCCAGCCTTAATGCCTAAAAGCCCTAAATAATACACTTCTCAAGTGTTCTATAGCATTGCACTAGTCTAAAATAGATAACTGGCACTCCCCTACACCTCATTGTTGGCTAACTGACTTGTCCCATAAATAGCCCAGTGTTACGTGATCAGACAACTACAACTAACAGAAGAGATTTTTATTTCCTGACACACTTGTACAGTCTCTGGTAGTAAACAAAATCCAAGTCCAAGTCACCGGCCCCTAACTGTAACCTAGTTCTTAGAAGAATTGTGCAAATCAGTAGCCAAATCATGTGGGATGGAATTCAAGATAACCCTGCCTTATACCAAACTCTACATTATGGAAAATAGTGTTAGAGCAAGATTCATTTTCAGTCCTTAGAGTTACCTGAAGTCCCTTCCCAGTCTACCCAAATGTTTCTGCCCTAATCTGGTTAAACTCAAAGAGCATCTGCCAGATGAGTTAAAAATTGTCAGGTGAGTCTGAGGGGGGCATCATGGTAGTTTTATAAAGCCTTTCTTTAAAAAATCAAGAGCATGTTAAAAAAAGAAACTACCGGCTGGGTGCAGTGGCTCACACCTGTAATTCCAGCACTTTGGGAGGCTGAGGTGGGCGGATCACAAGGTCAGGATATCGAGACCATCCTGGCTAACACGGTGAAACCCCATCTCTGCTAAAAGTACAAAAAATTATCCGGGCGTGGTGGCGGGCGCCTGTAGTCCCAGCCACTCGGGAGGCTGAGGCAGGAGAATGGCGTGAACCCGGGAGGCGGGGCTAGCAGTGAGCTGAGATCGCGTCACGGCACTCCAGCCTGGGCAACAGAGCAAGACTCCGTCTCAAATTAAAAAAAAAAAAAAAGAAACTACCTGCTATTGGAGTATAATGGTTCATATTTCCAACTCTTAGGTGGAATGTATTGTTTTTGTGTCTGAAAGATTTGTAAATGCTATAATTTAACAACATTGCTTCATAAATTCCTTAGCAGTAACTCAGGAGGTGAACCTTCGGGCATTTTTCCAGATAAATCTGTGCTCTTTGTGTGCAAAGCATTGCTGCTTAGGTAACTAGTGATAATGCATAGGGTTCAATCAACACTTCAGATATTTTCACTTTTCTTTTACTGGGCTTTTTCAAAATGGCATATGTTTATTATATTTCTGAAGTCAAAATACCAAATCTAAAACAAGTGATTTTTTAAAAAAAATCTCTCAGCTGGGCGCAGTGGCTCACACCTATAACCCCAGCCCTTTGGGAGCTGAGATGGATCACTTGAGGTCAGGAGTTTGAGACCATCCTGGCCAACATGGTGAAACCCCATCTCTACTGAAAATACAAAAATTAGCTGGGTGCGGTGGCGGGCACCTGTAATCTCAGCTACTTGGGAGGCTGAGGCAGTAGAATTGCTTGAACCCGGGAGGCAGAGGTTGCAGTGAGCCGAGATCTTGCCACTGCCCTCCAGTCTGGGCAACAGAGCAAGACTCTGTCTCAAAAAAAAAAAAAAAAAAACTCTCTGCTAATTATTTATTACTGTTGAAATGCTGCTTACCATGGCTGACAATTTTGAACAAAAGTAAAGAATATGTCTACGATGTCAAAGTTAGCAATTCTTTCCCTAATTCTCCTTTTGTACTTTTGCTTATAAGACCTTAGTACATTTCATAGTCAGAGCTTCATAGACCCAGCTGTGTATCTTTCCATGGCCAGGCTGAGTGTCTACATTTTGAAAACATTTTAAAGTTAAAATTCAGTTCAAGAATATTGTCTTTAGTCTACCAAAAGGGCTAAAAACATTTACTTTGGCCAAACGTGGTGGCTCACGCCTGTAATCCCAGCACTTTAGGAGGCTGAGGTGGGAGGATCACTTAAGGTCAGGAGTTCGAGACCAGCCTGGCCAACACGGTGAAACCCCATCTCTACTAAAAATACAAAAATTAACCAAGCATGGTAGTGTGCCCCTGTAATCCCAGCTACTCAGGAGGCTGAGACAGGAGAATCATTTGAACCGGGGAGGCGGAGGTTGTAGTGAGCCAAGATTGTGCCACTGCACTCCAGCTTGGGTGGCAGAGCGAGACTGTCTCAAAAAAATAAAAATAAAAATAAATAATAAAATAAAAACATTTACCTTGGTAACTAAGTGAATATTTACTCTGGTGGATGTAAGGGGAAAATAAAGAAAAAACGCCCAAAGCACTGATTGTTTGTTCAACAGATTGTAAACCATGGCTGTGTGGATACAAGCTCAGCAGCTCCAAGGAGAAGCCCTTCATCAGATGCAAGCGTTATATGGCCAGCATTTTCCCATTGAGGTGCGGCATTATTTATCCCAGTGGATTGAAAGCCAAGCATGGTAGGTGAACAAGGATGTTTGCATCATATTTTGTGAAACACAAGAATATTGGAGTTTGTTTAGAAAGATGTCATGATGGCAACTTTCAAAGTTGTATTTTTAAACATTTTTAAATGTGATCCATAAAAAGGTATTTAAAATTTTTTTTCTTTTTATAGGTGAAAGGTATTTAAGCCCATCTTAGATTGAGGGGATGGAATAACTCTTGGGATTTTTAAAACAGGATTTGTTCCCCTTTAATAGTAAATACTGTCTAAAAGCATTAGAATATTACTGCTAAGAAAGAGCAGCCAACAAATATGTTTCGAGTGCCCATGGGATGCCTAGCAGTGTCCTAAGTAGTAGAATTTATATGAAAAAAATTAAAGCCCAACATTGTGTTGTAATCCCAACACTTTGGGAGGCCAAGGCAGGTGTACTGCTTGAGCCCAGGAGTTCAAGGAAGGCCTGAGCAACATAGCAAAACCCTGTCTCTGTACAAAATACAAAAATTAGCCAGGTGTGGTGGTGTGCACCTGTAGTACCAGCTACTTGGGAGGCTGAGGTGGGAGGATCACTTGAGCCTGGGAGGCAAAGGTTGCTGTAACCCATGATCACACCACTACACTCCAGCCTAAGCAACAGAGTGAGACCCTGTCTCAAAACAAACAAACAAACAAAATTAAAGCCCTCATCTCCAGATAATTCAGTGTTTCACTGGACATGGTGGTGCACACCTATAATCCCAGCTACCCAGGATGCTGAGGTGGGAGGATTGCTTGACCCCAGCAGTTTGAGGCCAGCCTAGGCAACATAGCAAGATCCTATGTCAAAAAATAATAATAATAATTTAGTGTTTAATGGGGCAGATAGGTGTGAATATGCATATAATTTAATTATAATTTATTTCTTATAGTTTATTAAATATAAATTATTTTACATTTCTTAATAAGTTTACATCTAACAAAAAACTAAAAATTAATAATTTAACAGTGGAGACATTGGTGTTTTTAATTTATATGTATTTTATATATACACATAAAGACTAAAAGAAAATTGAGTGGGTGTTGTGGCTCATGCCTGTAATCCCAGCACTTTGGGAGGCCAAGGCAGGCAGATCACTGGAGGCCAGGAGTTCTGAGACAAGCCTGGCCAACATGGCAAAATCCCATCTCTACTGAAAATACAAAAAATTAGTTGGGCGTGGTGACGGGCGCCTGTAATCCCAGCTACTCTGGAGGCTAAAGCATGAGAATCGCTTGAAGTCGGGAGGCAGAGGTTGCAGTGAGCCGAGATCGCACTACTGCACTCCAGCCTGGGCAACAGAGTGAGACTGCCTTTAAAAAAAAAAAACAAAACTAAACGAAAATATACCCAAATGTTAACACTAATTACATTCTGGTGGTAGATTTGATAAGCATTTTAATTTTTCTTTATTTTCCAGATTACTGATTACATACTTGGGGGAGGGGAGAGTTGTTTTAAATTTCTTTTAGAATTAGTACAGTGCAGTCGACTAACAGCACAGGTTTTTAATTGGTATCATTATTACACACCAGGCAGCAGGATGTACACTGCTCTGCTCAAGGTCTGGGAGGTTGCTGGTTGGTTACAGTCTGTCAGTCGATCTGACATATTCATTTGATACTTCAAGCCTCACCGTCTTAGCCATGGGTCCTCTTTGACAGTCCCTGAGAGAACCAGCTTTGATGCTGCTATTTGCAAAGGGCCATATACCTGTCTGTAATGTTGCCTTAGAATAATCGCAATGCGTGTTAGTAGCAAATTTCTGTTCAGAAACTAAAGATCACCAAAGAAAGGCAATTTTCTAGGCAATTAAAAAAAAACTCAACTTCATGTAATTAAGTGAGGGAAAAAAATTAGCTAAATATGAGAATGTCAGCTGTACCTCGTTTAGTGCTTTCCACTCCCTTTTCATTTTCTCTCCTGTTTTCTGATGTGGAGGATTTAGAAAAACATGAGTAGGAAGTTGCTGTTAATTTCAGATTTCACTTAGCAGAGTTCTCATTTGGTGTTCTCACTGAATGAATTAAAAGACTTGTGTTGATATTAAGGAAAACTTGAAATTTTTTAGCTTTGGTTTTCTTCAGAATATAAAGATTTTAATGAAGAATTTTCAATTCTTTTTTTTTTTTGAGATGGAGTCTCGCTCTGTCACCAGGCTGCAGTGGCGTGATCTCGGCTCACTGCAATCTCCGCCTCCCGGGTTCAAGCAATTCTCGTGCCTCAGCTTCCCGAGTAGCTGGGACTGCAGGTGCCCGCCACCACACCGAGCTAATTTTTGTATTTTTAATAGAGACGGGGTTTCATCATGTTGGCCAGGCTGGTCTCTAACTCCTGACCTTGTGATCTGCCCATTTCGGCCTCCCAAAGTGCTGGGATTAAAAGCTTGAGCCACCGGGCCCAGCCAAATCTTTAGTTCTTTATGTTTAAGCCATCTAAGCAAGTCTTTTTTTTTTTTAACAGAGAATTAAGGTTTCAAGTAAAGAACCAATACCTGACTTCTGTGAGTTTTGCTCAGAGACTGGATCCTTTTAAGAGTGGGCTCCTGGCCGGGCACGGTGGCTCACGCCTGTAATCCCAGCACTTTGGGAGGCTGAGGTGGGTGGATCACTTGAGATCAGGAGTTTGAGACCAGCCTGGCCAACATGGTAAAACCCCGTCTCTATTAAAAATACAAAAATTAGCCAGGCGTGGTGGTGCACGCCTGTAATTCCAGCTACTTGGGAGGCTGAGGCAGGAGAATCACTTGAACCCGGGAGGCAGAGGTTGCAGTGAGCTAAGATCGTGCTACTGCATCCCAGCCTGGGTGACAGAGTGAGACTTCGTCTCAAAGAAAAAGAGTGGGTTTCCAGACCAAGGGCATTGTTGCCAGTTGAAACAGAGGTGCAGGGCTGCCCTCATTCCTTCCAGCCTTTCATTTAATACGTATTCTATTTAATACATAGGGCACACATATTTAGAATCTGACTTGCCTTAACTGCCTTCTCAAGGCGCAGATTGGGGTGTACTATTTGATGGACTATGGTATCACTGCTTTTTTTGTTTTGTTTTGTTATGTTTTCGTAGAGAGAATCTTGCTTTGTCACCCAGGCTGGAGTGCAGTGGCGCAATCTTGGCTCACTGCAACCTCCACCTCCTGGGTTCAAGCAGTTCTCCTGCCTCAGCCTCCCAAGTAGCTGGGACTACAGGCACATGCCGCCACGCCCGGATAATTTCTTTTGTGTTTTAGTAGAGATGGGGTTTCACCGTGTTGCCCAGGCTGATCTCCAACTCCTGAGCTCAGGTAATCCGCCTGCCTCGGCCTCCCAAAATGCTAGGATCACAGGCGTGAGCCACCACGCCCGGCCGGTCTCACTGTTTTGATACACTTGTTGGTGCCTCTTTTTTGAAATTAGTTGCTATCTTCAGGGATTTAGGGATGGCAGAGCCTTTTAGCTACCACTATCTTGTTTGGCTCCAGACCCAGTCAGCAGTTATTGAATGTTATTTCAGTCCGACAGCTGTTTGGTTTCTTCAGTGAGTAAGTAATTTGGTACTTCCCAGTGTCAATTGTTGCCTAAGTAGTAGAAAGGAAGGAAGGAACGGAAGGAAAGAAGGAAAGAAGGAAAGAAAGGAGGGAGGGAGACCATCCAACCCCCGTCACCAGTTCAGTAGCTTGAAATCAATGCAAAGTCTGTAGCGTGGTTTTCCTTGTTTACTGGAAAAGTTGGCATTGCCTTCAGGTCCTGGGTCTGCAACTAGTGACATGAATGTCTGACTCGTATAAATTCTTGTAGGCACCCTCTGCCTGAATGTCTCATTTCCAGGGCTTCTTAGAAATAGCAATAACTTGTTTCACCTGTCTCTACCTAAGAAACCCACAGATACCAAACTCCTTGAGGCTGGAAAGGACATGTAGAAGAGTCTTGGCCTTGTGCCTCCTTTACACCCATGAGGGGTAACTATAAATAGGAAATTATCCAAGTCCTTATTTCCTTCAGAGTACACAGAACCCTTTCCTTTTCCTTGCATTTCTCGGAGCAAATAGCATAAGCACCAAGCACATCATTGAGAGAAAGGAAGAAGGGCAGCACATTGTTAAAAATTTTTTTTTTTAAAAGAAGGAAATCTACTGTATAATCCAACTATTTAGTAAATTACAAATAGATTAACATAGGCATTGAGTCCATTTCTGTTGGGCTGTTTCTTAAAATTTGCAGTGAGGATTAAAAACATCACTTTAGTTGAAGAAAAAGTAGGATGTGTTGAGGCTGTATTTATACAGGCTCACGTGCATGTATGTATACAGATTATGTAATTTTTTTCCCCTAGGGACTCAGTAGATCTTGATAATCCACAGGAGAACATTAAGGCCACCCAGCTCCTGGAGGGCCTGGTGCAGGAGCTGCAGAAGAAGGCAGAGCACCAGGTGGGGGAAGATGGGTTTTTACTGAAGATCAAGCTGGGGCACTATGCCACACAGCTCCAGGTGGGTGTGGGCTCTGGGGTCACACTTAATTACCTTCCCTTGGGGGTCTTCTTCCTGTAGAGACTTTCTTTCTCTCCTTCAGTCCAGCATTGTTGAGTTACACGTGCATAAGGTTCTTGTTGTGTGGTTTTGGTCTTTTTTTTTTTTTTTACTTTTTATTTGAGAATAATTTCATACTTCCAGAAAGTTACAAGAATCATACAAAGATTCCCCACATATGCCCATATTCACCTGTTGTTGACTTTTATGTTGTCATATACTCCTCGCTGTCTCTCGACACACACGTTTTTCAGTCACTGGAGAGTAAGTTGCATACCTTGTGTCCCTGCACCAGTAAGTACCTCTGTGCATTTTCTATTTATTTATTTATTTATTTATTTATTTATTTATTTTTGAGACGGAGTCTTGCTCTGTCGCCCAGGCTGGAGTGCAGTGGAGCAATCTCAGCTCACTGCAACCTCTGCCTCCCGGGTTCAAGCGATTCTTCTGCCTCAGCCTCTCAAGTAGCTGGGATTACAGGCTCCTGCCACCATGCCTGGCAGTTTTTTTTTTTTTTTGGTATTTTTAGTGGAGACGGGGTTTTGCCATGTTGGCCACAGTGGTCTTGAACTCCTGACCTCAGGTGATCCGCCCACCTCAGCCTCCCAAAGTGTTGAAATTATAGGCATGAGCCACTATGCCCGGTCCCTCTGTGCATTGTCTTTTTTTTTTTTTTTTTTTGAGATGGAGTTTCACTCTTGTTGCCCAGGCTGGAGTGCAGTGGCGCGGTCTCGGCTCACCGCAACCTCCACCTCCCGGGTTCAAGTGATTCTCCTGCCTCAGCCTCCCAAGTAGCTGGGACTACAGGTGCATGCCACCACACCCGCCTAATTTTTGTATTTTTAGTAGAGATGGGGTTTCTCCATGTTGGTCAGGCTGGTTTCGAACTCCCGACCTCAGGTGATTCACCCTCCTCGGCCTCCCAAAGTGCTGGGATTACAGGCATGAGCCACCGCACCCAGCCCCTCTGTGCATTTTCTAAGAATGAACCTTGTCTTGCATGGTTATAATACACTGATCAACTTCACTAAATTTAGCATTGATATAATACTTTTAGGTACTCATCTGGATTTCCATTTTGTCAACTAATTCAAACATGTCCTTTAGGGTATTTTTCCCCGCTGCAGTCCAGAATCCAGCCCAAGATCACATATTGCATCTAGTCATCATGTCTCTTTAATCTCCTTTAATCTGGAACCATTTTGCAACCTTACTTTGTCTTTCATTACATTGGCATTTTAAAATAATTAATGTAGGCTGGGTGCAGTGGCTCACACCAGTAATCCCAGCACTTTGGGAGGCTGAGGCGGGTGAATCATCTGAGGTCAGGAGTTCGAGACCAGCCTGGCCAACATGGTGAAACCCCATCTCTACTAAAAATACAGAAATTAACTGGGTGTGGCAGTGGACAACTGTAATCCCAGCTACTTGGGAGGCTGAGGCAGGAGAATCTCTTAAACCTGGGAGGCAGAGGTTGCAGTGAGCCGAGACCGTGCCATTGCACTCCAGCCTGGGTGACAAGAGTGAAATTCCATCTCAAAAAATAATAATAATAATTCATGTACCCCCTGCTTTTTAAAGATAAAATGTTCCTCATTTGGGGTTTGTCTGATGTTTCCTCATGATTACGTTAACATTGCACATCTCCGAGCAGACTTCTAAATATAGTTGGCTGTCCATGTCCATGGGTTCTGCATCCTGATTCCACCAACCGCAGCTCAGAAATATTCAGGAAAAGAAAAAAAGTAAAAACAAATAGAAATAAAGATATGACAGAACAGCTATTTACATAGCATTTCTTTTGTATTAGATAGTATAAGCAATCTATAGGTGGTTTAAAGTGTATGGGAGGATTGTATGCATTCTATGCAAAACGATGCCATTTTATATAAGGAACTTGAGCATCTGCAGATTTTGGTATCCAAGTGGGTCCTGGAACCAGCCCCCACAGATGCCAAGGGACAATTGTAGGTGACTTGTCCTTCTCGGGTATCACATCCAGAGGGGGGCAGTGTCCCTCGTCCCCTCATTGGTGGTAGTAGTTTTGATTGCCCATTTGAGAGTGGCATCCAGTTTCTCCTCTTGCGAGGCTTTTAAAACTTATTTATTCCGTTTTTAAGAATGTTCCCCGGATACTTTAGGCAAATTAAGATGCAAAAAGTAAAACAGCACTTTGGGAGGCTAAGGCAGGTGGATCACCTGAGGTCAGGAGTTCGAGACCAGCCTGGCCAACATGGTGGAACCCCATCTCTACTAAAAAGACAAAAATTAGCCAGGCGTGGTGGCGGGCCCCTGTAATCCCAGCTACTCGGGGGGCTAAGGCAGGAGAATTACTTGAACCCAGGAGGCAGAGGTTGCAGTGGCCCGAGGTTGTGCCACTGCACTCCAGCCTGGGCAACAGAGTGAGACTCAGTCTCAAAAAAAGAAAAAAGAAGTAAAACAATCTTACCTTTTCACTGCAATTGGATTTCCATGATGTGCCTTCTTGTTCCTGTTGGTATTGGAGGAACAGTGCCTCCTGTGATTCAGGAGGTCCCTCAGGAGGCTCCCCATCCTGAGGCATGGTTAGGGCCCATAGTGTGGAGTGGCACAAAGTGATGTCTGCTGTTGGATTCTTTCAGAACACGTATGACCGCTGCCCCATGGAGCTGGTCCGCTGCATCCGCCATATATTGTACAATGAACAGAGGTTGGTCCGAGAAGCCAACAATGTGAGTGTCCCATAGGGATGGGGAGGGCAGTCGGGAAGTCTTTTCTTACCCACCTCCCTCTGGACCCACCTTTGTCAAGGTGACTCAGGGTGCACTATTGGTGTCTCTTTAAAGAGAGCTTCATCCTAAGGGGCACAAAAGAAATAGGAGACTTGACTGAGTGCAGCCCAGCACTTTGGGAGGCTGAGGCAGGCAGATTGCCTGAGCCCAGGAGTTCGAGAGCACCCTGGGCAACATGATGAAACCCCGTCTCTACCAAAAATACAAAAAAATTAGCTGGGCATGGTGGCATATGCCTGTAGTCCTGGCTGTTCGAAAACCTGAAGTGGGAAGATCCCTTGAGCCCAGGAGGTAGAGGCTGCAGTGAGCCATGATCGCACCCCTGCACTCATGGGTGATGGAGTGAGACCCTGTCTCAAAAAAAAAAAAATGAAATAGAAGATGTGGTCTCTGATCTTAACTGATTTATAACCTTGATGAGATTGCAACCACAAGACAATGTGAACAAGTGCAAAGTAATTCAACCTCAGCTGAATAATTTTTTAGTAAAGGCATGCTCATATTCAGGTGAGAATACTTAGGAAAGACTTTTCCCTAGCCCCTGAATCAGGTGTGGAAGGAGTGGTCTGATCAGGTCACTTACAGGGCTGGGTCCACAGAGACCTTGTTTATGCCTCCCCCATCACTTCACCCTGGGGTCTCCAGGATGCCTGCAAGAGGTTTGGCCTCTTCCATGGTGGAAGCAAATGATTCCATCACGAGAATATCTTGAGTGAGGACACAGATGATGTGTGTTCACATGGCCCTGCTCCCCATGGCCTCCCTAATGCTTAATGCCGTCCTTGCATTGGGTCAGTGAGTGGAAGAGGAATCACTCCACCTCCTCATTAGTAGGAAAACCCAGGTGACACTGGACCAGGTTACGTTCTAGTTTCTCCAAAGGTAATTCAATGGACCTCGTTTGGAATACTCTGGTGGAGGTCAGATCTGAAATGGAAGCTTCTCCCATGCTTTGTGATCTGAGCCATGATCTGTCCGCTCACCTGTTTCTCACTTTTCCCACTCCACCCTGTGTCTCATGATGACGTTTGCTTTTCCTCCCGACTCAAAATTTACCTTTTGGGGTCTTACCCTGGTTGTAGGAGCTGGCTTTTCCTGGGGATTAAGGCCTCAGTCTTCCTCCCATTCGCACTGCCTTGCACTGCCCCCCATATGTTCCCAGGGTAGCTCTCCAGCTGGAAGCCTTGCTGATGCCATGTCCCAGAAACACCTCCAGATCAACCAGACGTTTGAGGAGCTGCGACTGGTCACGCAGGACACAGAGAATGAGTTAAAAAAGCTGCAGCAGACTCAGGAGTACTTCATCATCCAGTACCAGGAGAGCCTGAGGATCCAAGGTGAGGCGCGGTGGAGGCACATTGTGCAACTTGAGGATTGGGCCTGGGGACTGGAAAGCAGCTCTGGTGGGGTTGGGAGAAAGCACACTTTCCATTCGGAGGCAGCGACCTTTCTCTGAGTAGCAGGGACTTATTTGCATTGAAGACAGTGCTGAGAGGATGAGATTTAGGAAGGGGAGATGACAGGACCCCCCGCTTAAGTGCATATCTCACTCAGGTCCCCACATCCAGGGAGCTTCTGAGCTGCCAGGGAAGACATTTCTTCTTTTGAGAAGGAGCTCACAGTCTAAATAAATACTAGCAAACAATACTTTTGTATATAGTAGGCATATTATAAGTGGAGCTTTATTGAAATGATAAATAGGAAATTATATAATTACATGTTTAAAAATTTTTCTGGCTGGGCACGGTGGCTCACACCTGTAATCCCAGCACTTTGGGAGGCTGAGGCAGGCGGATCACCTGAGGTCAGGAGTTCGAGACCAGCCTGGCCAACATGGTGAAACCCCGTCTCTACTAAAAATACAAAATTAGCTGGGCATCCCAGTGGCGCATGCATGTAATCCCAGCTACTTGGGAGGCTGAGGCAAGAGAATCTCTTGAACCCGGGAGGCGGAGGTTGCAGGGAGCCGAGATCTCACCATTGCACTCCAGCCTGGACAAAAAGAGCAAAATTCTGTCTCAAAAAAAAAAAAAAAAAATTCTAAGCTGGGAGTGGTTTTGCACACCTGTAATCCTGGTGCTTTGGGAGGCCAGGGCAGGAGGATCACTTGAGGCCAGTAGTTTCAGACTAGCTTAGGCAACATAGTAAGACCCTATCTCTAAGGGGGAAAAGAAACCTTTCTAAGCAGGTACGTGTAAGTACTAAGGACCTGTATATGATTTCTAATGTTCTATGCAGTTATTCACAGAGGTCTTCCTGAAACAGAGTACACTTAACGCCCCTTAGGTAGCCCTTATGGACAGAGCTTCCCTAGCCTGGTATAAATCCTGCTTAGTAGTTGGGGCACAGAGAGCTTCAGTCTGTGGTGAGGCTGTGGAGCCCCACCAGCGCCCCCTTTTGACCCTGTAGCAGTTTGGCAGTTTGAGCTTTAATAGTTTCCTCTCTGCTTCCATGCCCAGCTCAGTCTCAGAGAAGCCTTGGCTCAACCACCCAGCCCCTCCAAACACACACACACACAGCACACACAGACAACACAGCACACACACACACCACACACATCACACACACAGCACACACACACACAGCACACACACCCCCCACAGCACACAGAGACACACAGTGCACACACACAGCACACACACACCACACACAGCACACACACAGACACACAGCACACACACACCACACCACACACACCACACCACACACAGCACACACACACCACACCACACACAGCACACACACACCACACATAGCACACACACACACCACACATACACACCACACACACATAGACACACAGCACACACACACACACACAGCACATGCTCCTCTAATTCCATGTATGTAGGTTCCATTTTATGTCTATAGTGATACTACTTATTTACTCTTTATCTTCTCCACTGGAATATAAATCTTTGAGAAGGGACTATATCTTTTATCTCTGTACCCTGAGGCCAGCACAATGCCTGAAACATAACAGTTATTGAGTAAAGGTTGACAGGATGATTCTAGCCTGTCTTCCTTTTTTATCTGAATCCATCCTAGACTGGCCCTAGAAGAAGGGCAGCTCCTTCAGAGAATGGAAACGGAAGATTTGGGATGGCTATTCCTACCCAAGTCCTTAGACTGTCAACAGTATTTCTGATCCCGTGCCTGGCTTTTCTGTTTCCTGTGCATGGTGGCGGATTAGGTTTGGATTCAGGTTGGGTTTGGATCTATCACGCAGTGTCTTCTCAGTCCCATTTGTCAAGTTCACTCAGCAGAAACACAGACTATTGATCTGCTTTTGCCAGGGAAGGCTCAGCTGCCTCCAGTGGAGTAGGGAAATTGCTTCCCGTCTCCCTGGCCTCCTTCCCAAAAGCTTCTGCAAATTTCCAGGAGAGCCCTAAGTGGGTCCCTTGCATAGGAAGGCTGGGCCCAGGTGTTGGGATCACCACCACCCTCCCTGTGGCTGGGCAGGATTCCTGAGGTAGCCGTGCAGATACCTTGGATCTGTCCGTCCCTGGATGATCCTCTTCCTGCTCGATACCTGCAGTGAGATTGGAGCCATATTTCTGAGTTCTAGCTCTGGGCTGTTCCTGGCTACATAGAGTTGCTTTTGTCTGTCCCAGCTTGTGCATCCCATGGGTCAGGGCTGGGGTCAGAGTGACGTGGCCCTCAGGGGCCAGCCAGGAGCTCGACCAAGACATGCTGGTGCGCGCATCTTCTGACTCAGCTCAAGCAAGGACTCTGGGCTGTTGAGAAGGTGATGGGAAGGGATTAATAGTCCCAGTGTGGTGGAGACGGGCTGTCGCTGGGAGGGTGGGGTGGGCCTGCGGTGGTGGTTGTAACTGTGGACATGTTTACTTTCTTAGCCTGGGTTATTGATACACAGGTGCTCCTGTGTTCCACGTTCCCTGTGTCTTACCTATTTCATAATAATTTTTAAAAGGTAATGAGGCCTAACTTACTCCCTGTCCCGCCATCAATGAGACTCCTCACAGATGGTGTGGAGGGAAGCCGCCTCCCTTCGGCCTCCCTTTCCTGAGAGAATCTTGGTGGCTCTGCATCCCCAGTGGCCCTGGACATGCTCTCCCTCTGCGGTCTGTCTGTCTGTCCGTGTTCCCTGGTTGGTTGGCTGGGTTCACAGTGAGCTCACCTGGACAAACATGCTGGGCCCCTTCCAGCCTCTCAAGAATCTCATCCTCCCCTGAGGAGGGATTGCTGTGCTCAGGGACTAGACAGAGCCGCCGGGGCTGGGTTTCCCTGAAGAGGCCTTGCTGCGGGAGGGATGGGGCCGAGCAGCTGCTTGTCTCTGTCACCTCTTCTCTCTGTCCTGTTCCCCGTTAACCAAGAAGCACGAACCTCACACAGAGCTCACCCATGTCAGGCAGCTTTCTGGCATCTTCCATGTCCTCATGTATTTAATCTTAATGCACCCCACTGAGGCAGGTGCCGAGAATCTCCCGTTTTACACGTGGGGAAGCCAAGGCACAGGAAAGGAAAGCGATTTGCCCAGGTTCACCTGCAGTCAAGGGCATGGGCACACTTACACCCCAGACAGCCTGGACCCATGCTGGGCCGCGAGAAGAGGGCTGGCAGCCCTGTGAGGCAGGCGGGCAGGAGGCAGGCAGGCCTCCTCCCCAGCTGCCCCAGCACCCGTGTGCCCCCAGAGGGGACGGCTCAGAGTCAGGAGGCTGGCGAGCAGGGCCCAGAGGCGCCTCCTGGGGCACCCATTCATCTTGGCCCCCCTGGCTGTCAGGAACCCCGACTTGCCCTTAATGCAGTATCTGAGCCCAGGAGGGTCTCGCTCCAGAACGGGTGAGTGGGCTTCTCTGGGCCTCCTGTTGGACACTGGGAGGTGATGGTCATGGTTTCCTCTCCCCTCCTCTAGCTCAGTTTGGCCCGCTGGCCCAGCTGAGCCCCCAGGAGCGTCTGAGCCGGGAGACGGCCCTCCAGCAGAAGCAGGTGTCTCTGGAGGCCTGGTTGCAGCGTGAGGCACAGACACTGCAGCAGTACCGCGTGGTGAGTGGGGTCCTGGGCCTCTCCTGGGCGTGGGTGCCATGAAGTCAGTCTCTGGGGACCCGAGGGAGGGCTGGGACCAGCATGAGAGCAGAACCTGGGAGGGCAGGAGGCCTTTTTTCCTGGGGGCCTTGCGAGGCAGAGCAGCTTGGGGAGAGGGAACGGCCTGGGCCCTGCCCTGCCATTTCCCAGCGAGGCCCTGCGGTGTTCTCTGGGAGCCCAGAAGGGGCTGCTCTCCTCCCTTCCCTCAGGAGCTGGCCGAGAAGCACCAGAAGACCCTGCAGCTGCTGCGGAAGCAGCAGACCATCATCCTGGATGACGAGCTGATCCAGTGGAAGCGGCGGCAGCAGCTGGCCGGGAACGGCGGGCCCCCCGAGGGCAGCCTGGACGTGCTACAGTCCTGGTAATGGTGTGGGGCGGCCAGCGGGCAGGGCAGGAGGGGCTGGTGGGGATCCCGGCTGCTTCTGCGTCCTGTGCTGGCTCCTGCAGCAGGCCCCCTCCATCCTGGGACAGCTCTTGTTTCTCCAGGGAGCCTGGTTCCTCAATCAGACTTTGGCCCCCATCCTGTGCACCTCCCCCAGGAAGGGGGCTGCTGTCCTGGAGATGGGACAGGGTTCGGGTGTGTGGGGTGATGCTTGGGCTGTTTGGGCCTAGTCAGGGTCGCCCCTCCTGTGTACGTCTCTAATTCTGGGAGGCAGGGAGCTCTGCTCTTCCCATGGGTGGGAAGTGTGGCGAAAGCACAGAGCCTTCCTGGGGGAACGGGAGCTGTGTCTTGGGGCCTGGCGTCTGTGCGGAGGAGCCATTGTCCTCCTGTTGGCCTTGGGGCTCTCGTGCAGGTGTGAGAAGTTGGCCGAGATCATCTGGCAGAACCGGCAGCAGATCCGCAGGGCTGAGCACCTCTGCCAGCAGCTGCCCATCCCCGGCCCAGTGGAGGAGATGCTGGCCGAGGTCAACGCCACCATCACGGACATTATCTCAGCCCTGGTGACCAGGTGACTGCTGCCTGTTTGCCATGCCCAGGAGCTTGGGGCAGCTCCTGCCTGCGTGGGGGGAGCCGCAGGTGCCTTCCAGACCAGCAGATCCACTTCCTGCCTCTCATCCCTCCCAACTCCATCTCCAGTTGCTGTGGCCCTTGCCCAGTTTCTCCTGTGGACACTGCAAGAGATGCCCTTGGGCTGCAGCCCATGCCAGCTTCTGTGTTATCTCACTCCCCTCTCCATCCTCTCCCTGGACTCTCACGGCTTCCCCAGGAACAGAGGCTGTGCCCGAGCTCTTCACCTCCTGAGCCCCTCGGGAGGCAGCCCCACCCCCACCACAGAGGGACTGAGAGCCCTTTCCCCTGCACCAGCCCCTCATCATGCATCTGTCCCTGTGTCCCCTGCAGCACGTTCATCATTGAGAAGCAGCCTCCTCAGGTCCTGAAGACCCAGACCAAGTTTGCAGCCACTGTGCGCCTGCTGGTGGGCGGGAAGCTGAACGTGCACATGAACCCCCCCCAGGTGAAGGCCACCATCATCAGTGAGCAGCAGGCCAAGTCTCTGCTCAAGAACGAGAACACCCGCAAGTAATTGTGCAGCTTCCTCTCATTCCCTGCTACTTGTCTCATGTCCTGGCAACAGGAAAAAAAGAATTCTGCCTCCTGTGTCAGATCCCTGTTTGCCCTTCTGGCCTCTTCTGGGCATCAGCAAAGGAATATAAGGAAGTTCTTGGGCCTGGTGTGGTGGCTCACACCTGTAATCCAAGCACTTTAAGAGGCCGAGGTGGGCAGATCACCTGAGGTCAGGAGTTCAAGACCAGCCTGGCCAACATGGTGAAACCCTGTCTCTACTAAAAATACAAAAAATTAGCCGGGCGTGGTGGCAGGCACCTGTAATCCCAGCCACTAGAGAGCCTGAGGCAGGAGAATCCCTTGAACCTGGGAGGCAGAGATTGCAGTGAGCTGAGATTGCAGTGAGCTGAGATCACGCCACTGCACTCCAGCCTGGGCAACAAGAGCAAAACTCCGTCACAAAAAAAAAAAAAAAAGTTCTCTTAGGAACTGTTTTCTGTGAAGATAGTTTGATCTTGTTTCATTTTGTAGAGATACGTCCGAGAAGATTACATGTATGTGTTATGTAGCTAACATTTCCTCTAAATGACGTACATTTTTAGCAAACTTCTCTATTTCCTGCTACCCCAAATTATATTATTTACTCCGCATGTCCTGAGACCCTGGCATGGGTTTGGAGCTGGTCTCTCTCTGATTTGCAGTGATTACAGTGGCGAGATCTTGAACAACTGCTGCGTCATGGAGTACCACCAAGCCACAGGCACCCTTAGTGCCCACTTCAGGAATATGGTGAGGGTGGAAGAAGAGGAAGAATGAATTTTTCCCTGGTCTTTGAGGGGAACAACTTATATCTTACGTTTCATCTTATGTTTCTTCTTTGTAGTCCCTGAAACGAATTAAGAGGTCAGACCGTCGTGGGGCAGAGTCGGTGACAGAAGAAAAATTTACAATCCTGTTTGAATCCCAGTTCAGTGTTGGTGGAAATGAGCTGGTTTTTCAAGTCAAGGTAAAGCCTTCCCTCAGCTCTGCGTGTGCGTGTGCGTGTGTGTGTGTGGTGTACTTTATGTTACAAAATATTTTTTTTTTATCACATAGCATCTTCTTCTTTTTGACTGTTGGTAAACTGAAAATGGACTGACCTCACCCTGAGAACTGTTTCACTTAGGTTCTCTTAAGACATGAACAGAGGCCAAGCACAGTGGCTCATGCTTGTAATCCCAGCACTTTGGTAGGTTGAGGCAGTCAGGTCACTTGAGGTCAAGAGTTCAAGACCAGCCTGGCTAACACAGTGAAACCCCATCTCTACTAAAAAGTACAAAAATTAGCCAGGCGTGGTGGCACGTGCCTATAATCCCAGCTACTCAGGAGAATCACTTGAACCTGGGAGGCTGAGGTTGTAATGAACCGAGATTGTGCCACTGCACTCCAGCCTGGGTGAAAGAGTGAGACCCTGTCTCAAAAAAAAAAAAAAAAGACATGAACAAGCAAGGCCCAGTGCAGTGGCTCACATCTGTAATCCTAACACTTTGGGAGGCCAAGGCAGGAGGATTGCTTGAGTTCAGGAGTTCCAGACCAGCCTGGAGCTGGTTGTGAGACCCCGTCTCAACAACAACAACAAATTAAAAAATAAAAAATAAAACATGAACAAACAATAATGAACTGAACTAGCTGGAGAGGTAGACTACAAAATGGATATGAGAAACATTACTTGGGATGAATTTGAGTAAAGGTTGTGGTAAGTTTTAAATTTGTTATTTGTATTTTCTTCCCAGAAATATCTCCAATAGTCTTTTCTCTCTCCTGTTCTCCATGTAACTTTGAGAAACTTTATCCTTCAGAAATATCTAAGCAACATTGCTTGTAAAATATTTAAAATTTCTAAGATTGTGCCAGTATGAAAAGTCATATTATTCCTGGGGCCATTTAGATTCTGTGTCTGAGAGGAACATTAACTGAAACTTGGAAAATAAAAGTGTTGTTATAATAAGAAAAAAAAAAAAGAGAGAAGGAGAAGAACTTGAGGCTCGTGGGCGCTCAGCCTTCTCTTGTGTCTTTTTAGACCCTGTCCCTGCCAGTGGTGGTGATCGTTCATGGCAGCCAGGACAACAATGCGACGGCCACTGTTCTCTGGGACAATGCTTTTGCAGAGCCTGTGAGTGTATTCCTCGGGCATGTGGGTCCCAAAATCAATGCCGGTGTCATGAATCTCATTTATGTATTATCCTTTTAAAAAGCATAGGAAAAGGCCGGGTGCAGTGACTCACACTTGTAATCCCAGCACTTTGGGAGGCCGAGGCGGTTGGATCACCTGAGGTCAGGAGTTCGAGACCAGCCTGGCCAACATAGCAAAATCCTGTTTCTATTAAAAAATACCGAAAAATTAGCTGGGTGTGGTGGCACATGCCTGTAGTCCCAGCTACTTGGGAGGCTGAGGCACGACAATCACTTGAACCCGAGCGGCAGAGGTTGCAGTGAGCCGAGATCGCACCACTGCACTCCAGCCTGGGTGACAGAGTGAGACTCCATCTCAATAATAAAAAAAAAGCATAGGAAAAAAGACGCTGTTTTCTTTAGTGGGAGGCAGAATAGAAAGAATGTGGAAAGTGGAAAGAACATGGGCTTGACATCGGGCCAGGGTTTGAACTGAGACTCCACCATTTCCTCACTCCATGACCACATGGGCAGTTCACTTTACCTCTCTGAGCCTGAGTTTCCAGCAAGTGTCTGCAGCACAGGGATACTCTTGCTCTACAGCATTGTTAGGAAGATTAAATTAGATAACATAGAAAATGCTTGCCACACAGTCAGTACTCAGTAAATATTATTTTGAATCCTTGGGTGAAACTATGAATGGGATTTGGGACTCCTAGGTTCACTCCAGAGGTTAGATCTCTCCAGAGGCTTACTTTAGCATAGAAGTTGCTTCATACCCTCTTCCTTTCAATAAATGAAGATGCTGTTAAATGTCTTTTCCAAATTTTAGTTTCTGTGATTCATTCTAGGTCTCATGAAGAATGAGATACTTTGCCTCAAGGAAGATATAATTTGGTGGATTTATGCACCCAAACGCTATCTGAATCCCACTAGCATGCTGCTCGATGAGCATTTTAAAGATCTCATAGGCTGGGTGCGGTGGCTCATGCCTATAATCCCAGCACTCCAGGAGGCCAAGGCAGGCAGATCCCTTGAGCTCCAGACTAGCCTAGGCAGCATAGCAAAATCCTGTCTCTACAAAAAATACCAAAAAATTAGCCAGGCATGGTACACCAGCCTCTAGTCCCAGCTACTTGGGGGGGGCTGAGGCGGGAGGATCGCCTGAGCCCAGGAGGTCCAGGCTGCAGTGAGCCAAGATTGTGCCACTGTACTCCAGCCTGGGTGACAAAGCGACACCCTGTCTCAAAGAAAAAAATTTTTTTAGTAGGCAAAGGTCATTTGTTACATATTTCCAATAGAGATTAGTCCATAAAAGCATGATAAAAGGGTTATCATTTGGGACATAAGAGCATGTCCTTCTCTAAGTATATCCAACAAACCTTGATTATGTTTTGTTTTGTGGCTGTTAGAATATAGGATTTGACTGTTAGTTCAACAGCTCATTTACAAAACAGCATGGACAGCATGGGTTACCTTCCAGTTGTGTGTAAAGAAGGTGAAATGGAACCTTCTGGCTCACGTGGAGAGGCTTAACGTTTCCCAACACTCCTCTTTAGAGAAAAAGTATTTTACTGCAAAGGTGAGATTTTTAAGAGATTTACCATACTTCACTTACAAACTCTGAATCAGAAGCTCCTTTTTGAAACTGTCTGTCTGCCTCTTGTCCTGATAAGCCTCCTAGATAAGATTGCCACATCTCTTGTTTCCTTCCCTGCCTGTCCACAGATCTCACTCTCTGTGTACCTTTGGCATCTCCTGCACCATGTAATTACTCAAGTATCTTGTCTAAATAAATAAGCATTTTTAACATTCTCAGCTATGTTAATGACTACTTACATCTTATGCTATTTTTTTTTTTTTAATTTTTTTGAGACAGAGTCTTGCTCTGTCACCCAGGCTGGAGTACAGTGGCATTATCTCGGCTCACTGCAGCTTCTGCCTTCTGGATTCAAGCGATTCTCCTGCCTCAGCCTCCCGAGAAGCTGGGATTACAGGTGCATGCCACCACGCCCAATTAATTTTTTATATTTTTAGTAGAGACCAGGTCTCACCATGTTGGCCAGGCTGGTCTCGAATTCTTGACCTCAAGTGATCCACCCACCTCGGCCTCCCAAAGTGCTGGGATTATAGGCATGAGCCACTGCACCCAGCCGACCTTATGCTATGTTAAAAAAAAGACTTTCAGCTGGGCACGGTGGCTCACACCTGTAATCCCAGCACTTTGGGAGGCCGAGGTGGGTGGATCATTTGAGGTCAGGAATTCGAGACCAGCTTGGCCAACATGGTGAGACTCTCATCTCTACTAAAAATACAAAAATTAGCTGGGCGTGGTGGTGCGTGCCTATGATCCCAGCTACTCGGGAGGCTGAGGCAGGAGAATTGCTTGAACCTGGGAGGCAGAGGTTGTAGTGACCTGAGATGGTGCCACTGCACTCCAGCCTGGGCAACACAGTGAGACTCTGTCTCAAAAAAATAAAAAATAAAAAATAAATAATAAAGACTTGTGGCCAGGCACAGTGGTTTATGCCTGCAATCCCAGCACTTTGGGAGGCCAAGGCAAGCGGATCTCTTGAGCCCAGGAATTTGAGGCCAGCCTTGTCAACATAGCAAAACCCTGTCTCTACAAAAAACACACAAATTAGCCAGGCATGGTGGTGCACGCCTGTAGTCCCAGCTGTTTGGGAGGCTGAGGTAGGATAATTACTTGAGCTAAGGAGGCAGAAGTTGCAATGAGCCAAGATTGGGCCACTGTACTCCAGCCTGGATGACAGAGCGAGACCTTACCTAAAAAAAAAAATAATTGTGGAAATTTATTCTCCATATATATTTGCCTATGTGTCCTGTGGGTCAAATAACATAAGAACATTGCAGCATTGTTAGTAATAGCTAAAGATGAGGCTGTAACACTGATGCCCATCTATGGGGGTCTGGTGAAATTTCTTTATGTGCTGATGGGAGGTCTCCCAGATAGAGGATTAAGTGAAAAGAGGAAGATGCAGAACATGTGGATTTTGTGCTGTCATTTGTGAAGAAAAGGAAAAGGTATATGTCATTGCTGGCATGCATAGAATATCTTTGGTGGGATACACAAGAAACTGTGTTAGGTGCCTTTAAAGAAAAGAACTGGGTTGCTGGGAGACAGGGATAGGGAGTGACTTCACTGTGTAGCCGTCTGTGCTTTTTGAATTTTAAATCATGTGAAAATCACCTATTGAAAAAAGTGTTTGTAACAAAATAAAATGGAGTACTATGGCTGAACGGGTTGAAAAGCAGTTTATTAAAAGTTAATCTTCTAACCTATTTCTCAATAAAGCCATCCAACTCAAAATTTCCACTCTTCCATACCAAGTTGTTTTACTTTGAGCTAGAATTCTTGGCAGAAGGAGTCGAGGGCAATGATTCCACGTGTGTACACACATGCCGACACGTGTGCACACATACGCACACTCTCTCTGTTTGTACCTAGAGGACCAGTCTTTCAGATTTCTAAATTCCCAAGGTGTTTACAATCTAAGAGCCAGACCTTGGTTATGTTTTGGTTTGTGGCCGTTAGAACATAGGATTTGACTGTTAGTTCAGCAGCTCATTTACAAAACAGCATGGATAGCATGGGTTACCTTCTAGTTGTGTGTAAAGAAGGTGAAACGGAACCTTCTGAATTTCACAGAACCGTGTACCCCAGCAGAGTCTGAATTTATCCTCAGGCCCTGCAAGACAAATGTGTGTAACCACTCCCAGCCATCAGCGTTTTTCTTTTGTGGCTTGAGGGAATAAATCATGCAACTGTTTTCTCATCAGATTCTGGCCTCTCTCCCTCTCAGGGCAGGGTGCCATTTGCCGTGCCTGACAAAGTGCTGTGGCCACAGCTGTGTGAGGCGCTCAACATGAAATTCAAGGCCGAAGTGCAGAGCAACCGGGGCCTGACCAAGGAGAACCTCGTGTTCCTGGCGCAGAAACTGTTCAACAACAGCAGCAGCCACCTGGAGGACTACAGTGGCCTGTCTGTGTCCTGGTCCCAGTTCAACAGGGTGAGGAGCCCAGCTGCCAGCCGCTGTTAGATCAGTCCTTCCCAACCAGATGCTCTCAGGAGTCTCCCTGCCCTGGGCCCTTATTCTTCATGTCTCTAATAAAATGTACCGAAAGTAATAGAAGCTTCTGACTAGATGGACAACTTGAGAGTTACCCAGGTCACGTGTAGAAAATTACATCTTTGCATATTTTAAATAAGTTGACCTTTGTCTACAGTTAATGCATTTTCTTCCTTTGTAAAGGAAATAGAGCAAAGCAGATGTTAACATAGCTCATGAGAAGCAAAGCTTTTGAGGGGATGCGAACTCTGGGCCTCTCTCCCCTTTACTCTCTTATGTTCCCCATGTGTAATGCCAGATCAGGCTCCTATGGGACCCTCAACCCACAAAGAGGGATGCTGATGAAAGAAACTCCTCCTCTAGCATCTGCTAATTCAGACGTCACTTTGATTTTATTTTTATTCATTTTTTTTTTTTGAGACAGAGTTTCGCTCTTGTTGCCCAGGCTGGACTGCAATGGCACGATCTTGGCTCACCGCAACCGCCGCCTCCTGGTTTCAAGCGATTCTCCTGCCTCAGCCTCCCGAGTAGCTGGGATTACAGGCATGCGGCACCACGCCCCGCAATTTTGTATTTTTAGTGGAGACGGGGTTTCTCCATGTTGGTCAGGCTGGTCTCGAACTCCCGACCTCAGGTGATCTGCCCGCCTCGGCCTCCCAAAGTGCTGGGATTACAGGCGTGAGTCCACTGTGCCCACCCTATTTATTTTTGTTTATTTATTTATTTTTGAGATGGTGTCTCGCTCTGTCACAAGGAGTGCAGTGGTACATTCTGGGCTCACTGCAACCTCCGTCTCCCAGATTCAAGTGATTCTCCTGTCTCAGCCTCCTGAGTAGCCGGGATTACAGGCACCCGCCACCATGTCCAGCCAATTTTTGTATTTTTAGTAGAGACGGGGTTTCACCATGTTGGCCAGGATGGTCTCAAACTCCTGACCTCAAGTGATCTGCCTACCTCAGCCTCCCAAAGTGCTGGGATTACAGACGTGAGCCACCATGCCCGGCTATCACCTTGATTTGAATTTAATTTTTGTTTCTTTTCCTACACCCCCCACCCCCAAGGTGTTTTAAATGTTTAATTTGGAGCCTAACAACGTGCATTTCTCAGAAGCTCCCAGGTGACACTGATGCTTCTGGTCACAGACCACACATCGAAACTAGCAAGGGACGGGTCAGCCCAGTCCCAGGTGAAAGTGTCTGTAGCAGGAGCCCACTGGGTGCTGGTAACTGCAGTTTGGTATTTTCCCCTTCTTCCCTCTTTTCCTCTCCATGGGGCCATTAGGTAAAACTCAGGTAGGCGGGGATATTTGTATGCCTCTGACAAGGGTAGATGTTTGTTTCCCATTTAATTTTTCCAATTAAATATGTGTATAATATTCCAAGTGTTACTCTGGTGTTCTTATGTTCACTGTTGTATCTCCAACCAGGAGAATTTACCAGGACGGAATTACACTTTCTGGCAATGGTTTGACGGTGTGATGGAAGTGTTAAAAAAACATCTCAAGCCTCATTGGAATGATGGGTGAGAATCATTATTTCTTAAGGCGCCGACAGAGTCTGAAGGTCTTCTCTCTGGCATCGTAAGTCACACTCTGCTTCTGTCCTTTGTCCTTGGTGATCCAGGGCCATTTTGGGGTTTGTAAACAAGCAACAGGCCCATGACCTACTCATTAACAAGCCAGATGGGACCTTCCTCCTGAGATTCAGTGACTCAGAAATTGGCGGCATCACCATTGCTTGGAAGTTTGATTCTCGTGAGTGCCCCTCCCTTCTTATGTCCAAAGTTAGCTGCTTTCGTTACAAAATTATTTTAACAAATAATTTAGTGGGTACTTACTATTTGTTGAGGTCAGTACTAATTATGGGAAACATAAATGTATAGCCATGACATACTCATAATAAGGCAGCCTATGAAAAATACTATTATGGGAAACACAATTGCTAATTTGGTTATACATGAAAGTATATGGCAGCATGGTTACACATGAACATTTAACCATGACATGGCTACCTATGATACAAGAGTCCGTGCAGAATCTCAGTTGCTTCCCTCTTAAAATGTTTGCCTTATTGTACTACTCTGCATAAAGCTTATTTCAGTGAAGAATTTGATGATTTGGAGTTCTTACAGTAGTAAAAATATTCCTTTATCCTAATTAACATATGGATATTGCCATCAACCATTTCTACCCAAGATGTTAGTTCTTTTCTTTTTTTGAAACAGGGTCTCACTCTTTTGCCCGGGCTGGAGTGCAGCGGCACAAACATGGCTCACTGCAGCCTTGACCTCCTGGCCTCAAGCAGTCCTCCTCCCTTAGCCTCCCGATTAGCTGGGACCACAGACGTGCACCACCACACCCATCTAATTTTTAAATTTTTTGTATGTTGCCCAGGCTGGTCTCGAACTCCTGGGCTCAAACAATCCCCCACTTTGGCTTCCCAAAGTATTGGGATTACGGGCTTGAGCCACTGCACCAGGGCATCAGGAAAGTTAGTTCTCTCCTCTGACCCTCACAATAAGGGTAGCTTGCTGGTTCATTTTCTGTGAATTAAAGTTTTTAATAACTTTTGGCTGGGTGCGGTGGCTCATGCCTGTAATCCCAGCACTTTGGGAGCCTCAGGCAGGAGGATCTCTTGAGGCCAGGAGTTCAAGCCCAGCTTGGGCAACATAGTAAGACCCTGTCTCTAAGTAAATAAATAAATAAATAAGTTAATTAGGTGGGCATGGTGGTGCTCATGGTGTGCGCCTGTAGTCCCAGCTACTCTGGAGGGTGAGGTGGGATGATCACTTGACCCTGGGAGTTCAAGGTTACAGTGAGTCATGATCACATCACTGTACTCCAGCCTGGGCAACAGAGTAAGACCCTGTCTCTTAAAAGAAAAAAAAAAAAAGGCTGGGTGCGGTGGCTCACGCCTGTAATCCCAGCACTTTGGGAGGCCAAGGCAGGCGGATCATGAGGTCAGGAGATCGAGACCATCCTGGCCATCACAGTGAAACCCCCGTCTCTACTAAAAACACAAAAAAATTAGCCGGGTGTAGTTGTGGGCACCTGTAGTCCCAGCTACTTGGGAGGCTGAGGCAGGAGAATGGCGTGAACCCGGGAGGCGGAGCTTGCAGTGAGCCGAGATCGCGCCACTGCACTCCAGCCTGGGCAACAGAGCAAGACTCCATCTCGAAAAAAAAAAAATTCATCACTTTTAATAGCTCTTATGCTTTCTCTGGTTGTGGGCATGCTTCCTAGCTTTTATATATCTTTGTATGGGAAATCAGGGATTGGGGGCCAGTAAAAACTGTTTCTTCTACTGAGGGCTAGAATACTGTTTGAACTTGAAACGTCTGAGATCATTGGATCTCTTGGGAAGTGATTTTTGTATTACCTGCTTATCTACCCATGGCTTTTATTTTTATTTATTTATTTATTTATTTATTTTTGAGATGGGGTCTCTGTCACCCAGGCTGGAGTGCAGTGTCATGATCTCAGCTCACTGCAACCTCCACCTCCCAGCTTCAAGCCATTCTCCTACCTCAGCATAGTACCTGGGACTACGGATGAGTGCCACCACACTTGGCTGATTTTTGTATTTTTAGTAGAGACAGGGTTCATCATGTTAGCCAGGCTGGTCTTGAACTCCTGACCTCAGGTGATCCACCTGCCTAGGCCTCCAAAAGTGTGGGATTACAGGCATGAGCCAACATGCCTGGCCCCTACCCATGGCTTTTAAAACTATTTCAGGCCGGGCACGGTGGCTCACGCCTGTAATCCCAGCACTTTGGGAGGCTGAGGTGGGTGGATCATGAGGTCAGGAGATCAAGACCATCCTGGCTGACATAGGGAAACTCCATCTCTACTAAAAATACAAAATTAGCCAGGTGTGGTGGCGCGTGCCTGTAATCCCAGCTACTTGGGAGGCTGAGGCAGGAGAATCGCTTGAACCAGGGAGTTGGAGGTTGCAGTGAGCCAAGATCGCACCACTGCACTCCAACCTGGTAACAGAGTGAGACTCCGTCTCAAAATAAGTAAGTAAGTAAGTAAATAAATAAAAGTATTTCATCTATAACCCATGGTTATTTTTAAATGGAGATTTCTATTGGAGCCATTATAATGGCAAGCTTGAATTTATAGTATGTTGGGGTTTTAAGATTTCCTAATTCAGAAATCATGTTTAGAATGTGATTGTTCTGTTTATTGATCTAGAGGAAAGAATGTTTTGGAATCTGATGCCTTTTACCACCAGAGACTTCTCCATTCGGTCCCTAGCCGACCGCTTGGGAGACTTGAATTACCTTATCTACGTGTTTCCTGATCGGCCAAAAGATGAAGTATACTCCAAATACTACACACCAGTTCCCTGCGAGTCTGCTACTGGTAACAATGTTCGCATTCTGATTTGATTTTGTTGTGTGTGTGTGTGTGTGTGTGTGTGTGTGTGTGTGTGCATACCTGCGTGTGTTATCTCTCTTGTGTGAAAACCCACACAATTACCATTCAGTGAGAGCAGTTTGAGCATTTTCCAGGGCAGATGTAAACCTTGGGCTGGATTCTTCAGTCATACAGAAAACACATCTACCACTAACCCCAAATATCAAATTGAAGAAAACAAATTCTTTTTAATACAAGCTTAGATCAAACAAAATTAGGTAAAATTTTGTTTTTCATGACAGAGATGGTTTTATTGCTTTCTGAGTTTAGAAGTATTACATATTTATTATAAAATTTTCAGAAGACACATAAAGGCATAAAAAAGAAAACAGGCTGGGTACGGTGGGTCATGCCTGTAATCCCAGAACTTTGGGAGGCCAAGGCAGGCGGATCATTTGAGGTCAGGAGTTCCAGACCAGCCTGGCCAACATGGTGAAACCCTATCTCTACAAAAAATACAAAAATTAGGTGTGGTGGCAGGCACTTGTAATCGCAGGTACTCGGGAGGCTGAGGCATGAGAATCACTTGAACCCAGGAGGTGGAGATTGCAGTGAGCTGAGACCACGCCACCACACTCCAGCCTGGGCAATAGGGTGAGACTCAGTCTCAAAAAAAAAAAAAAAAGGAAGGTCGGGCGTGGTGGCTCACACCTATAATCCCAGCACTTTGGGAGGCTGAGGCAGGCAGATCACCTGAGGTCGGGAGTTCAAGACCAGCCTGACCAACGTGGAGAAACCCCACCTCTACTGAAAATACAAAATTAGCCTGGCATGGTGGCGCATGCCTGTAATCCCAGCTACTCGGGAAGGCTGAGGCAGGAGAATTGCTTGAACCCGAGAGGTGGAAGTTGTGGTGAGCTGAAATCGTGCCATTGCACTCCAGCCTGGGCAACAAGAGTGAAACTCTGTCTCAAAAACAAAAGAAAAGAAAACAAAAAAACAGATACCACACAACATCTCTCATCTAGAGATTAACCTCTATGGATGATTTAGTGACTATTCTTGCACTCTATATATAGATATGTATTATACATTGCATCACCCGTTGCTTGAACTTCCTGTGTGGAGGTTATCTAGCAGCAGAACGAAGACCATAAACAAGGAAACATATTCAGGCCGGGCGCGGTGGCTCATGCCTGTAATCCCAGACTTTTGGGAGGCCGAGGCAGGCATATCACCTGAGGTCAGGAGTTTGAAACCAGCCTGGCCAACATGGTGAAACCCCATCTCTACTAAAAATACAAAAAGTAGTCAGGTGTGGTGGTGGGCGCCTGTAATTCCAGCTACTTGGGAGACTGAGGCAGGAGAATCGCTTGAACCAGGGAGGCAGGAGAATTGCTTGAACCAGGGAGGCAGAAGTTGCAGTGAGCCGAGACTATGCCACTGCATTCCAGTCTGGTGACAGAGCGAGACTCCATCTCAAAAACAAACAAAACACAAATATATTAATTTAGTGATGGGCGCCCTGAAGACAAATAAAGCAAGGTAGAGGGATAGAGAAGTGGCAGGGAGGAGAGTGGAGGTGTTATTTTACTAGAGTGGTCAAGGAGGGTTTCTCTGAGGACATGTTTGTTTTTTTTGTTGTTGTTTTGTTTGTTTGTTTGTTTGAGATGGGGTCTCACTTTGTTGCCCAGGCTGGAGTACATTGCTCACTGCAGTCTCAAACTGCTAGACTCAAGGGATCCTCCCACCTCAGCCTCCCACATAGTTGGGACTACAGGCATGCACCACCAATCCTGGTTAATTATTTTATTTTTATAGATATGGGGTCTTGCTGTGTTTCCCAGACTGGTCTCAAATTCCTGGGCTCAAGCAATGTTCCTTCCTCAGTCCCCCAAGGTTCTGGGATTATAGGCATGAGCCACTCTACCTAGCCAGGATGTGATGTTTGAAAAGACCTGAATGAAGTGAGGAAGCTAGCCATACAAAGATCTAGAGAAAAACATTGTATGCCAAGAGAACAAGTACAAAAATCCTGGGTTGAGAATGGCCATGTCTGGAAAGCCTCAGGAGGGCCAGGGAGGCTGGAGCCTCTTGAGCAGGGAAGATAAGTGGTAGGAACTGAGGTCAGGACACTCCAGCCTTGGAGTTCAGGGTGAAAGGTTGGAGTCTAGACCATATCATATGTAATTTTTTGTGACTTTTTTTTTTTACTTGGAAATATATCCTAGGTAGCTGGGCATGGTGGCTCATGCCTGTAATCCCAACACTTTGGGAGGCCAAGGCAGGTGGATCACTTGAGGTCAGGAGTTTGAGACCAGCCTGGCCAACATGGTGAAACCCCATCTCTACTAAAAAACATACAAAAATTAGCCGGGCATGGTGGCAGGTACCTGTAATCCCACCTACTCAGGAGGCTGAGGCAAGAGAATCACTTGAACCCGGGAGGCGGAGGTTGCAGTGAGCCAAGATCACACCACTGCACTCCAGCCTGGGCAACAGAGCGAGACTCTGCCTCAAAAAAAAGAAATATATCCTATGCAGAGTTACAGCTCAGTAAATGTAATCTTCCAACCTCATTTTGATGACTGCATACAATCCCACTGTATGGTGAGTTACATGTTGGTTATTTAAGATACTTATAATTTGGGCCTGGGCACAGTGGCTCATGCCTGTAATTCCAGCACATTAGAAGGCGGAGGAGGAAGGATTGCTTGAGCCTAGGAGTTTGAGACCAGCCTGGGCAACATAGTGAGACTCCATCTCTACAAAAAAGAAAAAGTTAGCTGCGCTTGGTGGCGCATGCCTGTAGTCCCAGCTACTCAGAAGGCAGAGGCTGGAAGATTGGTTGAGCCCAGGAATTTGAGGCTGCAATGAGCTATGATTGTGCCATTGCACTGTAGCCTATGTGACAGAGTAAGACCCTGTCTCAGAAAAAAATAAAATCCTATTTCTGGCAGCATTTCTTTGTTTTTAACTTCTTAGCCAATCTATAAAATACTCTGTACACTGTAAAGCACAAAAAACATGTTATGAAAAGGTCGCTCCTGACACTTGAAGCCCTAGAAGAAGATTAGGGTAATAAGCAATTGGTGAACCCTGCAGCGTTTCACCCTCTTGGGCTACTTAAATGACAAGCTCCTTGTCCTATAATCATAGTGTGATCGTCCTTGCCTAGTATAATTAACTTTGTACTGATTCCCATATTCACGTACCCAGAAACAAGACTTCATTCTCCCATGTCAGATAATCACATTCTTACCACCTGCTTACCTGGATTTCCATAGTCAGCCTTCTGAAAAGGTAACTGTGGTTGACCAGATCACGTGCAGGTTTATCTGCTCATCTGCCACATCCCAGTGGGGATTCTGTGGGAAGCAAAGGACACATCGCATTCTTGGCACCAACAGCACTCACTGGGACTAGTGACATCAAAGTACCCCAAATGCAGAAACACCAGGCGTGAAGGAGCGTGCAGGTGCTGGGAAAAGTAGCCTTCCCTTTCCTGAAAGACTAGACACTCAGAGTTAGAGGAACCTCAGACATCATCAGATCAGATCAGCGGCTCTCCAGTGCCTAGGCCTTTCCATTAGATCCCTGACGTGTATGCACCTCCTGCTTGAAAACCTCCGGTGATGGCCAGGCACCGTGGCTCACACCTGTAATCTCAGCACTTTGGGAGGCCAAGGCGGGTGGATCACTTGAGGTCAGGGGTTCGAGACCAGCCTGACCAACATGGAGAAACCCCATCTCTACCAAAAATATAAAAAGTAGCTGGGCATGGTGGTGCGCACCTGTAATCCCAGCTACTCGGGAGGCTGAAGCATGAGAATCACTTGAACCCAGAAGGCAGAGGTTGCAGTGAGCTGAGATCGCACCACTGCACTCCAGTGTGGGCAACAGAGTAAGACTCTGTCAAAAAAGAAAAAAAAGAAAACCTCCAGTGACAAGGAAATCAGTCCTTCCTAAGATAAATCATTTCTTTTCCTGGCAGTTCTACTTAGAACATTCTTCCCTGCATGACTGAACATTTGTCCTCTTATGACCTGCCCCTCCTGGTCCTGATTTTATCCCCTGGGTCAGGTAGAACAAATCCTGTCTCTCTGCTGCATCTTGGACTTTAAGCTTTTCAAGGTGTTTTTTTTTTTTTAATTAGTATGCAATTAGTGCTTGACTTAGATTTGTATTGAAGTACATAGTTTCCATGGTTTGAAGAATTTATTGAAACATCCAAGCCAATTTGGAAGATATCTTGAATTTCAGTTTTAGTGCTGACCTTCTCCTCTACCAGGTCTTCCTAACAGATTGAAATATTAAATGCTTGGCCAAGTGCGGTGGCTTATGCCTGTAATCCCAGCACCTTGGGGGGCCAAGGTGGGCAGATAACTTGAGGTCAGGAGTTAGAAAACAGCCTGGGTGACATGGTGAAACCCCATCTCTACTAAAAATACAAAAATTAGCCAAAGTGTGGTGGTGTACCTGTAATCCAGCTACTCAGGAGGCTGAGGCATCGGAATCATTTGAACCTGGGAGGCGGAGGCTGCAGTGAGCCGAGATTGCACCACCGTACTCCAGCCTGGATGAGAGAGTGAGACTGTTTCAAAAAACAAAACAAAAAAATATTAAGTGCTTGTGTCATATCCTTAGATAAGTTAGGTGGTTGTGTTCTGTCCTAAGAAAAGATGTGATTCATAAGGAAGATCACATTTTTGTTTCACTTGAGAACTTTGATTTACTACATTCTTCCCTTGGCAGCTAAAGCTGTTGATGGATACGTGAAGCCACAGATCAAGCAAGTGGTCCCTGAGTAAGTGTCCAGGTGGCTGTGGCTCTCCTTCTGCCTCTTTCCTCCTCCCCCAGACCCTGCCTCCCATCCTTATCCTGGCCCAGCTTTCCGCTCCCCCGGGGAAACTGTCTCAGCCCTGGGGAAGGACCTGGGCTTGGTGATGCTATGCCAGTACCTGAGGCCCCACTCCTGTAGCTGGAGCCCCAGGGCCGAGTGGGGCACTTTGTCCTTCTACACCCTGAGAAAGACAAAGATACCCCTTGGTCCCCTCCCCAAGTCAGCTGCCCTGGCCTCCCTGGCAGCTGAAGCTCTGTTCTCTTCCTTCTGCAGGTTTGTGAACGCATCTGCAGATGCCGGGGGCGGCAGCGCCACGTACATGGACCAGGCCCCCTCCCCAGCTGTGTGTCCCCAGGCTCACTATAACATGTACCCACAGAAGTAGGTGGCATTCTTGTGGGGGTCCACAGGGGAGGAACTGGGGGCTTGGCCCCAGGCTGGACCCCTGGAGGGCTGGGGTCAAAGGAATCCAGAGCTCCTCTAGGTCTGAGACCACACAGCCCTGGCCCGGGCTCTGGCCTTTGGGAGGGAGAGATTTGACCAGAAGTGATTGGTGGTTTAGAGTCGGGTTGGGCAAATGTCATCTGTTCCCCTCTCTCAATATGGAGATTTTTCTTGCTCTAAGGACTGAGTGGAGTTGTGATGTGTCTGGACAGCCGGTGTGAGAGGTAACAGGGGAGGGTATTTCAGTCTGAGTTGCTGTACAGCCAGCTGTTTGAATGGTTGTTCTTTTCCCATGAAGCCCCAGGCTGAGGGCATAGGCTGGCTCAGACTGCTCCCCTGGTGGCCTGTGGGGCTTGGGGTGGTCTCTGGCAGGCTTTCCCCTTCCCTTCATCCCTCTTCTTTCCCTCCCAAGCCCTGACTCAGTCCTTGACACCGATGGGGACTTCGATCTGGAGGACACAATGGACGTAGCGCGGCGTGTGGAGGAGCTCCTGGGCCGGCCAATGGACAGTCAGTGGATCCCGCACGCACAATCGTGACCCCGCGACCTCTCCATCTTCAGCTTCTTCATCTTCACCAGAGGAATCACTCTTGTGGATGTTTTAATTCCATGAATCGCTTCTCTTTTGAAACAATACTCATAATGTGAAGTGTTAATACTAGTTGTGACCTTAGTGTTTCTGTGCATGGTGGCACCAGCGAAGGGAGTGCGAGTATGTGTTTGTGTGTGTGTGTGTGTGTGTGTGTGTGTGCGTGTTTGCACGTTATGGTGTTTCTCCCTCTCACTGTCTGAGAGTTTAGTTGTAGCAGAGGGGCCACAGACAGAAGCTGTGGTGGTTTTTACTTTGTGCAAAAAGGCAGTGAGTTTCGTGAAGCCTGGAAGTTGGCCATGTGTCTTAAGAGTGGCTGGACTTTGACATGTGGCTGTTTGAATAAGAGAAGGACAAAGGGAGGAGAAAGCACATGTGCTCCAGTGAGTCTTCGTCACTCTGTCTGCCAAGCAATTGATATATAACCGTGATTGTCTCTGCTTTTCTTCTGAAATGTAGATAACTGCTTTTTGACAAAGAGAGCCTTCCCTCTCCCCCACCCCTGTGTTCTTGGGTAGGAATGGGAAAAGGGGCAACCTACAAAGATTGTTGGGGCAAGGGAAGTCACAAGCTTTCGGATGGGCGGTGGCTTTTCACAAAACATTTAGCTCATCTTATTCTCTCTTTGTCCTCTCTCCCCTCCTGCCCGCCCGCACCCTGGAATTGCCACTCAGTTCCTCTGGGTGTGCACATATGTTTGGAGAAATAGAGGAGAGAAAAGAGGGCCACGTAACTGAGAGCTTACAGTGCCAATGCCGTTTGTGTTCTGGCCAGAGTGGAGTGCGCAGCCCTGACTCCCAGGCGCTGAGATTGTTGCCTGGTTACCCAGGAAGCTGCTGTTCCGGCTGCCCAGCCTTTCTCTGAGCCAGCGGATGCACAGTCCGTGGCCTTCTTCAGGCTTATTGATGATGCTTTTTGCAAATGTTGAATCATGGTTCTGTTTCTAAGTTGGATCTTTTTTGTTTTCTCCTTGCCACCCTAATTTGACATCAAAATTCTCTCTTGTGCATTGGGCCCTGGGTCATTCAAACCCAGGTCACCTCATTCCCCTTCTCTGTTCACACCTAATGTCTTGAAGAGTAGGTAGCAGCAGTGTGGGCTGAACCTAGGCCAGCTTGCTTAGCGGGTCACCCTGCTGTGAAGTCCTGGCAGGTGTTGGTAATGTGTGGAAATGCAGTCAGCAAGTTTGCTGGGGAGTTTGATAAAAGTATAAAACAAAACAAAAAAAGCCTCGGTATAATTTTGTTCCACGACTTCTTCTGTAGCTTTACACCAGAAGGAAGGAATGGGCTACAGCAGGTAGTGGAGGAAGAGGGGGGTGAGCAGGTGTATTAAAATAGCTTACGGGTAAGGCCTAAAAGGTCACCCCTCGGCCCCCTCTCCAAAAGAAGGGCATGGGCACCCCCAGGAGAGGATGGCCCCAAAAACCTTATTTTTATACATGAGAGTAAATAAACATATTTTTTTTACAAAAATAACTTCTGAATTTATCAGTGTTTTGCCGTTAAAAATATTCCTCTATAGTAAATTATTTATTGGAAGATGACTTTTTTAAAGCTGCCGTTTGCCTTGGCTTGGTTTCATACACTGATTTATTTTTCTATGCCAGGCAGTAGAGTCTCTCTGCCTCTGAGGAGCAGGCTACCCGCATCCCACTCAGCCCCTCCCTACCCCTCAAGATTTGATGAAAATTCCAACCATGAGGATGGGTGCATCGGGGAAGGGTGAGAAGGAGAGCCTGCCTGCTCAGGGATCCAGGCTCGTAGAGTCACTCCCTGCCCGTCTCCCAGAGATGCTTCACCAGCACCTGCCTCTGAGACCTCGCTCTCTGTTCCAGCAACCCTGGTTGGGGGGTCAGACTTGATACACTTTCAGGTTGGGAGTGGACCCACCCCAGGGCCTGCTGAGGACAGAGCAGCCAGGCCGTCCTGGCTCACTTTGCAGTTGGCACTGGGTTGGGGAGGAAGAGAGCTGATGAGTGTGGCTTCCCTGAGCTGGGGTTTCCCTGCTTGTCCAGTTGTGAGCTGTCCTCGGTGTTACCGAGGCTGTGCCTAGAGAGTGGAGATTTTTGATGAAAGGTGTGCTCGCTCTCTGCGTTCTATCTTCTCTCTCCTCCTTGTTCCTGCAAACCACAAGATAAAGGTAGTGGTGTGTCTCGACCCCATCAGCCTCTCACCCACTCCCAGACACACACAAGTCCTCAAAAGTTTCAGCTCCGTGTGTGAGATGTGCAGGTTTTTTCTAGGGGGTAGGGGGAGACTAAAATCGAATATAACTTAAAATGAAAGTATACTTTTTATAATTTTTCTTTTTAAAACTTGGTGAAATTATTTCAGATACATATTTTAGTGTCAAGGCAGATTAGTTATTTAGCCACCAAAAAAAAGTATTGTGTACAATTTGGGGCCTCAAATTTGACTCTGCCTCAAAAAAAAGAAATATATCCTATGCAGAGTTACAGTCACAAAGTTGTGTATTTTATGTTACAATAAAGCCTTCCTCTGAAGGGATGGTATTGAGTCCTGTTTTTACTTTTTTCTGTCACATGCCAAGGGAGGGCAGCTTGAACACGGAAAAGTTTCAAGTCATCAGCGTGACCCTGAAAAAGGGAACTGGTTGGGTGGTTGGGAGTTGGCTGCCTCAGAGGGCACGTCATTAGCTCTGATGGCAGATGGGGCCTTTCATACCTTCCTGCTCATATGATGTTTTGAAAATAAGAATGATGGTCTCCTAGCCTCCTGACTCCAGAAAGCTTGTTAGCCAGGATGGTCTCGATCTCCTGACCTCATGATCTGCCCACCTCAGCCTCCCAAAGTGCTGGGATTACAGGCGTGAGCCACTACGCCCGGCTGAAAGCCTGTCCTTAAGATTCAGCACATTTAGAGTACCTGACCCTGAGTTCAGCGTTGTGTGTGGGATGAGAAATGGTGCCTTCCCTGCAGAGGCTCACAGTTGGAGAAAGGCAGCTACCACAACTGATTATGCTAGGATATCGCTTCCTGCTGCAATCAAGGCATCCCAAAGTCATTATGCAAAAGAACATGCAGGAAGGCCACTGAGCAACTCAAGCTTTTTTTTTATTTTATTTTTTTATTTTAATTGAGTAGCTGGGATTACAGGCGCCACCACTCCCGGCTAATTTTTGCATTTTTAGTAGGGACGGGGTTTCACCATGTTGGCCAGGCTGGTCTGGACCTCCTGACCTCAGGTGATCCACCTGCCTTGGCCTCCCAAAATGCTGGGATTACAGGCGTGAACCACCATGCCCAGCCTGGAGCTGGCTCTTAAGGAACAAATAGGGCCGGGCACGGTGGCTCATGCCTGTAATCCCAGCATTTTGGGACGCCAAGGCAGGTGGATCACCTGAGGTCGGGAGTTCGAGACCAGTCTGGCCAACATGATGAAACCCCGTCTCTACTAAAAATACACAAAAATTAGCTGGGCGTGGTGGCACGCGCCTGTAATCCCAGCTACTTGGGAGGCTGAGGCAGGAGAATCGCTTGAACCCGGCAGGCAGAGATTGCAGTGAGCCGAGATCATGCCATTGCATTCCAGCCTGGACAACAGAGCAAGACTCTGTCTCAAATTAAAAAAAAACAAAAAACCCAGCCATTCCACTTGTAGGTATCTACATAAGAACCATGAGAACATATATGTACAGAAACACTTGTGACAAATGTTCATAACAGCATTATGCATAATAGCCAAAGGGCAGAAACAACCCAAATGTCCATCAACTGATGAATAAACAAAATGTATTATGGTATATCTGTACAATGGAATATACGGCAATAAAAAGGAATGAAGTGCTGACACACAGGACATGATGTTGTCACGGATGAACCTTGACAATATCATGCTAGATGAAAGAAGCCAGGCCGGGCACGGTGGCTCATGACTGGGACTCCAGCACTTTGGGAGGCTGAGGCGAGGGATCACTTGAGTGCAGCAGTTCAAGACCAGCTTGGACAACACGGTGAAACCCCATCTCTACAAAAAAATACAAAAATTAGCTGGATGTGGTGGTGCACCCCTGTAGTCCCACCTACTCAGGAGGCTGAGGTGGGAGGATCACTTGAGCTGTGATCATGCTACTGCACTCCAGCCTGGGTGACAGAGCGAGGAAAAAGAAAAGAAGCCAAGTACAAAAGACCGCATATTATATGATGCCATTTATAGGAAATGTCTAGGATAGGCAAATCTATGGAGACAGAAAGTAAATTTGAGGTTGCCTAGAGGCTGGGAAGGAGTTTGGAGGTAATAGTGAAAGGATACAGGGTTTGGGGGTTTTTTTGTTTTGTTTTTTTTTTTGTTTGTTTTTCTTGAGACAGAGTCTCGCTCTGTCACCCAGACTGGAGTGCAGTGGCGCCATCTCGGCTCACTACAACCACTGCCTCCCAGTTTCAAGCGATTCTCCCACCTCAGCCTCCCAAGTAGCTGGGATTATAGGCGCCGGCCACCAGACCCTGCTAATTTTTGTATTTTTAGTAGAGACAGTGTTTTGCCATGTTGGCCAGGCTGGTCTTGAACTCCTGACTTCAGGTGATCCACCTGCCTTGGCCTCCCAAAGTGCTGGGATTATAGGTGTGAGCCACCACGCCCAGCCTGAGTTTGGGGTTTTTTATTTTATTTTATTTTATTTTATTTTATTTTATTTTATTTTATTTTATTTAACGAATTGGGCAGTCTCCTGAGGCACAGTAGGCTCAGAGAGACTCTGCAGGGTTTGTTTTTGAGGTAAGGAAAATGTTATTATCTGTGGTGTTGGTTGCACATATCTCTGGATATACTAGATCTTGAATTGTACACTAAATGGGTGATTTGTATGGTGTGTGAATTATATCTAATAAAGCTGTTACTGGGCCAGGTCTAGTGGCTTACACCTGTAATTCCAGCACTTTGGAAGGCCAAGGTAGGAGGATCGCTGAGACCGGGAGTTCCAGACCAGTCTGGGCAACATAGTAAGACCCCCTGTCTCTACAAAAAAAAAAAAAAAATGTTTTTAATTAGCTGGGTGTGGTGGCACATGCCTGTAGTCCTAGCCACTCAGAGGCTGGGGTAGGAGGATTGCTTGATCCCCGGAGTTCAAGGTTGCAATGAGCTGTGACCAGGCCACTGAACTCCAGCCTGGACAACAGAGCAAGACCCTGTCTTTAAATAAATAATAAAAGCAAATGCAAGATCTCAGCGAGAAAAAACGTGAAAGTGAGGTGAGTTAGCCAGAGTGAGAACAGACCTGTTGAAAGAAGCTCAGCTGTGAAGGGAAGAGAGGTGCTCAGCAAGTAGTAGCTCTCTTCTCAAAGGTATCCAGAGGCAAGTAAGGGGAGAAAGGGAGTGGTTTTAGTGTTTTGAGAGCCTAGGTCAAGAACACACCAGCCTGGGCAACATAGGGAGCTCTCTCGTCTCTACAAAAAATAAAATTAGTTGAGCGTAGTGGTGCGTACCTGTAGTTCCAGTCCCTTGGGAGGCTGAGACAGGAGGATCTCTTGAGCCCAGGAGGTTGAGGTTGCAGTGAGCTATGATCGCACCACTGCACTCCAGCCTGGGCAATAGATCAAGACCCTGTCTCAAAAACAAAAAACAAAAAAAGAGAAGTTTGTAATTTTCCTTGGGATAAAGGCAACAGGCTAACACAGATGGTCACCCAGTAACCAGGTAAAGTTAAGATAAACTATATGTGACTGGCTGGGTGCAGTGGCTCAGGCCTGTAATCCCAGCACTTTGGGAGGCCGAGGCAGGTGGATCACTTGAGGTCAGGAGTTTGAGACCAGCCTGGCCAACATGGTGACATGGTGAAACCCCGTCTCTACTAAAAATACAAAAAATTAGCTGGGTGTGGTGATGCGTGCCTGTAATCCCAGCTACTCGGGAGGCTGAGGCAGGAGAATTGCTTGAATCTGGGAGGCGGAGGTTGCAGTGAGCTAAGATCGTGCCATTGCACTCCAGCCTGGGCAACAAGAATAGAACTCTGCCAAAAAAACAAAAAAAAAGAAGTTTGTAATTTTCCTTGGGATAAAGCCAGCAAGCTAACACAGATGTTCACCTAATAACCATGTAAAGTTAAGATAAACTATGTGACTGGCTGGGTGTGGTGGCTCACACCTGTAATCCCAGCACTTTGGGAGGCCAAGGAGGGTAGATCACTTGAGGTCAAGAGTTTGAGACCAGCCTGGCCAACATGGTGAAACCCCATCTCTACTGAAAATACAAAAATTAGCTGGGCGTGGTGGCACACACCTGTAATCCCAGCTGCTTGGGAGGCTGGGGCAGCAGAATCGCTTGAACCTGGGAAGTGGAGGTTGCAGTGAGCTGAGATTGTGCCACTGCACTCCAGCCTGGGCAACAGAGCAAGACTGTGTCTCAAAAAAAAAAAAAAAAAAAAAAGATAAACTATATGTGACAAGTCCTCTTACTTGAGGACTCGTTATTGTTTATCTTGAAAACGTGTATGTAATGGGTTGTATGCGCTTGGCTATACAAAAAAGTAAGATTTCCTCCCTTCTTTGCAAGCTCTTAGCAGATCACCTGTCATGTACATCACATTGTGGTTGAATGCTTATTCAATAATAAAATTGTTTTCTTTCTCAACTACCTTGAGGGAGAGGATGGGGTTTTTTTTGTTGTTGTTTTTGTTTTGTTTGTTTTTGAGACGGAGTTTCGCTCATTGCCCAGGCTGGAGTACAATGGCGCAATCTCAGCTCACTGCAACCTCCGCCTCCCAAGTTCAAGTGATTCTTCTGCCTCAGCCTCCCAAGTAGCTGGGATTACAGGCATGTGCCACCACATCTGGCTAATTTTGTATTTTTAGTAGAGATGGGGTTTCACCATGTTGGTCAGGCTGGTGTCAAACTCCTGACCTCAGATGATCCACCCGCCTCAGCCTCCCAAAGTGTTGGGAATACAGGCGTGAGCCACCGCGCCCAGCTGAGTTGGGGTTTTAAGAGTTCTTAAGCTTGCCCCTCTCCCAGCTCAAGTGGCTTAATGGCGTTCTTTCCCACACACACCTTTCTGTTCCTTCACCTGCGCAAGTTTGAGGACCATGCTAGTCTGGTCCTAACTGCCCCAACTGCCAGCCTGGGCTAGCACCCGACATGAAGTCCTGTAGGCGACCTGCCCCTTTAAGAGCACCCCCCTCCTTCAGCTCCTCCCTCAGGCCTGGTGGCCGGATTTCCCAGTTGGGGCCCAGCCTTTTAAAGCCATCGCTCCTTCTTTCTGGCCGGATGTGTGCTGAGACCCAGAGTCACCCAGGGGTCTCCGTCACGTGCCAGGAGTAGGCAGAAGTGGGCTGTGACAGGTGCATGTGGGCATGGACCCCACAGCCTGGGGCTCAGGAGGGACAAGGAGCTGGGACAGGGTGGATCCCGAGAGAAAGCAAAGCCACTCGGGAGTGGGCAAGAGATATCGTTACGCAGCTGCTGTGTGCCCGACCGACCCTGTCCGAAACCCTTCCTGTACCTTCCCTTCCTCTTCCTTCTTTTCTCCCTTTTTTTTCTTTTCTTTTTTTTTTTGACAGGGTCTCACTCTGTTGCCCAAGCTGGGGTGCAGTGGCACGATCTTGGCTCACTGTAGCCTTGACATCCTGGGCTCAAGGGATCCTCCCATCTCAGCCTCCCAAGTAGCTGCGACTATGGGTGTGACACCACGCTGGGCTAGTTTTTCAATTTTTTGTAGAGATGGAGTCTCCCTATGTTGCTCAGGCCGGTTGCAAACTCCTGGGCTCAAGTGATTCTCCTGCCTCAGCCTCCCAAAGTGCTGGGATTACAGATGATAGCCACCTCACCCGGCCCACCCCTACCTTCTGAAAGAGGCATTCTTATTCTTATTCCCATTTTGCAGATCAGGAAACAGAGCTCAGTGCAGCCCACTAAATTGCTCAGGGCCCTACAGCTAACAAGCGGCAGAGGCAGGATCTGCACTCAGGTCAGTGGGACTCCAAAGCTTTGATAGTCTCTCCTTTGCATCACCTGCCCCACAGGGTCCTGCCTTCTTCCCAATTTCATTTTTCCTCGGTTTTCCTGTATGCAGTAGAGCGTGGGAGGAGAAATGGATAATTGCTGCATGCCCCCATATCTCGGTTCCTTCCTCTTCCCAGGAGCTGCTTGGAGATGCTGCTGTGGCCACTGCTGCTGCTGCTGCTGCTGCTGCCAACATTGGCCCTGCTCAGGCAGCAGCGGTCCCAGGATGCCAGGCTGTCCTGGCTTGCTGGCCTCCAGCACCGAGTGGCATGGGGGGCCCTGGTCTGGGCAGCCACCTGGCAGCGGCGGAGGCTGGAGCAGAGCACGCTCCATGTGCACCAGAGCCAGCAGCAGGCCCTGAGGTGGTGTCTACAGGGAGCCCAGCGCCCCCACTGTTCCCTCAGAAGGAGCACAGGTGTGTTTCCCAGGGTCTGGGGAGGTGACCCAAAGAGAAAGAAACCCCACAGGACCGTCAGATTCCAGAGCCTGATGGCCCCCTTACCTCCTCCACTGCCAACGGAGTGGCCTGACCCAGAGACCCAGGACTGGCTTTCTTGTCCAAGATGAATTTCCCATGCTGGGTCCTTACATCCTCTCTACCCCAGGCCTATTCTCGGTTCCTCCCTCAAGGGTCTCACCAGTCTTGCCTGAAACTCTTGGGAAACTGGCTTCCTGAGGCGTTTCTGTTGTCATTGGGGCTATAGACATAAGCACCTTCCGGAATCATCTCCCTCTGACCAAGGCCAGCCAGACCCAGCAGGAAGACAGTGGAGAGCAGCCACTGCCCCCGACCTCAAACCAGGACCTTGGGGAGGCCTCTCTGCAGGTAATCTAGGATGGCCAGAGCCCAGTCCTGGCCACAGCCCAGTCCCACCAGAGACCTCTGACTTGCAGCCAAACCCTCCAGTCATGGTGGGCAAAGAACCCCCAAATGGGGGCTCTGGGTCTGGCTCTGACACCAGACCAACATTCTCTCTTTCCTCCTCCAGGCCACCTTGCTGGGTCTGGCAGCCCTAAACAAGGCCTACCCAGAAGTGCTGGCTCAGGGACGCACTGCCCGTGTGACGCTTACATCCCCTTGGCCCCGACCCCTGCCTTGGCCTGGGAATACCCTGGGCCAGGTGGGCACCCCTGGAACCAAGGACCCTAGGGCCCTGCTGCTGGACGCACTGAGGTCCCCAGGGCTGAGGGCACTGGAGGCTGGGACGGCTGTCGAACTTCTGGATGTTTTCTTGGGCCTGGAGACTGATGGTGAAGAGCTAGCTGGGGCGATAGCTGCCGGGAACCCTGGAGCGCCTCTCCGTGAACGGGCAGCTGAGCTCCGGGAGGCCCTAGAGCAGGGGCCACGGGGACTGGCCCTTCGGCTCTGGCCAAAGCTGCAGGTGGTGGTGACTCTGGATGCAGGAGGCCAGGCCGAGGCTGTGGCTGCCCTCGGGGCCTTGTGGTGCCAAGGACTAGCCTTCTTCTCTCCTGCTTATGCTGCCTCGGGAGGTCAGTGGGACTCAAGGGCAGTGAGGTGGGGGCAACGGTCAGTGGTCACATGACAAGCAGCCATGCATTGGGCCCTACATAATCATCTCATTTAATCCTCCCCAACAAGCTGCATGCTAGGGCCAGCAGCCTCCTTTTACAAGTGAAGAAATTCAGGCTCTCTAGGTTAAGAGTCTTGTAGCTGGGTGCAGTGGCTCACGCCTGTAATCCCAGCACTTTGGGAGGCCAAGGTGGATGGATCGTTGAGGTCAGGAGTTCCAGACCAGCCTGGCCAACATGGCGAAACCCCATCTCTACTAAAAATACAAAAACTAGCGGAGTATGGTGGTGCACGCCTATAATCCCAGCTACCTGGGAGGCTGAGGCGGGAGGATTGCTTAAACCTTGGAGGCAGAAATTATAGTGAGCTGAGATCGCGCCATTGCACTCCAGCCTGGGTGACAGAGCAAGACCCTGTCTCAAAAAAAAAAAAAAAAAAAAAAGGCCGGGGCAGTGGCTCACGGGTGTAATCCCAGCACTTTGGGAGAGGCTGAGGTGGGTGGATCACCTGAAGTTAGGAGTTTAAGACCAGCCTGGCCAATGTGGTGAAACCCTGTCTCTACTAAAAATACAAAAATTAGCCAGGTGTGGTGGCAGGCGCCTGTAATCTCAGCTACTCAGGAGGCTCAGGCAGGAGAATCACTTGAACCCAGGAATCACTGAATCACTGAGCCGAGATCGCACCACTGCACTCCAGCCTAGGTGACAGAGCGAGACTCTGTCTCAAAAAAAAAAAGAGTCTTGCACAAATTCATGTGGCACCAGGATTCACTCCCAAGTCTGCCCCCTCCAGGACCACAGCACTCTGCCTCTTTCCAGTGAGGGCCTAAGAGGCAGCCCGCTGAGGCTGGGGGAGCCAGGAAGGATGTGGTGGAAGGGCAGCAGGAGGATCAGGTGCTCAGAGGATCAGGCCTGGGATCCAGGAGGGGCTATTGCCTGGCAGAAAGCGATGGCACCAGCAGACGCTGAGGAGGCTGCTTTGCTTTCACAGGGGTGCTGGGCCTAAACCTACAGCCAGAGCAGCCCCATGGGCTCTACCTTCTGCCCCCTGGGGCCCCCTTTATCGAGCTGCTCCCAGTCAAGGAAGGCACCCAGGAGGAAGCTGCCTCCACCCTCCTTTTGGCCGAGGCCCAGCAGGGCAAGGAGTATGAGCTGGTGCTGACGGACCGCGCCAGCCTCACCAGGTGATCAGCTGCACAGCCCCTGCTACCTGGGGCCCTATGGGACCGTGCTGGGGGCCTGGGGCATGAGCTCAGAAGACCTTGGGCCCGACCTCACTCCCACTTGCACCCCATCAGGTGCCGCCTGGGTGATGTGGTGCGAGTGGTTGGTGCCTACAATCAGTGTCCAGTCGTCAGGTTCATCTGCAGGTAGGTGACCCCGGGGAGCTGAAGGGCCATCCTTGTGTCCTGGGCTCCACTGCCTCTCCCTTCCTCCTCTTCAGGCTGGACCAGACCCTGAGTGTGCGAGGGGAAGATATTGGTGAAGACCTGTTCTCTGAGGCCCTGGGCCGGGCAGTGGGGCAGTGGGCGGGGGCCAAGCTGCTGGACCATGGCTGTGTGGAGAGCAGCATTCTGGGTGAGCCTCCCCACCGGCTCCTGCCTACCATCCTTGAGCTACCCTTCAACTCCTACCTCCCCTGCCAGGGGACTGCTAGGAAAGAGATAAGCCTCCTTTACTACTCCTACAAAAGTCCTTCTCTGCATCTAACTCTCATCCATCCTGCTGCAGTCTCTACCCATTTTCTTTCCTGATCTGTCTCCTATTTAGGATCAAGCTCTAGGTTCCTCTCCATTTACCCCACTCCCCACCAAGAAACTCTTTTTTCCCTATGAATCTCAGAGTGGGGAAGAACAGATAGGGCAGAGGACACTAGACTTGGCAGCTGCCCATTCACCGGAAGTATGTGTGCACATGGGGTCTATTCACAGATTCCTCTGCGGGCTCTGCTCCCCACTACGAGGTGTTTGTGGCGCTGAGGGGGCTGAGGAATCTGTCAGAGGAAAATCGAGACAAGGTAAAGGAGACGAGGACAGGGTCTGACTGTAGACCCCTTCACTCTGCACACTCCCAGGGTGCCATGGAGATCAGGGCTGATGGGAAGGAGAGGGGTGGCGGAGGAGAAGCTCCCTGGGGCTCTGGGAGGGGAGGGCTAAGTCCCACAGACACACACCTGTCCACACAAAACTTCTAAACACATGTAGCCTGGGCACAGCCACACACGCCTCGTGTGCACACTCACAGTCACACACCAGCTCACTCAGGCTGTTCTGTTCCCAGCTGGACCACTGCCTTCAGGAAGCCTCTCCCCGCTACAAGTCCCTGCGGTTCTGGGGCAGCGTGGGCCCTGCCAGAGTCCACCTGGTGGGGCAGGGAGCCTTCCGAGCACTCCGGGCAGCCCTCGCTGCCTGCCCCTCCTCCCCCTTCCCCCCTGCGATGCCCCGGGTCCTTCGGCACAGGCACCTGGCCCAGTGTCTGCAGGAGAGGGTGGTGTCCTGAGTCAAGTCCTGCCCCACCGCCCAGCTCCCCCCAGAGGCCACCTCGCCCCTCCCTCTGGGACCTCTCCGGATGGGGAGTCCTTGGCCAGGGTCTCTGACTCTGTGTCACCTGACATTTGCCCATGAGAGCCGCTGGGCCTTAGAGAGGCCTTGGCCCAGCTGACCGGTTCTGAAGTATGGGCCTCCGGGGTTAGCAGATGCCAGCAGTGCCTGCCCGTGTCCCCATGTCCCGGCATGAAGGACACTGCTAGAGAGTTACCATGCACACCGATGGTTTCCTGTATCACAGCCCAAAGAGGTTCTCTGGTGGCCACAGCTGTGTGCTCAGTCAGTGCACTGGGCAAGCTAGAAGTGTTGGGGGGTTAATGTCCCCAGGAGCAGCAACCCTGAGTCAATAAGGAGCAGGACCTCAGCTTCATTGTCCTTGAGCAGGACAATTCTGAAGTGTATTCTACATAAACTCTCAGAGGATGCCCAGCAGGATGGAGTCCCAGTTGCCCGCAGCAGTAACCCACTCATTCATGTACTTCCTGCGGGGGCTCTCCCTTCCCTCTCTTCCCCACTCCCCCGCCTTGGGCTTCCTGGGATGGCTCCCAAATAAACCTCTTGCACCCAGATTCTTGCCTCAGGGTCTGCTTTGGGGAAACGGGAGTGGACCCCGGCCCAGCCATTCCCCCACTGAGCTCCAGGACTTTCCCCCAACATTCTGCTCTGGGCCTGGCAAGGCTGCATGCGCACACAGGAGCCTTGGAGGACTCGTGGCACATCCTAGGCCAGCACCCACAAACCACTTCTGCGGTGGGGAAGGGAGAGCTATTACTTCACATCATAAGGCATCGCCGCAGGAAGCAACTCCGGAGACCATCTGGGTTCACTGTTCCATACTAATGAGGAAACGCAGCCTCCACAAGGTTGTAGAGGCTAAAATAAAAGAAAGAAAGAAACTGGGCTAGATTTTGGCTTCCTTCCCTCCCACTGCCTGGACTGGAGTTTTAAGGTTTTCCATCTTGGAGGCTGATGGGAGGGGCAGACCTCAGCTCCTCCTCAGTAGAGGCAGCACTGGATCCAGATGCCTCTGAATAGCTTCTCCATTCCATGTCCCACACCCAGGTCCTGGCTGCATACCCACCCGGCCCCCACCTCCGCCTGTCACTCCATCCTGTTAAAATCTTCCTGTGAAGCTGGGCACAGTGGCATGGGCCTATAGTCCCAGCTACTCAAGAGGCTGCGGTGGAAGGATGGTTCATGCCCAGGAGTTCAAGACCAGCCTGGGCAACACAGCGAGACCATCTCGGGAAAAAAAAACAAAAAAAAAAACCTCCCATGGTGGCCCCCATCGCCCACAGGATTAAGACCAATCAATTTGGCCTATTAGACCCTTTGACCTTGGCCCTCACCTACATGTGCAGCTACCTCTCTCCCCTTGCTTGAAAGAAGGCCTGGACTAAGGACCACGCCTCACCTCCCATCTAAGGGTTGTTAAGCACTGTCAACTCCAGGAGTTTGCTCAAGTTGTCCCTTCTATGTAATGCCCTCTATCCCGCTGCCCCTGATGTAAACTAGCTTTCATGCAAGGCCTTTGAGGACCCCCTACCAGGCCCACCCCAGGCAGAGTGACTGGCTCAGCTTTGCTCATGTGGGCAGTAGTCCTCTCCTTCACTGAACTATCATTATGCCTGAACTGCCTCCCACCTGGAATATGAGTTCCTTGGAAACTGGGCTAGATCCTGTGCACAATTGCCCCCATGCCCAGTGCCTGGTGTGGCATGCAGCAGGAGCTCAATAAAGAGGTTGTAGGCCAGGTGCCATGGCTCATGCCTGTAATCCCAGCACTTTAGGAGGTCGAGGCAGTCAGATCACCTGAGGTCAGGAGTTCAAGACCAGCCTGGCCAACATGGTGAAACTGTGTTTCTACTAAAAATACAAAAAATTAGCTGGGCATGGTGGTGTGCACCTGTAAACCCAGCTACTTGGGAGGCTGAGGCAGGAGAATTGCTTGAACCCAGGAGGCAGAGGTTGCAATGAGCCAATATCGTGCCTTTGCACTCTAGCTTTGGCAACAAGAGTGAAACTCTATCTCCAAAAAAAAAAAAAAAAAAAAAAAAAAAAAAAAAAAAAAAAGAGGTTGTGAATAAGAAGCTTGGGCCTGGAGATGACATGTGTTCTTCAATGCATGGCGGCTCACTCCGTGTTGACTGTAGAGTGGGACTACATTCCTCCCCTCCAGGTAGCCTGAGCCAGGGAGAAAGCTGGGGAGGTAGAAGCTTTCTATCAGCCTCTGGTAGAAACTGAGTTTGGTCAGGCACAGTAGCTCACACCTGTAATCCTAGCAGTTTGGGAAGCTGAAGGGGGAGGATGGCTTGAGCCAGGGATTTGAGACCAGCCTGGGAGTCCCAGTCTCTACAAACAAATTTAAATATTAGCCAGGGATTGTGGCATGCATCTGTGTGGTCCCAGCTACTTGGGTGGCTGAGGTGAGAGCATTGCTTGAGCCGTGGCATTTGATGCTGCAGTGAGCTATGATTGTCCCACTGCACTCCAGCCTGGGTGACAGAGTGAAACCTTCTCAAGAAAGAAAATAAAGAGGGCTGGGCGTGGTAGCTCACGCCTGTAATCCCAGCACTTTGGGAGGCCGAGGCGGGCAGATCACGAGGTCAGGAGATCGAGAACATCCTGGCTAACACAGTGAAACCCCGTCTCTACTAAAAATACAAAAAATTAGCTGGGCGTGGTGGCGGGCACCTGTAGTCCCAGCTGCCAGGAGGCTGAGGCAGGAGAATGGCGTGAACCCGGGAGGCGGAGCTTGCAGTGAGCCGAGATCGCGCCACTGCACTCCAGCCTGGGCGACAGAGTGAGACTGTCTCAAAAAAAAAAAAAAAAAAGAAAGAAAAGAAAAAGAAAAGAAAATGAAGAAAGAGAGAAGGCCAGGCATGGTGGCTCATGCCTGTAATCCCAGCACTTTGGGTGGCTGAGGCAGGCGGATCACCTGAGGTCAGGAGTTCCAGACCAGCCTGACCAACATGGAGAAACCCTGTCTCTACTAAAAATACAAAATTAGCCAGGCATGGTGGCGCATGCCTGTAATCCCAGCTACTCAGAAGGCAGAGGCAGGAGAATTGCTTGAACCCTGGAGGTGGAGGTTGCAGTGAGCTGAGATTGCGCCATTGCACTCCAGCCTGGGCAACAAGAGTGAAACTCCGTCTCAAAAAAAAAAAAAAGAAGAAGAAGAAGAAAGAAAGAAAGAGGGAGAGAGTGAGAGAGAGAAAGAAAGAAAGAAATGCAGGAAGGAAGGAAGAAGGAAAGAAGGAAGGAAGAAAAAAAAAGCGGGGGGGCCTGGTGCAGTGGCCCACGCCTGTAATCCCAACACTTTTGGAGACTGAGGTGGGTGGATCACTTGAGGTCAGGAGTTTGAGACCACCCTGGCTAACATGGTGAAACCCTGTCTCTATTAAAAATACAAAAATTAGCTGGTTGTGGTGGCGTGTGCCTGTAATTCTATTCAGGAGCTATTCAGGAGGTTGAGGCAGGAGAATCGCTTGAACCCAAGGCGGAGGTTGCAGTGAGCCAAGATGACCATACCACTGCACTCCAGCCTGAGCAACAAGACCAAAATTTAGTCACACACACACACACAGAAAAGAAAGAAAGAGAAATTGGGCTTGGTTTTGGCTTCTTACCTCCCACTGTCTAGGCTGAGTTTTCAAGGTTTTCCATCTCAGAGGCTAGTGGAAAGGGCAGAAGGGAGAAAAAAAGCTAGGGGGAGGGGGCAGCTAAGGAGCCTTTCCATGAAGGAAGAAGGTCCTGGAGCCTGACAGTCCCCAGGAGCAGCGACAAGAAGCAGGGGAGGGAGAGGACTGCTGCTGGCTGCTCCACCCCCCACACACATAATGTGGGGTCTCGCGTCTGCCTCTCTCCCGCCCCTAATTAGCAGCTGCCTCCCTCCATATTGTCCCAGGCCAGCGCCTCTTTTGTGCTCCCAGATTCCTGGGTGCAAGGTGGCCTCATTAGTGCCCGGAGACCGCCCCATCTCCAGGGAGCAGATAGACAGACAAGGGGGTGATCAGGGGCACAGTGATCCAACCCTGGCCTCTGAACGCCGCAGCGGCCATTCCTTGGGCCCAGCCTGGAGACGGCCCCCCTGCAGCAGGCTAATCTTAGACTTGCCTTTGTCTGGCCTGGGTGTGGACGCAAGTGCCTGTCAATTCCCCGCCACCTCAGAGCACTATAAACCCCAGACCCCTGGGAGTGGGTCACAATTGACAGCCTCAAGGTTCCTGGCTTTTTGAACCACCACAGACATCTCCTTTCCCGGCTACCCCACCCTGAGCGCCAGACACCATGAACCTTCCTTCCACAAAGGTAAAGATCCAGGGATGGAGGGGTGACTCACCATCCCAGAGAAGCAAAAAGAGTGCTTGCTCAGAGGGCTGGAAGAAAGGCCAAAGGTGTCTCCACTCTTGGTCTTTTCCTGGGTGTGCTCTGAGGCAGGAGCACCTGCCTTGGCTCACATTGGGTTGGGTGCTGTTTTGCTAAGAGCCTGTGTTTGCTGAGCTCTATGTGTCAGGTGCTCCGTTTGCACCTGTCATCTCTTGTCATCCTCCCAACAGCCTTGCAGAGTAGAAATTATTTCTAGTATACCCAGTTTACAGGTAAGGGAGCTGTGCCCTCTGAAAGGGCAGGAAACTGGTTCAAAGCAACGGAGTTCAGTCACTCCTGCAAGGGGGCAGGCAGATGAGAGAGCATTCTGGAGTCTTGCTAGTTCCTGATTTCCATGTGTTTCCCTGCTGTGGAGAGGAAGTTGGGGGGACTCAGTAGGGCCCGGGTTTTTCCCAAGTTTACAACTTCTGCTGCAGACAGACACTCCTGTTTTCAGGTGGAGTGGCAAGTGCCCTAGTGGTGGCACAGTGGCCTAAGTCTCCAGAGAAAAGGGGGATTCACTCTGCCCAGGGGGTCTCAAAAGGCTTCCTGGGGGAGATGCTCTGCTGGGTCTTGAAGGAGGAGCAGGGAAAGTAGGCCGATACCAGCAAGGGCGCAAAGCAAGGAGAACTAAGTGACAGCCAGAAAGGAGTGCAGGCTTGGAGGGGGCGCGGAGCCAGAGGGGCAGGTCCTGGGCGTGGGAGCTGGTGGCGGGCGCCGTGGGAAGACCCCCCCAGCGCCCTGTCTCCGTCTCCCTAGGTCTCCTGGGCCGCCGTGACGCTACTGCTGCTGCTGCTGCTGCTGCCGCCCGCGCTGTTGTCGTCCGGGGCGGCTGCACAGCCCCTGCCCGACTGCTGTCGTCAAAAGACTTGCTCTTGCCGCCTCTACGAGCTGCTGCACGGCGCGGGCAATCACGCGGCCGGCATCCTCACGCTGGGCAAGCGGAGGTCCGGGCCCCCGGGCCTCCAGGGTCGGCTGCAGCGCCTCCTGCAGGCCAGCGGCAACCACGCCGCGGGCATCCTGACCATGGGCCGCCGCGCAGGCGCAGAGCCAGCGCCGCGCCCCTGCCTCGGGCGCCGCTGTTCCGCCCCGGCCGCCGCCTCCGTCGCGCCCGGAGGACAGTCCGGGATCTGAGTCGTTCTTCGGGCCCTGTCCTGGCCCAGGCCTCTGCCCTCTGCCCACCCAGCGTCAGCCCCCAGAAAAAAGGCAATAAAGACGAGTCTCCATTCGTGTGACTGGTCTCTGTTCCTGTGCGGTCGCGTCCTGCCCATCCGGGGTGGCAAAGCGTCTTGCGGAGGACAGCTGGGCCTGGAAGCCCGGCTGTCGGGCACCAGCCTTAGCTTTTGCGTGGTTGAATCGGAAACACTCTTGGTTGGGGAGTTCCCAGTGCAAGGCCCTGGGGCACAGAGAGAACTGCACAGGTGCATGCTTGGATCGGGCCATGCGGGACTCCTACGATGCTCTGCTAGGCATTCTGTAGCGGGGACTTTACCCAGAGACGCGGAAGGGGAAGGAAAGCAAGAAAGGTTGCAGCGGTCGGGCGCGGTGCTCACGCCTGTAATCCCAGCACTTTGGGAGGCCAAAGCAGGAGGATCCCTTGAAGCAAGGAGTTCGAGACGAGCCTAGGCAACATAGTGAGTGAGACATCTCTCCAAAAAGTTTTTTTAATTAGCGGGGTATGGTGGGCGAGAGGATTGCTTGAGCCCAGGAGTTTGAGTTTGAGCCATAATTGGGCCACTGCACTCCAGCCTGGGCAACAGAAGGAGGCACTGTCAAAAAAAAAAAAAAAAGAAAGAAAAAGAAAAAAGAAAAGAAAGAAAGGAAAGAAAGGAAGGAAGGAAGGAAGGAAGGAAGGAAGGAAGGAAGGAAGGAAGGCAGGCAAGCTGCATAGAGCAGCAGAATCCAGCTAGGAAGGGGTGGGAGTCAATCCTGCTGAAAAGGCAGGGAATTTGAACTTCAACAATGAGTCATCCAGAATGGCTGCATCATGGGGTATAGGGTGTGGGGAGTGGAGAGGCTCAGGAAGGGACACAGTTACAGTCAGTGCAGCACAGCTCGCAAAGGCTCTCACAAATCATCGGGCTTTGCACTTTATCTTGTAGGTAACAGAGTCATGGGACATTCTTAAGCAGGGGCAGTACAAGATTTTACTGCAACTCCAGCCAAAGACACCTGTTACTGGTGTTCCCAAAATCCATATGTTGAAGTCCGTACCCGTGGCACTTCAGAATGTGGCTGTATTTGGAAATAAGGTCCTTCCAGATGCAATTAGTTAAGATGAGGTCATACTAGAGTAGGGTGGGCCTCTAATCCACTGTGACTGGCGTCCTTATAAAAAAGGGAATTGGAACACAGAAACACACACAGGGAGAACCCATGTGAACATGAAGGTAGAGATTGGCTCCTACAAGCCAAGGAACACCAAAAATTGCCAGCACCCCCACCCCCAGAAGATAGGGGAGAGGCATGCAACAGATTCTCCCTCATAGCCTTCAGAAGGAACCAACGCTCTTCACCTGACCTTGCTTGGACTTCTAGCATCCAGAACTGTGAGACAATAGGTTTCTGTTGTTTGAGCCACTCACTTTGTGGTACTTTGTTATGGCAGTCCTAGGAAACTAATATAACATCCAAAAGTAGAGACACAGGCTAGGCTCCGTGGCTCATGCCTGTAATCCCAGCACTTTGGGAGGCTGAGGCGGGCGGATCACTTGAGGTCAGGAGTTCAAGACCAGCCTGGCAAACATGGCGAAACCCCATCTCTACTAAAAATACAAAAATTAGCCGGGCATTGTAATGCACGCCTGTGATCCCAGCTACTAAGGAGGCTGAGGCGGGAGAATTGCTTGAACCCAGGAGGCAGAGGTTGCAGTGAGCTGAGGTCATGCCACTGCACTCCAGCCTGGGCAACAGAGCAAGACTCCGTCTCAAAAACAACAAGAACAAGAACAACAAGAACAACAACAACAACAAAAGTAGAGACACAGAAAAATGTGGCACTTCTTAGCAATCTAACATCCCAGATAATACCTAGCTCAGAGGGTGGGGAGAATTTAGCCTGCCCTCCTTGCCCATAGGGTTCCCACTTTCACTGCTTCAGCTGTTTTGTCGTGGGAAGCAGCCACCCTCAGCCACAGAACTCAGCTGCCTCAATTTTCTGCATAGGTAGTGAGAAAGTCCTGTGTCTAGTCTCACTTTGGTCCCTCTTGCTGCTGTACTGGTTCCATCTTGGAGAAGTTAGAGGTCAAAGTTCACATGTGCATCCTTGGAGATTTGCAAGCCATGACTCTGCCCACCTCGAAACTATCTTTTTCAGAGGTAGTTTCTCCCAAACTTGCCTCCAGCCTCTCTTCCACTTGAAGGGCAGCAGAGAGGAGGATTAAGACAGTAGGAAGAGGGAAAACAGGCAGGCAACTGCCCTTCAAGACACTTATTTTGTACCAAAGACATGCATTATGGTATTACATTCTCACGGTAACTGCATCAGGTAAGAATTATCAGCTCCATTTTACAGATGAGGAAAGTGGGCTTGGAGAGGATATCACACGATTGGTGTCTAGAGCTGGGACTCTACCTGGTGGACTCCAAAGCTCTTTTCATTCCACCATGCTGTGTCTCAGTAGGCAGAGTTCGCCAGGGTGTCTTGGGAAAACTGAGGCAGGAGGTAAGAATGGTGCTTTCTAGAGTTGGGGTTTCAAGCCTTCCCATTGTCCATTCTCTACCAGCAAACTAGCCTCTTAACCCTTGCTGTCTCACGCTGGAGCTACTGGCCTGTGGGTGCTGCGAAATATGTCAACTCCAGTAGGCGGCACTGTGAACCAGACACCAGCCCAGCGTGGACGCCGCGCGGGAAAACCCGCGAGGTGGAGCCACAAGGAGCAGCCAGGGAACCACGTGTGGAGGCGTGGCCAGCCTGGAAGAGGGCGGGTCTGTTATTCAAGCCCCGCCCATCATTTCAGGCCTCCCCTCCCGGTGGGCGTGCCCCGAATTCTCTCCCCGAGAGACACGCGTGGGCCGCTCCCCTCTGGGAGGAGGGCTGCCCAGAGGGGTGCGGGTGTCGCTAGCGGCCCCTCCCCGTGTGGGGCCACGTGGCGGGTGCGGGCCGAGCCCGAGGGGAAGAACCTGGCCCGTGGGGAGGTGGGGGGGACCGAAACGGCGCTGAGCCGAGCCGAGAGCTACGGGGTTCGGAGCAGAGGCAGCGGCAGCGGCAGCGGCAGTAAGAGGGAGGGGAGGAGGCAGGAGGGCGCATGGGGCGCCCCGGCCCCTCCGACAGCGCGCCCCCTCCGGCCCGGCCGCGCTGAAAGCTCCCCAGCGCCGCGCCTTGAACCCACGCCCCGGGGCCATGCCGGTCATGAAGGGGTTGCTGGCCCCGCAAAACACCTTCCTGGACACCATCGCCACCCGTTTTGACGGAACGCGTGAGTGGGACGGAGGTCGGGGCTTGAGGTTCGAGCTGGGGGGCAAGTATCCTCGGGGCCGTCTCGGATCTCCTGGACATGGTGAGACCCGAGGCGAGGGGAGAGAATGGAGGTGCGGGTCTAGGAACTCCCAAAGCCGCGGTGCAGGAACAGGGCGGGGAGTGCCCTGCGAGGGGAGGAGGGGAAAGGGCCGAGAGCACGGGGGCCAAGGTTAGGGGGTGTGACTCGAGGCAGAAGAGGCTCTTTGTGCGGCAGAGCGGAGGAGGGTCCTTCGGAGCCGCCCACTCTCGGGCAGAGCTGTGCTGGGGGCGTGTATGGGGGTATCCGAGACACAGAAGTGGGGCAAAGTGGCCGGGCATTCTGGGGTCTACTCACAGACTCCAGCTCCCACTACCTCCAGAAAAAAAGGAGAAAAGATCAGACTTCAGCAGGACCTAGTTTGGATTGAGGTCGCGCGCCCCCAAATCGTGGGGCGTCAGTGTCTAAGGTGGGTGAGGCAGGAGGAGGGGAGCGGTCTGTGCGACGGTGGGAACTCCCAGCTCGCCCAACGTAGCTTGGGTTTCAGGTTCAGCACCTTGGACAGCCACATCACTCCTCCCCCGCCTCTTCTCCCGCCATTCCCTCTTCCCACTCTGGAACCCAGAGATTCCCCGCCCTCACCTCCCCCAACCCCGCCATTCCCTCGGGAACCCTGGCCGGGATCTGGATGGTGGGGGAGCGGTACCCGAGGGCGGAAACTGAGCCGCCGGGCCCTACCCTCTTCCCCACCACCTTGTTTCCATAGCGCCCATCACCGGGGCAACAGGCCCTGGGATGGAAGAAGGAGGCTGTGCCCAGAGCCCAGTGCCTCCCAGGCACCTTCAGTGTCCCCATCAGCCTCCCTGCCCCCAGACAGTCATCCCTCCTAGAGCACCAGGACTGGTTGTGTCACAGGCCCCATCTCTTAGCTGAGTCTCTGTCCCTGGATGGCCCACAGGAGTCCCCCTGGCCTCCCACCCATTGGAGCTGGAGGGAGACAGCTCGGGTTCTGCTGCTGGGGGTTGCTGGAGCTATACGCTCAATGCCCTCTCCCATTAGACTTTGAGCAGTGGGGCAGATCCCCTGAAAGCAGCTACAAGAATGCTAAAAAGTGGACCTTCTCTGGAAGGCAGGGAAGGAAGACAGCACTCATCACTGTCTGCCCCCACACTAAGGAGATCTGTGAGTTTGGATAATCTCTGCCTTTTGGTTTCCTATCAATAAATGGGTGTGGTGTCATCAGAATCTCTGCCCTGCTTACTCTGTAATAGGAAGAAAGCCAAGTGAATGTGGGGAAAAAATTTCACCTTCTCAGAGTAGCACTTACCATGTGCTAGGACTTGTTCTCCCCAAGTTAACTCATGTAACTCTCACAACGACCATGTGAGGAAGGCCTATTATGCCCTACTTTGCAAATAAGGAAAGCTTAGGCACAGAAGAGGTCATCAACTTGCCCAAGGTCACACAGTTAGTAAGTGGCAGTGGAGGGTTGCAGGAGCCCAGGCTCTTACTCACCATGCTATACTGCCTTCTACAGTGACAGCTCACCAGTTGGAAGGCAGGGGGATGGATGGCATGACCTCCTGGGGTCCTTCTCCAACTCCCCGTTAGACCCTGCTTAAGTCCTGTCTCAAGTCCTTGTCTCTTTGCTCCAACTTCTCCAATTCTCAATTCAGAATATCCCAAAGTGGGGTCAGGAGCAACATGGAAACCTGGGAAGCTTCTGGCTCTGTGACTTCTAACCCCAACTTAGAGGAAGTGCTGCCCACCTGGAAGCTAGCTCGCCTCCCAGCCTTGACCTGACCTTGACCTCTTCTTCCCACAGACAGCAACTTCCTGCTGGCCAACGCACAGGGCACACGGGGCTTTCCCATCGTCTACTGCTCCGACGGCTTCTGCGAGCTCACAGGCTACGGTCGCACCGAGGTCATGCAGAAGACCTGCAGCTGCCGTTTCCTCTACGGCCCAGAGACCAGTGAGCCAGCCCTGCAGCGTCTGCACAAAGCCCTGGAGGGCCACCAGGAGCACCGGGCTGAAATCTGCTTCTACCGCAAGGATGGTGAGGGGGCTCACCCCACCCTGCAGCTCTGCCTAGACCCCTAGCCTTATCCAGAGGGCACTGGGCACAGTAGGAGTCTGAGTGCTTGTCCCCACACTGCCAAAAGCTGACTGTGACGGAGCGTATCCCTGACCTCTCTGGTCCTGGGTTCCCCCATTTGAAAGATGAAGGAATCGGCTGACAGAATCTCTGAGGTTCCTTTTGGTTCTTGCTTTGCCAAGCTCTTAACTATGTCTAGGAGGATGAGAGGGATGAGGAGAAAGGCATGCCATGGGGCTGCCCATGCTCCTCCCTTCCCTCTCTCCATGCCTACAGGCTCAGCCTTTTGGTGCCTCCTGGACATGATGCCCATCAAGAATGAGATGGGGGAGGTCGTGCTGTTCCTCTTTTCCTTCAAGGATATCACTCAGAGTGGAAGCCCAGGACTTGGCCCCCAAGGAGGCCGCGGGGACAGTAATCACGGTAACAGCAAGTCCGGACGGGCAGTGTGAATGGTCAGAAGCCTTCGCCTAACCAGCCGCAAGGGATGTGCCCCAACGTATCTCTGCACCTTTCTTCCCAACAGAAAACTCCCTTGGTAGAAGGGGAGCCACCTGGAAATTTCGGTCTGCCAGAAGACGGAGCCGTACTGTCCTACACCGACTGACCGGCCACTTTGGCCGCCGGGGCCAGGGAGGCATGAAGGCCAATAATGTGAGTCCCACCCCCAACCCAACATCTCCCAAGTCCTCCAGCCTTGATTCTGAGGCACCCCTGCCACTGTCTCCCCACTTCCCTGTCTGTCTGGTGTCCCTCCTTGGCTTGCTCCTCTGCCCACCCATTTCCCATATACTACTCTATATGGTATATGCTCCATCCTATATCCTCCCCCAACATCCTTCTATCCCTATCTCCCTCATTCCCTTAGGTGATTGACATTACTTTGCTCCGATGATGTCACATTGCTCTAGCAGCAATGACCTCACCTGCCCGGGGGTGATAGGGTTATACCATGGGTGGTGAAATTGCAAGCTGCTATAGTTCTAGGGAGAAAGCCCTCATTGCAGGCCTGGCATCTAGACCTGTGTACCACCTCCTAGGATCCTGACCAAGCCAGGGGATTGAGTCCCCAACCCTCTGTTAGGGATACAGGGAATGCGGTGGGCTATGCCAGCCTCTGCTCCCTGCTGGGATATACCCAGCCCCCACTGGGCCCCCAGAACCCAAGAGGAACTTAAGGGAGAAGTTAGGTACCCCTCAAGCTAGGGCATGTGCCGATTTGTCATAGTCTTCTTCTCAAGTAGGATGAGTGTTGGGCCAGGCACAGTGGCTCATGCCTGTAATCCCAGCACTTTGGGAGGCCAAGGCAGGAGGATTGCTTGAGGCCAGGAGTTCTAGACCAGCCTGGGCAACATAGTGAGACCCCTTTTCTAAAAAAAAAAAAAAAAATTAAAAATTATCTGGAGGCCAGGCGCAGTGGCTGATGCCTGTAATCCCAGCACTTTGGGAGGCTGAGGCAGGCGGATCACCTGAGGTCGGGAGTTCAAGACCAGCCTGACCAACATGGAGAAACCCCATCTCTACTAAAAATACAAAGTTAGATGGGTATGGTGGCACATGCCTGTAATCCCAGCTACTTGGAAGGCTGAAGCAGAAGAATCACTTGAACCCGGGAGGTGGAGGTTGCGGTGAGCCGAGATTGCACCATTGCACTCCAGCCTGGGCAACAAGAGTGAAACTCTCAAAAAAAAAAAATTATCTGGCTATGGTGGTGCATGCCTGTGGTCCCAGCTACTCTGGAGCCTGAGGCAGGAGGATAGCTTGAGCCCAGGAGTTTAAGGCTGCAGTGAGTTATGATGGTGCCACTGCACTCCAGCCTGGGCACAGAGTGAGACTGTCTCTAAACTTAAAAATGTAAAAATCAAGTTGGGTGAATGTCAAGCCTCATAAATACCCTTGACAAGACATGATTGGTTCAAACAGGGGCCTGGGGCCGGGCACAGTGGCTCACACCTGTAATCCTAGCACTTTGGGAGGCTGAGGTGGGTGGATCACCTGAGGTCAGGAGTTCAAGACCAGCCTGGCCAACATGGCGAAACCCCATCTCTACTAAAAATACAAAAATTAGTCAGGTGTGGTGGCATGTTCCCGTAGTCCCAGCTGTTTGGGAGGCTGTGGCAGGAGAATCACTTGAACCCAGGAGGTGGAGGTTGCAGTGAGCCAAGATCATGCCCTTGCACTCCAGCCTGGGTAAAGAGCAAGACCCTATCTCAAAAAAAAAAAAAAAAAAAAAAAAAAAAAAAAGGAGGAGGGCCTGGGAAATACTTGGCAGGAGAAGAAAATGTCAGGTGTCAGCCTCTGCGCCCCTCTCCTGGCCTTCTATCTCCTTTCATTCATGGTCAAAAGTGCCCTTGCAGTGCCCACCTGCTAACTTTCCCCATCCCCTGCCTTTCCCACCCCCCATCTTGGCTCCTCTTTCCCTCAAGTGTCCCCAACCGCCACCCCTCTCCCCTTAGAACGTGTTTGAGCCAAAGCCATCAGTGCCCGAGTACAAGGTGGCCTCCGTGGGGGGGTCTCGCTGCCTCCTCCTCCACTACAGCGTCTCCAAGGCCATCTGGGACGGCCTTATCCTCCTTGCCACCTTCTACGTTGCGGTCACCGTCCCCTACAATGTCTGTTTCTCGGGTGACGATGACACCCCCATCACTTCGCGACACACCCTTGTCAGCGACATCGCCGTGGAAATGCTCTTCATCCTAGGTCAGACCTTCTGCCTCACCCACCCTGGTGGGTCGGCTGGGGGGATCCACTTGGCCAAGCCTCACCCACTCCTGGGGCCCACATGACCCAGACATTCAGAGCCCCTTCCTTTCTGCATCTTTAAGTCCCAATGGCCCATGTGTCCTGCTCCCCGCAGCCTTCAGCCTTGTAACCTATCCTCCCTAAGGACCAGCCAGAAGCCCAATCTATCTCTCCATGCCTGCCTCCTCCTCCAGTCTCCAAAGCTTGTTCCCAGCTTTGTCGGTTTCTTGACCCCTTTGCCAAGGCCCCCCAGTAATAGCCTCTTGCACCCCCAGATATCATCCTGAACTTCCGCACCACCTATGTGTCCCAGTCCGGCCAGGTAATCTCTGCTCCTCGTTCCATTGGCCTCCACTACCTGGCCACCTGGTTCTTCATCGACCTTATTGCTGCTCTGCCCTTTGACCTGCTTTACATCTTCAACATCACCGTGGTGAGTGACCTCCATCCCGCCATCCAGTCCAACCTCCCAACTTCAGCACAGCATCTTCCAGGAAGGGACTGACCCCAAACCCAGATATGCCCCTTCCCATCAATCCATCTGCAGATATTTATCAGGCACCTGCTCTGGGCATAGCCCTGTGCTAGGTACTGGGAGGATCCCGAGGGTCTGTGATCCTGGGGAGCTCAGCTCACAATCTTTGAGGGAAGCTGAGACAAATGAAAAGCTAACTATGGCTACCAAGGCGGCATTGGTCTGATGCCAAATGAGTGGTACTTTTCACATTTTTATTTAACAAACAACTGATGAGCATTTAGCTGTCTGCAAAGCACTGTGTGGGGCATGGCCACTGTGGGGAAAGGGAACAAGGATTCAGCCTCTAAACAGCCAAACTGGTGAGGGGGCAGGAATGCCACAGAGCACATCAGGGACAGAAGAGGTGAATGGGGGTGGAAGATGGGGCCCGGGTATGCTACAGAGGGGCTGGGCTGACCTTGGAGTTCCAGGCTGGAACATGAGTGTGTGTAAAAATGATCTGAAGTCTGGCCAGCACCTGGGAAGCAAAAGCGCCCTTGTTGGGCAGAGGCTGGAGGGGTCTGGGAAGGTTTCCTGAGGGAGGCGGAGATGGTATAGCTAGACCTTAAAGGGTGAGTAGGATTTAGCTGGAAGGAGATGAGGACAGCAAGCATTTGGGGGAGCATAGTAAACCTAGACAAGAAGGTAGAGGCTGTGGGGTGAATTCAGAGGCAAAGAATGCCAGGACCTGAGTCCTCACAGATCCCTGGGGACACTCTGGAGGTGCCCTGAGTGGTCATCTGTGGCCCCAGCCAGCAGATAGTAGGTCTTCTCAAGTCCAGGGTGGGGCAGTGCTACCCCGTGTCCCCAGGCCCCCTTGGGTGTGGGGCGGGCAAGTGGGGAGCAGTTTCCTTGTGTGCTCTCTCCCTGCACTCAGCTATAGCAGGAAACCACCTACACGCAGCCGAATTTAACTAGCCGCCAACGGGCTGTGGGCCTCCTCTCCTGGCTGTGCACACGTGTGTGCGTGCTCCCACACACGTGCATGTGTGTACGTCTGCCTCGAGGCTCTGACCATTCTGAGCAGATCTCCCTACCCCTCCCCAGGGGTGCGCCCACCCCTCTATGCCCACCAGGCACCATCAGCTGGGGAGTGGGACACTACAGAGAGCCCCCTGCCCCTCCTCTCAGGTCCCTTTGGGAGCACGTTACAGTTCCCTATGTTCTTTCACACTCATCATCACATGGGAGCCCCACGGGAACCCTTCAGGGCAGAGGCTTATCCTTTTTCAGAGGTAGGTACAGAGGCTCAGAGAGGTTCAGTGACTTGCTGAAGGTCACATACCTAGCAGGGGCAGGCAGGATATTAGAACCAGGTCTCTCCACCCTGGGCAACAGGTGAAACCCCTTCTCTACTAAAACACAAAAAATTAGCCGGGTGTGCTGGCACGTACCTGTAGTCCCAGCTACTCGGGAGGATGAGGTACAAGAATTGCTTGAGTCCCAGAGGTGGAGGTTGCAGTGAGCCAAGATAGCTCCACTGCACTCCAGCTTGGCCGGGCGCAGTGGATCACCCTGTAATCCCAGCACTTTGGGAGGCCCAGGCGGGCGGATCACGAGGTCAGGAGATCAAGACCATCCTGGCTAACATGGTGAAATCCTGTCTCTACTAAAAATACAAAAAAAATTAGCCAGGCGTGGTGGCAGGTGCCTGTAGTCCCAGTTACTTGGGAGGCTGAGGCAGGAGAATGGTCTGAACCCGGGAGGCAGAGCTTTCAGTGAGCCGAGATTGCGCCACTGCACTCCAGCCTGGGCGACAGGGACTCTGTCTCAAAAAAAAAAAAAAAAAAAAAAAAAAAAAGAACCAGATCGCTAAACTTCCAGTCTAGTATTTTTTCCAACATACCACCCTGCTTCCCAGGTAACCAGGGCCCCTGAGTGGATGGTCTGGTGAGATGAGGAATACCACTGGGGGCCAGAGAGAGGTAGAGCAGAGACAGAAGATGAGCAGGCACTGGCAGAGCTGCAGACTTGAAGGAGCCAGGCCTGGATATTCTAGTCCAAGGAGAATGACAGGAGTATCCCCAAGAGAGTGGCCCAAGGGCAGCTGACTGAGGGAAGCCCTGAAGAACTCAAGCTTGCAGTCAAGGGCTCTGGGAGCTGGGGGTAGGCATTAAACCCTGGCGAGGGTCCATATGGAGGAATCAGAGCCACCTCCTTTCCAGTTCCTTCACCTAAAATTAGAGAAAAATTGCACGAGGTGGTCCAGGAGCAGTGTAGGGCCAGGGCTGTGGGGAATGTTCCTGGAGGCCCAGGAAGGGGCAATGAGGGGCTTTCATACCAAGTTCCCCAGGCACTGCCCCAGAGCCTCCAGTCCTAGCTGCCAGGCTGCTCCCACCCAGAAGATAAGCCCTGCCCATCTCCAAGATTGAAGGGCTAATCAATATTGATAACCACAATGCAGATGGTACTTGGGGTAATATTAGTGAATATGGGACACTTACCAGGTACCATTATCTCCGTCAACCCCTAGCACAGCCCAGCCTCCCTCAGTCCCTGCTCTCCTGCCCCCTCAACTCTTCTGCTTGACTCTTCATCTGCAGCCGATCCACAAGAAGAAGTGTCCATAAACCTCCCCCAGCCCTCAAGTCCTTGCCTGTCCCCACTCCACTATGCTTCTCCATGTCTTAAAGGGGGGTCCCCATCACAATTGCTGCCGTCGCTACTGGGGCTCTGCAGAGACTGTTGCCTATCCCCTGACTCTGACTAGGGCCGGCTCCCCTACCATCTCCCAGTGCTTAGTGGCTGTAGAGCACAAGGTGGACTGTGGTGTCAGTCAGCCCAGATGCCCACCCTGAGTTCCAACTCTATCGTGTCCTTGGTCTGTGACCTTGAACAAGTCATTAGCCTCCCTGAACCTCAGTTCATTCATCTGCAAATTAGGAATGATGATAATTGAACTAAAGGTATAAGTGTGTGTGTGTGTGTGTGTGTGTGTGTGTGTGTGTGTGTGTGTGTTGTTAAATAAGGATTACCAATGCTTAGCACAGTGCCTGGCTAAGCACATAGAACGTACTTACTAAGGCCGGGTGCAGTGGCTCACGCTTGTAATCCCAGCACTTTGGGAGGCCGAGGCAGGTGGATCACGGGGTCAGGAGATCGAGACCATCCTGGCCAATGTAGTGAAACCCTGTCTCTACTACAAATACAAAAATTAGCTGGGGAGGGAGGCTGAGGCAGCCTTGAATCGCTTGAACCTGGGAGGCAGAGGTTGCAGTGAGCTGAGATCTCGCCACTGCACTCCAGCCTGGCTACAGAGCGAGACTCTACCTCAAAAAAAAAAAAAAAAGTAATTACAAAGTGTTAGCCACTGTTTGTTTTATTGTTATTATTCCCTTGCTGCTGCATTCCTTGGCCACTTTCTCAGGACAGCAAAGATGTCTTTCCTGTTGCAGCCTGCCCTGGCTCCAGGTTGTCTGGTGGGAAGGCCCTGGGAGGGGACTCTGAGGGCTCGGAGGAGGTGTGCCTGCTGACAGCCTCCCCCGCCACCTTCCTGCAGACCTCGCTGGTGCACCTACTGAAGACAGTGCGGCTGTTGCGGCTGCTGCGGCTGCTGCAGAAGCTGGAGCGGTACTCTCAGTGCAGTGCTGTGGTGCTCACGCTGCTCATGTCGGTCTTTGCGCTCCTTGCCCACTGGATGGCCTGCATCTGGTATGTCATCGGGCGCCGGGAGATGGAGGCCAATGACCCGCTGCTCTGGGACATTGGTGAGCCACCGACCCCAAACTTTCACAGACCACCTGTCCACCTGTCCCATCCCCAAGCTGATGCCTCCACCAGTACCCACACCCCTCATCCCACATTCCTCTATCCATCCAACAAACATGCGTTGAGCTCTTTCTGGATCAAGCATGGGAATATTGATTTGCAGACAAGGGCTCTGTTTTGGGGGCAGGTTGGGGGGAACTCACAGCCTAGTGGGGGAGCAAGACCAGTGATAGTGATCAAAGTACAACGCAGGAAACACTCTGAGGGTGGAGGGGTGTGTTTCAGGCAGAAGGAGCAGCACGTGAAAAGTCCCAGAAAGAGCTTAGCATCTCTGCCCCCATCAATCCCTTCTTCTCCAAGCTTCATGGCCATGAGCCAGGAGACAGCCCCAGGCCCTTGGAATCCCTCTGAAAGGCCTGTCAGATCCCGGGCATGGTCCCTGACACCTCCCTTTCCTTTACCCCACACCTAGCCCACCACATCAATACCACCTCTCAAATGTCCCGTGAATTTGACCTTTTCTCTCCATCCTCTCTGCCCCTTCCCAGTCCACTCCACCTCCCTTTCTCACCCAGGCCTGTGCAATAGCCTCCCTACTGATTTCCCAATCCCCTTCTCATCCCCCCCACAACCACCATCCTCACCACAGCCAAATGGGTGTTCCAGGATTCAACGTTGACCCACTACACTCCTTCTGGGATTCCTTCAGTGGCTTCCCACTGCCCTCCAAATGAAGTCCACACTCACTGCACACCCTGGGCGGCCCTGTGCCCCTTCTCTCCCCACCTGCCTTCCCGTTCTCCCGTGCTCCCTGCGCTGCAGCCACACCAGCCTCTCCCCTGGACCCAGGACATACTGCTTTCTCATGCTGGGCCTGGAACATGTTCTTTTCCTCTCTGGAATCCTCCTCTTTTGTCTTCCCTCTCCACCTAGATGGATTTTCCGTTCCCTGCCTCACTTGGAACAATGTTCCTTCGGTTCCATGTGTCTCAACCAAAATGTCCTGTCCTAAGGAGCATGCCTTCCAGGCACCATGTCCAGAACCCCCAACTGCCAATGGGTTGGCTTTCCCTAACCTGTTAGGATTCCTAACACACCCTATACAATACTTTCCTTCCAGGAGCTCACCTCCCACCTGTAATGATTTATGTCATGTCTCTTTCCCCTCCAGGCTATAGGTTCCACCAGGGCAGGGAGAGTGTTTGGCTGGGTCAATTCCCCAACACTTTGTATACAGCAGGTGCACAATAAACTATTAGAAAGTTTCAGGAGCCTTTGAACACTCAGCAATGTAGTTAGTTGGCGGCCTTGGAATGCAACTGTAACCAATGCACCATGGGGAGACACAGGCCCAGGCCACTCCCCACATTTCCTGTGCCAACCTGTGTATAAATACTTGCCGAAGGTCAAGCGTAGGTGGCTCAGGGAACCCTGGTTCTCCACCGCTGGCACAGCCAGGGCTCCCTGCATCCGTCCACCCTGCAGGCTGGTTGCATGAGTTGGGCAAGCGTCTGGAGGTGCCCTATGTCAATGGCTCGGTGGGCGGCCCATCACGGCGCAGCGCCTACATCGCGGCACTGTACTTCACTCTAAGCAGCCTCACCAGTGTGGGCTTTGGCAACGTGTGTGCCAACACCGACGCGGAGAAGATCTTCTCCATCTGCACGATGCTCATAGGCGGTGAGGCCAGACCTGCCACGCCTCAGTGGGGCCCTGCGAAGCCCAGCATGCACGGGGAAACTGAGGCCCAGAGAGGGCAAGACATCTGCCCGAGGTGTCTACCCAAGTCCAGACAGTCACGCATTCATTCACGGACGTTTCCTGAGTGCCCACTATGTGCTGGCCCTGGGGATGCCACAAACAGGCGTGGACTTTTGCAAAGGGGATGGGAAACCCAGGTTCATGACCTAATGGTGGGGAGGCCTGAGAGGAGCATGGGGTGTTACCCATCTCTGGACCACTCCCTATTCCCCACCCTTAGTCTAGTGCCTGGCACCTGGTAGGCACACAGGAGCCCGCTGGCTCTTGGTCCAGGACAGGGTGGGTTTGGGAGCTGGGGAGGTGGCCAGAGGGGTGGCCGCCCCTGACAGGCCCGCTGCTGCTGCTGCAGCCCTGATGCACGCTGTGGTGTTCGGGAACGTGACAGCCATCATCCAGCGCATGTACTCGCGCCGCTCGCTCTACCACAGCCGCATGAAGGACCTCAAGGACTTCATCCGTGTGCACCGCCTGCCGCGGCCGCTCAAGCAGCGCATGCTCGAATACTTCCAGACCACGTGGGCCGTCAACAGCGGCATCGACGCCAACGAGGTAGCCTGCAGGGTCTCCAATCTTGCCCTTGCCCTCCGCGTGGCCCTGCAGTGGGGTGGGGAAGGAGTCGCTGCCCCTGTAGCTTAAAATGGAGGCAGGCCGAACTCGGCTGCTCACACCTGTAATCCCAGCACTTTGGGAGGCTGAGGCGGGCAGGTCACTTGAGGTCAGGAGTTGAAGACCAGCCTGGGCGACATGGTGAAACCCTGTCTCTGCTAAAAATATGAAAATTAGCCAGCTGTGGTGGTGCACGCCTGTAATCCCAGCTACTAGGGAGACTGAGGCACGAGAATCACTTGAACCAGGGAGGCAGAGGCTGCAGTGAGCCAAGATCATGCCACTGCACTCCAGCCTGGGTGACAGAGCTAGACTCTGTCTCAAAAAAAATAAATAAATAAAATGGAGGCGCTGAGCGCAGTGGCTCACACCTGTAATCCCAGCACTTTGGGAGGCCGAGGTGGGCGGATCACAAGGTCAGGAGATCGAGACCATCCTGGCTAACACGGTGAAACCCCATCTCTACTAAAAATACAAAAAATTAGCCGGGCATGGCAGCGTGCACCTATAGTCCCAGCTACTCAGGAGGCTGATGCAGGAGAATGGCATGAACCCGGGAGGCGGAGCTTGCAGTGAGCCGAAATTGTGCCACTGCACTCCAGCCTGGGCGGCAGAGCGAGACTCTGTCTCAAAAATAAAAATAAAAATAAAAATAAAAAAATAAATAAATAAAATAAAAGGGAGGCAAACAGGGCCCGGGGGGTGAGGTATTGTTCACAAGGGCACACATTTGCCCAAAATACAAATTCTTGCTTCTTTTCTTTTTTTCTTTTTTCAAGAAGGAGTCTTGCTCTGTCGCCCACGCTGGAGTGCAGTGGTGTGCTCTCAGCTCACTGCAACCTCTGCCTCCCAGGTTCAAGGAATTCTTCTGCCTCAGCTTCCTGAGTATCTGGGATCACAGGCACCTGCCACCATGCTCGGCTGATTTTTGTATTCTTAGTAGAGACGGGGTTTCACCATGTTGGTCAGGCTTGTCTCGAACTCTTGACATCGTAATACACCTGCTTCAGCCTCCCAATTTGCTGGGATTACAGGCGTGCACCACCACAGCCGGCCAAATTCTTGTTTCTTTGCACTTGAATAAGGGAATGAAAGAGCTCAGGGCCCAGCTGATGCGACTCTCCCTTCTGCCAACATTTCCTGAGTGCCTGCTTTGGGCCAGCCTTGGTGCTGGGCACAGAGAGCTTAGAGATGATGACACTTAGCCCTGGCCCTCAGGGAGACCCAGAGTATTGAGGGAGGCAGAAAGATGAACAGAGAGTGCCGCGCTGAATGGGGCTGTAAAGGAGGGATGTCGGTGCCTTCAGGTCCTCATTGTGCCTGGGTGGGGAGGAGTCAAGGAAGGTGGCAATGCCAGGTAGAAATGGCCTTAGGGACACAGGCCAGAAGTGATGGCACAAAAGAGCAGAGTGAGCGCTTTAGGGAACTGAAAGCGGCTCAATAAGCCCGCAGGAATGGGCATGTGAGTGCTGCGGAGGGAGAAGGCAGGGCAGGAAGGCACGACATGGGCTGGGAGGCAGCAGGCCCAGCTCAGGGATGGCCTAGAATTTAGATTTTATCCTGCTTAATGTTTAGACTGGGGAGTGGTGTGGGGATCTTGGAGGGAATGGGTTGGTGAGGTATCTCTGAGGATGGGATCTGTGGGACGTGGTAATCTCCTGCTGGTTGCAAGAGAGGAGCTCAGAGTGACTCCCAGTTTTCTGGCTTAGGCCAAGGGTGGGGATGGAGGCATAACAGGGGGAAGATGGGCTTTGGGATGAAGGTGAGAGTCCCGGGTCAGACCAAGAGGAGGGTATAGTGCCTGGGGGAGGTCCAGAGAGAGGCTGCCCGGTAGGTAGATGGGAATCAGCTCTTGGCTGGGTGCGGTGGCTCATACCTGTAATCCCAGCACTTTGGGAGGCTGAGGCGGGCAGATCACCTGAGGCTGGGAGTTTGAGACCAGCCTGGCCAACATGGTGAAACCCCGTCTCTACTAAAAATACAAAATTAGCTGGGCGTAGTGGTGCGTGCTTGTAATCCCACCTACTCGGGAGGCTGAGGCAGGAGAATTACTTGAACCTGGGAGGCGGAGGTTGCAGTGAGCTGAGATCGTGCCACTGCACTCCAGCTTGGGTAACAGAGTGAGACTCTGCCTCAAAAAAAAAGAAAAAAGAAATCAGGTCTGGACCCAGAGTTAGGGCTCAGGGCACTCAGGTAGTAGGGAAGCCATGGGGCCAGTTGCCATGATGCAGGGAGAGTGTGGAAAGTGAGAGTCCAGGGTGTTGGCTGAGGAAGAGGAGCCTGAGAGGAAATGAGGAAGTAAGCAGTGGGAGGAACCAGGAGGGAACCCTTCACAGGAGCCCAGGGGGACCAAGGGGAGAGTTCAACAAGCCAGGGTGGCCAAGGGGCTCCATATGAGGATGTGAACATGCAGTGTGGCCATAAGAGGTCATTGGTAGTGCCCATGGTCTAATAACAACTCTGCATTTTACAGACTGAGATACAGACTGGGATACTGAGGCCCAGCGAGCGGAAATGGGTTGCCCAAGGTCCACAGGGACTTAGGAGCCGAGCTGACTCCTGGTCTCCTGACTCCCAGTTGAAGGCTGACCCCCAAGTGATGGCTTCTGAACGATGGGGTTAAGTGACCAGCATGTAGCCACAGGCAGGGAACTGATGGGAGAAGACCTGGTCTCTGCCCCTGAAATTGGGTTGTGAGGTACATGCAGCAAGCAAAATTGAGGTTAGACACAGAGGTTGTACTGAAGGTCTGGAATGGGTGACTTCAAAGCAAGGGCAAGAGGAATTCTCTCTTTGAAGACAGCTCAGCACATTTGTAGACTCAAGTAGTAGCTGCAGGGGGATGGCCAGAATGACCTATGCCCCTTATGCAGTTACTGCGTGACTTCCCAGACGAGCTGAGAGCTGACATTGCTATGCACCTGAATCGGGAGATCCTGCAGCTGCCGTTGTTCGGGGCAGCGAGCAGGGGCTGCCTGCGGGCCCTATCGCTGCACATCAAGACCTCGTTCTGCGCTCCGGGCGAGTACCTGTTGCGCCGTGGGGATGCCCTGCAGGCACATTACTATGTCTGCTCCGGCTCGCTTGAGGTGCTCCGAGACAACATGGTGCTGGCCATCCTGGGTAAGGACACCGTCACCCTCTACTACCTACCCTGGAACCACCCCCCGCAACCCCCACTGAGGACTTGGGAATGGCCAGGATTCTAGGGAATGGGATACCCCTCGTGGATACCTACAGTTCCTGCTGAGGAGTACTCTCTCGGTCCCTCCGCCCTACGACCATCGCCTTTAGACAATTCCCCCTAATCCCCTTGGGCATCCCTCAACCCATCAACCCTTCCCGGTGACTGTCCCCCAGCTCAATTGATCCTTTCCCATTGCTCCACTTCCCAACCCCATTGACCTTTCCCCAGTGACCCTAAACTCCATTCACTTTTACCCTCTAACTGACCTGACCCCTCCGGCCATTGTGATTTTTATCACCCAATTCCACTGATCGTTCCTCTGGCCCTACTCACTCCCACTGACTGTCTCCCAGCCTTACCAGTCATTCTGCACTGACCTTTTCCCAATTCCATTGGTTATTTCCACCAATCCCATTGACTGGCCCACCTTCAACCATCCTTCAAACACACTGACCACCCCTCAAATCCACTGAGCACCTCCAGCTGATATCCTTTCGTTCTCACTGCCCCAGCTGACTGTCCCCATCCCTTACCTACAGGGAAGGGGGACCTGATTGGAGCAGATATCCCTGAGCCGGGGCAGGAGCCTGGGTTGGGAGCAGACCCAAACTTCGTGCTAAAGACCAGTGCTGATGTGAAAGCTCTGACCTACTGTGGCCTGCAGCAGCTGAGCAGCCGAGGGCTGGCTGAGGTCCTGAGGCTCTATCCTGAGTATGGGGCTGCCTTCCGGGCTGGCCTGCCCCGGGACCTCACCTTCAACCTGCGCCAGGGCTCTGACACCAGTGTATGTACACCCCTGATGACCGCCATCCTTCCAGAGTCCCTTCCTCCAAAGCAGACCTCCCCAGCCTGAGAGTCCCATGAACCTCCCTCCACCCTAAAAACACATGCCTGAAGCCCAGGCACCCTCCTCCATTGCCCCTTACCTGCTTCATACCTTCCAACCCCGCTGACACTACACTGGCCATCACCCAGGCCCCTGGCCGTCTCTCATCGCCATCTACTCCCAACTCTACTGCCCCATCTCCTGCTGACCACCCCTCAGCCCCACCCCAGACTCCTGACTCCTTCAAAGGACCCTCCCTTTGTTTTTGTTTTTGTTTTTTTGGGTTTTGTTTTTTTTTTTTGAGACGAAGTCTTACTCTGTCGCCCAGGCTGGAGTGCAGTGGCGCGATCTTGGCTCATCACAACCTCTGCCTCCTGGGTTGGAGCAATTCTCCTGCCTCAGCCTTCCGAGTAGCTGGGATTACAGGTGTGTACCACCACACCCTGCTAATTTTTGTATTTTTAGTAGAGATAGCGTTTCACCATGTTGGCCAGGCTGGTCTTGAACTCCTGACCTCAGGTGATCCACCCACCTCGGCCTCCCAAAGTGCTGGGATTACAGGCATGAGCCACAATGCCCGGTCTTGTTTTCGTTTTTGTTTTTTTTTGAGACAGTCTGGCTCTGTCACCCAGCCTGGAGTGTAGTGGCGCCATCTCAGCTCACTGCAACCTCCGCCTCCCGGGTTCAAGTGATTCTCCTGCCTCAGCCTCCCAAGTAGCTGGGATGACAGGCATGCATGCCATGCCTGGCTAATTTTTATATTTTTAGTAGAGATGGGGTTTCGCCATGTTGGCCAGGCTGGTCTCGAACTCCTGACCTCAGGTGATCCACCCGCCTCAGCCTCCCAAAGTGCTGGGATTACAGGCGTGAGCCACCATGCCCAGCCAGGCTCCTCCCTTTAGAAACAACCCCCTCATGTGCTCCTCTTTCAAGCCCCTCTCTGGACGGGGCATCATGCCCTGGGGGTTCCTCTTCTCTCACCAAATGTCTCCTGAGTCCACTTTGTTTTAGGCTCTGGGCCAGGCCTGTACATTACACCTTGGGCCTTGGTCTTTTGCTGCTTTTCAGTCTCACTTTGATATGCAGTGTTTGTTTGAGTTAGGGTTATAGTTTCTGACTCAGCTCCACAAAAGACTCCACATTCTCAACCCCATAACACTGTTGGGTGGGACAGGGAGGGTCTGCGCTATGGCCGCGGGAAGGCAGGAATCAGCTTGAACTCTCCTATGTCCCCACAGGGCCTCAGCCGCTTTTCCCGATCCCCTCGCCTCTCCCAGGTAACACCCACTTCCTGGGTGGGGTTGAATTGCCCTGGGGAGAGGGTGAGATGGGTAGCAGCATCCCCCTTTCCATGGATGGGGAGCTGCATCCGCCGGCGAAGGCTCTTACTTAATGAAGGGGTCTGTTGTTCACTGTCCTGCGACATCAGCTGCCCCCTCTGCCCGCAGCCCCGCTCAGAAAGCCTCGGCTCCTCCTCAGACAAGACGCTGCCATCCATCACAGAGGCCGAGAGTGGCGCGGAGCCTGGGGGTGGTCCCAGGCCCCGACGGCCCCTCCTGCTGCCCAACCTCAGCCCAGCACGGCCTCGGGGCTCCCTGGTCAGCCTTTTGGGCGAGGAGCTGCCCCCATTCTCAGCCCTTGTCTCCTCTCCTTCCTTATCCCCATCCCTGTCCCCTGCCCTGGCTGGCCAGGGCCACAGTGCCTCCCCTCACGGCCCCCCCAGGTGCTCTGCTGCCTGGAAGCCCCCTCAGCTTCTCATTCCCCCACTGGGAACCTTTGGACCTCCGGACCTCAGTCCCCGGTGAGACGCCAGCCTCCCCTGCTTTCCCAAAACCCCTATTGGCTTCCAGAACCTTCTCTGGGCTCTATCCCTGGCGTTCCAAACAGTGCTACATTCCGTCTCTGCCCGTGTGCCCACCGCACCCTTCCAACCACAGCTTGCAACCCCAACCCACTTTGACTGCTGCTCTTGCTCCGCCCCCTGGCACTGCTGCCCCCAGTCCCCCTCTGTCTGCTCTGCTCTGGCCCTTACCCTCACCCCATGGTGCTGATGAGCACTGCCCTGTTCCCAGGATAGTGGATGGCATTGAGGACTCTGGCAGCACAGCTGAGGCCCCTTCATTCCGATTCAGCAGGAGGCCTGAACTGCCAAGGCCCCGCTCCCAGGCGCCCCCTACAGGTAAGGGCCAACAGTGGACTTCAACCCCGTCATCCATCTGCCCATCCACCTGTCCATCCATCCCATATGTAGTAGGGGCCTACCATGTGCCAGGTGCCATCCTGGGAATACACAGATAAAACAGACCTGGCCCACGCTCTTGGAGTAAGTCTAGCAGGGAGACACCTCTGTACACAGATAAACAATTCCAGATGCTAAATACCATGACAGACAAGAACAGGACTCTGTGGTAGAAGAGGAAGGTGCTCACTCGACTTCCTTGCAGAGGAGGGGATGCTTGGGTTGCTTCTTAAAGGGTGGGTGGGATCTTGAAGAGTGGAGCAAAACAGTTATTGAGCTGGGCATGGTGGTTCATGCCTGTAATCCCAGTACTTTGGGAGGCTGATGAGGGTGGATCACCTGAGGTCAGGAGTTCGAGACCAGCCTGGCCAATATGGCAAAACCCCATCTCTACTAAAAATACAAAAATTAGCCAGGCGTGGTGGTGCACACCTGTAATCCCAGTTACTCGGAAGGCTGAGACAGGAGAATTGCTTGAACCTCGGAGACAGAGGTTGCAGTGAGCTGAGAGCACACCACTGCACTCCACCCTGGGCAACAGAGTGAGACCCCATCTCAAAAAAAAAAACAAAAACAATTGTTGAAAGGCATGAAAACCAGAGGGATGCTGTGTTCAGACACCAAAGAGAAGCTCCGTACCAAGATGGGGCAAGGGGCAGGATGAGGCTGGAGAGTTACACAGGGGCCTCAGAACCAGGCTAAGGAGTTTAGGTTTCCCATCTTACAGACCCTAGAGCTTTGTCTCCCCCTGCTCTCCGCCTGCCCAATGACAGGAGGATTCCAGCCCAAGTTATAGGCTCAGGTATTAATGCTCCATGAACTCACCTGCATCCCTTCACCCTGCAGGGACCAGGCCCAGCCCAGAATTGGCCAGTGAGGCTGAGGAGGTGAAGGAAAAGGTTTGCCGGCTGAACCAGGAGGTGGGTTGGGGCTGGCTCAGAGACGTGCCTGATATAACAGCATTTCAGACCCTACACGTGGCTCACTTGAGGTCAGGAGTTTGGGACCAGCCTGGCCAACATGATGAAACCCTATCTCTGCTAAAAAATACAAAAATTAGCCAGGCACCTGTAGTCCCAGCTACTCTGGAGGCTGAGGCAGGAGAATCGCTTGAACCTGGGAGGCGGAGGTTGCAGTGAGACAAAATTGCGCCATTGCACTCCAGCCTGGGCGACAGGGCAAGACTCTGTCTCAGAAAAAAAAAAAAAAAAAAAAGAGAGAGATATTCACGCTAGCTAGATGACCTTGGGCAAGTCCCACAACCACTCTGAACTTAAACCTTGGGCAAGTCCCACAACCGCTCTGAACTTAAACTTCCTCATCTAAAATGGGGAAATAGTAATATGTGCTTCCCAGAGTTTTAAGGATGAAATGAGAGTGCATATGTGCCTGGTCCAATCCCTGGCATGTCATAGGCACTCCGTACCAGTTGGTTTCCTTCCTCCCCGACTGGCTCAAGTTTCCCAGCCTGATAAGAGCATCTCTTCTCCCTCCACCACTGTAGGACTCTTTCCTGCCCAGGCCCTACCTCTTTCCCTTACCCCAGCCGTGGGTAATGAGTGCTAAGCAGATGCAGGGGCAGGGGACAGGGAGGCTGAGAGGCCTTCAGGCCTGGGGGACCTGGATCCAGATGTCTGAACTCTGTCCAGGAAGAACCTAGATTCTATATGCTGAGGCTCAGCCTCTGCCTCCTCCCCAAGGGATCTCAGAGTTGTCACCGCAGAGCAACCAGGCCCAGCCCCTGGGAGCCAGCCTTCCCTGTGTTCTGATAAACATCGGGCATCCCAGAGGGGCGGTGCCTGGGCTGTTTCAGGCCCTGGGGCCTGAGCGGGGCTGGCTCTTGTTCAGCAAGCTTGAGGGCAAGTCCGCTCAAGGCCTCAGGCATCCCTCAATTCTAGGCCAGTGGTTCCCAAACAAGTATCTGTCAGAACTACCTGATAGGCCGGGCGCGGTGGCTCATGCCTGTAATCCCAGCACTTTGGGAGGCTAAGGTGGGTGGATCACGAAGTCAGGAGATGGAGACCATTCTGGCTAACACGGTGAAACCCTGTCTCTACTAAGAATACGAAAAAAATTAGCCGGGCGTGGTGGCACACACCTATAGTCTCGGCTACTTGGGAGGCTGAGGCAGGAGAATCTCGTGAACCCGGGAGGCGGAGCTTGCAGTGAGCTGAGATCGCGCCATTGCACTCCAGCCTGGCAACAGAGTGAGACTCCATCTCAAAAAAAAAAAAAAAAAAAAAAAAAGAAAAAGAAAAAAGAACTACCTGACAACCTATTAAATGCAGATTTCTGGGCCTCTTAGGATTGGGAATGTCTGGGGCGGAGCCCAGAAATGTGCCTTTTCAAAAGTTTCTTAGTTGATTCTCTAGTCGCTGAAGTGTGAAAAGCACTGATAGAGACCCTTGAGCTTGTGTGATGGGATCAGCTGAGAATAATAAGGCTGTCACTTCACAGATGTGTGGCCTCTTTGAGCACATTTTTTAACATCTTGGGAAAGCTCGCGCGCGCGTGTGTGTGTAGGGGAGGAATAGCAATATCTGCTGCCCCAAATCCTTTCTGGAAAGAGACTGGGGCATTTTCCATCTAGGCAAAAATAACCCTCATCCTGCCTTTTTCCCAGGGTGGCCATGAGCAGAAAGTGGCTGCGAAAGAGCTTTGTAAACTGGAGAGGGGGGTGCACCTTGTTATTACTGTGGCACCTGTGAAACAACTCGATGTGTTTTCAACAGATCTCTCGTCTCAATCAGGAGGTGTCTCAGCTTAGCCGGGAGCTGCGGCACATCATGGGCCTGCTGCAGGCCAGGCTGGGTCCCCCAGGCCACCCAGCAGGCTCCGCTTGGACCCCAGACCCTCCTTGTCCACAGCTGAGGCCACCATGCCTCTCTCCTTGTGCGTCCAGACCACCACCCAGCCTCCAGGATACTACGCTTGCTGAAGTTCACTGCCCAGCCAGTGTGGGGACCATGGAGACAGGGACTGCGCTCCTGGACTTGAGACCTTCCATATTGCCCCCCTACCCCTCAGAGCCTGACCCTCTGGGACCCTCTCCAGTGCCAGAGGCCTCACCCCCAACCCCAAGCCTCTTGAGGCACAGTTTCCAGTCCAGGTCAGACACGTTCCACTGACCCTGGCCCAGGGCCCAGGCCTGTCTGGGGTGGGCGCTGCCGCTCACCACTCAGGGAGGACCTGGGCCCCTTGGCTTCCTGCCTTGGGGTCAGCAGCCACCAGCTGGCCTGGTTGGCTCTGGATTTCTGGACTTTTTAATGAAGCGTGGTTACCTCTGACGCTATTCCCTTTTCCAAGCCTTCCCCAACCTCCCCCTCTGTGAGGGGAGCCACCTGAGGGCTGTGGAACCCAGCAGGCATGAGATGAACCGCAGTGCCCATTGGGCTGGGCAGATGAGATCCTACTTTCTCCCCAGGACCTGGAGGCAGGTAGAGATGGGGGAGCAGAGGGGATGGGCAAGGGACCCAGCTCCAGCCTAGGACATGAAGGGAAGACCAGACAGGATCTTAGCGTCTATAGCAAGAGAGACAGGTTGTAGGATTTTGCCTGAAGATAGCTTAGTGATATTGTGAGGTCTTCTGTCTCAGCCCCTGGGTCTCTGCTGAAGACCTTAAGAGCAATGTTACCTAGAGAGGGGTAGGTTTGAGATGTTGCTTGGAATTTGAGCAACCCATGATTTCTTAGGCCGCCCACCATGAGCCCAGGCTGGAGAGGCTCACCTCATCCCACAGCCCACACAGGAAACAAACGGATGGCTCCAGATATGTACTCTTCGGCTCGCGCAGCATTATTTTCAAAATATGAGTTAGTTCCAATATTAAAAATGAGACAGGGCCAGGTGCGGTGGCTCACGCCTGTAATCCTAGCACTTTGGGAGGCCAAGGCAGGCGGATCACCTGAGGTCAGGAGTTCGAGACCAGCCTGACCAACATGCAGAAACCTCATCTCTACTAAAAATACAAAATTAGCCGGGCATGGTGGCACATGCCTGTAATCGCAGCTACTCGGGAGGCTGAGGCAGGAGAATCGCTTGAATCCGGGAGGCGGAGGTTGCAGTGAGCCAAGATCGCACCACTGCACTCCAGCCTGGGCGACAGTGAGACTCTGTCTCAAAATAAAAAAAAGAGACAGGTTATATAGGAATACAGATATTCCAATTTCTCTACAAAATGTAGCACTGGGCACAGTGGTTCATGCCTATAATCCCAGCCCTTTGGGAGGCCGAGGTGGGAGGATCGCTTGAGTCCATGAGTTTGAGATCCACCTGAGCAACATAGCGAGACCCTATCTCTATAAAAAAAATATATATATATATATTTTTTTATAGACGGAGTCTCACTCTGTCACCCAGGCTGGAATGCAGTGGTGCAATCTCAGCTCACTACAAGCTCCGCCTCCTGGGTTCATGCCATTCTCCTGCCTCAGGCTCCCAAGTAGCTGGGACTACAGGCGCCCGCCACCACACCCGGCTAATTTTTTGTATTTTTAGTGGAGACAGGGTTTCACCATGTTAGCCAGGATGGTCTCAATCTCCTGACCTCCTGATCCGCCTGCCTCGTCCTCCCAAAGTGCTGGGATTACAAGTGTCAGCCACCGCACCCAGCCTATAAAAATATTTTTTTTTTTTTGAGACGGAGTCTCACTCTGTCGCCCAGGCTGGAGTGCAGTGGTGCAATCTCGGCTCACTGCAAACTCCGCCTCCCGGGTTCACGCCATTCTCCTGCCTCAGCCTCCCGAGTAGCTGGGACTACCGGCGCCTGCCACCACGCCCAGCTAATTTTTTTGTATCTTTAGTAGAGACGGGGTTTCACCATGTTAGCCAGGATGGTCTCGATCTCCTGACCTCATGATCCACCTGCCTCGGCCTCCCAAAGTGCTGGGATTATTTTGAAAAATATTTTTCAAAATATTTTTCAAATTAGCCAGGTGTAGGCTGGGCATGGTGGCTCACGCCTGTAATCCCAGCACTTTGGGAGGCCGAGGCAGGTGGATTACCTGAGGTCTGGAGTTCGAGACCAGCCTGACCAACATGGAGAAACCCCATCTCTACTAAAAATACAAACATTAGCTGGGATGGTGGTGCATGCCTGTAATCCCAGCTTCGCGGGAGGCTGAGGCAGGAGAATCGCTTGAACCTGGGAGGTGGAGGGTGCAGTGAGCCGAGATCGTGCCATTGCTCTCAAGTCTGGGCAATAAGAGTGAAACTCCACCTCAAAAATAAATAAATAAATAAATAAAAATTAGCCAGGTGTAGTGGTGAGTGCCTGTGGTTCCAGCTACTCCAGAAGCTGAGGTGGAAGGATGACTTGAATCCAGGAGTTCAAGACCAGCCTGGGCAACATAGCAAGACACCCCCCCCACCCATCTCTATACAAATTAAAAAATTAGCCAGGTGTAGTGGTGTGTGCCTGTGGTCCCAGCTACTCTGGAAGCTGAGGTGGGAGGATCTCTTGAGCCCAGGAGGTTGAGGCTGCAGTGAGCAGTGATCACACCACTGCACTCCAGCCTGGGTGACAGAGTGAGACCCTGCTCAAACAAAACAAAACAAAAAAAACCTCAGGACATCAGGCTACCGTGGGCCAACATTCCATCTGGCAATAACTGGCAATCAGCTGGGCTGGGTGGCCACTGTCCTCTTTAGATGGGATCTGCTCTGCACTCTACTTCGCAGTCACCACGTTTCTTGATCATCTCCCGACACCCAGCTAGCTTCCCTTGTTTGAAATTTTTGTTTGGTCTCTGTGGGTATTTGAGTTCTCAAAACTTGAGTGTCCATCAGAACTACCTGAGATCCTATTAAAACGCAGATTCTGCCAGGCGCGGAGGCTCAAAAAAATAAAAAAATAAAAAGCAGATTCCTGGGCCTCATCCAATTTGGAATGTCCGGGGTGGAGCCCAGGGGTTGAGTTTGCAACCTCTGCCTTACCTAACAGTGTGTTCCCAGGTCCCTGTGCCCAACAGGTGCTTTTTGGGCCCAGTAATGTCTGCTTCTACTCCTAGGCGTGGGTCTGTCAACATCTCTGTTTCTGTCTCTCTGCAGGCTGTCTCTCAAGGTGGTCTCTTCTGCTGCTAGCAACTCAAAAATCCCAACAGCACTCCCTATCCTTTCCCTGACCCCAGACCGCTGCCAAGCCTGTTCTCCCCCATTACAACATGGTCTCACTCAGGGCCTGGACTGCTCCAAAACTCGCCCAGGTCTCCAGCTCTCCTCTACCACCCAACACCCTGGGCTCACTTTTGGATAGGAAATAAACTCTTTATTTTTGTAGTTATTGGCTCTGGGTGTTTCTGGGGGTTACTCTGAGAGCCCCAGGGCTTTGGAGGAGCCAACACAGCAATCACTCCCCACCCTCACCTTCGTTGTACCCCAGGGCCCAGTTGCTATCTCTAGGAAGGGCAGAGGCACCAGCCAATCTACTTGGCACCACATTCACACCACCAGGGGCCCCAGGGTTGAGGAAGAAACTTAATTAGTCACTATGGGCCTATTATACCCCCTTCTCTCCCCTGCACCCCAGTCACAGCCATGTATGCACACAGTATGTGGGAAGGACAGAGTCCTGGCTTTGGCCCACCTCCAGCCTTGGAAAGGTGGGCCTAGGGGACTACCCATCCCTCCTGTATAAGGAACTGTTCCAGAACTGGGTATGGCAAGGGGGCTGGGGGAAGAGCTTGTCACCAGCCAGAACCTGCTAGGAATCCCACTCTGCCCCATCCCCTCTGTCCTCCCAACAAGCCCTCTCTTCCCTCTTCCTTTTCACTTCTCATGAACACTGGCGCGGAAGTGGGGATTGTGTGTTATGGGTGTAAGAAAGAGAGACGCCCTGATGACCAGATGGAACTAGATGTGGGCACAGTTTTGTGGCAGGTTGTCCAAGACAGGTAAATTCTCCAGCTGAGGCTCCAGGATATGCCTGGTGTTGGCGTTATAGGCACAATGGCCACAGCTGTCTCCGGTGAGCTTTGATTCCACACAGGTTTTCAGTAGTGTCCCTTGAGGATGAGATGCAAAAGAAGAGGAGGTACTGGTTTGTGTTGAGAGGTAAGGGTGGGAGGAATCAGGAGCGGGCCCAGTCCATATTGAGAGGAGCAGAAAAAACAAATATTCCTGATCCATAGAGGGGGAGAGTGCAGAGTGGGGGTGGTTCTAGTCTTTATTTACGGATGGAGAGGGCCGAGGCAGAGGTTGTCCAGCTCTGTATTCCGCGTCAGAGAGAAGAGCTGACCCTGGCTAGGAGCAGGGGAAGGCAGAGGCAGAGATGGTCTTTGTGCCGGCCCCCGCACACACCAAGTAGGAGGTGGTGGCAGAAGCTCTCCCTTTGATCTCACCCAGCATCCTGCAGAGAACTCTTCCTGCAGCGCTTTCCTCACCTTCCCAATCACAGACGCCCCTGGCAATCGGGCGGACAGTGCAGACAAGGGCTTCTCCAGATCAGCGAGTTCACAGGACTGAGGCCTCGCGTGCATATTCATTCGCACCACGTTTTTTCTTTCCCAATTCTGCACACACAATCCTCTGCCTTCTTCCAACGCTCCACCACCCGCCTTCCCTCGGGGCGTCCGGAACCGGCGGTGACGCGGATGGCAGGGTTAGCCTTAAAAAGTTCCCGGCCGTAGGCTGGGCGCGGTGGCTCAGGCCTGTAATCTCAGCACTTTGAGAGGCCGAAGAGGGCGGATCACCTGAGGTCAGGAGTTCGAGACCAGCCTGGCCAACATGGCGAAACCCCCGTCTCTACTAAAAAATACAAAAATTAGTCGGGCGTGGTGGTGCGTGCCTATAATCCAGCTCCTCGGGAGGCTGAGGCAGGAGAATCGCTTGAACCCGGGAGGCAGAGGTTGCAGTGAGATCGCACCACTGCACTCCAGCCTGGGCGACAGAGTAAGACTCCGTCTCAAAAAAAAAAAAAAAGTTCCGGCCGGGCTCCGCCTCGCAGTCAGCCGGCTCCACCCTAAGCCCAAGTCCCAGGCAGCCACTGACTCCTCCCAGCGCTGCGAACTACAAGTCCCGCGATCCCTCGCGCGCTCCCTACCGCCACTCCCGCGTTCCTACCGGCGCCGCTGGGTAGGTCGGCCAAGAGTGCCTCCCATTGGTCTCCGCACTGTCAATCACCTGGGAGTATTGAGGGGCGGGGCGGAGGTGGAGATCCGGATCCGGAGCGGCTGAAAGGCGGAAGTGGAGGCCGGAGCCTGGGACACCGCCGGCGGGGAGAGAAGCGGATCCCGTCCGAGCCCCGGCCCCAAGTAACGCCGCCGCCCCGGAGCCGCCGTGAGTATGCTTGTCCCAGGACCTGGTGTCTCGCCTGCGTTGAAGCATCTCCAGGGCAGCCCTTCCTCCCGCCCAGCCCCAGTTTAGGGGGATACTGACCCCTCCCCCGACCCGTAGCCCCCTCTTGAGGGGCTCCCCAGGCGTCGGGCCATAGGAGGTGGGGAGCTTCTTTCCTTAGCTTACCTGCCTTTGGTGAGCCTTAAGGAAACCGCTATGACTGTCCTCTGGCCTGTCCATTCTAGTTGTGGGAGAGAGGTACCCTAAGTTCCGCTCCCCCTGCTTCCAGAATCGGAGGATCTTTGCTAGGTGTGAAGGAACCTGTCCCTCTTCTCTTTTAGAAGTGACAGGGAGTGCTGTCTGTCGCCGTTTTCCTTCCTCCTGTCCCACAAAACCAGTTGTCCCCTCTAGCCCTAGAGGAATATCTCGATTTCCTTTGGGGGAGGGGGGTCGTCTGGGTGAGACCGTTCCACACGCACAGAAGTGTGTGTGCGCTCCCGCAACTCCTTACTTCCTCTCTTTCCTCAAGCCAGAGAACCAACCAGGACCTCAGCTGAGTTTAAAGTCACTTACTAGAAATGAGCTGTTTTCCTGTTTTGCCCCTTCTGTCTCCCAGCCCTGTCCTCTAGTTATGTTGTTCTTTGAGTGTCTCTCTCTTTCTGCCTCTGAAGAATTTAGCTGAGGTTTGCTCAATCCTAGCTACAGATCACAGATCAGGGTGGATGTGCCCATTCATTATCTTCTTTCCCCTCCCCCCTTGCTCCAGGCTCAGCTCTGTCCTCCCAGAGCACGTGAGTGGTTTCCCAGCCGCCTCAAAGGGACTGCTTTTCTTGGGACTGCTGTCCGTGTGTCTATAGGGAGGAGAATAAGACCCAAAATGAGGAGTCTGGAATTGAAGGGCCATCTCTTTCCCACTCCCAAACACACACACATACACCTCCCTGAGCAACAGGTCCACACCACGCCAGGGTCTGTCTGCAATCCCTTCAGGGCTTGGACTTATTACTGAGGACTAAGTCAAGATCACAATGGCAGTTCTGGATTTTTAATTGTAGCCTGAGGAATTCCGATACATGCCAGAAAGTGCAGGTTCCCTCAACCATATTGACTGATCCTTGTCTGTTGCTTGGGGCTTAGGTGTGTGAAATAGCTGCTGTCTCAGACCAAGCTTTGTTATGTGGCCAAAGTACAGGCCGGAGACTGTACCTTAACGAGGAGTAGCCTGGCTCTGAGGCCATGACTGACCCTTGCTATCTACAGTGGAGGAAGGGACGGAAAGCCGTGCAGTTTGTGGGAACTTCTGTAGCTCTTCAGTGTTCTGGGCTACCTTTACCACCCTCGCTTGCCACTTAAAAGTGCTGTGTTTTTTGGCCTTGAGGTGTGTTTGAGGGCTTCTGGACAGTGGCTAGTATCTGATTCCTACAGTCTTTTGAGTAGAGCTAGGATGTACTTTCTTCACTTTTTTGTTTGTTTGTTTTTGAGATGGAGTCTTGCTCTGTCGCCCAGGCTGGAGTGCAGTGGCGTGATCTTGGCTCACTGCAACCTCTGCCTCCTGGGTTCAAGCAGTTCTCTTGCCTCAGCCTCCTGAGTAGCTGGGATTAACAGGCGCCTGCCACCACACCCGGCTAATTTTTGTATTTTTAGTAGAGATGGGGTTTCGCCATGTTGGCCGGGCTGGTCTCGAACTCCTGACTTCAGGTGATCCACCCGCCTCAGCCTCCCAAAGTGCTGAGATTACAGGTGTGAACCACCGTGCCCGGCCTACTTATTTCACTTTTTATCGGACAACAGAAGAAGCCTTCCTTATTAGGGTCAACAGCTGGATCACAGGCTCTGTATCTGTGTGGGTTCCTTTGGGGTTCATTGGAGACTTCTTCAACCAACCTAGTTTCTCTGATCTGGTCAGCCTGGGCATCTGAGGGGCAGGGCCAGAGAGGCCTGACTGCTCACTGGCCATTGGTCTCTGACCAGACTTAGGTCTTCAGGAGTAGACCGCAGTTTGTCACTCTTCAGGAGTGCTGGGATGAGGCCGACCAGCCTTCTGAGGAGACCTTCTTTTCTTTGTCTGGACATGCTCTCCCAGCTCTGACTCTGAAACGACTTTTTTTTTTTTTTTGGAGACAGAGCCTTGTTTTGTCACCCAGGCTGGAGTGCAGTGGCACAATCTTGGCTCACTGCAGCCTCTGCCTCCCGAGATCAAGGGATTCTCCTGCCTCAGCCTCCTGAGTAGCTGAGATTACAGCCATGCACCACCACGCCCAGCTAATTTTTGTATTTTTAGTAGAGATGGGGTCTCACCATGTTGGCCAGGCTGGTCTCGAACTCCTGACCTCAGATGATCCACCCACCTCAGCCTCCCAAAGTGCTAGGATTACAGGCATGAGCCACTGCACCCAACCTGAAACGACTTTGAAGGGGAAGCTCTGCCATTTAGAGAGACGAGGCAGGCCCCAGTGCTTTGGGTCGTTATGCAGCCACTTCTGGCACCTAGAAATTATAGAGTCCAAGCAGAGGTCTGACTCTGCCTGGCAGAGAGAGCGATGGCTCCGTGTGCGACAGAACCCCTCCTTTCTGATGCTGTTCCTCCCCTGCCCTCTTGCCTCTCACAATTAGAGGGCTGTTAAACTGTAGAGGGACAGTAACACTAATTTTTAAAAATCATTTTAAGGTTGCAAAATTATTTTCATACATATTCCTCATAGGTGCCTTGGGAAATAGTGGGGCTTGTTTCCCCACTTTGTTTTTAATTTTTATTATTACTTTTTTTTTTTTGAGTAAGATAAGGCAAGTGTCCCTGCTTTAGAAGGGATGCAGAAGGAACTTAAGTAGTTTGCCTAAGATCGATCATACATTTAGAAAGTAGTAGAGCTGGGGCTTGGATTTGGGGTCAGATGTGACCTGATCTAACAGTGGGCCCTTCTTCGGCCTGGTTTGTTCGTTAAATGAATGAACATGCAGACTGAGTGCGCCACGGCACAAGGGCAGACTCTTAACTCTTTAGCCCTCCTCATCACTAGCGCTCCTCTGTTTTTTTGTCTTCCCCAGCGTCTACCCGACCTCCTGTCTTCTCTCTTGACCCCTTTCACCTCTGCCTCTGAGGACCAAAACAGTTAGGAGTCCCAAGTCAGTACTCTTCAGGGCCTGAGAGTTTGCTGACATCTACATGTCATTAATTTTTCTGGGAACCTGAAAGTCCTAATGGCTAGAAAATGAAAGTTAAAGTGAGTAAACTCAGGGGTCCCACTGGGCAGGGTTAAGGGGGAAGCAACAGAGCGGGCCTCTGGTTAGTCCTCTGTTTCTCCTGTGGTGCTGCCTGCTGCTTGCAAGTGGGAAGAATGTGGCTTGCCACCAGGAGCTCCTGTCACTAGAATTTACATGGAAACAGAGCAAGATCATACATTTAAATTCAGCCCCACCAAGCAAGTACTTCTTAGACCTTCTACTTCTTTTTTTTTTTTTGAGTCGGAGTCTCGCTCTGTCGCCTAGGCTGGAGTGCAGTGGTGCGATCTTGGCTCACTGCAAGCTCCGCCTCCCGGGTTCATGCCATTCTCCTACCTCAGCCTCCAGAGTAGTTGGGACTACAGGTGCCCACCACCACGTCCGGCTAATTGTTTTGTATTTTTAGTAGAGATGGGGTTCCGCCGTGTTAGCCAGGATGGTCTCGATCTCCTGACCTCGTGATCCGCCCACCCTGGCCTCCCAAAGTGCTGGGATTACAGGCGTGAGCCACTGCGCCTGGCCAGACCTTCTACTTCTAACCCTTGCCCAGTAAACAGGCAGTGTGGTCGGGTGGAAGGCACTAGAACTTCAGAGGCAGTTGGACCTGAGTTCTCATCCTGATTCCCCCACTTACCAGTTGTGTGACCCTGGGCTTGTTACTTGACCTCACTGAGCCTGTGTTTCTTCTGGTAAAATGGGGATGCTAAATACCTTGCAGAATTAGAAACAAAGAAAGGAGCTAGTCCAGTGCTGGCAGACTGGATGCCCACAAAATAGCAGTTGCCTCTGATGGGTAGGTAGGGGTTTGAAGGTTCTTTTTTTTTTTGAGGCAGTCTCATTCTCATTCTGTTGCCCAGGCTCACTGCAACCTCCGCCTCCTGTGTTCAAGCGATTCTCCTGCCTCAGCCTCCTGAGTAGCTGGGATTACAGGCACCTGCCATCATGCCCGGCTAATTTTTTTTTTTGGTATTTTTGTAGAGATGGGGTTTGACCATGTTGGCCAGGCTGGTCTCAAACTCCTGACCTCAGGTGAGGTGATCTGCCCGCCTCATCGGCCTCCCAGAGTGCTGGGATTACAAGCATGAGCCACCGTGTCTGGCTGATTTTTTTTTTTTTTTTTTTTTTTTTTTTTGAGATGGAGTTTCACTCTTGTCTCCCAGGCTGGAGTGCAATGGCGTGATCTTGGCTCACTGCAACCTCTGTCTCCCGGGCTCAAGCTATTCTCCTGCCTCAGCCTCCTGAGTAGCTGGGATTATAGGCGTGTGCCACCATGCCCAGCTAATTTTTGTACTTTTAGTAGAGACAGGGTTCCTCTATGTTGGCCAGGCTGGTCTCGATCTCCTGACCTCAGGTAATTGTGCCCAGCCTCAACACTGATTCTGATTCAACATGTGTACCAAATGTATGCTGGGGCTGGGCACAGTGGCTCATGCCTATAATCCTAGCACTTTGGGAGGATCGCTTGATCCCAGGAGTTCAAGACCAGCTTGGGGGCCAGGTGTGGTGGATCACGCCTATAATCCTAGCACTTTGGAAGGCTGAGGCTGGGAGATCACCTGAAGTCAGGAGTTCGAGACCAGCCTGGCCAACATGGTGAAACCCCATCTCTACTAAAAATACCAAAATTAGTCAGGCGTGGTGGCACATGCCTGTAATCCCAGCTACTTGGGAGGCTTAGGCAGGAACCTGGGAGGCAGTTCAACCTGGGAGGTGGACGTTGCAGTGAGCCGAGATTGCACCACTGCACTCCAGCCTGGGCAACAGACCAAGAGTCTATCTCAAAAAAAAAAAAAAAAAAAACCAGCCTGGGCAACATAATGAGACCCCATGTCTAAAACAAAAACAAAATGTCTGCTGGGATGCCTTGTACATTGCTTGATGGTTTCACAAATTGTCTCATTTTGTAGACATTGAACAGAATTGATGTGGGTTGTATTCCCATTTTACAGAAGAGAACGCTGTGCCACTTCAGTTTTACTTAGTTGTAAGCGTTTTAATATTAAAACAGTCCTGTAACTATTATAGATTAGAATGCAAAGTTTGCATGAATTGAAGCTAACACAGGAAACTTTAATTAATTAATTAATTTATTTATTTTTGAGACAGGGCCTCTCTCACCCAGGCTGGAGTGCAGTGGGACGATCATGGCTTACTTCCGCCTTGATCTTGTGGACCCAAGTGATCCTCCCACCTCAGCCTCCTGAGTAGCTGGGACTGTAGGCATGTACCACCATGCCCGGCTAGTTTTTGTATTTTTAGTAGAGACAGGGTTTTGCCATGTTGCCCAGGCTGGTCTCAGAACTCCTGGGCTCAAGTGATCCTCCTACTTTGGCCTCCCGAAGTGCTGGGATTACAGGCATGAGCCGCTGCACCTGGCCAAAGACAGTATTTTGCTTGTAGCCAGCTGCTTTGGGTTCAACTCCCAGATTTCTGGGAGTTTCCTCTCCCCTGACTTGAGTGAAGGGTACATATGTTGGGGCTGTTTGAGAAGCACTGCTTTAGGTAGAATTTATAAACTAGGATGTGCCAAAATCCAGGTAATCATGCTTGCAAAAACCTTGGCAGAGGAGAATCGGAATATTTTTGGCATCCTCTGCATTAATAGCTTGGTATTGTAAGAGATTACTTTTCCAATTAAATAGCCCCATCCTCTATGTATAAGAACAGTAATACAAATAAAAGCTAAACTTCTATTTTTGCCATGTGCCAGGCACTCTTGTGAGCCCTATGTGTTGACTCCTTTAATCCTCCGACAACCCCAGGAGGTAGGTTCTGTGTTTAATCCCCATGTTAGAGTGGGGGACTATGTAGTAATGGCAGAGATGGGGTGTGCTCTTATCGCTATTCAATACAGCCTCTCCTTGACCCATCTCTGGGCTAAATGCCTACTGTTCACTTTGCCTAGAAGGCTCTTCTGCACCTCACGTGCCTGGAAACTGTATCTCCCTACTTTTCTCTCAAAGCTCAGTTTGAATGCCACTTCCTCTGTGAAGCCTTCCCTTGCCCCAAATGGGCTGAGGGCTTGTCTCCTACATGGGCTGTCTTCTCAACTGCTATCTCATTGTTCCTTATTTGCCTCATTCTCTGGTGGGTGAGCCCTTTAGGGGCACAGATCGGGTCCTGTTTGATCTTTGTGTGTTTAGGACCTGGCATGGCACTCAGCATAGTAGGCTCCCTACTGAAGTTGTTAAAGGAGAGGGCAGACATTCAAACCTGCCCTTAAAGCAAACACCAAACACCTGCCCACTTCTTTTTTTTTTTTTTTTTTTTTTTGAGATGGAGTCTTGACCTCTCACCCAGGCTGGAGTGCAATGGTACGATCTTGCTCACTGTAACCTCCGCCTCCTGGGTTCAAGTGATTCTCCTGCTTCAGCCTCCCTAGTACCTGGGATTACAGGTGTGTACCACCACGCCCATCTAGTTTTGTATTTTTAGTAGAGACGGATTTCACCATGTTGGCCAGGCTGATCTCAAACTCCTGACCTCATGATCTGCCTGCCTCAGCCTCCCAGTGCTGGGACTACAGGCATGAGCCACTGTGCCCAGCCTTGCCCACTTCTTTTTTTTTGTTTGTTTTTGAGACAGAGTTTTGCTCTTGTTGCCCAGGCTAGAGTGCAATGGCACAATCTCAGCTCACCACAACCTCCGCCTCCCGAGTTAAAGAGATTCTCCTGCCTCAGCTTCCCAAGTAGCAGGGATTACAGGCATGTGCCACCACGGCCGGCTAATTTTTTGTATTTTTATTAGAGATGGGGTTTCTCCATGTTGGTCAGGCTGGTCTCGAACTCCCAACCTCAGGTGATCCACCCGCCTCGGCCTCCCAAAGTGCTGGGATTACAGGTGTAAGCCACCATGCCTGGCCCTCGCCCACTTCTTTTAACACACACTTCCCTTCCTTTCTTCACACACTTTGGATGTCGTGAACCTATGATTCAAACTTAAATCCATCTGATCCCACAGCTTGAGCCATATCTTTGGTCCATCCCCCAGAAAGTTGCTCACAGACAAATGGGAGAGCAAACAGGTCAATAGGATCAATGTTACAGTACGGATGATGGGAAGCAAGTCACAAACTCAGTTTCCAGAAGTTAAGACTCTCCAAATCTCCATTTCTGGTGAAGGGTTTAATGGGACAATGAGGGCGCGGCCCTGACTAGCCACAGTCCGGCTGACTGGCTTCTGCCGTGTGTGTATCTGATGGCAGGACAGAACGACCGTGCTTCTGCAGTTGTGTGTGGTGAGGCAGCACCGACCCCAGACCAGTACTTAGCAAGGATCAGTGGAAGCAAATTTGACTCTGCCTGTGGATACTGTTCTGTATGTCTGCACAAGGCTCGTTCCTGAGTGAAGGTGGCTTAAAAAAGTGGTGGCAGCAGCTGTTCAGACCAGTGGTATGAGCAGCCCTCACATGTGTATTCCACAGATGGGGTCTTTAACATTCCCTGGTCCTGTGCCTGCAGTACTTGGATATCCTCTGCTCACCTTGAGGCTGGTCTTTCTTTCTTTCTCTCTCTCTCTCTCTCTCTCTCTCTTTCTTTCTTTCTTTCTTTCTGTTTCTTTCTTTCTTTCTGTCTTTCCTTCTTTCTTTCTTTCTTTCTTTCTTTTTCTTTCTTTCTTTCTTTTTCTGTCTTTCTTTCTGTCTTTCTGTCTTTCTTTCTGTCTTTCTTTCTTTCTTTCTTGACGAAGTCTTGCCTTGTCGCCCAGGCTGGAGTGCAGTGGTACGATCTCGGCTCACTGCAAGCTCCCGGGTTCATGCCATTCTCCTGCCTCAGCCTCTCGAGTAGCTGGGACTACAGGCTCCTGCCACCACGCTTGGCTAATTTTTTGTACTTTTAGTAGAGGCAGAGTTTCACCATGTTAACCAGGATGGTCTCCATCTCCTGACCTCGTGATCCGCCTACCTTGGCCTCCTTTTTTTTTTTTCTTTTGAAATGGAGTCTTGCTCTGTTTCCCAGGCTGGAGTGCAGTGATGCCATCTTGGCTCACTGCAACCTCCGTCTCCTGGGTTCAAGTGATTCTCCTGCCTCAGCCTCCCGAGTAGCTGGGACTACAGGCGTACGCCACCATGCCCAGCTAATTTTTATATTTTTAGTAGAGACGGGGTTTCGCCATGTTGGCCAGGATGGTCTTGATCTCTTGACTTTGTGGTCTGCCTGCCTTGGCCTCTGAAAGTGCTGGGATTACAGGTGTGAGCCACTGTGCCTGGGCAATTTTTGATTTTTTTGTAGAGACGGGGTCTCCCTATGTTGCCGAGGCTTAATAAACTTATTCTTTCAGAATACTTTTAGAAAAGTTACGCAGATAGTACAGAGTTTTCTCACAATCCCTCACACATAGTTTTCCCTGTTATTAACATCTTATGTTAGTACGTATTTTACATTAAAGTCCATCCTTTATTCAGATTTCCTTAGATTTTTACCTGATGTCCTTTTGCTGTTCCAGGATCCCATGTTACCTATATTCATTGTCTCTTTAGGCTCCTCTTGCTGTGCCAGTTTCTCAGACTTTTATTGTTTTTGATGACCTTGACAGTTTTGAGGAGTGCTGGGCAAGCATCTAAAGAGGATCTCGGCCAGGCGCGGTGACTCACGCCTGTAATCCCAGCACTTTGGGAGGCCGAGGTGGGTGGATCACTTGAAGTCAGGAGTTCGAGACCAGCCTGGCTAACATGGTGAAGCCTCATCTCTATTAAAAATACAAAAATTAGCCAGGCATGGTGGTACGCACCTGTAATCTCAGCTACTCAGGAGGCTGAGGCACAAGAATCGCTTGAACCAGGAGGCAGAGGTTGCAGTGAGCCAACATCGTGTCACTGTGCTCCAGCCTGGGCTGGAGACAGAATGAGACTCCGTCTCAAAAAAAATAATAAAAAATAAAGAGAATCTCTTCTCAACTGGGATTTGTCCAGTATTTTTCTCTTTTTAACAGAGTCTTGCTCTGTCAGCCAGGCTGGAGTGCAGTGGTGCAATCTCGGCTCAAGCCATTCTCCTCAGCCTCCCAAGTAGCTGGGACTACAGAAATGCACCACCACGCCTGGCTAATTTTTGTAGAGACAAGGTTTCACCATGATGTCCAGGCTGGTCTCAAACTCCTGAGCTCAAGCGATCTGCTCACCTCAGCTTCCCAAAGTGGTGGGATTACATGCGTGAGCTAACACGCCTGGCTGTGTCCAGTGTTTTTTTCATAAGTAGACTGTGCCAAGTTTTGGGAAGGAGGACCAGAGAGGTAAAGTGCTATTTTCATCACATCATGTCAAGGGTACATACAATCCACAAGCCTTTCCATGACTGATGTCAACCATGATCACTTGGCTGAGGTGATGTGTGTGAGGCTTCTCTGTAAAGTTGTTCTCCCCTTCCCCTTTCCATGCTGCATGCACCCTTTGGAAGAAAGTCACTGTGTAGCCCACACCTAAGGAACAGGGACTTATGTTCATGTTCCCCTTGTTGAGGGCGGAGTAGCTACATGAGTTACTAAATTATTTTTTCTTTTTCTGTTTTTTTTGAGATGGAGTCTCACTCCATCGCCCAGGCTGGAGTGCAGTGGCGCAATCTCGGCTCACTGCAAGCTCCGCCTCCCGGGTTCACGCCTTTCTCCTGCCTCAGTCTCCCGAGTAGCTGGGACTACAGGCCTATAGGCGCGCGCCACCACACCCGGCTAATTTTTTTGTATTTTTTTTAGTAGAGATGGGGTTTCTTTTTTTTTTTTTTTTTTTTTTTTTTTTTTTTTTTTTTTTTTTTTTTTTTTTTTTGAGACGGAGTCTGGCTCTGTCGCCCAGGCTGGATGCAGTGGGGCAATCTCGGCTCACTGCAAGCTCCGCCTCCCAGGTTCACGCCATTCTCCTGCCTCAGCCTCCTGCGTAGCTGGGACTACAGGCGCCCGCCACCACGCCCAGCTAATTTTTGTATTTTTAGTAGAGACAGGGTTTCACCTTGTTAGGCAGGATGGTCTCGATCTCCTGACCTCGTGATCCGCCCGCCTCAGCCTCCCAAAGTGCTGGGATTACAGGCGTGAGCCACCACGCCCACCCTGAGATGGGGTTTCACCATGTTAGCCAGGATGGTCTCAAGTTCCTGACCTCGTGATCCACCCGTTTCGGCCTCCCAAGGTGCTGGGGTTACAGGCGTGAGCCACCGCGCCCAGCTGAATTATTAAATTCTTCTATATGAGAGACTTGTCTATTTTCCCCCATTTATTTTTATTTATTTATTTATTTTTTGGAGATGAGTTTTGCTCTTGTTGCCCAGGCTGGAGTGCAGTGGTGCGATCTTGGCTCACTGCAACCTCCACCTCCGGGGTTCAAGCGATTCTCCTGCCTGAGCCTCCCGAGTAGCTGGGATTACAGGCACATGCCACCATGCCCGGCTAATTTTTGTATTATTAGTAGCTACGGGGTTTCACCATGTTGGCCAGGTTGGTCTCAAGCTCCAGGCCTCAGGTGATCCACCTGCCTCGGCCTCCCAAAGTGCTGGGATTACAGGCGTGAGCCACTGCGCCTGGCCTATTCTCCCCCATTTATTTGTTCAATTATTTATATCAGTATGGACTCCAGGATATTTATTTTACACTTTGGTTTATAATCCAGCGATAAGGCCGGGCACAGTGGCTCGCGTTTGTATTCCCAGCACTTGGGGAAGCCAAGATGGGCGGATCACCTGAGGCCAAGAGTTTGAGACCAGCCTAGCCAACATGGTGAAACCCTATCTCTACTAAAAATACAAAAGTTAGCTGGGTATGATGGTGCACGCTTGTAATCCTAGCTACTCTGGTGGCTGAGGCAGGAGAATGGTTTGAAGCAGGGAGGTGGTGGTTGCAGTGAGCAGAGATCCTGCCACTGCACCCCAGCCTGGGCAACAGAGTGAGACTTTGTCTCAAAAATAAATAAATAAATAATCCAATGTTACTTTGTTTTATTGCCCAAAATGTTTCAGCTTTGCCCATTGGTTGCTCTTTTAGCCTCCTTTGACCTGCCTAGTCATTGTGAGGATTTTTGTTTTTGGTTTTTGGTTACTTCTTTACATTTTGGCACTGCCAGATTTTTGGAGACAGACTCACTCTGTCCCCCAGGCTGGAGTGCAGCTGCACGATCTCAGCTCACTGCAGCCTCTGCCTCCCAGATTCATGCAATTCTTGTGCCTCAACCTCCTGAGTAGCTGGGATTACAGGTGCACGCTACCATGCCTGGCTAATTTTTGTATTTTTAGTAGCAACGAGGTTTCACCATGTTGGCCAGGCTGGTTTTGAACTCCTGACCTCAAGTGATCCACTTGCCTCAGCCTTCCAAAGTGCTAGGGTTACAGGCATGAGCCACCACTCCCGGCCCCAGGCTTACTTTGTGTATTTCGTGCCAGAGTTGTAGATTCAGCTGGCTCTCCAAGGCCACTGCCTTTTTAGCAAATGTTTTCTCTCAGGTATGTTGACATAGAGTGATGTGGATGCCTTGAGTTATTTCTTCTCTTGATGGTTAGTCATAGTTACTAGAGACTCTGGAGTTGGGAAAGGTAGAGGTGGACCTGGGAAATCTACCCCCTGAGAATCAACTGCAGTCCTGGGAGTTAATCCCAGTAGCTGGCTGTTGTTCTACTCACCCATTCATACTGCTCTTACCCCTGCCTGATGCTATGACTGATCCAAAAAATGGTCTGATTTGGTCTTTCCTTTGGAATTTACCTATGGAGGTGTGGGAAGATGAGGCATGTGTATATAATCGTTCTCTATTTCAGGTGCTAAGTTCTCCAGCTAAACCTTCCTGGACTCTGGGTCTTGTAAGAGATTCCACATGGTCCGGGCCAGTCAGTGTCTTTTGCTGCCCTTCCAAAATGGACTGCCCCCATGGGACGGTTTGTGGCTGTTGGCGGGCTCAGGGTAGGCTGTCACTTTGTGCCGTGATCCTGAATCATTGAATAGCTGAAATCCTTCCATTGTACTGTCATCTCTCTGAAAATGTGTAACTTGAGCCCTGCTGGAAACACTAACTTGGGATCTTAACAGGAGTTGGTTTACAAGCCTTTTGCCTTCTATTCATAGCTCCATGTATGTCCCCTTCAGGTGGCTGTCAGAGGCATCCCAGGCATGGAGGAGGGCGTGGGTGGCCTCTCTAACCCTGGCTGCTCTCCTAGACATCAGATTGCTCTCTGAGCTGCTCAGACAGCGTGGTGATGAATGACGCCAGTTTCCAAACCTCTAGCATTTGCAGCCTGGTTTTTAAAAGGAACTCTGCTTTCTTTGTCAGCTGCTCTATTCCTGTCCCCTAGCCCTCTCAACAACTGAACTGCTTCTTCCCTTTCCTGAAAGAGGCTTTGAGATGGAAGGAAGGGCATTTGGGCTTTAAGATGCTTTGTGGGCTGGGCGCGGTGGCTCATGCCTGTAATCTCAGTACTTTGGGAGGCCAAGGCGGGGGGATTGCTTGAGCGCAGGAGTTTGAGATCAGCCTGGGCAACATGATGAAACCCCATCTCTACCAAAAAAAAACCCAAGATGCTTTGTGTTAATGGGGCTTTTTTTTTTTTTTTAAGAGGTTATGGTTTGCATGGTTGGGGCCTTCACCCCATGCAGATTTATTGGATGGTAATGGTTTCTCCCCTCCATTTTTGTGGTTTTGGGAGCTAGTCTCTGGAGGATACAAGATTGGGGTTGTTGACAGGACACTGAGTATCTTCTAGGAAACTGAGGAAAGACGTCCTCTTCAGCATTCTCTCCAAATGAGAGGTGCTGAAGAATGGAGTCCCGGGAAACTGGAGGTAAGAGGAATGTGTGAATGTTGTCTGACAGATGAAGTGAGGAGTCCGGCTCCTTCACAGGGAAGTGAAGGCGCAGGGGCTCCCCTGCTACAGAACATGTACTGAATGCTTCCCGATGCCAGGCCCTTTGCTGAGAGTCTCACATGCATCATCTTCCTGGCAGTCCTGGAGACGGGTGGTACTGGTCTCTCCATTTTACGTGTGAGGAAATGGGTTCAGTGACAACACCAGGCCACCCTAGTAAGTGGTGCCTCCAGAACTTGAACTGAAGTTCAAGTTGTCTGACTCCAGCACTTGTGCTCTTAAGCTCTGTGCAGTAGGGATGGAGGAAGTCCTCCCTGGGGAAGTGAGGCAGCTCCTCAGCTGCTCTGTGGCTCTGTTAGGGGACCCGAGCCGTCTGGCAGATGAATGCAGATTTAAGCCCTCAACTTCCCCCGTTCACTTGCCAAGTGTAAGCGGGCGGTACCTCTCACATGCACAGTTCACCGTATCTGTGCTCACCTACTATGGGTCAGGCTTGCTGTTATGTGCTGTTAACACAAAGGAAACCCATTGTCCAGCCTTTGAGAATTTTGTAATGTGGTTGTTTTCATCTGCAACAGTGCCTTTAATTTCTCTTGCTTTCTCTCTCACAACCCTCAGTCCCCCAAGTTCTCCAGCCCCTTGCCACCTACACTAGTCTTATGAACATTTGGGGCCATGGAAGCAGAAGTGTGATTCGCTCATTGAATCTTGTTTAGACCTATTCATTGCTTGATTTCTTCACTGGGCACCACTCTACAGTTTGTTCAGCAAAAATTAAGAAAGATGGCAGACACAGTGGCTCATGCCTGTAATCGCAGCACTTTGGGAGGCTGAAGCAGGTGGATCACTTGAGCCCAGGAGTCTGAGATCAGCCTGGGCAACATGGTGAAACCCCATCTCTACAAAAAATAGAAAAATTAGCTGGGCATGGTGGCATGCGCCCGTAGTCCCAGCTACTTGGGAGGCTGAGGTAGGAGGATTGCTTGAGCCCAGGAAGTCAAGGTAGCGGTAAGCTATGATTGCGTCACTGCAATCCAACCTGGGCAGCAGAGCAAGACCCTGTCTCAAAAATGTATATAGAAAAAAGAGCTGGGTGTGGTGGCTCATGCCTGTAATCCCAACACTTTGGGAGGCTGAGGCAGGCGGATCACCTGAGGTTAGGAGTTCGAGACCAGCCTGGCCAACATGGCGAAACCTCATCTCTACTAAAAATACAAAAATACAAGCTGGGTATGGTGGTGCACACCTGGAATCCCAGCTACTCAGGAGGCTGAAGCACGAGAATCGCTTGAACCCAGGAGGTGGAGGTGGTAGTGAGCCCAGATTGTGCCACTGCACTCCAGCCTGGGCGACAGAGCGAGACTCCATCTCAAAAAAAAAAAAAAAAAAAAAAAAAATATATATATATATATATATATATATATATATTCTAAAATATTGTTCTTTGGTGCCCAGGCTTCTGAGAATAGCCATCGTCCCTCAGGTCTCCCACTGAGAACTTTGACTTTTTTCTTGTTGGTTGCATAGCCGCTGACCACGGTGTGTGTGGTGTCTGAACAGGAGGCATTTGGATTGCTATTTCTCTTTTCTCCCACTTTCCTCTCAAACTTGACCTCTGCTCTCTGTTTAGGAGCTGAAGGCAAAACAAAGGGGCAGTGATTTAAACTGGCTTTCTTTTGTTTTCTGTTATTTGTAAGGGCGGGAAGGGTTTTGGAGAGGTGTCCGCTGGTGTGAGTGGCTGGATGAACAGGTGCTGCTTCTGATCCTGACTTTCAGCAGAGGTTTCTGGAGTCTTTCTGGGCCTAGGGAAGCAGCAGAAGTGGCAGCTGTCCTGGCTGGTGCTTCTGACCCCTGCAGAGCCCCTTTTGAGACGGGGGGAAGACGGGCCCTACATTGATGAGATTCCGGTGAGAAATGTCCTAGCTAAATAGTAACTGCCTGAACAAATGAAATACAGGATAGTTGGGGTAGGCTGGGGCCAGAAGAACCTTTGCCTTGGATGGCACTCTTCCTAGCATCCTGCCTGGCATTGGCAGGTGAAGAACTGACTGGTGGCGTGTGAGCCACCATACAGCCATGTTGTCATCCCTAACAAGCCCTGTGGCTGGGACGTGTGTGTGGTTCTGGGCTGCAGAAAGATTCCAAGTTGAGCTTTTGCTTGAGGCTTGAGAGAGCAGCCCTAGACAGGAGTAGAGAATCTGGCACAGCCTGGATCACAAGGTCAGGAAATCGAGACCATCCTGACTAACATGGTGAAACCCCATCTCTACTAAAAAATACAAAAAATTAGCTGGATGTGGTGGCACGCGTATGTAGTCCTAGCTACTCAGGAGGCTGAGGCAGAATTGCTTGAACCTGGGAGCTGGAGGTTGCAGTGAGCCGAGATCACGCCACTGCACTCCAACCTGGGTGACAGAGCAAGATTCCGTCTCAAAAAAAAAGAATCTGCCACAACCTTGCTGACTGAGGTGTGCTGTTAGACACTGGGCCCTCTTAGGGAGAACAGTCTCAGGAATGTCAGCGTTAGGGCCTGGCCCCCCTGGTGCCTTTTGGAATCGGTAGGCTGGCGGAGAGCCTTGCCTGGTGCAGCTGCAGGCAGTGCCCTGTCTGTGGGCCTTCCGTGCTACCTGTCTCCTCTGTTGGCCAGCAGGGCCAATGACTGAGAGTTGTTGAGCTGCCCATGAAGCCTGGGGCCCTTCTGTGGACAGCACTGGCCGACCACACTGGCCAAGCTGTGCTAGCAGATCCATGGAGATGTCCTCCCACCCCAATAGTCTTCCTCCCTGTGGGTGCAGAAAGAGGGAGTGGATGCTGGAGGTTTCCATCCAGCCCTGACTGCTCCTCTCTGAGCCTCTCCAGAGAACCCATCTGTCATTGAGAGCTGGGAAGAAGCTCAGGGATCAGGGAAGGATTTCATGGTGTTCTGCTGGGGTAGAGTCCTGGAAAGCTAAGGGTCTGTCCCTCAGGGGTGTCTTCCACCCGAGTGAGCTTGGCATCTGTCCTAAGTGATACAAGACTTCCCACACAAGGGAAAGGGCTGCAGGAGCCAGCTGTGCTCTGTCCTGGCTGACTTCAGCAAAGTTCCAGGCTCAGTCTGCATAGTGTTTATTAAAGATCACTTGGTAATGTGTATCCAGGCTTTAAGCCTCTTGATGCCTCTGCACACTGGCCCCTTTTGCAGGTATTGGTGGAGTTGGTGTCTGCACTTGGGGCTCTGGTGGACCCCATCAGGGCCTGATTGTGGTGTGGAAGTCTAGGCACTAAGCCTCAGAAATCTTATTGAAAAAAGAATGAAATGAAACCAATCTCAGTTAAGGAAGGTGGGGGTGCTTTCCCTGTGGAAGGGGACCCAGCTCACCTTCAGTGCCCCTCTGGGATAATTTACTTCCCTTTCCGCTGGAAAAAGGGTCATCTTCCTGTGGCTGTGGAAAGGCAGCACCTTCCTCCCTACTGCTGCCTCCCCCAAGTCTAGGTTTAAGAGCTGGACCTCCTGAAGGTGGGAGGTGGAGCCCACCCTGTTGCAACACCCCCCATTGGGATTCGGCTAGATCTCACCCTGGGCTCTTAAGCTTCTGGCTTCCAGGGCCAGGGCCAAGCTTCCCCTGTTAGACTCTTAGGTAAGACACAGGCCCTGTGTGAAGCAGTTCCATAGGCCTGGTCACACAGAGGACACCCTTCTCTTTGATTCCATCCCCCAACCCCTAAACCCCCCTTTCCTCTGCAGATATACTCTAGACTGGTTGGGGAGTGGAGAATATCATACTGTTATAACCTCTTTCTCCCCATCGAAAAGACATAAATATCAGTTTCTCTTTATTATTGTGAAGCTTTAAACCACTTGAAAATCCTTTAGCCCACAGTTAAGCCCAAACAGTAAATATATCCTTAATATATATGTGGGAATCTTATTTTTTATGAGGAATCCCATTGTCTTGCACCTTATTTGTGTTTAACATTTGGGTATCTTTGTTCTCCGTTGGTCTTTTCCAATTCAGGTATCATCTTTTTGATTGTCTTTTTTTTTTTTGAGACAGAGTCTCGCTCTCTCGCCAGGCCGGAGTGCAGTGGCACTATCTCAGCTCAGTGCAACCTCTGCCTCCCGGGTTCAAGCGATTCTCCTGCCTCAGCCTCCCGAGTAGCTGGGACTACAGGTATGCGCCACCACGCCCAGCTAATTTTTGTATTTTTAGTAGAGACGGGGTTTCACCATGTTGGCCGGGATGGTGTCGATCTCTTGACCTCATGATCCACCCGCCTCAGCCTCCCAAAGCGCTGGGATTATAGGCGTGAGCCACCGTGCCCGGCCCTTGATTGTCTTTAATATTATTTTCTTCATACTAAAGAGGCAGAAAATATTTTATATACAGAGGAGCTAGATTGCATTCATATCGTTTCCAAGCTTTAACTTTTCATGATTATATGCAAAATTCTATACCAGCAGCATTTTTTAACCTTTTTATTGACATGTGACTTATGTATAATAGTTTACAAATTGTAAATACAGCTCGATGGGTTTTTATATTATTATACACTCATGTATTTACCTCTCAAATCAAGTTATAACTCCTCCATCCAGCAGTGTGCTTTTTTTTTTTTTTCTTTTTTTTGAGACAGTGTCTCGCTCTGTTGTCCAGGCTGGAGTGCAATGGTGCGATCTTCGCTCACCACAACCTCTGTCTCCTGGGTTCAAGTGATTCTCCTGCCTCAGCCTCCCAAGTAGCTGGGATTACAGGTGCCAGCCACCACACCCAGCTAATTTTTGTATTTTTAGTACAGTCGGGGTTTCACCAGGTTGGACAGGCTGGTCTCCAACTCCTGACCTCAGGTGATCCACCCACCTCAGCCTCCCAAAGTGCTGGGATTACAGGCATGAGCCACCTCACCCGGCGGCAATGTGCTTTTTTCAGTTTGATAGAAACTCATTTTTTCCTAGCTAAAAGCTACATTTTTTAAAAACATGCATAGAAGGTCGCAGTCCCTGTTATTTTTAGTAACAGGGGTTATGGTAATGAGATTGTTAATATTCTGGGGTTTTTCTTTCTATCTCTAATAGGAGAGCCTTGCTTGAGTTATGAGTCTTGGGCAGGCTTGGGCTCTGCCACCAGCTAGCTGGCTGTGTGACCCTAGGCAGGTCACTTCTCCTCACCTTCATTTTTTTTCTTTAATTGTCAACAGTAGGATGGGGTCTTTAAGGCCCTTTTGGGCTCTGACTACCAATTCTAGCCTCTGGGGTAATAAACCTGCCACTTGTTGAAAGCTCACCTTCAGCCTGATACTGTGGTGCATTGTTTCACTTGATCTGAACTACCCCATGCAATTAGTATTAAAGAATACCAATTTTTAGATAAGGAACTGAAGCTGATAATGATCACTTGTGTGACTTGGCCAAGGTCACACGGCTAATAAACGGTGGAGTGGAGCTTGAACCAAACCCGGCTCAGCCTCCCAAGTCCTAACCTGCTAGCCACGCTGGGGAAGGTTGTGGGTACCTCGTGTGGATCGTGGCTGGCGTTGCTTCAGATTCTTCTTTCCTCTGGGTCTGCAACCAGCTAGAAGCCTGGATAGTCCTGCTGTGAGTCTGTCCTCTGTTTCTGTGTGCTGGCAGTGGTTTTCCCTTTTGAGGAAGAGCTGTGTTCTTGAGCCTATGGGTAAATCATCTCCCCAACTAATCGGAGCCTGGGAAGCATTTGCAAAACCTTGACTCCAGTTGGCTTTTAAATCAAATGTCTTCCACTTTAGCCTTTGAACCGAGTTACTTCCTCCTGTGTCTCTTGCTCCATTTTCTTTAACAACTCCTTTCTGCTGTTGTTTTTTTGGTTTGATTTTGTTTTGTTTTGCTGGACTCTTGTTTAAATATTCAGGAATGCCCTTTTCCGGGGTAAAATGTAGCTGAAGAGTCACTGGTCAGAAGCACCTGCAGGGGACCCTGGGCGGGGTCACTTGGTTCTCAGGCCACCTGGCTAACCTTGAGTGAGCTAGTCTCTACGCCCCGCCTGCCCTGGTCAACAGTCTGATTGGTTTCCCTAATCAGCTTGCTCTCCAGGCTGTGCCAGGACTCTCAGCTAGAGGAAGTCTCTAAAGCAAACAGGAAGTACACGAGACACTCATCAGCTGGAATTGCTCACCCTTTTACCAGGAAGGACAAAACATATGAAGTGGGTGACTTCGTGGATTAGAGGAAAGGTGAAACTTTCAAAGGGAGGTTAGGGGGAGGAATTGCAGCAGCATCTAGTGTCTTGGAGAAGGCTCCAGTTGCTGAGTGAAGCTGAAGACCCCTCCCACATTCATGGACTTACACATGCACACTTACGAGTTGTGCACAGCACTGATCGGGGGTGCCTTTCTGTCTCTTGGATTTCTCCCTCCTTCGTATATCAACTGTAGCTCTTGTGCTTCGATCAACTGCTTAAAATCACTGGGAACTTATTTTTAAAATACTGATTTCTGGACTCCACCTCTAGAGATTCTAATTCAGTTGGTCAGGGTATTTTCTAAAGGCCCTGGGTGATTCTGGTGAAGAAGAGTTTGACTGGAGGCTGAAATAGAAGGATCACTTGAGCCTGGGAGGTCAAGGCTGCAGTGAATCGTGATTGCATCACTGCTCTAGCCTGGGCAACAGTGAGACTCTATCTCCAAAAAAAAAAAAAAAAAATTACAGGTGGCTCACACCTGTAATCCCAGCACTTTTGGAGGTTGAGGCAGGAGTTTGATACCAGCCTGGCCAGCGTGGTAAAACCCCGCCGCTACAAAAAATACACAAAAATTTAGCCGGGTGTAATGACGTATACCTATAGTTCCAGCTACTCCTAGAAGCTGAGGCATTAGAATCGCTTGAGCCTGGGTGGCAGAGGTTGCAGTAAGCAGAGATCGTGCCACTGCACTCCAGCCTGGGTGAGAGAGCGAGATTCTGTCTCAAAAAAAAAAAAAAAAAACTTAAGAAAAAAAAAGAATTTGAGACCCACTGACCTGTAGTGTCCAGAGCAGAGGGAACCCCGGAGCAGGGAAGAACAGTGTCCCATTTTTCTTTCTCTTTCTCTTCCATCCTTGGCCCAGAAGTGCCTGTGCACAGGGCCAGGGTGTTTAGGAGCTTAGATCCCTTCTGCGCTTTCATGTGCATTGTATTAATAGGAAAATAGTGTGACTCCAAGTCCTTATACATTCTCTCCCCTTTCCTGTGGAAGACATGAGGTTGGGACTGGTGCTTGTTCTTAGTGGCCTCTGAACAAGCCAGGGTTCTGATTTGGATGGTGGGTCCATGGCAAGGAGAATCTTTCTCCCTAGATCTGAAGCTCCAGCACGGCCATTGTACTTGTGAAAAAAAGTCAACTTTTTTTTGAGACAGAGTCTTACTCTTTTGCCCCAAGCTGGAGTGCAATGGCGCGATCTCAGCTCACTGCAATCTCTGCTTCCTGGGTTCAGGCAATTCTTGTGCCTCAGCCTCCCAAGTAGCTGGGATTACAGGCGTGTACCACCACGTTGGCTAATTTAAAAAAATCAACTTTGACTGTAACTTTAGCTCTTATGGAGAATTTGATTTTTGTCTCAAAGAAGACTTTGAAAACTATGTCAGTTTTGGCTATAATTCCATCACCTGACTGCACAAGTGGATAATTTTTGCCAGGGGTTCAAAAAGAAAGATTGCCAGTAAGACACACATCCCTGGGAGGCAGGACAGCTCAGTGAATGCATTCACCTTTACTACCTGCCATGTCTTCAGTTTCCCAGGCTTGGGAGGAGAGGGTATAATGCTTCCTGGGGCTCTCGGTCTGGCCTTCCCCTGGCTTAGACACCCTCATATCTCCGTGCGCCCTTCCTAGCAAAATTGGCTTCCTTGGGCTTTATTGACTGCAAAGGTTGGACACCACTGCTCATTTGATCACCAAGCAGGGCCAGGCAAACCACTAGGCAACAGACCGTAAAAAGTGCTGGGTGTGCCTGCTCAGGTATCTCTGGAAGGCAGGATCAGTGACCAGGCAGAACATGTCACCAGCTAGTTCATGCCAGGGAGAGCCTGTCTCAGTTCATTGGGATGGCCAGAGTCTGTTCACCAACAGTCTTGGAGAAAGTGTTACAAATAACCCTGTCAGTACTCTTAGCTACTGTTTACTCAACATGATGTGTGTGAGACAGCTGGCAAACACTGCCATTAACCCTGGTGTGCCCCATATTAGTGATGAGAACACTGAGGCTCAGCTCAGGTGGCTTCTACAAAGTGATTCAGAAGTGGCAGGAGACAGTCACATCTGTGGTGCCGAAAGCCAGTGCCTGTGCTCACTCTCTCTCTGCCAGATGCTCTAGCCCTGGCTGTGCTTCAGTGGGTGTGCTTCACCTGCAGATGCTGGGCTCTGTGCCAAACCTTCATGAGAATCTCGAGGGGCTGGCTGCACAGATGACTTCAATGTACAGACACCGTTGAGAACCACTGCAGGAGAGTTATTTGTCTCCCCTTCTGGCTTGTTTTTAAAAATCACATTCTGTTCCTCTAACCCTGTGGTTTGGTAGTGACAAGACTTAGATCTGTTACCTGTATTTTTCTCGACCTGTAGGTGCTGGTTACTTCCCAGCTCGGTACCCTAAGCACCAGCTGCTTTGGTTTTTTTGGAATCAGAGACTTGGTTTTCTATTACCATCTCCCAGTCCATTCATACCTCCTCCTCCAGTGCCCCAGCCACAGACCATTGCTCAGCCAAGACTCTGTGTCACGTGGATTCATGGTAATAACCAACTTGTAATTCCACTGTGGTTTTCCCTCTGTTGCTGTCGCCCTGCCTGGCTCTGGGCGGCTCCTCCCACTGTTGAGGGCACTCAGAAACTGCAAGATTACTGTGACTGTTGCTAGAGCCAGCTAGAGCTAGACCTTCCTGGACCAGCAAAGTTGCTGCCACAAAAAAAGAGAGTTTCATTCACCTAGCAGCCCTAAACCAAACATAGGGCAGGCACTGCCTCCATTGTTCTTCCACAGCAGGGAGGATGGCATCATGTCTATGGTGGGTCTGGGGGGTTCTGTCACCTGTAGGCTGGGTGACCATGAGCAGGACATTTAATATATGAATGTTAAATTATCTATCTGAAAAATGGAGGTTGTCGTAAAGCTTGAAGGAGATAATAGTTGTGCAATTGGGAAGCTGAGGCGGGAGGGTTGCTTGAGGCCAGGAGTTGGAGACCAGCCTGGGCAACACAGTGAGACTCCATCTCTGCAAAAAAAAAAGAAAGAAAGAAAGAAAGAAAATTTTAATTAGCTGGGTGTGGTGGTGTATACCTGCTGGAGGCTGAGGCAGTAGGATCTTGGAAGCTGCAGTGAGCTGTGATCACACCGCTGCACTCTAGCCTGGGCAACACAGTGAGACCTTGTTTCTTTAAAAAAAAAAATTATTTCCTTCCATCAGCACTCTTTGAGTTCCTAGTATGCACATAGGCACTGTGAGGAAGGCATCTCTAAGAAGCAGAAAGCACAGACCTTGTCTCTTCATTGACTGAGGTGAAATGAGAAAGCGTCTTAAACTATGAAAAATTGAAATGACATAACTTTGAAATATTTACATGGTATTTCTGGTTGCTAATTGAGACCCACCACCCCGTACTTCCTTCCTTGTACTTTTGGGGAAGAGGTGGGCCCCATTTCAAACCTCTTTTCCTTTGGTTCTCTCCAGAAAGGAAACTGTTGTTTCTGGCTAGTGAATCATTCTTCCTGAAGCTCACTTTTTAAATGAGTTGCTGGGAGAACTTGGATGTGGAAAACGATTTGAGGTTGAACAAAACAAGCCCTTTGCTGTCAGCTTCTTGCATGAATGTGGACCATTTGCTTCCCACAGATACCTCCTGTTCATCCACATTGCTGTCCCTTAACCATGAGGGAATGTACTTCCCTTGCTCAGGGGCAGATCGGGGCTCTCCCTGGGATCTTAGACTCCATTATGCAAAGGGCAGCCTAATAAAAACCTTTTCTTTCCAACCCAGGTTCAAATGCTGAACAGTGTTCAGTACTTAATACCTACTCACAGGACCTGTTTGTAAAACATTCTGTATATATTCTGATGTCTGTTGACATCAGATGTATATGTCTGATGAGACATCCACTTATGTCTTCTAGAGGCTTCTAGAGATAGGCTCCTCATGTGTCTGCAATTCCAAAACTTAACAAAAACAAAAAGTTGAGCCTCTGAAGCTGTCACTAACCAAGTGATTCAGATGTCGGGACTGGAACACCAGCTGTTGGGGATGCAGGACTTGGTCTCTGCCCTCCCACACCTCCTGCCTCTTCTTTCTCTCCATCGCCCCATCTCTGCCAGTAGAGAATGGAACTGAGGTCTCTATTGAAAAAGGGAAAGTTGGTAGCTGTGCTGACTGTGGCAGAGCTATGACTTTGGTGTGTGTTTCTGTGTGTGTTTGTTTCGGTGTGTGTTTTGTTTTGGTGTCTGTTTTGGTGTGTATTTCTGTGTGTGTGTTGGCATGTGTTTTTGTGTGTGTGTGTGTGTGTTTCAGTGTGTATTTGTTCCGGTGTGTGTGTTTCTGTGTGTGTTTGTGTGTGTGTATCGGTGTGTGTTTTACTATGTGTTTGTTTCTGTGTGTGTTTTGTTTTTTAATGGGTGCGAGACTTTGGCCCATCAAAAATGAGAGAACTAGGGAAGAAGGATCAGGATGAGAGAGTGAAACATTGCTTTGATTCTGGTGCACAGAGGCACACAGTCCAGCCCTAGACTGAAAGTCGGTCAGTCCTTCTGAAGGTGGCAGGAGAAAAATGGCTATGTTAATAACAACTTGTGCTGGCCAGGCCCTGGTCCCTGAATGGCCATGAGGTTGGCCAAGCACCTTCTCTGAGGAGCTTTCTACCAGGACCTCTTGGGCCCCTGTCTGCCTCACCACTGTGGTCCTGGCTACCAGACTGGAACTTCATTATTGATCTAAATCCTAGTGTCTTCCTGAGCTTTTGTTTTGTTTTGTTTTGTTTTAATTTTGCCCCAAAAGCCTGTTGACTTAACTGTCACCAGGCTGTCACACATTCATTCATCGCCTGTGTGTGTTTATTTGTAGGTGAATGTACATATTTGGGATCCAGAAGTCAATGTGTTTGCTCAGAACCATGAGCCTGAAGTTGGGAGACCATTCTCCTCTTTACAGCTCAGATGGTGGTAGAGCCGGTAGACATCTAGTATAGCCCAGTGGGGCCTCCTGACCTCTAGTGGGGAGGGCAGGGAGGTGAGGTGAGGGGAAGCAGTCAGCTAGGTCTTCAGTGAGGCCAGAGGGAAAGATCTGTAATTTAAGAAGGACACAGCGGGTGACGGCCTCTGAACTAACTCAGTACTTCTCATTTCTCCCTTACAGTTGGAGGTCCCCCTCCCCACTAAGTGCCTCTTTGCATAGCACCAGTCCCCACCCGCACGCTCTCTGGACCACTACAGCTGGACGGGCAATGGCGGGTCGGGGAGGCGCAGCACGACCCAATGGACCAGCTGCTGGGAACAAGATCTGTCAATTTAAGCTGGTTCTGCTGGGGGAGTCTGCGGTAGGCAAATCCAGCCTCGTCCTCCGCTTTGTCAAGGGACAGTTTCACGAGTACCAGGAGAGCACAATTGGAGGTGAGTGGGCATGAGGGAGTCGGGGAGGGGCCTGAAGGTTGCCAAAGAAATGCTTTGACCTTGAGGAGATGGGAAGCTGCCTGCCTGCATTAGGGACTAAATGCGTCTGTGGTGGCAGCCCCACTTCCTCACCTGGGCCCTGGAATTGAGCCCAGCAACTGGTCTCCATGCCAGAGTCCCCTCAAGCATCGCTAGTAAGCATTTGCTGGGAGTGGAAAGCTAGCTTCCCATCCTGTTTCTGCCCCTTCTTGATCTGTGTGGCCTTGGCTGAGGCCCTTTCACTGCCCTGGCCTCATGGAGGGAGAGCTGACTCTGGATCTTTGAGGCCCCTTCTTACTATAATGGGTGGTCCATGTGCCCTGGCCTTTCCCACTTCCAGAAGAAGGAACAGCCTGGTGAGTCGGAGCTGGGTGATAGGTGGGTGTTTCTGAAGCTGACTTTACCCTTTCTGGAGCTCACAGCCTGTTGTTGATTTTCCAGTGGTCAGCATTTAGGATGTGAGTGAGGGTCTGGCCTCGGCCTCTTGCCTCCGTGGCTAACACACACATCAAGAGGCAGGGGCCAACGCTGGCCTTGGCCTTGAGTCATCCTTTCTCTACTCTCTTGGTAGGAGGTTTCTAGGCAGCTGGAAACAAAATGGGCCATGTCAGCAGTCTCCCTGCTGCCTCCTCAGCATTTGGGTCAGGAGCTGGAGAGGGGAAGTGAGGCAGTGCCCCATGTCCCTCAGTGAGCTGGGGGAGGGCAGACCAGGAAAGCAGCCTTCTACACATGGCTGTCCTGGGTTCTCTGCTGGGTCCAGGGGCAAAGGGGCCTTTTGCTGTCTGTCCCAGCTCTGGACTCCTCCTTTGAAGCATGTGTACAGGCACCCTGCATTCCCCTAAGGAGTCACCTCTTAGTGACTGAAGGTCAGGTCACAGGGTGGCCATACAGGAACAGGTCTGGGTCAGAGCTAGGGGCGGTGGCTAGCTGGAGTGCCTGGAGGTGGTAGGGGTGGTTGGGAAGCCGGCCACCCAGCCTCAGCCTGGTGGTGGAACAGTGTGTACTTCCCCAGCATAGCTAAGTGTGTGAGAATGTCCTTAGGAAACCCAAGGTCAGTGACACCCCTGGGCTGGAGCAAACTGAGGGGTGGAGCGGTCCCTAGCTGCTGGTCTGTTCTCTGAGTGGCGGAGGAGGAGGTCTGAGGGCGCTCACCCTTCTGTGCTTGGAGTAGGCTTCCCCTAGGCTTTCCCTCTCTTGCCCCTGCTGTGTTGCTCTTCAGAGAGTGGTCCTGAGATGGCTCAGTGCATGCAGGAGTCCCTTCTCCTGCCGTTGCCTGGGCTGGGTCTGCAAAGCCTGTGCAGACCCCGTCCCCCAGACACATACATAAAAATCCAAACTCCACCCCCCACTCAGGCCTGCTTTGGCTCCTGGCTTGAGGGTTCTCTGTGCCCATCTCAGTGGTGGGCTTCTGAGTGCCAGAGCCTAGAAGCAACAGTGGGATTGTGTGGGGTGGATTCCAACTCGCTCTTGCCCATGGACGCTCCTTCTCTCTTACAGCGGCCTTCCTCACACAGACTGTCTGCCTGGATGACACAACAGTCAAGTTTGAGATCTGGGACACAGCTGGACAGGAGCGGTATCACAGCCTGGCCCCCATGTACTATCGGGGGGCCCAGGCTGCCATCGTGGTCTATGACATCACCAACACAGTAAAGATTTCCCCTTGCTTCTTCCTTTGCCCTTCATCTTCTCAAAGTCCCAGGGATTGGGTTATCAGAGCCCTGATTTCAGGCCGCTTAACCCTCTGTTCCTGGGTGGGGGGTGGGCAGATTTCCTGTTTGGGGACATTGCATCAGAATCTTTAGGTGGCAATGTCTTAGATAATTTGGCTGTGCCAGCTTGAGAGTCTCTAATGGGTGGCCCTGGGCAGAATGCCTTCTCTGTCCCTTCGACATTCTGTCCCTGTCTCCTCAGGATACATTTGCACGGGCCAAGAACTGGGTGAAGGAGCTACAGAGGCAGGCCAGCCCCAACATCGTCATTGCACTCGCGGGTAACAAGGCAGACCTGGCCAGCAAGAGAGCCGTGGAATTCCAGGTGGGGAGATGACAGACTTGGGGGAAGGAGTGGAGTAAGCAGCTCCCCCCGGCCTCGCCTGGGATGCTCAGGGGCTTTGGGAAGGGCCATGCTAGGAGGCAACAGGGAAGCTTCCATCTGCTGTCCTCTCGTGCCTCAGGCATGGGCCTAACATGGCTCCTGTCTGTAATCCCAGTGCCTTGGGAGGCTGGAGTGGGAGGATCACTTGAGGCCAGGAGTTCGAGACCAGCCTAGGCGACACAGTAAGACTCTGTCTCTGCAAAAGATTTAAAAATTAGCTGGGCTTGGTGGCACGCACCTGTAGTCTCAGCTGCTCAGGAGGCTGAGGCACGAGGATTGTTTGAGCCCAGGAGTTTAAGATTGCAGTGATTGCAACACTGCACTCCAGCCTGAGCAAGAGTGAGGCCCCATCTCTTTAAAAAAAAAAAAAAAACAGCCAGGTGTGGTGGCACACACCTGTAATCCCAATACTCTGCAGGCTGAGGCGGGAGATCACTTGAGCTTAGGAGTTCGAGACCAGCATGGGCAATGTGGCGAAACCCCATGTCTAAAAAAATACAAAAGTTAGCTGGGCATGGTGGTGTGCTACTCAGGAGGCCGAGGTGGGGAGGATCATTAGAGGCCAGGAGATTGAGGCTGCAGTGAGCAGTGATCGTGCCACTGCACTCCAGCCTGGGCAACACAGTGAGATCCTGTCTCAAAAAAAAAAAAAAGAAAAGAATAAAAAAAGCATGGGCCTAAAAGGAATTGCCCGTCACCTGTCTCTCCCTGGTTCTCTTTCTTTGGTGGTAGGGGTATGTGTATATATGGATCACTAGCCTTCTACTTCTCTTTTCTTGTAAGTTGACTTTTTAATTAAACTTATTGAGAAAGAAATACTTAAGTCTCTGCTAACCCTAGAAACTCAACTTCTCTTCTTCTAATTTCCCCAGTTTCTTGTCCTTCCAGAAATATGCACGTGTTTTTTAATCCCTTTCTTTACATTGATGGCAGTGTGCTATACATACTGTATATGATAATTTTTTACCAATCCCTAATAATAGCAAAAGACTGAAAACAGTGCTGCAGTAGACATCCACATACTTTTGTGCTTTTGTGCAAACATGTAAGTGTATTTGTAGGTTAACTTTCTAGAAGTATTTCCTAGCCTAGTGATTTTGAAGAGCAAGAAGGCAGGGTGGACCTGGGGAAACCCGGGTAAGACATCTGCTAGTGATTGTGAGCTGAGAGGTGATATACATGAGCGGGGAAACCCAGATCAGGGCAGCCTTAGGCCTGAAAACTCCTGTGTGTGTCCAGCTGATCTCTATTATGATAAGGTGCTCGAATAAGGAAGGTTTGTATCCTGGGCCCTGGGCCCTGGCCCCTGCCAACATTTCCCTCTCACCTCCTCTCACCTCCATCCAAACCAGGAAGCACAAGCCTATGCAGACGACAACAGTTTGCTGTTCATGGAGACATCAGCAAAGACTGCAATGAACGTGAACGAAATCTTCATGGCAATAGGTCAGTTGCTTCTCCTCCCCTCCTCTCTCCACCACAGCAAGGGCATATCACCTGTCTGCTGGTCTAGAGTGGGCCTGCGGGGTCCCTTCACCACTCTTTTTTTTTTTTTTTTTTTTTTTTTTTGAGATGGAGTCTCGCTCTATCACCCAGGCTGGAGTTCAGTGGCACGATCTCGACTCACTGCAAGCTCCGCCCCCCAGGTTCACGCCATTCTCCTGCCTCAGCCTCTCGAGCAGCTGGGACTACTGGTGCCCACCACCACTCCCAGCTAATTTTTTGTATTTTTGGTAGAGACGGGGTTTCACGGTGTTAGCCAGGATGGTCTCGATCTCCTGACCTCGTGATCCACCCGCCTCGGCCTCCCAAAGTGCTGGGATTACGAGCGTAAGCCACTGCGCCCAGCCCCCTTCACCACTTTTAACCTTCTGATAAAATTGTTTTCATCATCACCTGACTCCCAGATGTAGATGTTGGTTGTTCACCCGAGAAGTTCCTGAAGCCTGGGCCAGAGTCTCAACATTTCACTCTCTGAGCCTGTAGCCTGCCACCCATTTCAGAGCCTGCCATCACTACCCCTACCCACTGCCTAGGAGTTTTTAGCTCATTTGGCTCTGGAATCTTCCTTCCTGGGTTGCAGATCCTGGCTCTACCACTCATTAGCTCTGTAGTCTTGGGCAAGTTATTTAACCTTACTTTGCCGCAGTTTCCTGAAAACAATCAGAATGCACCTGACACACAGAAGCCCTCAATATGTGAGTTACCACTGATTGGGTATAAAGGCCAGAATCTGCTCCAGTGGAACTGGGAGAGTTATTGGGGTACCCCCAACAAATGCACTTTTCCCCCTCCCAAACAGCTAAGAAGCTTCCCAAGAACGAGCCCCAGAATGCAACTGGTGCTCCAGGCCGAAACCGAGGTGTGGACCTCCAGGAGAACAACCCAGCCAGCCGGAGCCAGTGCTGCAGCAACTGAGCCCCCCTTGCCTGCCCGCTGCCCCCGCCTCCTCCGCCTGAATGACCCGACTGGAATCCACTCTAACCAATCGCACTTAACGACTCGGGCCACCACTGGGGGGGCAGGGGGAGGGGTCCACCATGATTTCTCCATATAATTTTGATCATAGGCCGGAGTGAGTCATTCCACCTGCACCTTTCTGTACAAATACTAATTCAATTTTAAGTCTTAAGTCACTTTTTTAATATATATGATCTTCTGCTCTTCCCACTTCCTCCCCTTTCTACTGCTCTCCCATTTTCCCTTGCTGGGAGTAGCCACATGCTCTTGCCCCCCAACCCTTGTATATGGGGACAGTGGGGTCAGTGCAGCTACCCTTTCTTTCCCTCCTGCGGAACAGCGGACCCAGCAAGAGCATCCACATCCTCACTTTGTTCGGAGTGGTCTTTGGTTTGGGCGGTGGGGCAGACCTTGGGAAGGGGCTTAGGAAGGGAGAGGCAGCTCTTCCTTCAGCTGGCTCTCATCAGGCTGCAGCCCCCTCCCCGCTCCCACCTCCCTGCTGGGAAACCACAGCATTATCACAGCATTATTGTGACAGCCACGAACCCATTGCCCACAACCCCTCCACCCTCGGTCACCCCAACCTCTGGCTCTGAGCCCTGTTCTGACCAAATCATGATGATGAGTATTTGGGGGTGGGTGGGTAAGGGGGGGAGTGGGAGGGGACGGAACCAACTTTTTCTGTATTTTGTATTGTATGTTTTCTTCAACATGTAACCAATCAGTATCTTGTCAATATAGTCAGCCGATCGATCGACCTCACAATTGTCTTCCTTGTCTTTCTCTGGCAGTTTATCAGACAGTGCCCTCTGTAGTTGAAGTTGATTTAAAATGAACCACTGAATCTTGTTAAACAAAATCTTCCCCTCTAATGTGAGGGGATGCTGGTGGTCATGGTAACCAAGAGAAAGAGGCTCTTACTGTTAGCAGCTCCGATGAGGTAGCTGACCTGGGCTGACCAAGTTTGAAGTTTCAGGGCCCGTGTTCACTTCTCCACCTCCCTTCCCCTCCCCCACCTACCAGATCATACTGGGGTGACATGCAGTGTGTATTTGATGATCATTAGTCTCTGAAACACCAGAAACAACCTCTTTGGGTTTTTTTTGGTTGGTCTTTACCAGTGAGAGGGTCTGGATCCTCTCTCTTCCTGAAGAGGAAGGAATCCCAACAGCCCCTGGAACGCTGGACTGGTCTTAAGGCCAAGACTGTAGCCACTGGCTTTCCTCACCACCTCTGTCCACGTCACCCCCCCACACCACATCCAAGTTGCCCCAGTCCAGCTCTCTACTGGTTCTGGAATCAGGTCTGGGCACTCAGCTCTCTGCTGCTACCTGTTGGAGCTGCTGCTCAGCTAGGGCCACACTCTCCTCCAATTTCTCCCAGGGCCACAGAGGCCTGATTCCCTTTTTTTTTTTTTTTCTTTTTTTGAGACGGAGTCTCTGTTACCCAGGCTGGAGTGCAGTGGTGCTATCTCAACTCACTGCAGCCTCCACCTCCTGGGTTCAAGCGATTCTTCTGCCTTAGCCTCCCAAGTAGCTGGAATTACGGGCACCCGCCACCACGCCCTGCTAATTTTTGTATTTTTAGTAGAGACAGGGTTTCACCATGTTGGCCAGGCTTGTCTCAAACTCCTGGCCTCAAGTGATCCACCCGCCTCAGCCTCCCAAAGTGCTGGGATTACAGGCGTGAGCTACCACAGTCGGCTTTTTTTTTTTTTTTTTTTTTTTTTTTTTGAAACGGAGTCTCACTCTATTGCCCAGGCTGGAGTGCAGTGGCACGATCTCGGCTCACTGCAAGCTCTGCCTCCCGGGTTCACGCCATTCTCCTGCCTCAGCCTCCCGAGTAGCTGGGACTACGGGCGCCCACCACCACGCCCGGCTAATTTTTTTGTATTTTTAGTAGAGACGGGGTTTTACCGTGTTAGCCAGGATGGTCTCGATCTCCTGACCTTGTGATTCGCCCGCCTCGGCCTCCCAAAGTGCTGGGATTACAGGCGTGAGCCACCGCGCCCAGCATTTTTTTTTTTTTTTTTTTTTTTTTTTTTTGAGACAGAGTCTCACTCTGTGGCCCAGGCTGGAGTGCAGTGGCAGGATCTTGGCTCACTGCAACCTCCCTCCACCTCCCAGGTTCAAACGATTCTCTTGCTCAGCCTCCCGAGCAGCTGGGATTACAAGCACACACCACCACGCCTAATTTTTGTGTTTTTAGTAGAGATGGGGTTTCACCATGTTGGCCAGGCTGGTCTCGAACTCCTGGCCTCAAGTGATCTGCCCGCAGAGGCCTGATTCTTGGTGGACCACCACCTTGAGGGTGCCTTTCCTGCCTCCTGTGCCTCCAGTCCCTCTACCTCTGACTTCCATCCCCAGAAAAGACAACGGACACCAAGGCTGCTGCACATCGCGTCGTTTGTTTACCGGGTCAGGTTGGAAGCCTTAGAGCCGAGGCTCCCGAGTCTCGGGGACGGTCCTGTTTGGGCTTCAGGGAGGGCCAGCGCCACACACTGGCCTCTGACCCACAGCTGCCCGGAGGGGGTCAGGCAGCAGGTCATGGCGGTAGGACTCAGGTTGGACGGGAGCATTTTCCGGTGCACCTTCTGTGACATGCGGTAACTGACCCTTTCCGGGTCCCTGACGTCCAGTTGCTGCTGTCCGGTCACCATCAGCCATTGGCCATCCACCTGCACCACCAGTTCCTCCGGGGCGAAGCCGTGGGCATCCAGCTTCATTTGGAAACCGTCTCTGGCATGGTCATTGTCCTCCTGAGCCGCTGGACTGTCCCTGAGCAGCCGCACCGGCATTGTGGCCACCCGGTTCCGTTCAGCAAGGCCCACGCTGGGACACCGGGATGCCACCCGGCTCTCGTTGGAGAAGGTGTTACCGACTCTCTGCATCCGAGTCAGCAACTAACTGCTGTCAAAGGGCGCGAGGCTCCCAGCGCAGAGCTAGGCGCACGGACGCCCGGAGAGGAGGGACCTCGCGCGGCCTACCCGAGCTCAGCTCCGCTCGCTCGGTTCCCTTCGCTTCTGCAAACGCAGGCGGAGTTCGGGATCAGCCACGCCCATCTTACCTCCAAGAGCCAGACTGTCAGCGCCCTGGCGCGCCCGCAGCTGCTCTCCTCCCAGACTCCGACCCTTTCTCCGCCCTTCCCCACCTTCGTTAATGGACCCGGGGAGGCCGCAGCTGTGAAGGAACTGGATCCACGACCAGGCCAGACCCGAGGGAGCCGCACCCTGGCGCAGCCAACAGCAGATTGATCCCCCAGCTGGAAGGGGGCTGTCTTGCCTTCTAAGGACCAGGCCTGGGGCAAGGATTGTTCCTAGACAGAGCCAGGGGAGGGCGGCCTTCCTGGGTCATCCACCCTACCTCTCCCTGACCACCCACAACCCCACGCGGACACGCGACACGAGGAGGTGGACTGGTCTCTCCGGCTGCATTAATTCTTCCCGGGGCGTCCTGTGCTGCAGGCTGTGGTCTGGGCTCTGGGGCCACAAAGATGAAGACGCAGTTGGGGCTTCAGGAGAGTGGCTCCCAGTGCACAGAGAAAGACCTAGCCCTCCTCCGCCTCACCCTCCACGTCAGTAGCCTTCTTGGTGACCATCATAACCACAGCTATGCCTCTGGTGCTGTTATTTGATAATTTTTTTTTTTTAAGAGACAGGGTATCATTATGTTGCCCAGGTTAATCTCGAACTCCTGGGCTCAAGCGATCCTCCCATCTCGGCCTCCCAAAGTGCTGAGATTACAGGCGTGAGCCACCTCGCCCAGCCTATAAACTTTATTTTTTATTTTTTTGTAGAGATTGGTGGGGGGGGTCTCCCAATGTTGCCCAGCCTGGTCTCGAACTCCTGCAGGGCTCAAGCTCTCCTCCCGCGTGAGCCAGCCACCCGGCCTGATAAACTCCTTTTTGTTGAGTGATACTATTAAATACATACATACTGAAAAGCGCAGAAAAAGGTGCAGGTGAATGTCAGGAGGAGAACACACCCAAGTCACCACCACACTACTGCAGAACTGTTGCTACATCTCATCTCTACCGCAGCTGCAATTCCGTGTCCGGAGCCGCGTGGGGCAGGGCCTGTGCGGGAGTTGGGGGAGGGGGTTAAGTGGGAGACAGGCGCGTGAAAGAGGCAGACCCCACGATTCTCCCCAAGACTCCTTGTCCCCAAGAGGACAGCCATCGTGACTCTCCCGGACTCCATTAAAAGAGATTACAAGTGAAGAGGGGTCAATGTGGGGCCTTCACTCAGGCCTCACTTGGCTGTCAGGGGCCAAGAGACAGGACAGAAAAGTCTGGAAGCTGGAGGCAGTGAGGGGAAGGCGCGGGAAGACTACAACTCCCGTCATGCGCCGCGCAGCAACGCCTGCGCACTGAGCGCTGGTTGCCCATGCGGCCCTAGGGCTGGGAGCGCGGCGCCGCTCTCCGCTGCGGGGGAGGCCATGGCGGAACCTTCCCAGGCCCCGACCCCGGCCCCGGCTGCGCAGCCCCGGCCCCTTCAGTCCCCAGCCCCTGCCCCAACTCCGACTCCTGCACCCAGCCCGGCTTCAGCCCCGATTCCGACTCCCACCCCGGCACCAGCCCCTGCCCCAGCTGCAGCCCCAGCCGGCAGCACAGGGACTGGGGGGCCCGGGGTAGGAAGTGGGGGGGCCGGGAGCGGGGGGGATCCGGCTCGACCTGGCCTGAGCCAGCAGCAGCGCGCCAGTCAGAGGAAGGCGCAAGTCCGGGGGCTGCCGCGCGCCAAGAAGCTTGAGAAGCTAGGGGTCTTCTCGGCTTGCAAGGTGGGGGCGGGGCCTGGGGTGAAGGGGCGGGGCTTGGGGCATCCCAGGGCTCTGGTGGGAATGGGGTCAAAGCTCTGGCTGCGGAGCGGCTCTTGCCCCAGAGGTATAGGTCATTGACTGATCCTTCCACCTCCAGGCCAATGAAACCTGTAAGTGTAATGGCTGGAAAAACCCCAAGCCCCCCACTGCACCCCGCATGGATCTGCAGCAGCCAGCTGCCAACCTGAGTGAGCTGTGCCGCAGTTGTGAGCACCCCTTGGGTAAGGCAGGCAGCGCCCTTGGAGCTGGGGGCAGGTGCTGGGTCCTGCTTGGACAGGGTGACAAGTGCCACAAAGCTTCATCTCTGAAAAAATCAAAGATGCCTCGAAGGAGGGATTGGGTTGGGGGGGGGTGTGCACCAAGGGGGGAGAAAGGAAATCTCTCAGCCCAGAACAGGCCCAGGCAACCCAACGGTTGATATCGGAGCAGTCAGTCTCACTGTTGGTCACACTGGTTGGAGGAACAGAGTGTGTATCTTGCTTGGCTGTGAAGAGGGTCAAGAAGCCTTGTTGATTTCTTCTATCAATTTTTCCTAACTCTGCCATCTGTCTTGCAGCTGACCACGTATCCCACTTGGAGAATGTGTCAGAGGATGAGATAAACCGACTGCTGGGGATGGTGGTGGATGTGGAGAATCTCTTCATGTCTGTTCACAAGGAAGAGGACACAGACACCAAGCAGGTCTATTTCTACCTCTTCAAGGTGAGCTTCCACTAAAGGAGGGTGTGAGTGAAGGAGGTGGGGCCTTGAGGGGTTGTCTGCAGCTCTGCCCCCCTCCCCTCTATGCCCCCTTCCTCTTCTCTCTAGCTACTGCGGAAATGCATCCTGCAGATGACCCGGCCTGTGGTGGAGGGGTCCCTGGGCAGCCCTCCATTTGAGAAACCTAATATTGAGCAGGTGAGATAGGGGAATTGGAGATAGCGGATAGGAGAATTGGGGACAGCTTGGAGGAGTGGGGAGCCTGTGTTCTCCATTCTCCTCAAGCTGAGAACACTGGGGAGGTTCAGAGAAGGAAGGGTGTTTTGTGCTAACCTCAGGGTGGGCATGGTGGTAGGGAGGGGGCAGAGCTTTTCTATAGAGAGCACCCGAGAGAGAGAGGAGAAGGAGAACCTTGTCCCTGGCCAGGGAGCATCTTCCTTTGTCTAAGAAGGCCCTGCGGGCTGCTCACACCTCATTCCTGGTTTTATCCCCCACCCACCCCTTCTCAGGGTGTGCTGAACTTTGTGCAGTACAAGTTTAGTCACCTGGCTCCCCGGGAGCGGCAGACGATGTTCGAGCTCTCAAAGATGTTCTTGCTCTGCCTTAACTACTGGAAGCTTGAGACACCTGCCCAGTTTCGGCAGAGGTCTCAGGCTGAGGACGTGGCTACCTACAAGGTCAATTACACCAGGTAGGCCCAGCCAGGGGCAGCTTCGGGGGAGGCTTGCAGGCCCAGCCTGGGTTCAGTGGTTTCCGCCCTCACCTGTCTCCCCCTCGACCCCCTACTCCAGATGGCTCTGTTACTGCCACGTGCCCCAGAGCTGTGATAGCCTCCCCCGCTACGAAACCACTCATGTCTTTGGGCGAAGCCTTCTCCGGTCCATTTTCACCGTTACCCGCCGGCAGCTGCTGGAAAAGTTCCGAGTGGAGAAGGACAAATTGGTGCCCGAGAAGAGGACCCTCATCCTCACTCACTTCCCCAAGTAAGGCTCCTTCTGGCCTACCAGGATTTGGCCCCAAGTTCACATCCTCCCTGTTGTCCCCTTTTTTCCAGGAAGGCTTCCTGGATTGGTCCCTCCTCTCCCTCCATGGGCCTTTTGGGATCTGGGCGTCTACCTGGCAGACTTGCCCATGGCCCAGAAGCAACTTGCTAGTACTAGTCTGGGGATGGCAGGTACATAGCCCAAGCTAACGCTGCCCCCACCCGACCCTACGCCCCAGTAGATGTTACTAATTGTTTCCCATGGGGGCCTGGACACAGCCTCAGACTCCTTCCCTGCACAACTCTCCAAGAAACCAGACCTTAAGCTTGAAGTGAAACCAATTTCTACTCCTGTTCTGGTCTTTTCTGTACCATTTTCTTCTGTTCGGCCACACCTTTTAAAATCTAGGCCATAACTCCCCTGTTCAAAAAACCCTGACTGACTAATCCTGGCTCTCTAGTGCCCCCTGCCATCAGGTGGGAACAAGAGATGGCAAGGTGGGGTGGAGTCTGAGCCCATTTTGATACTGAGGGCAGTGAGGGGGCTCAGGGTGACAAGGTGCCCTGCCTGGCCACACAGCACAGGATGACATCAGCTCAGACCTGTCTCCCTGTGCCACACAGCGTGGTGAAACTGAGCCTGTTTGATCTCTGTCCTGGATGTGTCCTGTCCTCTTACCTTCAATTGGAGGCTCCCAGAAGACAGGGGCTGTCCCCTCTCTCAGGTCCCCAGTTCCCTAAGAGCAGGGTCTGTCTCTGACCAGCCTCCAGTCCCTCTGCTGCCTGGCCCAGGCTGCACCCTGGAGAACAGAGTTGTGGGACAGACTGTGTCCTCCCTACAGATTCCTGTCCATGCTGGAGGAGGAGATCTATGGGGCAAACTCTCCAATCTGGGAGTCAGGCTTCACCATGCCACCCTCAGAGGGGACACAGCTGGTTCCCCGGCCAGGTATGTGCCATGGTACGCTCTGTAGGGTGTCTGGCCTGCCTGGCTGAGCTAAGCCTCCTGGGTGGAAGAGAGCTCACCTGGGCCGGAGGCCCTGGATCCCACTGAGGGACCTGCCACCGGCTTCAGCCCCCCCAGTCCCTGCCTTCTCTCTCTCTCTCCTCAGCTTCAGCACCCCCGTCCCTGACTCTCTCTCTCCTCAGCTTCAGCCCCCGTCCCTGACTTCTCTCTCTCTCTCCTCAGCTTCAGCCCCCCATCCCTGACGTCTCTCTCTCTCCTCAGCTTCAGTCAGTGCAGCGGTTGTTCCCAGCACCCCCATCTTCAGCCCCAGCATGGGTGGGGGCAGCAACAGCTCCCTGAGTCTGGATTCTGCAGGGGCCGAGCCTATGCCAGGTGGATACTTGACCCCTGACCTCTGACCCTCATTCACTCCTTCCCAAACCTTTTTTACTGATCCTGAGCAACCTTGCCTGCCTCCCCAATAGGCGAGAAGAGGACGCTCCCAGAGAACCTGACCCTGGAGGATGCCAAGCGGCTCCGTGTGATGGGTGACATCCCCATGGAGCTGGTCAATGAGGTCATGCTGACCATCACTGACCCTGCTGCCATGCTGGGGCCTGAGGTGGGCAGCCCGACCTGCTGACCAGTTGGGGGACCCCCACCAACCTGAGACCCCGGCTCACCACCCCTCTTCTGTGCCCAGACGAGCCTGCTTTCGGCCAATGCGGCCCGGGATGAGACAGCCCGCCTGGAGGAGCGCCGCGGCATCATCGAGTTCCATGTCATCGGCAACTCACTGACGCCCAAGGCCAACCGGCGGGTGTTGCTGTGGCTCGTGGGGCTGCAGAATGTCTTTTCCCACCAGCTGCCGCGCATGCCTAAGGAGTATATCGCCCGCCTCGTCTTTGACCCGTGCGTCCCCCAGAGAGCCCCTCCCCCAGGGCAGCACACCCAGTTCCCTTCCTCCTCGGCCTCTTCACTCCTCAAAATTGGGGATCCCCTGCTCCCCACTTCTGAGGTTCATCCTTTGAGCATTCTTACTTCTCACTGCCCAACCCTGACTACAGCTCAGACTTCCAGGGCTCTGGGGACCTGAAGGGGACAGTCAGGGGCTATGACATGCCCCCCTCTCTCTTAGGAAGCACAAGACTCTGGCCTTGATCAAGGATGGGCGGGTCATCGGTGGCATCTGCTTCCGCATGTTTCCCACCCAGGGCTTCACGGAGATTGTCTTCTGTGCTGTCACCTCGAATGAGCAGGTCAAGGTGAGCGCGGCTCCCCGGCCCCAGCCCCAGTCCACGGCCCACTCCTGAGTTTGGGCCAGTTCGGAGCAGCAGGATGTGTGGCATGCAGCAGCCCGTTGCTCTTCTCTTAGTTAGCGGCCCGTTCCTCACATCCCCACAAGGTGGCAGCCGTACTTTGATAACTGTGGATTAGGAAACCACCTGTTGACAGACGGAGCCCAAGCAGCAGCCACACTTTGGTGGACCTGTGGACTTGGGTTTTCTGCATCACAAGAACATTTACATACATGGGGGAATTAATTACTTTACTTTTTATTTTTTATTTATTTTTTTGAAAGAGGGTCTCTCTCACCCAGGCCGCAGTGCAGAGGCATGATCAGGGCTCACTGCAGCCTCAACCTCCCAGGTTCAAGTGATACTCCTGCCTCGGCCTCCCAAGTAGCTGGGACCACAGGCATGCACCACTACGTCTGGCTAACTTTTGTATTTTAGTAGAGACAGGGTTTCACCATGTTGCAGGGTTTCACCCAGGCTGGTCTCTAACTCCTGACCTTAAGTGATTCACCCACCTCGGCCTCCCAAAGTGCTGGGATTACAGGCATGAGCCACCGCGCCCAGCCAAACTAATCATTATTACAGTAGCCCTATGCTGATAGTTTTGGCTTCTGTCCTTTGTTACAACAGACCCACTCGTAGGGTCTCTGGCTCTGTGTGTCGCATACCTCAGATCTGTGTGGTGCCTCATTGGCCCTGACGTGTGGGAGGCATTGCTCCTGCTGCTCAGACCTCTGGTGACTCCCTCTCCCGCTTCTCCCAACTCTGAGGCCCAGGGACTGGGAATCAGTGGCCTGTGTTGGGTTTGGACCCGGCCCTGCCACGGCTGGCAGCCTGACCTTGAACACATTTCCTAACGTAGCTGAGTTTCGGTTTTCTCTTCTGTAAAATAAAGGTGGTAATACTCGCCTCTGGGGTTAATTTGAGAATCGGTCTGTAAAACAGGAAGCACTGCACCTAGCCCAGAGTGAGCTTAGAAAGCCCGCACCCTTCACTTTCTCCCCATAAGCTCCCCTTCCTCTGTCAGCTGCCTTTCTTCCTCTTTGCCTGGATGCTCTCGCTCTCTCTACCTCCTTTCCAATCTACCCGCTCTTCTCTGGTCTCTGAGACCTCTCCAGCACCAGGCCCATCCTCAGCTCCTGGTGAGTCCTGCTTCCCTCCCCCGCAGGGTTATGGGACCCACCTGATGAACCACCTGAAGGAGTATCACATCAAGCACAACATTCTCTACTTCCTCACCTACGCCGACGAGTACGCCATCGGCTACTTCAAAAAGCAGGTGACCCGTAGCCTCGTCCCACACCGGTCCTTTGCCTGGAGGCTGGGGTAATTCTGTCCAGCCCCTCTGTGGATGGAGTAGGAGTCCCTTTGCGTCCCCTACTTCACCTGACACCTGCCAGGAGAGTCTCCATGCCTATCTTCTTTCCTCTGCTGCCATTGCCCCAGGGGAGAATGAGGGCCTGTGGGGCCAGTAGAGCAGGCCGGAGGAACTGGGGGTCAGTAGAGCATCCTGGAGGAACTAGGGGGCCAGTAAAGCAGGCCGGAGGAACTGGGGGGGGCACTAGAGCAGGCTGGAGGAACTGGGGGGCTAGTAGAGCAGGCTGGAGGAACTGGGGGGCCAGTAGAGCAAGCTGGAGGAACTGGGGGCCAAGAGCAGGCTGGAGGAACTGGGGGGCCAGTAGAGGAGGCTGGAGGAACTGGGGGGCCAGTAGAGGAGGCTAGAGGAACTGGGGGGCCAGTAGAGCAGGCTGGAGGAACTGGGGGACTCTTCGGGATGAGTCAGGAGTGGGCAGCTGACCTGGGACCTTTCCAGGGACAGTTTGAACCCTCACAGTGCCCCAGGAGGAGGTTCAGGAGCAGGAGGTGGCAAGTGGCACGTGCTACTCCTCTGGTGCTCCCAGGTGAGGGACGACAGAAGTTGGGAAATACTTATGGATGGACTGGGTCATGACCATCCACCCCCCAGGGTTTCTCCAAGGACATCAAGGTGCCCAAGAGCCGCTACCTGGGCTACATCAAGGACTACGAGGGAGCGACGCTGATGGAGTGTGAGCTGAATCCCCGCATCCCCTACACGGAGCTGTCCCACATCATCAAGAAGCAGAAAGAGGTGGTGTGCACACATGCGCATCTGTGGGATTTTTCATGAATGGGCATGCAGAGGGCGAGCACACGTGTGTAGACCTGTTCTACGTCTACATGCATATATGTGTGTGAGTGAGGAGGGGCAGGCCAGGATCTTGGCTCTTGCTCTGCTCCCTTGGGGAAGTTATGAGGGGAGGTGCTGGATTAGGTGGCGTTGCAGCTGGGTGGGTGCAGCCAGTGGCTCCGACTGTGGCCCTGGGAGGGGTTGTTGTTGGGGCTGGAGTTGGCCCCTCAGTCCCTTCCTTCCCTCAGATCATCAAGAAGCTGATTGAGCGCAAACAGGCCCAGATCCGCAAGGTCTACCCGGGGCTCAGCTGCTTCAAGGAGGGCGTGAGGCAGATCCCTGTGGAGAGCGTTCCTGGCATTCGTAAGCAGGGGTCTCAGTTGCAGGGTAGTGGGGGCACGATGCTTGGGGTGTGGACTGGCATTCTTAGAGACATTCTCCCACTTCCCACTTTGCAGGAGAGACAGGCTGGAAGCCATTGGGGAAGGAGAAGGGGTGAGTGTCAAAGGAGCCGGGTTGGGGGTGGGGCAGAGGGACTTGGAGCCTCAGACTTGGTGTCTCTCGCCCCAGGAAGGAGCTGAAGGACCCCGACCAGCTCTACACAACCCTCAAAAACCTGCTGGCCCAAATCAAGGTGGGGAGACCAGGTTTCCTTTCCAGGGCCCCTGCACCAATGGCTGTGGCCTCTTGATGCAGTGTGGGGTGGGTAGTGGTCTCGGGCTGGCGTGGGCGCAGCAGGGCTGTCCCCAGCCCGGCTCTTCTCTCCAGTCTCACCCCAGTGCCTGGCCCTTCATGGAGCCTGTGAAGAAGTCGGAGGCCCCTGACTACTACGAGGTCATCCGCTTCCCCATTGGTGAGGACCTTCCATTCCATCCCCTTCCCTCCTCTTCTGTCCCCACACCTGCTCCTGCCCTCACTGCGCCCTGCAGCCCCAGGGGGCCCACCCTGGTGGACAGCCCTGCCGTGGTCTTCAGCCTCTTAAAGCTGTGCTCCGTCTCCTGCTGCCCCAGACCTGAAGACCATGACTGAGCGGCTGCGAAGCCGCTACTACGTGACCCGGAAGCTCTTTGTGGCCGACCTGCAGCGGGTCATCGCCAACTGTCGCGAGTACAACCCCCCGGACAGCGAGTACTGCCGCTGTGCCAGCGCCCTGGAGAAGTTCTTCTACTTCAAGCTCAAGGAGGGAGGCCTCATTGACAAGTAGGCCCATCTTTGGGCCGCAGCCCTGACCTGGAATGTCTCCACCTCGGATTCTGATCTGATCCTTAGGGGGTGCCCTGGCCCCACGGACCCGACTCAGCTTGAGACACTCCAGCCAAGGGTCCTCCGGACCCGATCCTGCAGCTCTTTCTGGACCTTCAGGCACCCCCAAGCGTGCAGCTCTGTCCCAGCCTTCACTGTGTGTGAGAGGTCTCCTGGGTTGGGGCCCAGCCCCTCTAGAGTAGCTGGTGGCCAGGGATGAACCTTGCCCAGCCGTGGTGGCCCCCAGGCCTGGTCCCCAAGAGCTTTGGAGGCTTGGATTCCTGGGCCTGGCCCAGGTGGCTGTTTCCCTGAGGACCAGAACTGCTCATTTTAGCTTGAGTGATGGCTTCAGGGGTTGGAAGTTCAGCCCAAACTGAAGGGGGCCATGCCTTGTCCAGCACTGTTCTGTCAGTCTCCCCCAGGGGTGGGGGGTATGGGGACCATTCATTCCCTGGCATTAATCCCTTAGAGGGAATAATAAAGCTTTTTATTTCTCTGTGTGATTGTTTCTTTGGTGTAGTCCCAGCCTTAGCAGGCTCACCTTGGCCCCCAGGGACCTCTTGCAAACTGGAGGCTGCTCTCCCCAGCAAGCCTCAGGCCTGGTCCTGTGCTCCTGGGGTGATGGGTCCTACCTGCCTGCAGCCCCCCACCTCTCCCTCCTCCAGGCTGCTCCTGATCCAGATGCCAGGGCAGCAGGGGTCAGAACCTCCTGCCTTCACCTTAACCTGGGTGGATGTGGTTACAACTGACTGCAGAAGGGCCAGAGCGTAGAGGATCCTGTAGCACTGAAAGAGTGCTTCCCTGTTAGCACACGTGGTTCTTTTTCTTGGGGCAGGGATAGGAGATTCGTAAGTCGGCTCAGCTGGCTCCTCCCCTCAGTTTCAGTTTCCATTTCTGATTTCTGCTCTCTGCGCTGAGCACAGCGGCACCAGGCTGAGCTAAGCAGGGCCGCCTTGGGCAGGCCTACGTGGTGGTGCAGGCGAGACCCAGGCTGGGCAAGGCGCAGGTGTAGCCTGTGTTACTCCCACCCCCCCCCACCCCCACCTTTTGGCCACAGCAGGCTTCTGATGAGTTTTGAGGGTGTCCCCCCCCCCACCTCCCTCAAGTGGGGTGGAGTCCTGGGCAAAGGGAGGTCTCTGTACCGACTGCTCTGGCCAGGAGTTGGGATGAGTGGAGGGCCCAGTGGGTCTGAGTCCCCTGCCATTCCCAGAATGGAGCTGTGGCCCTACCAATGGGAGGTGATCATGCCTGCCAGGGCGCTGGCGCAGCAGCAGTACTTAACCGGAGTTTGTACTCACGGCAGTTGGCGATGACTGTTAGCACAAACGGTTCTTTTCTCTTGGTTCTTTTTCCTGGGGCGGGGATGGGAGATTCCTAAGTCGGCTCAGCTGGCTCCTTCCCTCAGTTTCAGTTTCCATCTTGGGTCTCTGAGCTGAGCAGAGTGGCACCAGGCTGAGTTAAGTGGGACTGCCCTGGGCAGACCTACCTACTAGAGCAGGTGAGTCCTGGGCTGGGCAGGGGGCAGGTGTAGCCTGTGTTACTCCCGCCTCCCCCTTTTGGGCAGAGCAGGGTCCTGATGGGTTCTGAGGGAGTCCTGCCCCACCTCCCTCAAGTGGGGTGGAGTCCTGGGCAAAGGGAGGTCTCTGTACTGACTGGTCTGGCCAGGAGTTGGGAGGGGTGGAGGAGTCGGTGGGTCTGAGTCCCCTGCCATTCCCAGAATGGAGCTTCGGTCCTACCAATGGGAGGTGATCATGCCTGCCCTGGAGGGCAAGAATATCATCATCTGGCTGCCCACGGGTGCCGGGAAGACCCGGGCGGCTGCTTATGTGGCCAAGCGGCACCTAGAGACTGTGGATGGAGCCAAGGTGGTTGTATTGGTCAACAGGGTGAGTGGTCTGTCCCTACCCCGCTCTCCCACCACCAAGCAGGGTCTTAGCTCTTCAGGCATCTCCCAGTCCCCACCAGAACTCCAAAGCTGCTGTGGCCATCGCTAAGCTCACCTGTCTTTCCACCCTGGCTCAGTACCCAGCCATGTCCTGCGGGTCACCTTACCGCCTCCCTACCCCTGGCCCCAGATTCAGCTCTCTTTTCCCAGCTCATTCTCCACCCCCAGGTGCACCTGGTGACCCAGCATGGTGAAGAGTTCAGGCGCATGCTGGATGGACGCTGGACCGTGACAACCCTGAGTGGGGACATGGGACCACGTGCTGGCTTTGGCCACCTGGCCCGGTGCCATGACCTGCTCATCTGCACAGCAGAGCTTCTGCAGATGGCACTGACCAGCCCCGAGGAGGAGGAGCACGTGGAGCTCACTGGTGAGGGCCATGGCCGGGAGGAAAAAGATACGCATCTGGGGTACCTCCTTTCGCCAACCCCAGGGCACCTCCTGGAGTCAAGGTGTTGGGAGTTTTAGTGGGAGTGAGGGGTTGCCTGTTCACAAAACCCCTGCAGGCACTCTAGTAGAAACAGGCCGGGCTATCGTGTAGGATCTTAGGCCAGTCCCTTCCCCAGCTGAGCCTCGGTTTACTAATCTGTGAAATGGAAAGAAGTCTTCCCTGCCTGGCTCCTCATCCTGGGACCAGCTGCAGGTTGTGAAGGGAAGAAGGAATTCTTACATCATTGTGGGGACTACTTGAAAGCTGATGGGAGGAAGGGCTTTGCAAACATAGGTCACAGCCTTCCCCCCTGTGCCCTCAGTCTTCTCCCTGATCGTGGTGGATGAGTGCCACCACACGCACAAGGACACCGTCTACAACGTCATCATGAGCCAGTACCTAGAACTTAAACTCCAGAGGGCACAGCCGCTACCCCAGGTGCTGGGTCTCACAGCCTCCCCAGGCACTGGCGGGGCCTCCAAACTCGATGGGGCCATCAACCACGTCCTGCAGGTCAGCCTGGCCCCTGTGGGCCTCCCACTGCCAGACCCACCAGGGACTTCCCTCCCTCCCTGCCTGCCCTGCCACTACCCCGTCCCCACCAGCCCTACCAGGCTCTCCATGGCAGGGTCTGGCCCCTTCCTCACCTAAGACCCAGCCTCCAATGGTTTCTTATGGTACAAAGAATTAACTCCCGACTCTACTGTGGTTTACAAAGTTCCACGTGATCTACCTCTCCACCTCATTTCCTGCGCCCTCCCTGTTGTAGCTCATCCTACAGTTACACTGGCCTGCCTTCTGCATGTTGAACATGTAGGGCTTGTTCCATCTCGGGGACCTTTGCATTTACCATTTCTTTTGCCTAGAATGCGCTTCCCTTTGAACTTTTCCTGCTGCCTCCTCCTTGTCATTCATTGAACAGCTTAATGCCACCTCTTGAAAGTCCTCCCTGATCTCTGCTCTCTGTCATATCATCCAGTGCTATCCTCTTCAGAGCTTGTTAATGCGCTCTGCAAGGTTTTATTGTTTTCTTTTTTTTTTTTTTTTTTGAGATGGAGTCTCACTCTGTCGCCCAGGCTGGAGGGCAGTGGCATGATTTCGGCTCCCTGCAACCTCCGCCTCCCAGGTTCAAGCGATTCTCCTGCCTCAGCCTCCCGAGTAGCTGGGATTACAGGCACCCACCACTATGCCCAGCTAATTTTTTGTATTTTTAGTAGAGACGGGGTTTCACCGTGTTGGCCATGCTGGTCTCGAACTCCTGACCTCGTGATTCACCTGCCTTGGCCTCCCATAGTGCTGGGATTACAGGCGTGAGCCACTGTGCCCAGCCTCTTTTTTTTTTTTTGAGACGGAGTCTCTGTTACCCAGGCTGGAGTGCAGTGGCACGATCTTGGCTCACTGCAACCTCCACCTCCCGGGTTCAAGTGATTCTTCTGTCTCAGCCTCCCGAGTAGCTGAGACTACAGGCGCGTGCCACCATGCCTGGCTAATTTTTGTATTTTTAGTAGAGGTGGGGTTTCACCACGTTGGCCAGGCTGTCTCAAACTCCTGACCTCAGGTGACCCGCCCGCCTTGGCCTCCCAAAGTGCTGGGATTACAGGTGTGAGCCACCATGCCTGGCCGGTTCTATTATTCTTTTACTGGTTTATTATCTGCCTCTCCAACTCCAATCTGAGTTCCTTTGTATCCCCAGTGCCTAGAACAAGACGGGCACAGAGAGGGCGAGCAATATTTGAGTAGACGAATGCCCACATTCTCCTGTCCTCAGCTGGGATCCATCCTGCCCCAAATCTTTGACCATTGTCCCCACAGACCCTCCCTTTCCAGTAAAGTCCTCTGTTGCCCCCAGCTCTGTGCCAACTTGGACACGTGGTGCATCATGTCACCCCAGAACTGCTGCCCCCAGCTGCAGGAGCACAGCCAACAGCCTTGCAAACAGTACAACCTCTGCCACAGGCGCAGCCAGGTACGCGGGGGCAGGGACACGGCGAGAGCGGGAGCCGGTGTGAAGTTAGGACACCTAGGCTTGGGCCCTGACTCTGCCCTCACTAGCTCTGTGACTTCAGGTCACTTGCTATGTATCCAAGCCTCAATTTCTCCTTTCTGTGAAATGGGGCAGATACAGCCCATGCCCACAGCCCGCTCTTTGGATTGACTCAGAAGGCACCACTGGTGTCTGTCACATCACTGTCATGCTGGGGAGTGCACTACAAACCAGAGAGCAGGGATACTTTGTGCTGAGGCTCTACTGAGCCCTCTCTAGTGTGGACACGGCCTCGTGTCTGCCATGACTGGACTGGACAAGGACTAGGTGTCAGGTCCATAACTATACCAAATGTTACACTTGGGGTCAGGTTTGAGCCCATGCTGTGGTCTGGAGGGAGGGAGTGAGTGAGCAGATAGCTGAAAGAACCCTTGGGGGGCCATAGGCAGGTGAAATGTAGTTTTATTCAGCAGCGGCTCTCTCACACTGTCCACCTTTATCTGGGCTGTCTGCTCCGGCCCTGTGGCTCCTGCTGCCCCCACGCCTGCAGCTGCTCTCCCTGGCCGGCAAGGCCAGCTCTGTCAGGGTCAGCAGCTTAACTCTTTCCCTCTGGGCACAAGCGGGTTCCTGGCTCCCCACTGCCCACCTTCAAGGCGACCGGCTGTCCCTTGCAGGGGTTAGTAGCATTATTCTCTCTCTGGGCGAGCAAGCGTGCCCTGCCGTGCCGAGCTGAACCAAGCTCCGTGAACAGCGTCAGCAGGGCAGTTTTACCTTCTACTGACAGTAGAGTCCAGTATGAACTTACACAAACAGGTTATATAGCAAGTGGAGTACGTGCCTGCCCCCCAAACTCGCTGAGTCACTCTGGCCCGGATGTCCGCCTCGGCCTATTCCTTGACCAAAGCACGTCCATGTGCCTTACACTAGGCATCACCGTGCCCAGGCCAAAGGGTAAGAGCACATCGCGGGTGAGACAGGGCAGGACTCCCCCACACCCTAGCCGGCCTCCCTCTGGAGCTCACACCACAGCTAAGACAGATGGGTGAGGCAGTCGCGGTGTGCTACACGCCGGGGTCAGCACCCCCACTGGGTGCCCATCCTCCAACGTGTATGGGAATCCCCTCCAACTCTCCTCTTGCTCAGGATCCGTTTGGGGACTTGCTGAAGAAGCTCATGGACCAAATCCATGACCACCTGGAGATGCCTGAGTTGAGCCGGAAATTTGGGACGCAAATGTATGAGCAGCAGGTGGTGAAGCTGAGTGAGGCTGGTGAGAGGGGCAGCCCTTCTGGCGGAGGCGAGGATGTGGGAGTGGTCAGGGGCGGGGCCTGCCGGGGCGGAGGCCTTTGGGGCGGGGCCTATCCACCCCAGGGGTGGAGTCGAGTGGGACGGCCCTATGGGGCAGGGCAGGGGGCGGGGCTGTGGGCTGCTCAGACCCTGCGCCCTCTTCCCGCAGCGGCTTTGGCTGGGCTTCAGGAGCAACGGGTGTATGCGCTTCACCTGAGGCGCTACAATGACGCGCTGCTCATCCATGACACCGTCCGCGCCGTGGATGCCTTGGCTGCGCTGCAGGATTTCTATCACAGGGAGCACGTCACTAAAACCCAGATCCTGTGTGCCGAGCGCCGGCTGCTGGCCCTGTTCGATGGTGAGGGGCGGGAGGGGGCTTCGGGGCCGGGGATGATGGGACCTGGATGCGAGGTCAGAGGCCAGGGCACAGGCGCCAAGGTCGGATGGGAAGGTGCCCGTGAGGATACTGGTGGAGATCCTATTTTTCTAACCAAAATCCAAGGCCATGGGTAGGACTGATTTATTTCCTCATTTGTGAAGGTTTTTGCTTAGTTGTTAAAATTAATTAACATTGTTGACTTTTTTTTTTTTTTTAATAGTCGGGGTCTTGCTCTGTCACCCAGGCTGGAGGACAGTTGTGCAATCATAGCTCACTGCAACCTCGACCTAATGGGCTCAAGTAATTCTCACCCTTCAGCTTCCCAAGTAGCTAGGCGTACAGGTGGGCACCACCACTCCCAGCTAATTAAAAAAAATTTTTTTTGAAGAGGCGGAGTCTTGCTTTGTTGCCCAGGCTGATCTCTAACTCCTGGGCTCAAGTGATCCTCCTGCCTCTGCCTCCCAAAGTGCTGGGATTACAGGTGTGAGCCACTGTGCCCGGCCCAGATTTTTTAAAAGGATTAGCTAGGAGTGGTTCCTTTAGACTGAGAGAGTGAAGCTGAAAGTCAGAGGGTGAAATTTAAGGTTGCAAATCGCAGCACAGGCTGGGGCTCAAGAGATCTGGGTAGCAGAGGTCAGAGTTAAAAGCTCAAGGGTCATCCTGGTCACTGGGGAGAAGAGGGTTCTGGTCTGAGGTTCTGTACTGTATGACCCCGGTGTGAGGCTGGCCTTGAGAGTGGGCTCGGTAGGAGGCATCCTTTTTTGTTTTTGTTTTTGTTTTTTTGAGAGGGAGTCTCGCTCTGTCGCCCAGGCTGGAGTGCAATGGCACCATCCCAGCTCACTACAACCTCCCCCTCCTGGGTTCAAGTGATTCTCCTGCCTCAGCCTCCCGAGTAGCTGGGACTACAAGTGTGCATCACCACGCCCAGCTAATTTTTTTGTATTTTTAGTAGAGACGGGGTTTCACCATATTTGTCAGGCTGGTCTCGAACTCCTGACCTCAGGTGATCCGCTCACCTCACCCTCCCAAAGTGCTGGGATTACAGGCGTGAGCCAATGCACCCGGCCAGGGCATCCTTAAATATGTTCTTGGTGCTGCTGTGGGGGAGTTGAGCAGGAGTTCCATCCTTCCCCCACCCCCCACCCCCCACCTTCTGCACGCCTACAGTCCTATTGCTGTGAGAACCTCCTCCGCCAGTGCCCTCCCCACTCCAAGATCTGAATCCTCTGCCTCTGGGGCTTTTCTTCTTTCTCTTTCTTTCTTTCCCTCCCTCCCTCCCTTCCTTCCCTCCTTCCCTTCTTTCCTTCTCTCTTTCTCTCTCTCTTTCTTTTCCTTTTTTTCTTTCTTTCCCTCCCTCCCTTTCTTTCCTTCTCTCTTTCTCTCTCTCTCTTTCTCTTGCTTTCTTGCTTTCTTTTTTTTTTTCCCAGACAGAGTCTCACTCTGTTACACAGCCTGGAGTGCAGTGGTGCAATCATAGCTCTCTTCAGCCTTGACCTCCTAGGCTTAAGCGATCCTTCTGCCCTCAGCCTCCCAAGTATCTGGGACTACAGACATGTGCCACTACACCCAGCTAAATTTTGGGGTTTTTGACAGACCGCAAGAATGAGCTGGCCCACTTGGCAACTCATGGCCCAGAGAATCCAAAACTGGAGATGCTGGAAAAGATCCTGCAAAGGCAGTTCAGTAGCTCTAACAGCCCTCGGGGTATCATCTTCACCCGCACCCGCCAAAGCGCACACTCCCTCCTGCTCTGGCTCCAGCAGCAGCAGGGCCTGCAGACTGTGGACATCCGGGCCCAGCTACTGATTGGGGCTGGGAACAGCAGCCAGAGCACCCACATGACCCAGGTGTGGGCTTCGGGGAAAGATGCTGGCGCTGGGAGGGATTCCATAGGAGAGAAGTGCGGGGAACAGGGTCTTCAGCACAGAGAGGTGGGGGCAGGGAGACCCTGGGGAAAGAGAAAGTTGACTATCCCCAGGCAGAGGGGCAAGGAGCTAGGGGAGAGGGGCGGACACTGACCTCCCCAGTGCTGGAGCCTCTCCCAGTCTGGAGGTCCTTGGGGGCAGAAGGTTGGGCATGGGGGTCCGTAGGGAAAGAGGTGGGTGATGCAGTTCCTCAGGGCACAGGATCAGGTCTGGGGTCCCTTGCAGAAGACTATGGCTTGAGAGTTTTTCCTAGACTAGAGGGGCAGGGACCCTTAGGAGTCCCTAGGGAAGATAGGGGTTGGACAGTTACCTGGGAAGATGGGCAAGATCCTGGGGGTACCTGGGGATAAAGATGGGATTCAAGTACTCTAGGGAGATGGACCAAGATTGGGAGTGAGGGCTGAACCAGAAGAGGCTACTCTGGCAGGTGGAGTCAGTCTGAGCCTCCTCATGTACCAGCCTCTTTCTCCTCCCTGCCCTCCGCCTGCAGAGGGACCAGCAAGAAGTGATCCAGAAGTTCCAAGATGGAACCCTGAACCTTCTGGTGGCCACGAGTGTGGCGGAGGAGGGGCTGGACATCCCACATTGCAATGTGGTGGTGCGTTATGGGCTCTTGACCAATGAAATCTCCATGGTCCAGGTACTCACATCCTCCTCCACTCAGCCGCCCTTATAGGATCCTGTGTGGGGCCCCAGCCCAACTCAGGACACCCCTTGTCTCTCTTCCCAGGCCAGGGGCCGTGCCCGGGCCGATCAGAGTGTATACGCGTTTGTAGCAACTGAAGGTAGCCGGGAGCTGAAGCGGGAGCTGATCAACGAGGCGCTGGAGACGCTGATGGAGCAGGCAGTGGCTGCTGTGCAGAAAATGGACCAGGCCGAGTACCAGGCCAAGGTCTGCAGGCAGCCTGCATGCCCTGTGGGAGGGATGGGGAGGAGGGAGCCCCTCCCTGGCAGGTTTCTGACTGCACACATACGTCCCCCTGTCCCCTCTACATCTCGGGGCTAACTTTGGCCACCTAGGGAAGGTTTAAATAAGGGCCGGGGTGGGGCTGCCAGGGAAGGCAGTACCTGGACTCCAGAAGGCCTTGGGAACAGGCCTTGTCCAAGGCTCTTTATTTATCTTTGCCATGAGATACTTTATGTATCTGGAAGAGCTGCATTACAGCCTTTCTGGAACCAGGCAGAGGGGACAAGATAAGTCCACGTGCAGAAGATAAGCCCAGAACTAGGACTTATATCATCAGTTCCCCTGAGGCAGGGCCACCACCATCCTGCCTTGTCCAGGGTGCTCCCTGTTGTCCCAGCATAATTGTTAATGATGCCCCATGACAGATTCACAGAAGCAGCTTTGCCTAAAGTCCTTCAAGATTGAGCAGGAAAGCTTACCCCTCCCACTGTTGCCCCCGACTACTCATACTGTTTTTCTCCATAGCTGTTTTTTTTTTTTTCCCCGAGACGGAGTCTCACTCTGTCACCCAGGCTGGAGTGCATGGCACAATCTCCACCTCCTGGGCTCAAGCAATTCTCTTGCCTCAGCCTCCCGAGTAGCTGGGATTACAGGCATGCGCCACCATGCCCGGCTAATTTTGTATTTTCAGTAGAGATGGGGTTTCACCATGTTGCCCAGGCTGGTCTCGAACTCCTGACCTCGTGATCCACCCGCCTTGGCCTCCCAAAATGCTGGGATTACAGGCATGAGTTACTGCATCATCACAGCAATAGAGCTTCTTTTAAGCTCCAGGGAGGGTTAAGGAAAGTCTCTTCCAGGTACAAATGATCTTAGTTCTTTGGGAACCTTTTGTCCCCCAAGGAACGTTCTCTTAGGCCCCAGCCATGCCTGGTGTCTCCTCCCACCCCAGATCCGGGATCTGCAGCAGGCAGCCTTGACCAAGCGGGCGGCCCAGGCAGCCCAGCGGGAGAACCAGCGGCAGCAGTTCCCAGTGGAGCACGTGCAGCTACTCTGCATCAACTGCATGGTGGCTGTGGGCCATGGCAGCGACCTGCGGAAGGTGGAGGGCACCCACCATGTCAATGTGAACCCCAACTTCTCGTGAGACCTGTGGAAGGGGCTACTGGGATGGGGGCCTGGGAATCCTTCCCATCCAGACAGTGCTTTGAAGCTTTGGGAAGCTAAAGAGCATTGTAGCAAGTACTTTGCATTTTCACAATAATCTGGTTAGACAGGTTTTATCCCTGTCTCCATTTTACAGGCAAGGAAATAGAGGCTCAGAGAGGCTATGTGACTTGCCCAAGTTCCCACAGCCACTATCTGGTTGAGCAAGAACTGGAATTCAGGATACTAAGTGTCAAAAGACCACACATTGACCCTCTGGTCCTACCTATTCCGAAGATATCAAGAGAGCTTGGCCATCCCTGGGCCATCCTCCATCCACTATCTCCTAGAGAGTAACCTTCCCCCATCCTCCATCCATTCATTATGTTACCCTCTGTGTTCCGGGCCACTGTGCCAAGGATCTTCACACAGATTTTCTCAATTGAGGAGGTTGCATTTCAGCTAGGTCTCAATGGGTCTGGTTTGAATGTGAGCGAATGAGAAGGTAACCATGGAGGGCCAGGTGCAGTGGCTCACGCCTGTAATTCCAACACTTTGGGAGGCGGAGGTGGGTAGATCACTTGAGGTTAGGAGTTCAAGACCAGTCTGGCCAACATATTGAAACCCCTTCTCTACTAAAAAAAAATACAAAAATTAGCTGGGCGTGGTGGCCCATGCTTGTAATCCCAGCTACTTGGGTGGCTGAGGCATGAGAATCACTTGAACCCGGGAGGCAAGCCAAGATCGCACCACTGCACTCCAGCCTGGGCAATAGAGTGAGACTCTGCCTTTAAAAAAAAAAAAGCGACACCAGTTGACCTGAGTGGAAGGGACTGTGAATAATGAGATTTAGAAAAAGACAGACTAGCCCGTGGAAGATTTGAAAGGTCAGGTGTGAAAGTGTAGCCTTTATCCAGGAGGTTCCTCTTAGGAATCTTGGATAGATTTTAAGGAACAGAATGTCAGGGCAGATTTATATTTTTAGATCCCTCTAGCAGTTGGTGGAAGGATGGCTTGGGATTGGGAGTAAAAATGGAGGCAGAGAGACCCATAAGGAGACTGTGAAGACCAGGTAACCGATGCTGAGGCTTGAACCTGGGCACAAGGGAACGTGCGATGGAGGCCACACAGGTAGAACTCACCAAAGATTGGATTTCCTGGCCTGGGAAGTCTGTGCCTCTTAACCAGCAGGAAGGCCCAAGGTCCAGGCAGAGACTTGGCCGGCAGGAGGGCATGAGATCCGGGGCTGAGGAGGGTCAATGAGGGCTGTGGCCACCCCCCTTCCTCTCCAGGAACTACTATAATGTCTCCAGGGATCCTGTGGTCATCAACAAAGTCTTCAAGGACTGGAAGCCTGGGGGTGTCATCAGCTGCAGGAACTGTGGGGAGGTAAGAGCTTAGGCCACGTCCCAGGCCCCAGAGTCCTCAGCCCCAGTCTTCAGAGGCCCTCAGGGAGCCCTCACTAGGACACGGGAGACAGTCCCACCCCATGGCCTCCAGTCTGAAGAGGGAGGTCCAGCCCCTCCCTAAGGGAGCCCACAGTCTGTGACATCTCAGGTGGGAGGAAAAGGCCCTGTATTCAGGGAATTCCAACTTGAGGAGAGAAGCCCAGTCTGAGGCCAGAGACCCAGACCCTACCCTCTCTGTCTCACCTCCAGGTCTGGGGTCTGCAGATGATCTACAAGTCAGTGAAGCTGCCAGTGCTCAAAGTCCGCAGCATGCTGCTGGAGACCCCTCAGGGGCGGATCCAGGCCAAAAAGTGGTCCCGCGTGCCCTTCTCCGTGCCTGACTTTGACTTCCTGCAGCATTGTGCCGAGAACTTGTCGGACCTCTCCCTGGACTGACCACCTCATTGCTGCAGTGCCCGGTTTGGGCTGTAGGGGGCGGGAGAGTCTGCAGCAGACTCCAGGCCCCTCCTTCCTGAATCATCAGCTGTGGGCATCAGGCCCACCAGCCACACAGGAGTCCTGGGCACCCTGGCTTAGGCTCCCGCAATGGGAAAACAACCGGAGGGCCAGAGCTTAGTCCAGACCTACCTTGTACGCACATAGACATTTTCATATGCACTGGATGGAGTTAGGGAAACTGAGGCAAAAGAATTTGCCATACTGTACTCAGAATCACGACATTCCTTCCCTACCAAGGCCACTTCTATTTTTTGAGGCTCCTCATAAAAATAAATGAAAAAATGGGATAGAAAATGTGTGGTGTCTTAATTTTGTTGGAATATAATTGGTAGAAAATAAACTGCTTGTATAGTGTGCAATTGGGTACTTTTTTAAAATTGTTTTATTTTTTGACATGGAGTTTCACTCTTGTTGCCCAGGCTGGAGTACAGTCACACGATCTTGGCTCACTGCAACCTCCACCTCCTGAGTTCAAGCGATTCTCCTGCCTCAGCCTCCCAAGTAGCTGGGATTACAGGTGCCCGCCACCATGCCCAGCTAATTTCTTGTATTTTTAGTAGAGATGGGATTTCACCATGTTGGCCAGGTAGTTCTCAAACTCCTGACCTCAGGCGATCTGCCTGCCTCAGCCTCCCAAAGTGCTGAGATTACAAGCGTGAGCCACCATCCCTGGCCTGGATACATTTTAACATGCATATCCTCCACGATCAAGATAATGAACATAGCCATCACCCTCAAAATGTCCTGTTTCTTCCAGTGGAATTTTCAAAGAACAACAAAAGTTTCCTGGTTCCCCATTGAAATCCATACCTCTCACCCTTCCCCATCCAATGACCTGCTTTGTAATTTTTAGTGTTAAAAGTGTTTGGCTTTTTTGAGACAGTCTCACTCTGTCGCCCAGGCTGGAGTGCAGTGGCGCGATCTCAGCTCACTGCAACCTCTGCCTTCAGGGCTCAAGTGATCCTCCTGCCTCAGCCTCCCAAGTAGCTGGGATTACAGGTGCCTGCCACCATGCCTGGCTAATTTTTGTATTTTTGGTAGAGACAGGGTTTCGCCATGTTGCCCAACAGGCTGGTCTCAAACACCTGAGCTCAGGTGATCCACCCACCTCGGCCTCTTAAAGTACTGGGATTACATGCATGAGCCACTGGGCCCGGCCTTTTTTTTTTTGTTTTTGTTCTTATTTTGTTTTTGAGACAGGGACTCGCTCTGTCGCCCAAGCTAGAGTACCGTAGTACAATCATGGCTCACTTCAGCCTCAACCTCCCAGGCTTAAGCAATCCCCCCACCTCAACCTCCCTGGTACCTGGGACTACAGATGTATACCACCACACCTAATTTTTGGGGGGTAGAGGGGCAGTGTACAGACAAGTTCTCACTATGTTGCCTAGGCTGATCTCCAACTACTGGGCTCAGGTGATCCTCCCAAAGTGCTGGGATCACAGGTATGAGCCACTGTGCCTGACCTAGTGTTAAAAGTTTTAGGCCAGGCGCATTTTCTCACGCTTGTAATCCCAGCACTTTGGGAGGCCGAGGTGGGCAGATCACCTGGGGTCAGGGGTTGGAGACAAGCCTGGCCATTTCGGTGAAACCCCATCTCTACTAAAAATTACAAAAATTAGCCTCACATAGTGGCAGGCCCCTGTAATTCCAGCTACTCAGGAGGCTGAGGCAGGAGACTCACTTGAACCTGGGAGACGGAGTTTGCAGTGAGCCGAGATCATGCCACTGCACTGCAGCCTGGACAACACAGTAAGACTCCATCTCAAAAATAAAAAAATAAAAGAAGTTTTAAACACTCCTCTTTAATAGCCCTCCTAAGCCTTATTCATAAAGGGTATCAACAGTCTAAACTTGAGGCCCATCAAGAGTGTGAGGGCTTCCTGCTCCCCCTACCCCATAATAGCTTCCAACCCCGATATTCCCCTCTCCACCTTCCCTTAACCCTCAGATCATCTCCCCTAGGCTGGGGAAAGGCTGAGATCCAGGGTTTGAGGGGTGGGCTCAGGTAGGCACGGGGGTGGGGAAAATTACAAAGGCCTAAATTTTCTGTTCTCATTTTAACAAGAAAGAAAAAGAAAGGCAAGATCTAGGTTGCTTCATCAGGGAAAGGGCTATTTCTGTAGTACAAGGCCCAGCAGGCAGGAGACACCTTCAAGAGGAAGGGAGGGGGCTAGGGCAGAGATTTGAGAGCAGGATGGCAGTCCTTCCTGCCGTCCAACCTCCTTCCCTCCTGCTACATTCTTGGTTCTGTCCCCAGGTAGATGAGAAATGCACCCTGTCTTCTCCCAGCATTTTCTTTTTTCTGTAGGCCTCTTGTCTGATTGAGGGCTGAAATTCCCGTTCCCGTCTTTTTGGCTACCATCTCCCATAGACAGTGTACTTCTCTTTCCCAAGGCCCCCCTCTTCCTCCTCTCAAAGTGTCCTTGGCCCTGGATCCAGGAGTCTCCTTCCTCCTCCCTCCTGTCCCATCTCCAGCTGCCTTCCCGGGGGGAGAGTTGCCCATCCGCTCCCCACTTTGCCTTCAGTTAGTATACTGCCTGCCAGCAACGTGCCTTTTACAGGTCAATAAAATTAGCGACTGGGGGCAGAGGGAGGGGGCAGGGGCTCAGGGGTGCTAAGCTCAAAGGCCTTGAATGTGGCTAGACTCACGGAGTCAGGACGCCTGTCATTCCAGGGCTAAACAGTGACAGCTGGGGGACCTGGGCTGGCGCTGGGGGCGGAGGAGGGGCTGTGTGGCAGGGAGGGAGATGGGCTGAGGATAAAGATGGTCTGGTTGCCTAATGGCCCCCTCAGCGGCCTAAACCCCTACACAGCTGAGCCCTGGAGAGGGCACCCTTACTTTAGAGGAGTGTCCCGTCTCACACCCAACCCTGCCAGGCCCGAAGAGCTCAGATGGAAGGGGACTCAGGCCAGGAGAGGTTTCTGAGCTTTCTTCTTCGTGTGAGGGGTCTTTATATGAAGTCACCCTCTCCAGGGCATCTGGGCGAGGCTGTCTGAAGCGGGGAATTCCCACCCACCCCCCGCACCCCCTGGAGTCCTAACTTCCCAGCCTTCAGAACTCGAGCTCCGGGCCCTCCCTGTGGCTCAGATGCTCTCCCGGGACTTCCCACCTGAATGAGCCCGCGCACCCCACCGGCGGGGCCTCGAGGGAGGGGCCGGCCCGGCTCCCCCTCCCAGCCCCGCCCCTGCCCCGCCGGGCCCCGCCCCTCCCAGCCAGCCCCACACGCAGCGTTCCCAGCCAGGCGAGAGCAGGTGGCCGCGGCGGGCTCCGTCTCTGCCCCGCAGGTAAGACGGCGACGCGGGCTAGTCCACGCCGAGGACCTCGAGGGCAGCGCGGGAGAACGAGGCAGCCTCTTCCACCTGTCCGGTCCTCTCGCCTCAAAATTGGGGGACCCCAAGGGACAGTGAGGATATCCCTATCTCGGCTCTGAGCGCCGACGTTGGGCATCTGCTGGGCGGGACTGAACTCTGGGGCAGTTAGAGGGTCCTGGCTGGTTATCCCTGATGCCAGGCGGGCTCCAAAGGATGGAAAAGAAAGAGCCGGGCATTAGACACGCAGCTTTCTGGAGTGGGGCAGGTTGGGGATGGTGAGGACGGGGGTCCGGAGTAAGGAACCTCGTTGACTGAGAGTGCGCCATGCCTCATCCAAGGGCAGCCTCTTCCCCACCCTAGGGGGTGATGGCTTGACCCAAACTGGGCTTCTGTTCCGTGGGCTAATGAGGTAAAAGCCGCCGCATAGCTGAGCTGGGGCCTGGGATTTTCTAATGAGCCCCAGGGCACCTGCATCATTTATTTACATCTGGGTACAAGGGGGTGAGCAGGGGATTACCCCGATGGCCTAGGGAACCCGGAAAGTCTGGGAACTCAGTAGATCTTTTCTGTGTCTGTGTCACAGAGCCGGCTGGGGAAGGTGATCGCAGATGTGGCCTTATTGCAGACAGGGGAGCATTTGCACCCTCAGTGTTGGGATTTGGGCTGTAGGAAAGGGGTCCTGCCTCCCAGGACCTCGAGGAAGCCTTCCTGGAGGAGGAGGACCTGGGCTGACAGCTTGAATGTGATGCTCAGAGCTCTGAGCCACTAAGGAGAGGCAGCCTTTGGGTCTTGGTGCTGGGTTGAAGTAGAGCAGAGGACCCTGGATTATAGAACAAAGGGAAGTCAGGACATTGCTGTCTGGGTCCAGCTGGGACCCCAGGGACCTTCCTGAGATCATCGCAAGCCTTTGGACAGACACGGGTGACAATGGGGGGAGGGGGGCTTCCTTGTCTGTCTAGATTCCCCATTCCATTGCCTCATTTCACCACACAAACCATCAGAGGCAGAAGTTCGTTCTCATATCCGACCTTCATCCCTTCTGGGTCTGTGCCAGCTTCTTGCTTCTGGGAGGCCATGTGCTCTAGTGGAAAGAGTGGGGGCTTTGGGGTCAGTTAGAGCTGAGTTCTGACACCTCTACCTACTGCGTGACCTTGAACAAGTTTCTTAACCTCTTTGAGTTCACTTAATCACCTGTAAAATGGGGATAATAATAGAACCCACCTCATAGAGTGGCTGCAAGGGTTAAATGAGGGTACACATGTAGAGCGCTTAGCACAGTGCCTGGAGCCTGGCGAGGGCTCAGAAAGTACCAGTGTCCCCTCATGTGTGGGACAGCAAAGCCGATCTGCAGGGAGTGAGAGCGAGCAGGGGAGGGGGGAGTGGAAGGGTTTTTTTTTTTTTTTTTTTAGCTAAGCTTGGCTAGAAAGAGTGCCCTTCACTGCATGCCCCCCTACCAGGGGGAACCTGCCCCCTGCTGGTTCCTGGATCTCTGGACCTCTCTGGGCTGCCCAGGGCCCCTCACCTCCTCCTCTTTTAGTCACCTTGTTTGTGTTGCCTTTTGTCTCTGTAGAGGGGAGAGAGTCCCCCCGCCCCCGCCCAAGGCAGGGACCAGTACCAGCAGGAGCTCACTTGGGCTGTGCCTCAGTGGAACAAGCTCTGGCTTGGAGACCCAACCTGAAAAAAATGCCCTCTTGTCATCACTGCTCTGCCCTCCCACCTCCAGGAGTTGGGATCAAGCCGCACTAAATTTTTCCAGGAAGATAAATAATACGAGTGACTGAAAGTCCTGTTTGGGGATTGTCCAAGCTGTCCTCCAGTGAAAGGACAGCTTCAGGCCCTGGCCTGATCTCTAGGCTGCCAGGGAAGGCTGAGTTCAGTAGCACCCTTAAACCTGGGCAAGGGAGGGAGTGCCCATGCCCTAAGCTGGGGGCTTTCAAAGGCTCCACTCTGGCCCTCCTGCTGCCAGTCCTCTCCCTGTGGGATGAGGCATCAGCAGGGCCGAGGGGATGAGACTGTGAGTCCCCTCCAAGACCACATTCTCCATACCTGTGACTCTGGAGGTCCCTGCCTAGATGGTCACCATCTGGCTCCCAGCCCATGCCAGCCTCTTCCCTGGGCCTGTCTGCCTCAGGACAGGTTATGCCAATAGTGTGTGCACCCCTACGGACAGTGAAGGGACAGCTATTTGCAGGGGCTGTGGATGGAGCAAGGACATGAGGCTGGGTGTCCTTATACATGCACAAGAGTCCCTTGTGGTGCAGACAGGACCCGGCAGCAGGAAGGGGGGTGGCCAGGGTGCGAGTGGAGCTGTCTCCTCTGCACAGAGTCATTCTGATGTGTAAAGCTCAGGAGGCAGATAAATCCAAATTTGTATCTGGTCCTCCAGGTTGTTAATGAAGGTGTATTTGTCAGGGTGAGAGGTTAGAACATATTTCACAGTTTGCTGGCTTGATTTATAACTTTTAAATATTTAGACATATGTCTGTGGGCCGCCATTTGTCCCCTTGCCCCAGGCCCTGTGAGTGTTCCAGGTGGGCCTGGCTGGGCCTGTGACTTCAGCTGCCATTTGGTTAATTCCTTCCCCACTCTCCCTGTCCCCCAGTAGAGTAGCACCCCTATAAAACTGGGCTTAGAACATGCTTACCTGGACCAGGACGGAGTTTCAAGGTGAAATGAAGATTGTCAGTTGTCATCAACAAGCAGTTCCCCTGTGGGCCTCCTGACCTCATTATCCACCACAAAACTGGGACAATTTTTTTTTTAATGTCCTGTGATGCTTGAGAGGGAAGGGCTGGGGAGGAGAGGTTACTTCTCTCCTGTGTGTGGTGAGGGTGTGGGTCACTGGACCCCAGGAGCAAGGAGAGAGCTAAATGGGGCCGCAGCAGCAGGAGGGATGGAAGCTAGCCTGGGGGAAAGCCAGGGTTGGACCCCACCATCCCTCTGGCTGCCCTTCTCAGAGGGAGCTGCGCCTGCCACCCGGGAGGGCCCATGTGTCTATCATGTGGGTTCTCCCATGAGTTTGGAGTTTGGGCTTGGGACAGGGGAGACTGTGGGGTCAGCTGGCCAGGCGGCGGGGGTCATCCCCAGCGGGAATGAATGGTACGCTGGTGTTGACTGTAGTCAAGTGCCCTGTGGCACCTGGACACACCGTCTGTTCAGAAGAGGCATGAAACCTTTATTGTGGCTGTCTCTGCTCACTCATTGTTTCTGATTGGGCTATTTGAGGAACAGCCTGCCACGTTGGCCTCATTAGCATCGTGAGGCTCTTAATGGAACTGGATCCACACACGTGTACAGACACTCACAAACTCACTCAGGTACGCATGCCCGCCTGCACTAACCCCCAGAGGTCTGTGTATAGGGTTGTGCGCTCCTAAACCCCACCCCAGGTCAGACCCACCCTGACACACATGGCTTGTGACACCCATACCTTCACCCCAGTCACACTCTCACTGTCCCTTATTGGTGACTTTTCATTCACCTTGGGTGACCCACTGGCTCCAGTGGCCAAGGGCTGGCTTACTAGAGGGTGGCTGGGGGCCAGATGCCGGCAGCGGTTGGTTAAGCTTTTGGGACAGGAGGCAGCAGCATTGCCCTGGTGAGGCCACCCCCAGTGGGGCTCGACCCCCAAGCACTTTGGCTCCCCCCACGTCTCCCAGGAGAGTGTCTCTGGGTCCTGAGGCTGTCTGTCCTTGTGTAGTTCTCGTGAGCCTCTTTCTGCTTCGGCCTGTGAGTGTGTCTGGCCCTGCGCCTCCTGTGTGCTCCCCATCTGTGTCCTTTCCCCTCTCCTGACCCTGTCCTTTGTTATCTCTGTCTCTCCTCTCCACCCGTCTAGCTCTTTTTTCTGTGAGTCTTTCTATGTCTTTTCTTCTTCCTTTTTCTCTGCCTCCTCTGTCTACCCCTTCTCTCTCTGTCCCTCTCTCTCACACTCCCACTCTCAGTGTCTGACTGCGTGGCTATCTCTCTGGGTGGGTCTTTCTGTATCTTCACCTCTCTCTATATCTGCCTGTCAGTCTGGACATGTATCCCTCTGACTCTCTGCCTTAGTCTCTTGAGGAGTCTCGGCAAAAGGAGAGCCAAGAGTCCTGAAAGAAGGTGACAGCCAGGCACGGTGGCTCACGCCTGTAATACTAGCACTTTGGGAGGCTGAGGCGGGTGGATCACCTGAGGTCAGAAGTTCGAAACCAGCCTGGCCAACATGGTGAACCCCCGTCTCTACTAAAAATACAAAATTAGCTGGGCGCGGTGGCGCATGCCTGTAATCTCAGCTACTTGGGAGATTGAGGTGGGAGAATCGTTTGTACCTGGGAGGCAGAGGTTGCAGAAAGCCAAGATTGCGCCATTGCACTCCAGCCTGGGCAACAAATGTGAAACTCCATCTCAAAAAAAAAAAAAAAAGGTGATAATGCCTCCCAGGGGGCCACGATCACTTCTGGGCTCCTCCACTGCCAGGCAAGGCGGCAGGAAAGGGAATATCACGTCCTAGGGAGAGTGGATGGGCCGAGTGCAGTGGCTCACACCTGTAATCCCAGCACTTTGGGAGGCCAAGGTGGGTGGATTGCTTGAGGTCAAGGAGTTAGAGATCAGCCTGGCCAACATGGTGAAACCTCGTCTCTGCTAAAAAAGTACAAAAAATTAGCCGGGCTTGGTGATGGGTACCTTTAATCCCAGGTACTCGGGAGACTGAAGCAGGAGATTTGCCTGAGCCTGGGAGGTACAGGTTGCAGTGAGCCAACATCGTGCCACTGCACTCCAGCCTGGACGACAGAGTGAGACCCTCTCTCAAAAAAAAAAAAATAAATAAAATAAAATAAAAAGTAAAAAAAATAAAGAGCTGATGGCTCATCTCCTCTAACTCCTCTGTTGAGAACTCCGGGGTTTCGGCTCTGAACTCTGAAACTTTCTTCAGTGATGAGGCCCAGGGTCATAGGCCTGGGAGCAGGGCTGGGGGTCCAGAGTCATCACTCTGGGAGATAAGGGATAGAGCCCCTTGTCTGTCTGGTTGACCTGATTGACCTTGAACTGAGGGAAGGGTGTTGGGACTTGGAGTCTCCCTCAGAAGAGGCGTTGACCAGAGTGGGGCTGAATTGACACTTTTCTTTCTCCTGGAAGCAGTCAAGCTCAGCCCACCCACCCCGGGCCCCAGCTTCCTGCTCCAAACCACAGCTGTGCTCCCCACCCTGTTCCAAATATTTCTGCCAACTGCCCCAGGCCGAGGGGCCTGTTTAAACAGCCTCCCTGCCCTCTCCTGGCCTCCCCACCTCTGTGGCCTCCCCATCGCTCCCACGGCTTCTTGCACAGGAGCGGCTGTGTTGGCTGTTTGTTTATTGGATTAAGATTTCCTTGGGTGGGGCAAGGACTGACTCCACAGGTCCTTCTTCTCACTTTAGATGCCCAGGCTAGAGGCCAGACCCAGCTTTGGCCTTGCCCCCTGCCCTGTCCAGCCTTCCCCGGACCCCCGCCCCCCGCTCCCAGATGTCTCTCCTACATCCCAAGCCCCAGACTTCTCTACCCTTCTGATCTCAGCTCTGTTCAGTCCCGCATCTGATGCCAGCTGACCCCCTCCCCAGCCCCAAAGTTGAGTGCTCTGGCCCTGGAGGGCAGGATGGGGATGGGACACTCCCCCACTCCCTGCTGAGAGGAGAGGAAATGCCAGGAAAAGGCACTGGGAACAGGAACCCTTGGGTTTTCTAGGGGTTCCTAAAGAGGGACACATGGGGTGTGGTCTTTGGAATGTGGGAGAAGCCTGCCCACTCTCCCTGTTGGCAGAGGCTTGAGCCAGTCCTCCAGTGAGACTTTAGCAGAGGAATAATTCTCTGATGGGCTCGGGGCCCCTGTAAGAATCCATCTCCAGAACAATCTCCCTAGGACCCCAAAGGGCCTCCTATCCCCTGATTTTGTACAGAACTTTGCAGTATACAGAACTGCCTCATCCCATCCTATGAGCACCTGCAGAGATCAAAATTCTTTTTTTTTTTTGACACGAATCTCGCTTGCTCTGTTGCCCAAGCTGGAGTGCAGTGGTGCAGTCTCAGCTCACTGCAACCTCCCCCTCCCAGGTTCACAAGATTCTCGTGCCTCAGCCTCCTGAGTAGCTGGGATTACAGGCACATGCCACCATGCCCAGCTAATTTTTTGTATTTTTAGTAGAGACAGGGTTTTGCCATGTTGTCCTGGCTGGTCTCGAACTCCTGAGCTCAGGTGATCCACCCACCTCGGCCTCCCAAAGTGCTAAGATTACCGTCATGAACCTCTGGGCCTGGCTAAGATCAAAGTTCTTTTTGTAGATGATGAAAGCTCAGAGAGCAAAGGAACTTTCGCAGAATCAATCTTCTAGCAGAACCTGGACTGGAACCTGGGTCTCCTCACCCCTCACAGCCAGGGCTCCTTGCCAGACCATGCTGGAGCTGCTCCTTTGATTAAAAGAGTCACAGGCTGCAGTCACCCCTGGCTCTTCCTGAATCTCCCCCTCACCCAAAGCTCCTCTACCTTCACACACCAAGACTCCTGGTCCCTGAGTCTCTGGCTGGGAGGTGAATATAGGGGCAGGTAGCATTCTTGTGACCTTATTCTGAAATTTGCTGTCCTAGTTAGCAGCTTCCTGAGGGGAGAGGGACACAAGAAGCTTTTAGAGATGGTTTCAACCCTCTGGGTGCTAATTGGGAATGAGACTCTCCCTAGGTTGAGACTGGGGACAGCTATTCTGGGTCTGCAAGATGAGGTGTGGGGGTGGAGAGGCCAGAGGGGGGATCAGGAAGTTTCCCCAAATAGCCTGGCCTGAAGCCACACGTGGGAGCCAAGCCCCAAGAAGGTGGCCTAGATGAAGGGGTGGAGGGGGAGCTGTCCATTTGGCACATGGGCCTGACCCTTGGGAAGCTGGGCATAGGGCAAAAATCAGGAGCAGGACTGGTTTTGTATCCTCTTTTCTTTTTTGTTTGAGATGAAGTCTCGCTCTGCCACCCAGGCTGGAGTACAGTGGTGCGATAACAGCTCACCGCAGCCTCCGCCTCCCAGGCCCAAGCAATCCTCCCACCCCAGCCCTCAGTCCAGAGCCTCACGAATAGCTGGGACTACAGGCACACACCTGGATAATTTTGTTACATTTTCTGTAGAGACAGGGGTCTCCCTCTGTTGCCCAGATTGGTTTCAAACTCCTGGGCTCAAGCGATCCTCCTGCCTCAGCCTCCCAAAGTGCTAGGATTACAGGCTCATGCCTGTAATGCCACCATGCGCAGCCAGTCTTCTCTTTGTTCTCCCACTGAAATGGGCTTCCTTGGAACTTGATGTCATAAGTGGGTGTGTCTCTACCCTGTCCCAGCCCCTACCCCCAAGCCCCAGCCTACTGTCCTAGCTCTCATCCCAGTGACACTGATTTACTCATTCATTTAACCAATATTTATGGAGCACCTACTATGTGTTATACTTGCTAGCCTCTGCCCTGGGAATTCAGGAGGAACAAGACAGGGTTCCAAGAGGGAACAAGATAGGTTCTCTTTTTTTTGAGACGGAGTCTCGCTCTGTCGCCCAGGCTGGAGTGCAGTGGCAGGATCTCGGCTCACTGCAAGCTCCGCCTTCCGGGTTCACGCCATTCTCCTGCCTCAGCCTCCCGAGTAGCTGGGACTACAGGTGCCCACCACTGTGCCCAGCTAATTTTTTGTATTTTTAGTAGAGATGGGGTTTCACCATGGTCTCGATCTCCTGACCTCGTGATCCGCCCGCCTCTGCTTCCCAAAGTGCTGGGATTACAGGCGTGAGCCACCGTGCCCAGCCTAAGATAGGTTCTCAAGAGGGAATAAGAGGCTGGGTGTGGTGGCTCACGTCTGTAATCCCAGCACTTTGGGAGACCAAGGTGGGTGGATCACTTGGGGTCAGGAGTTCGAGACCAGCCTGGCCAACATGGTGAAAACCCATCACTAATTAAAAATACAAAAATTAGTGCGTGATGGCGCAAGCCTGTAATCCCAGCTACTCGGGAGGCTGAAGCAGGAGAATCGCTTGAACCTGGGAGGTGGAGGTTGCAGTGAGCCGAGATCGCGCAATTGCACTCCAGCCTGGGCGACAGAACGAGACTCCATCTCAAAAAAAAAAAAAAAAAAAAAAAAAAAGGGAATAAGAGGAAATGGGAAGGAAGGAAAACTACCCTAGAGAGAGCAATGCAGGAAGGCGTCTTTCAGAGGTGATAGTTAAATATCAGCCATGAGAAGGAGGAGGGAGGGGTCAGAAGGAAAAGAGCACTCAAGGCAGAGAGAACAGGCTTTGAGAAAGCTCCCAAGTGAGGGGAAACTCGCTGTGCTCCAGGGACAGAAAGAGCCCAGTGTGGCTGGAAGGTGGGGAGTTATAGGAAACAGATCAGAGGGACACAGGATATTTTAACCACTACGGATATTTTGACCCGAAGGATGTTTTGAATGCAAACATTTTAAACCAAAACATACTAACCCTGAAAATGTTTTAAGAAGGTGTTCTCCAGCTTGAACTCTATTCATCCAACTTAATTCTTTGATCAGATTTTTGTTTTTCCCCTGTAGTACAGTTAAACAAATGTCCATGTTTTTCATTCTTTTGTAATTTTACTGAAACTGTTTTCATCGGCATCGATTCCGTACACATTCTGCTGCTGAGATTGGAGGCATCCATCAGTGTGGGGGCTGCAGGCTCTTGACACGAGTTTCTGCCATTGTGTGATTGACTGGGTAACCCCATTCCATTTTGGAAGATTTAAATTAAAACCAAAAAAAAAGATTCGTGGTCAAGATTTGATTCTTTTGTGCATTTTAGTCAATAATGAGTTTTCTTATATCCATTTCTAGCCATCCTCAGTGTTACTTCTACCCGTAATATTTTTAGGTGGAGAGTTGTATTTATATCTCAGTTGATCTGTGGGAGGAATCAGGTGGAAGGGGTGGACTGGGAGAGAAGGGCTTGGGGGAGGGGAAAGGCCCGGATCTTCCAGGCTGGGGCAAGCATTCTCCTAAAGCAAAGGGTGAAGCCTTTAGAGCTTTTATCCCAGAGCATGACTTGATCAGATTTGCCTTTATTTTTATTTATTTATTTATTTATTTATTTAGAGACAGGGTCTTATTCTGTCCCCTAGGCTGGAGTGTGGTGGTGTGATCACGGCTCACTGCAGCCTCGACCTCCCAGGTTCAAGCTATCCTCCCACCTCAGCCTCCTGAGTAGCTGGGACTATAGGTGTGCACCACCACACCCAGCTAATTTTTGTATTTTTTGTAGAGATGGAGTTGCCCAGGCTGGAGAGTTGCCCTTTTAATAGTCTCCCTCTGGCTGTGTGAAGATGGGACTGGGAGGGAGAGGAAGTGGGGAAGTAGAGGCAGGGAGACCAGTGAGGTGGCTGTTCTGCCAATCCAGGTGGTAAAGAGAAGTGAACCGGGCCAGGCATGGTGATGCGTGTGCCTGTAGTCCCAGTGTGTTGAGAGGCCAAGGCGGGAGGATCGCTTGAGGCCAGGAGGTCGAGGGTGCAGTGAGCTGTGATCGCACCACTGCACTCCAGCCTGGGTGACGGGTTACAGATAGAGTATGGGGTAAAAAAGGGCAGGGTAATCTCTGTCCCACTCCCCAGGATCCCACCGCAGCCCTCCTGCAACATGCAGAATGCCCTTGCTGCCATTCCCACACCCTTAGCTCCCTGCTTCTGGTATTTGAGGCAGCTTGGAGCTCTTCCCCCCAACACCCAGGCTCTGGCCACTTGGAGTTTGTACAGAGTCGAGACCAAGAACTGGGGCGTTTCCCTTGGAGGTTTCTCCTTCTTTGCACTGAGGGAGAGTCAGGGATGCCCTGCTGAGGTTGGGGTGGGGGATGGAAGGGATGGGAATGGCCCTGGGATCCACCTACCTCGAGTCCCGTGGCTGGAGCCGCCCAGGCGGCCGCAGACCTGGCGGTGAAACAGACCCAGACACAGGGCGCTTGTCCGGCGGTGCTCCGCCCTCTGGGTGTGACACTGGGCAGGGAGACAAAGGGGCCTCTGTCAGTGTGGGGCACTGCGCCCACCCGGGCCAGGCCAGGCGCCTGAGGAGGGAGGGAGGTGACCTGGGGGTGCTGGAAGAGAGAAGGTTGAAGGGAGACAGACCTCAGGTTTGAGTGCCATCTGAGGGCAAGTCTCTTCCTCTCCGGGTCCTCAGTCTCCTCATCTGTAAAGTGGAAATCTCAGTCCCAACCTCCCAGACCCAGCATCAGCAGGATGGACCTTGTTGATTGACTACACTTGTGTTATTTAGCAAACATATGTAATGATTACCACATGCCTGGTTGCTAAACACTTTGCAAATATTGACTCAGGTAATCCTCATAACGACCCTCTAAGAGTGTCGATTAAAAAAAAAATTAACCATTTAAAGAATTAAAGTTAGTTTTATTTAGAAGTCTTACGGAGGACTATAGAGCATGGCCTACAGCCCTAAAACAGTTTTGTCAGACTGTTTTAAATCAGTGTTTTAGCTTATAGTTTATATATAGGTAGTGGGGGTTCAGTATGTGCAAAAGGACATCAAAATTTGGCTGTAACAGTATATTGGTTATAGATTACGGAGGTATAATCACTAACTCTGTCAGACATTATTGTATGTGCAACAAAAGGCAAGGACTATGGTTATTTTATTTTTATGGAGACAGGGGTCTTGCTATGTTCCCCTGGTTGGTCTTAAGCTCCTGGCCTCAAGTGAACCTCCTGTCTCGGATTCCCAAAGTGCTGAGATTTATAGACGTGAGACACTGCGCCTGGCTAGGACTGGGGCCATTGATCTTTTAAGGAATATAGTGATTCAAGCAAGAGATGTGGGGCTGTGGGAGGTGCTGTGTTTTATCTTGTTTTGTCTTTAAAACTCTTTTCAGAGAGCTGCAGATAAGCACAGAGTCAGGGACTTTGTGAAATTATCCTGGTAAGCAGAAATGAGCAAATGGCTTCTGATGTTTGCTACTTTGTGTCACAAGTTTTTTCTTTTGGTCATAAATCAGCTGCCTGGTTGTATTTAAAAGCCAAATGCTGATTGTGTCAGGTAACTAGGAAGCCTCTTTTTTCAGGATGATTGATTGTTTTCAGTTGTAGTTTTAAGCAATGAGCACTAGTCCCAGCGTGCATATATGCCTACTTATTGGAAAACACAGTTTGAATTGCATTTATTTTTTAATTAGCATGATCTAGGTTTTCATCAACATTGTCTTTTTTTGTACTTAACCCTTTAATAGGGCTATTACAAGGATATTATAGATCATACATAGCAGTATATGCTTAATAGTATTAAGGCTTAAGTATACAGGCCTCACGCCTGTAATCCCAGCACCTTGGGAGGCTGAGGTGGGCGGATCACCTGAGGTCGGGAGTTCAAGACCAGCCTGACCAATATGGAGAAATCCTCGTCTCTACTAAAAGTACAAAAAATTAGCCGGGCGTGGTGGTGTAATCCCAGCTACTTGGGAGGCTGAGGCAGGAGAATTGCTTGAACCTGGGAGGTGGAGGTTGCAGTGAGCCAAGATCACGCCACTGCACTCCAGCCTGGGCAACAAGAGCAAAACTCTATCTAAAAAAAAAAAAAAAAAAGTATTAAACTGAGTTACATATGGGAAAAAACATAACTAATAAAACAAACTTACATTTGTGTTTTTAAATTAATTTTACTTTTTTCTTTCTGTATTTATATTTATTGGATTTTTTTTTTTTTTTTTTTGAGATGGAATCTCACTCTGTTGCCCAGGCTGGAGTGCAATGCTGGGGTCTTGGCTCACTGCAGCCTCTGCCTCCTGGGTTCAAGCTATTCTCCTGCCTCAGCCTCCCAAGTAGCTGGAATGACAGGCGCACGCCACCATGGCTGGCTAATTTTTGTATTTTTAGTAGAGACAGGGTTTCTCCATGTTGGCCAGGCTGGTCTCGAACTCCTGACCTCAGGTGATCCGCCTGCCTTGGCCTCCCAAAGTGCTAGGATTACAGGCGTGAGCCACTGCGCCTGGTCTTAGAGTTGGTTTTTAAAATTTATTTATTTATTTATTTAAGACAAAGTCTCACTCTGTTGCCCAGGCCGAAGCGATCTCAGCTCACTGCAACCTCTGCCTGCCTGGTTGAAGCGATTCTTGTGCCTCGGCCTCCCGAGTAGCTAGGCTTACAGGGGTGTGCCACCACATCCAGCTAATTTTTGTGTTTTAAGTAGAGACGGGGTTTCACCATGTTGCGCAGGCTGGTCTCTAACCCCTGACCTCAGGTGATCTGCCCACCTTGGCCTCCCCAAGTGCTGGGATTACAGGCGTGAGCCACTGCACCCAGCCGGTTTTTTAAATTTAAATTTAAATGTATTGTTATTATTTTTCGAGACAAGATCTTGCTCTGCTGCCCAGGCTGGAGTGCAATGGCACAATCATGGCTCACTGCAGCCTCAACCTCCCTGGCTCAAGCAATCCTCCCACCTCAACTTCTCAAGTGACCAGGACCACATGCGTGTGCCACCATGCCTGGCTAATTTTTAAAAAATGTTTTGCAGAGGCCGGGCGTGGTGGCTCACGCCTGTAATCTCAGCACTTTGGGAGGCCGAGGTGGGTGGATCACGAGGTCAGGAGTTCAAGACCAGCCTGGCCAAGATGGTGAAAACCCATCTCTACTAAAAACACAAAAAATTAGCCAGGCGCAGAGACAGACGCCTGTAATCCCAGCTACTGGGGAGTCTAAGGCGGGAGAATCGCTTGAACTCAGAGGGCAGAGGTTGCAGTGAGCCGAGATCGCGCCACTGCACTCCAGCCTGGGCGACAAAGTGAGACTCTGTCTCAAAAAAAAAAAAAAAAAAATGTTTTGCAGAGGCCCAGCTTGGCGGCTCACACCTGTAATCCTAGCACTTTGGGAGGCTGAGGCGGGCAGATTGCCTGAACTCAGGCATTTGAGACCAACCTGGGCAACATGGCGAAACCCTGTCTCTACTAAAAATACAAAAAAAAAAAAAAGAAAAAAATTAGCCGGACGTGGTGGCGCACACTTGTAGTCCCAGCTGCTCAGGAGGCTGAGCCACAAGATTTGCTTGAACCTGCGAGGTGGAGGTTGCAGTGAGCCGACATTGTGCACTCCAGCCTGGGCAACAGAGTGAGACTCTGTCTCAAATTAAAAACAAAAAAAAATGTTTTGCAGACAGGGTCTCCATATGTTGCCCAGGCTGATCTTGAACTCCTGGACTCAAGCAATCCTTCTGCCTTGGCTTCCCAAAGTGCTGGGATTACAGGTGCACGCCACCACGCCTGGCTAATTTTTGTATTTTTAGTAGAGACGGGGTTTCACCATGTTGGTCAGGCTGGTCTCGAACTCCTGGCCTCAGGTGATCTGCCTGTCTTGGCTTCCTAAAGTGCTGGGATTACAGGCATGAGCCACCGCACCCAGCCCAGATCTTTATACATTTTAAGTAGTCTTTAGATTGTTTATATAAATAACATATCTGTATAAAATATGGAAAATATTGAACATAATTAAAATTATGACTGGCCAGCCATGGTGGCTCACACCTGTAATCCCAGCACTCTGGGAGGCTGAGGTGGGAGGATGGCTTGAGCTCAGGTGTTCAAGATCAGCCTAGGAAACATAGCAAGACCCCATCTCTAAAAAAAAAATTTTTTTTTAAATTAGCTGGGCATGGTGGTGTATGCCTGTAGTCAAAGCTACTTGGGAGGTTGAGGCAGGAGGATTGTTTCAGCCCAGGAGGTGGAGGCTGCAGTGAGCCGTGATCATACCACTGTACTCTAGCCTGGGCAACAGAGTGAGACCCTGTCTCCAAGAAAAAATAAAATAAAATTATCATTGATAATATATTAGATTTTTATGAACTAATATAATTGTGAAACGTTTATATTAATAACACTCATAAATGTAACTGAAAGAAGATCTATTATTATTTATTATTTGACGATGTCTTTTATATGTCTATTTAGTTTAAAAAGGCTTAATTTAGGATTTTGATCTTGGAGAAACCTGCCAAAGATGTAAAAATGTTTAAAACACTTCATCAAAACAGAATCATAGGTCATTCTAAAATAATAGTTTTTTGTTTGTTTTTGGTTTTGGGTTTTTTTTTTTTTTGAGACAAGCTCTGTCGCCCAGGCTAGAGTGTAGTGGTGTGATAATAGCTCACTGCAGCCTGGAACTTCTGGGCTCAAGCAATCTGCCCTCATAGGTTGGACTACAGGCATCTGCCACCATGCCTAGCTATTTTTTTTTTTTTCAGATATGAGGTCTTGATATGTTCAGCACAGACTAGTCTGGGACTCCTGGCCCCAAGCAAACCTCCCATCTCAGCCTCCTAAAATGGTGGGATTATAGGTGTGAGCCACTGCATTCACCCAAATAATATTTATTTAACCAGAGTGATAAACGGCTTTAAAAGTGGCTGGGTATGGTGGCTCACGCCTGCCATCCTGGCACTTTGGGAGGCCGAGGCAGGTTGTTCACCTGAGGTCAGGAGTTCAAGAACAGCCTGGTCAACATGGCAAAATGCCATCTCTACTAAAAATATAAAAATTAGCCTGGTGTATTGGTGGACGCCTGTAATCCCAGCTACTTGGGAGGCTGAGGCAGGAGAATCGCTTGAACCTGGGAGGCAGAGGTTGCAGTGATCTGAGATCGCACCATTGCACTCCAGCCTGGGCGACAGAGTGAGACTCTGTCTCAAAAAAAAAAAAAAAAAAAAAAAAAAAAAGACTTGAAAAGCAATACAGAAAGTTACATGGATGTAAAAACTTTAATTCTTTTAAAGTTTAGTTTTTTTTAAGTAATCAAAAACTTAATAAAGACAACACAGGATTTTCTTGGTAAAATGTAAAATCTTTGTTTTTTGGGCCAGTTACCAGAAAACAAAGACCTCCTGTAGTGTGATTGGTTTTTTAAAACATTTTGTTATGGCCAGGCGCGGTGGCTCATGCCTGTAATCCCAACACTTTCGGAGGCCGAGGTGGGTGGATCATGAGGTTAGGAGATCGAGACCATCCTGGCTAACTAACATGGTGAAACCCCGTCTCTACCAAAACTACAAAAAATTAGCGGGGGCGTGTTGGCGGGTGCCTGTAGTCCCAGCTACTCTGGAGGCTGAGGCAGGAGAATGGCATGAACCCGGGGGGCAGAGCTTGCAGTGAGCTGGGATCACGCCACTGCACTCCAGCCAGGGTGACAGCAAGAGACTCCATCTCAAAAAAAAAAAACAAAAAAACATTTTGTCACGAGTCAGGAGCTTTGTGAAATTATGCTGGCAAGCAAAAATGAACAGACATGGTTTCTTACATTTGCCACTTTGTCTCTCAAGAGGTACTGTTTTTTGTTGTTTTGGTTTTTTTGAGAAGGAGTTTCATTCTATTGCCCATGCTGGAGTGCAGTGACGCAATCTTGGCTCACTGCAACCTCCACCTCCCGGGTTCATGCCATTCTCCTGCCTCAGCCTCCAGAGTAGCTGGGATTACAGGCGTGCACCACCATCCTGGCTAAATTTTGTATTTTTAGTAGAGACGGGTCTTCACCATGTTGAACAGGCTGGTCTCAAACTCTTGACCTCAGGTGATCCACCAGCCTTGGCCTCCCAAAGTGCTGGGATTACAGGTGTAAGCCACCGCGCCTGGCCTTGCCTGGCTAATTTTTGTATTTTTTGTAAAGACAGGGTCTCATTATGTTGCCCAGGCTGGTCTCAAACTCCTAGACTCAACCAATCCTCCTACCTCAGCCTCCTGAAGTGCTGGGATTACAGGCATGAACAGCCACACTGGCTGATACCTGGTTCTTTAGAGGGGATGGAAAGGGCGTCCTGGAGCACCTTTGCCTGGGGAAACATAATTGTACACTGTCTGCCATCCCAGGGCTGGCTCTTAGGGCAAGGCCAAGAGTGCAGTGGGTGGGAGAGAAGCCAGATGCCACAAGAGGAATCCTGGGACCAGAGACTCAGGTGAGGGGGTGGAGTAGGGATCTAGAGGAGCCAGTCACCACACTGCCACCTTTGGCCTAGTTGTGGGAGCAGGGGAGGCTGGAAGAGATTTGGTATTCCTTCAACAGAAGGTTGGTATTCCATCAGAATCTCTGGGAAGAGGTCGGGCGTGGTGGCTCACGCCTGTAATCCCAGCACTTTGGAAGGCTGAGGCGAGCGGATCACTGAGGTCACGAGTCATACCCTGTGAGGTGCTGGGCTTGGTGCCATGTGCCATGGATGAGTTGGCCTTACCTCTAGGAGCCCAGGATTCAGCCAGACATGAAGCACGCCATGGAACAGGATGGCATAGGGGCTTCAGCCAAGGGGCTGAGGTGGTGGGAAGCTTCAGGCTTCATGGTAAGCCTAGGAGCAGCAGCAGGACTTGCCTGGAGAAAGGCGGGGGACTTGCTAGGCTGGGGGCAAGGCAGTGGGACAGTGCTCATGGGAGCAGCAGGTGGTCCCATGCAGTGTGGCCAGGCTCAGTGTGAGGAAGACTCTGAGAGCCAGTCTCTGGAGCTCGCCCTTGCTCTCCTAGAAACTCTTCAGAATCTGGGCACCTGTTGATGCTGGGCCTCACCCCAGGCTCCTGAATCTGAACCCCTGGGGGTGGAGCCCAGCCTAGGATGCCGGACAAGCTCCTCAGGTGGTGCTCCTGTAGCCAGGTACTTGGGAAGCCTGCTGGGCATGAGGCTTTCACTGTTGGCTGCATGTCAATCACCTGGGCAGAATTTTACAGTCTCAGGCTGCACCCAGACCAAGCCTATCAGAATCTCTGGGTAGAGGTTGGGCGTGGTGGCTCATGCCTGTAATCCCAGCACTTTGGAAGGCTGAGGCGAGCAGGTCACTGAGGTCAGGAGTTCGAGACCAGCCTGGTCAACGTGGTGAAACCCCGACTCTACTTTAAAAATATAAAAATTAACTGGGCGTGGTGGCAGGCACCTGTAATCCCAGCTGAGGCAGGAGAATGACTTGAACCCAGGAGGTGAAGGTTTCAGTGAGCAGAGATTGCACCACTGGATTCCAGCCTGGGTGACAGAGTCAGACTCTGTCTCAAAAAAATAAAATCCCTGGGGCGGAGCTTGGACATCAGAATTTTCCAAGGCTGCTCAGGTGATTCCCGTGAGTGGTTGTGGCCAAAAACCCTCAGGCAGGCCTATCCCTCAGGTCAGCCAGGTCTGACAGAGCCCCTCCAGAGGGGCCCCTCCTGAGTGCTGGTCTTCTGCAAGCCCTCGTCCATCCTGATTCATGTGTTTATCTGCTTATTGTCTGCGCCCATCCTTCTTCCCCTAACCCAGATTTGCAAGTTCCATGAGGGCCCTTTGGACTTCCGTTCACTGCTAGATCCCAAGGTATAGAGTGGACAGGCTGGCATATAGTAGGTGTTCAATAAGTGTTTATTGAGTGAATTTATCGACCCCCTACTCTGTGCCAGGCACAAAGGGAGACGCTATCCCTATATCACCTCTTGGTTCTCCCAACAACCCCATGAGGTATATACTACTGAGTCCATTTTATAGATCAGAGAGGTAAGGACTTTGCCCAAGGTCTGATGGCTCCTGGAGCTCATGCTCTGTCCTTCACCCTCCCCTGCCTTCCAGCCAAGGCCTCTGAGTGGCCCTGCTGTGGGAAGCTGCTTGGAAGCTGCACCAGTGGGCCTGGGGGGCACAGGACATGTTGACACAGCCTGTCCTCAGGGCGTTTCTTGGAACCTCTCAGCTGGTTTTGAAAGGACTCCTTCTTCATGGCCTGCAACGGCTTTGTGCCTCCTCCCACCGGACCGATTTGAGAGGAGGACTTTGATGTGGTCAGCAGCTGCTCCCTGGCCAGCAAGGTGGACCATGGATACCCCACCATCTCCCTCAGCCAATGGACTTGGAGGTTCTCCCTTCCCCACCCCAGGTGACCCTGGAATCTTGGTGTCATCCTCAATCTGCCTCCATCCTTGTGAGGTTAGGATGGGTTAGGATTAGTTTCTCATATTGAGGAGGAGGACAGGACCCCAAGGCCTGAATCAGTGGGCTGGGATGGGAGGATCCTGCTGGACAAACTAAATAAAAGCTTCAGGAAATGAAGGGAGGGTCAGGGAGACTTACAGATCTTAATTTCCACAGGGTTGAACCTGGCTGGTAGTCAGGGCCTTTCCTTCCCAACACCTTCTGAATGCAGCTCTTTAAGTAAGAGGAAAGGTGGCCAAGGTCCCCGTGAGGACCCCTGGATCCTCAGGCTTTCCCTTCCCTTCCATGGGGCAGTATAAGGCTGTCCTCTCAGGAAGCTGACTGCCTTCTAGAATGCTGCAATTGCAGCTAATATTCTGGAGAGACGGCCACCCCACTGTTGGACACCCCAATTTCCAGCCTCCTTTCTTCCAGCTCTGGCCTCTCCTACACACCCCAGGTAGCTCTGCCAAGCTGGATGAAGAGGTTGAAATAATTTCTGTTGTGTTGGCAACAAATACAAGCTGAATAGAGCTCTGAGTTGGGAAAAATTGATGGCTGCCTGGCAGCCTTGGGAGGCAAGATGATGGGCAGGAGGGGAGCCTGGACATGGGGATGGGCACCCTGGGTTGGGAGAGTGGATCATTGATGAGATCTTTGGCATTCTACCCAAGCCTGTTTGTCTTCTTTCTTTTTTTTTGCTCCATTAGTTTCCAACGCAAGGCTGTGAGGAAGTTCTTTCTATGGTCTTATCACCATCCCTCCTGCTGTAACTAATGACATCATCCCTCACATCGCAGTGGGCTTTTACAGTTTTAGGGCATTTTCCTTCTTTCTTTTTTTTGGGGGGTGATGGGGGAAGACAGTCTTGCTCTTTCACCCAGGCTGGAGTGCAGTATCACAATAATAGCTCACTGTGGTCTTCAACTCCTGGGCCCAAATGATCCTCCTGTCCCAGCCTCCTGAGCAGCTGGGACTACAGACATGCACCACCATGGTCAACTAATTTTTTTTTTTTTTGTAAAGATAGAGTCTCAAACTCCTGGCCTCAAGTGATCCTCCTGCCTCAGCCTCCCAAAGTGCTGGGATTACAGGCGTGAGCCACTGTGCCTGGTCAGTATTTTTTTTTTTTTTTTTTTTGAGACAGAGTCTCACTGTCACCCAGGCTGGAGTGCAGTGGCATGATCATGGCTCACTGCAGCCTCAATCTCCCGTCTCAGTCTCCCCAGTAGTTGGGATTACAGGTGTGCACCAGCATGCCCAGCTAATTTTTGTTCATATATGTGTGTATATATATATATATGTATATATATATATATTTTTTTTTTTTTTTTTGCGAGACAGGGTTTTGTCATGTTTCTCAGGCTGGTCTCAAACTCCTGGGCTCAAGCAATCCACCCACCTGGTCCTTCCATCCTTCCAAGGTGCCGAGATTACAGGCATGAGCCACCGTGCCGGGCTAGTATATTCTGTTATCTTATTTAATCTTCTCAGACATCAGCCTTGAGTCAGAGGAGTTATTATTAGGCATTGTTGTTACCATTATCTCCATTTTACAGACAGGAAACTAAGATGTGAAGAGAAGGGACAAGTTCCCAGTCACACGATTAGTGGCGAAGTTGCAACGTAAACACATTTGCCTGACTTCAAGTTACTCCAGTTCCCCGCAGTCCCTCCAAATTACACCCGCAGACACACATGCTCACCTCTCTCCCCCACCTCCTCCCCCTTCCATCTTACCACAACCCTGAGGCCACCCCCAGGGAGATCATCCTGTCCATGCCCCTGCCTCTGCCCCAGTGCAGTGGAGCCTCCACGTGGCCTGTATCTGGAGCTCATCTGGTCATGGTCCAGGAGAAGGTGACAGTGGGAAAGTCGGGGGAGTCAAGGGTGTCAGCTGCTGCTGCTTCTTTTTGAGCAAAGACTTTGAAAGTTTAATGTGATAATCTCATCCTGATTACTGCAAACTGAGGTCCTTGGGCTTGTCCAAGAATCCATTACCAACCTCACATGAGGAGCAGGGAGGTTGCACTGGGTTCCCCGCCTCCCTGCTCCCCCAGTCCCCCATGCATACTGGGAAGGATCTGAGTGTTGGTTGAATTTTTTTTTTTTTCTTAATGGAAAGAAGGTGTTTCTGGATCATGGTAGAGATTCTAGGCTTCCTACCTCAGGACCTGGACCAGGAGACCCCAGCCCTTTCCTTTTACATCTGGGAATTTAATATCCTAAAAAGTGCGACTGGTTAGTAGGTTGTGAGGCCAGTCAGAAGGCGTAGAAAATCAGCCCAGCCAGGGATCCCTGGCCCTTGCATCCCCCCACCCCAATACACCGCCAGGGAAACTGAGGCCTGTTACTGTTGTCTCCACATCATCTCTGCCCAGAAGCAAACCAATTAGCACTGTGTCTGGTTCTGTGTTCCCAGTGCCTGTCTCATTATTTGGGGATTTATGTCCCGGTCACTGTGAAGGACAACTGTCCCGGTTTCCACTGGGGGAGCCTGGCTGGCGCTGGAGCCCAGCAGTGGCAGGAGGTGGTGCCGTCCTCCTTGGGGCAGGATGGGGATTTGATTTCAGGGGGATTTGCAACCAGTGGGGAGCCGCCCTGGGCACATGGTGGCTCTGGGCTATTTTAGGAGGCAAAATGTGGGGGGAGGGGTCACAGTGGACTTGTTCAAGCCACTAGAGAGTCTGCCCTTTCAGTGGGGGCAGAAAGAACCCATGATGGGTGGGGTGGGACAGGCCTACCCACTGTTGGGGCCTCTCCCACCCTCCTAGAGCCCAGGAGTCCAGAATGACGCCACCCGTCCTAGCCCCAGTCTGGGCTGTGGGCCGAGCAGGGAAGCTGCTGGCTGGGCCGGGGTCTCTGCTCCTTGCCTGAGTCCCTTTGTTACAGGCTTTGCTTCAGCTGGGGCCCTTAGTGTTATTATTATGAACAATTCTTTTAACCACCTCTTATCTTTGTAGTAGAAATGTTACTTATTGAACATTTGGGAAAGGCCCCAGGAGCAAGAAAAAGGGCACAGCCTTAAATCCAGGCCCATCAGCTGCTGTTCGGTATGGGCCTCTTCCAAGCTGTGTAATGTTGAGGGTTGCATAAGTTCCTTCACCTCTCTGAGCCTCAATGTCCCTCTCTCTAAAGCCGGGACCAGCAACACCTAATTAATAATGCCCCTACTATTAGTTGGGCACATATTATATGGGGTACTTTGCAGGCATGATGTCACACCATCCTCTACACCGTTACCTGTTAATTGCCCTGTTTTAGAGATAAGGAAACTGAAGCTCAGAGAGGGGAAGTAACTTGCCTAAACTCACACAGTCAGAGCAAGGTGCCTGATCCATTTCTCTTTGCACCTACAGTGAGAGTTGGTTCATTCCTCAAATCCAGCAATATGTCTTTGTTACTTTCTGTGTGTCAGGCACTGTTCTAGGGCTGAAGAGTCATCCACAGACAAAACAGAGGAAGAGGAGACAGTGGATAAGACTGGCCAGTAGTGAGAGCTGGAATAGTCAAACTGGAGACTCAGAGGCTTTATTTAGACTAAGCGTCATTTTCTGGAGTGGGGAGGGCAATATTTAAGGGGCCTGAATCCCTCACTGGGCAAGTGGAAGGTGGACCAGGAAGGGCTAGCACCACCTCACACCCCCAGCTCTCCATTACCAGGAAGAGCTTTTTCATTTGTTCTTCCTCTTCACCCCACCTTTGTAGGAAAAAAGTTACTGGGCATATTGGGATAAGGCCTTTAGAAGCACCATGGTATAAAGGAAAGAGACACCCTATGCTTTGGAGTCATCCAATGGGGTCCAAATCCCCACTCTGCCCCTTTCTAGCTGTGTGACCTTGGGCAGGTAAGTTAACTTCTCAGAGCCTCCCCTTCTTTGTTTTTTTTGTGTGTTTGTTTGAGACAGAGTCTCATTTTATCGCCCAGGCTGGAGTGCAGTGGCGCGATCTTGGCTCACTGCCAGCTCCGCCCCCCGGGTTCACACCATTCTCCTGCCTCAGCCTCCTGAGTAGCTGGGACTACAGGCACCCGCCACCACGCCCAGCTAATTTTTTTGTATTTTTAGTAGAGATGGGGTTTCACCGTGTTAGCCAGGATGGTCTCGATCTCCTGACCTCGTGATCCACCCGCCTCGGCCTCCCAAAGTGCTGGGATTACAGGCGTGAGCCACCGCGCCCGGCCAGAGCCTCCCCCTCTTTATCTTCAAAATCTGGAGAGTAGTAGCAAACTTTCAGGGTTAGTAGGGGATGAAATGAGTGGGAAAGGGCATGGGAAGGATCTGGCACACAGAAGGCCCACAATAGACGGCAGTGTTTTGCCTGCGTGCAGAGTTGGAGTTTAGGGGTGTGTTATTCCTAGGTATCTAGGTGAAGCCACGTCTTTGTGGGTGGCACTAAGCTGGCACCTGTGGTCCTGCTGAATGATTTCAATAGGCTAAGCAGAATGGGAGAGCCAGCAAGCCCAAACATACGGTCTGGGCCTCCCAGCGCAGGAAACTACCATTCACTCGGGGGCTGGGATAGGGAGGCTGAACTCACCAGTGCATCACGTGAAAATAGACCTGGGGGTTTCAAGGACGCTCAGCTCTATGTAAAGCTAGTTCAAGGCTGAAGAAAAACTGAGGGATGGGCAGCATTCACAGAGGAGGGCAGAGATGGGGGGAGGTTGTGCTGTCCCTTTTTCTGTTCTATGGAGGATACCAAAAGCCTAAAAGAGTTTAGAGGAATGTGCTAGGCACAGTGGCTCACGCCTGTAATCCCAGCACTTTGAGAGGCCAAGGCAGGTGGATCATGAGGTCAGGAGATCGAGACCATCCTGGCTAACACGGTGAAACCCTGTCTCTACTAAAAATACAAAAAATGAGCTGGGCGTGGTGGTGGGCGCCTGTAGTCCCAGCTACTGGGGAGGCTGAGGCAGGAGAATGGTGTGAACCCGGGAGGCGGAGCTTGCAGTGAGCCGAGATCGCGCCACTGCACTCCAGCCTGGGCGACAGAGCAAGACTCCATCAGAAAAAAAAAAAAAAAAAAAAGGAGTATAAAGGAATGTAACTGGGATAATCCAACACTTGGAAACCATTTATTCAACACATTTTTAATTAAGTGGTTTAGATCAGGTCAGTTGGTCACCATGCAAGGTACCAGGCAAAAGAAATGAATGAAGGCCCAGAACTACCCTGGGGGAGGAGCGCTCAGTATAGTTGGGTAACCAAAGCAGGGTTTGGGAGAGACAGTTTAATTAATACAGTGTGATAAGGGCAGTGTTAGGGTCTCATACAAGGTGCCCTGGGAGCACATACAAGGGGGAGGCACATCTTCAAAGGCTTCCTGGAGGAGGTGACCATGTCAGGGGAAGAATAGCTGAGGCAAATGGGTCTCTTTAGCTGGGAGAAGAGCCCCTTTAGGAAGAAACTGCCTGCTGTGTTTCTCTGGCTGTGGAAGGTGGAGTGCACGTTTTCTGTGTTACCAGGCAGCAGATCTACGACCATTATGCAAGCATTATAGGGAAACAGGTTCCAACCCCCCATTTTAATTAACGTTAGCATAGTGGAATGGGCCATCTTGTTAGGTAGTGATCTCCCCATCATTGGCATGTTCAGGCAGAGGCCAGAGGATACCTTGTCAAAGCTGCTACAAAAGAGATGGGATGACCTCTAAGATCCCTTCCAAGTCTGAACAACTGCAATTCTCCGTGGACAGCCACAGGATGTGGACTGTGATGGAGATCAGTGTGACCGGATTAAGTTAGAGGATGCGTGTGCTGTGGGATAGTGAGGTACATATGGTATACCACGACTGTCCTCCTCACCCTGGATTTACTTTTTAAAAACATCTTTGGCCGGGCGCGGTGGCTCACGCCTGTAATCCCAGCACTTTGGGAGGCCGAGGCGGGTGGAACATGAGGTCAGGAGATCGAGACCATCCTGGACAACATGGTGAAACCCTGTCTCTACTAAAAATACAAAAATAACCTAGCGTAGTGGCATGCGCCTGTTGTCCCAGCTACTTGGGAGGCTGAGGCAGGAGAATCACTTGAACCTGGGAGATGGAGGTTGCAGTGAGCCAAGATTGTGCCATTGCACTCCAGCCTGGGCGACAGAGTGAGACTCCGTCTCAAAAAAAAAAAAAAATCTTTAGTAACTGCTTTATTGAAATATAATTGCATACCATACAATTCCCCCATTTAAAATGTACAATTTAATGTGGATTTATCTTAAAAGTGGAAATGCATTTATTATTCATTCAACAACTATTTATTGAGCATCTATTAAGTATGCAGTAAGCTTTGCACTGGTGTTGTGGATAGCTGGGAAATAAGGGCCCTGCCCTCATGGGGGAGACAGGTCAGGGTGCAAACAAAAGAATTACAACCTGAGAGATACCCTAAGAGGGTGGTAAACTGAGTCTGAGACTAAGAGTGATGAAGCTGGGGAAAGGGGCTCCTGGGGAGGTAACATTTGAGCTGGGGCCTGAGTGACAAGGAGGTATCTCTGTGAATGTTGGGAGGATGTTCCAGACTGAGGGGAGAGCAGGGGCAAGGCCCAAGGCAGGGGTGAGTTGGTGGTTGGTGAACCAGGAAGTGCTAGGAGACTTGGTGGCACCGTGGGTGAGGCATCCCTGAGGCTCCCCACCATGGGGCCTCCTCTCTGTGTGGCCTGGTCCCCAGTAGGCCTGCCCCAGTGCCAGGCAGGTAAATGGCACCGCCACTTCTTCTTTGGCTGCAAGAGCCCTCTGTGTCCGCTTTCCTTGGCTCTTTCTTGCTCTCTTGCCCTGTTATTGCTTCTCCAACAACAGAATGGTGACAGTGCTCTTAGGAGGTCGTGCCACCAGCCCCTGCCTCCTGCTCTTCCTGGTTGGCTCCATGCCCCTGTGTGTGCCCACTGTGTGCTGGACCCTGTGCTTTGATTCCCTGGGAGGAATCAGAAAGGACTCTCAGCCACACACACTGGTGAAGTCTCCCCAGCAGACTCTGGCTGTCTCCCCTGACCTCCAGAGACAGTGCCTAGGAGCAGCCTGGAGTCTCCCATTTGGTGCCCACTTCCTGTGTGACTTTGGACCAGTTACTTAAGGTCCACAACCTTTTTTTTTTTGAGACGAAGTTTCACTTTTCTTACCCAGGCTGGAGTGCAATGGGGTGGTTTTGACTCACTGCAACCTCCACTTCCCAGGTTCAAGCGATTCTCCCATCTTAGCCTCCTGAGTAGCTGGGATTACAGGCGTGCCACTACCCCCGGCTAATTTTTGTACTTTTATAGAGACAGGGTTTCACCATGTTGGCCACGCTGGTCTCGAACTCCTGACCTCAAGTGATCCGCCTGCCTCGACCTCCCAAAGTGCTGGGATTACAGGCGTGAGCCACCGTGCCTACCTAAGTCCCCAATCTTTCTTTTCCTGGTCTGTAAAATGGGGAACTGCACCGCTCTGGGCAGAGTGGTTCTGAGGTTTCAGTGTGATCCCCCTGGCACCCAGCAGGTGGTCCATGAATGTCAACTTCCTCCCACTCCCTGAGTTTCCTTGCAAAAGAGGGGCCTGCTTGCCAGAGGTAGCGGCCGGGGGCGGAAGGTGGTGCTGACAGGGGGTGGGGGAAGGCAGCCAGTTTGGGGTCCCCTTCCCTGAGCTCTGGGACACCTTGGGAGCCCTCAGGTACGCTGGGCCTGGTCAGCCGGGGTAGGCGGGATACTCACCCGTGCGCGCAGCTCTTCAGCCAGGAGAGCCTCCGAGTCTCCCCTCTCTTCCTCCCACCCGGGGAGCCCCACCGCTGAGCCCCTCTCCCGCCAAGGCTGTCCTGGGCCGGCGGGGGCGGCGCGGCTCCTGGCACCTGCTCCCGTCGGGCCGCCCGGGGGCGGGCTCGGAGACGCTGTGGCTGTCCCGGGAGAGCGCGGGGCCGGGAGCTGCGACTCAGGACCGCCCCGGGTGGCCGCGAGCGGCTGGACGCAGCCGGGTTTGTCCGGAGCGCTCTCCAGGTAGGCGCGGGCGCCGGACTCGGGCCCGCACTCCCCGCCGCCCATCCCGGACCCACGCGCCGCGGGGGCAGAGCCGGCGGGAGGGGGCCCGCCGCGTGCTCAGCACTTAGGTGGTTCTGCAGGGCTGGGGGCAGCGGCGGAGACCCTTCTTGCCTGGTGACCGGGAAAGAACCGCAACTTAACCGGAAACTGAGGTCGCGAGGAGGACACCAAGGGTGATGGCAAGAAGGACTTCCAGCTCCCATTAGGGGGAGAGAGGGAGTACAGGGTGAGACTCCCCCTCTACTCCCACCCACCCTAAGGAGAGGACCATTCTCCGGAGATAGGGGGCGCGACCAGATAACCCACCGTCTTTTCTTAAGAAGTTTAGAGAATCCAAAAGTTGATCCACCCCTATCAACACTGAGATGGAATAGAAGGGAAGGGGTAGGGGAGGGAAGAGCAACAATTATCTTTTGGGGGGTGCAAAAAGTACTCCTGCTCCCCCACCCTCCACCTCATTCACAGTCATTGGAGGACTTCCTGTCCCGCCCCTTCCTACCCCCAACGTGCAGAATGTCTCAGCTTCAGCAAGGGGCATGGGGGGGCCCCTGGCCAGAACACTCTGCCCCCACCCACAACTCAGGAACAGTCCCAGGAGCTCCCAACCCTCCTCCTTCTGGCTTCCAGGACTTAGGCTCCTGCCCTGACTTGGACGTGGTGACTAGTGGAAAGCAGGGAGTGGGGTTTGAGGGAGCTCCCCTTCTGGGTCCTATGGGATTGGGCAGGGAGAGCAGGAGAGCAGGCAGGAGATAAACCCGGGCTGTGCCAGGATCCTGAGCCCTGGTGCTCCTAGGAGGGGGCATGGGGCCGGCGGGTCTCCTCTGCCTGCTGAGTGTGAACAGGGCAATAGGTCAGATTTCCTGGGCTTTGCCTGGCAGCAGAGGCAAGGACAGGGGGTATGGAGACAACCATCCCACCTTACAAGCAGCTGCTCTGTGTTGCCACTATGGACCCTGCAAGGAGAGATGCAGGTTAGACAGCAAGAAGGACTTCCTTCCTGAGGGTAGGGGTCTTTGGGGGAGTGTCAGTGGCCAGCAGAGCCAGCCCCTGTCTTTGGGGGTGTCAGGAGGGACTGAGGCCCTCTGGAGGATGCAGACAACTGGGGGTGAGGACAGAGCAGACCAGGGAGGGGAGGCGGTGGGGGACAGTGACTTCATCTCTGGACCATACTGCTCCTTCACCTCCTGTGCCCTCTCTCCCTCCCTTGGAGCTGGAGTGTTGGCTTTCAGCAGCTCACTCCTGAAATCTCCAGCACCCAGAAGGCCCCAGGGGAAGGCGACAGGCTTCCTCTGTCACCACTTCAGATGGGAAGACAGACATGGTGCCTTGGGTGTGTCCAGCGGAACCCCTCACCTGGCACCTGGAGCAGCTGTTGCCTAGCCCCCGGGCCTCCTGTTCTGGCAAAGCAGGGGTGTATGTGCTGGGGTCTGGCGCAGGTGACTCCTCTGGATCCTCTGAGGGGATCTCAGGGTGTGGCCCTGGGTGACCCCAGCTCCCTGGGCCCATGGAATAGCTGGGATGGGTGCCACTCTGTGGTGGCCACACCACTAAAGAGGGCTGTTTCCCCTTCCTCGCCCTGGGGAGGTGTCAGTGCTGGGAGAGGGCAGTGGGGAGGTGGCAGGGTGGAGAAGCCAAAATGCTCATTGACGGCCCCTCAGGGACACTCAGCGGGTACCCAGGCCCAGGAGGGCTTGCACTCTGCTAGGACAGGAACAGATGAGGCTTCTCTTCTTCCAGGTGCTTCTCTCTGCAGCTGGGCTGGTAGGGAGGGCCAGGATCCCACACTCCTGCCTGTGACCCCATGAATGACTGGGATGGGGCCTGCCAGGGTCCTCACCCCCTGCCTTTGCCTCATAGAATGGAGGAGACCTGGCCCTACCTACTTGCCTCTCTTTGTGATGCTGAGCCTCAGTTGCCTCATGTGTCAAGCCTCGCAGGATTGTTCTGAGGATTCATGGAGGCGATGTTTCTGTTGTGCTCCAGGGACAACAGGCGCTTGCCACCAGGTGCACCCACCCTGCCTTTCTCCCAGGCTAAGGCAGAATCATATACCTTGGCCTCCACTGCCTTCCACCTTAGCAGTAGCGGCTCTGTGTGGCCACTGCAATTCAGCCTGCAAAGGACCTAGGAGCCCAATCCCCTCTCTTATCTATTTTATTTTATTTTTTACTTTTTTGAGATGGAGTCTCGCTCTGTCGCACAGGCTGGAGTGCAGTGGCGCGATCTCGGCTCACTGCAAGCTCCGCCTCCCGGGTTCACGCCATTCTCCTGCCTCAGCCTCCTGAGTAGTGGGACTACAGGCACCTGCCACCACGCCTGGCTAATTTTTTTGTATTTTTGGTAGAGATGGGGTTTCATCGTGTTAGCCAGGATGGTCTCGATCTCCTGACCTCATGATCCGCCCGCCTCGGCCTCCCAAAGTGCTGGGATTACAGGCGTGAGCCACCGCGCCCTGCTATTTTTTACTTATTTATTTTTTTGAGACGGAGTTTCATTGTCTCTGGGGCTGGAGTGCAGTGGTGCAATCTCGGCTCATTGCAACCTCTGCCTCCCAGGTTCAAGCAATTCTCCTGCCTCAGCCTCCCGAGTAGTTGGGATTACAGGCACTCACCACCATGTTGGCTAATTTTTGTATCTTTAGTAGAGACGGGGTTTCACCATGTTGGCCAGGCTGGTCTCAAACTCCCAGCCTCAGGTGATCCACCTGCCTTGGCCTCCCAAAGTGCTGGGATTACAGGCAAGAGCCACCACGCCTGGCCCCCTCTCTTTAAAGACAGGAAACCAAAGCCCAGCGAGGCAGGGTCTGGCCCAAGTTTGGCCGGCCAGCCAGCCTGGCCTGGTCTGGGAAGTAGGCTGGGGAGGCGGGAGGGTGGCTGTTGGCTGACATGGAGGAAAATGCCAGAGGGTAACTGGGCTTGTTAAGGGTTTGAGGAGGGAACCCTTCATGCTCTGCCAAAGGCTGGGGACAGGTCTCGAACCTTCCTCTCCGGTTACCTCTTTAGGAGAAGCAGCCTTTTCTGGAGGACTCCTTTCCCAGGCTGCAGCAGAAACAACCGTCTGCTGCCTGTTTTCTGGCCTCCACAGTCCCCTCCATTCAGCCCTCTCTGGATGGACAGGCAGGGAATCTCATCACCTCACGGTGGCCAAGGACCCCATGGAAACCCAGGGACCTCACGTGCATTTGTCACCCAACCAGAAGTGGTGGAGATGGGACCCCAGAGCCCTGCCTGCGTGCTCCCCCCAACCCACCCCCCAGCTCCACATTGATGGACACACAGGCAGACAGGCAGACAGAAACTGGGCTACACAGCTCTCCAGCACAGGTAGTGTGAGCCTGCCTCCAAGTGGGTGGCTCCCTCCCAGGGCCCAACCCCTACCCTCTCTGCAGCAGCCTCAGCCCATCTCTCAGGGAAGACAGGGAACAGAGGGAGATTTAACCAGCTTCCTGTAGAAATCCCAGACAGACAGACAGACAGATGGATGGGTACATACACGCTTTTTCTCTGCTTTCCCCTTGTCCTTCCTCCCCACCTCTTTGGCTCTGGCCCCACCTCTTTCTACCCAGGGTGTAGCCCGTCTCTGCGAGGCACAGGGCCTGATAGAGGCTGCACAACCCTGCCCCTCCCCAGAGCCCTTCTCTGAATCTGTGGCCCCCTCCCCACCCATCAGTTCAGGTCAGGATTTGGCAGGCTTTAAGGAGAGGTGGGATGGGGCAGTGGGTAAGGACTTGGGCTTTGAGTCAGACAAGCATAGGTCCAGGTCCAGCCACAGAACCTCCCAAAGCCTGTTCTCTAATCTATGCAGTGGGATAACAGGTTAATAATGGTGCTCATCTCATGGAATTGTGAAGTTTAAGAGAGATCCTGTTTGGGCATGGTGGCACATGCCGGTAATCCCAGCTACTTGGGAGGCTGGGGCAGGAGGTTCACTTGATCCCTACAAGTTTGAGGCCAGCCTGGAGCCTGGGAAACGTAGTCAAACCCTATCCCCCCCAAAAAAGAAAAAAGACCCTTTTTGTCAAACACCTGGCCCACAGTAAGCCCTCAATAAATGGGGTTGTTATTTCATAAAGAAGATGTGACGTAAGCAGCTGGGGGGCGAAGAGAAAGACAGGGAAGCCTCTATAATCAGCTCATGCATCGTCTTTCCATTTGCTTTGAAGCAAGTCCACTGCCCTGCTCTGGAACTCAGTTTCCCCATCTGCTTAAGGCAGCATGTGGACTAGGTCCTGTCCAAGTGTAGGTCCTGCTAGCGTGGGTCATGCTGGCTCTGAGTAGGGGCCAGGGTTGGGGATGCCGAGCTGCCGATGCTCAGGGCAGGGTTAGACAGACCTGTGTGCCCCCGTCACTGCCCACCCGTCCACACTTTCTGACTGGGCTCCCCTAGCTTAGCTGGGGCAGTGTGGCTCCTAAGGGAACAGCTGGGAAGGCTGGGTCAGGCAGGGCAGGCTGCAGCAGGCCCAGCAGCCTGGCTGGGGGGAACACAATTAGCCCAGAATCCAGGCGGCCCCGTGAGCCCAGAGGCTATATATCACAGAGGTTTAATCAGCTGTGTGGCAGATATTTGCTCTCTTGGGCGATGTCCCCGGCCCGCCTGTCATAAATTGCACTGAGATTTCAAAATACCCCTGTCCCCATGCTGGCGGGGCAGGCAGCTCTCCTTGGCATGGCCAGGAAAATCTCATTCCTCTGAAGCCTCCACCCGGGGAATGGGACCTCTCCCCCCACCAACACTTGCACCTAAGACCTTCTTCCTGCCTCCTCCTGCTGGGAGAGTTGGGGAGGACATGGAGAGGCAGGAGAGTCGCTGTGATGACCTCCATCTAGAGGTGAGAAGGTGCAAAATATTGGTGGGGGGCTCCATGCAGTAATGGGGCCTTCTCACAATGGCAGTGACCTCCAGTGTGCCCTCTGTGGGAAGAGCTATACCCTGGACCCGTGGTGTGGCTCCAGGAGACAGCTGCATTGCCCCTTGAGTGTGGGGACTGGGGTCTGTCATGCCCAGGGGGTACGGAGTCTTCACCTACCTTCCCACTGGATGTTTGCTGCGCCACCTGGAGGCTATCTGTGGGACTGCCGCCCAGCCACAACATCCAAACCCTAGCAGCAGGGTTTGGACCATCAAATCACCAAGCACTTATGACCACACCAGGGTGAGATCTATGGCGCGTTAGTTTGTTAGGGCTCCCATAACAAAGTGCCACAGGCTGGGTGGCACTTAAACAGTAGAAGTTTATTGTCTCAGTTCTGGATCCTAAAAGTCCAAGATCAATATGTGTCAGCAAGGCTGGGCGCAGTGGCTCATAACTGTGATCCCAGCACTTTGGGAGCCCGAGGCTGGAGGATCTATTCAGCCCAAGTGTTTGAGGTTACAGTGAGCTATGATCACACTGCTCCACTTCAGCCTGGGCAACAGAGCAAGACCCTGTCTCTCTCTCTTTTTTTTTTTTCTGAGACGGAGTCTTGCTCTGTTACCTAGGCTTGAGTGCCATGGCACGATCTCGACTCACTGCAACCTCTGCCTCCCAGGTTCAAGCAATTCTCTTGCCTCAGCCTCCTGAGTACCTGGGATTACAGGCACCCACCACCGCGCCTGGCTAATTTTTTTGTATTTTTAGTGGAGACAGAGTTTCACCATGTTGGCCAGGCTGGTCTTGAACTCCTGATCTCGTGATCCACCCACCTCGGCCTCCCAAAGTGCTGGGATTACAGGCGTGAGCCACTGCGCCCAGTCAATTTCACCTTTTCATAAGGACACCAGTCATGTATATTGGATTACGGGCCCACCCTATACCAGTCTGGCCTTATCTTAATAGCATCTGCAACGACCCTATTTCCAAATAAGGTCATATTCTGGAAGTGCTGGGGATTAGGATGTCAACATATTGAATTTTGGGGGACATAATTCAACCAATATCACATAGTGAGTCTCAGATGTTCAGTGACAGTCTCATTTCATGGTCTGGGCACAATGACACCCACACTATGGCACAGCTACACTACGACATGCACACAGAGTGAGTGACATAGATTCACCTCAACAAACGATGGGGTAACAGACATTTGCAGTGACCCAGGTACATCATGACAGACACACAGGGTGACAGACTTCACTCACAAGCTGCAAGAGACAGACACACTATGTGTTAATAACAGCTGATTGGCCGGGCACCAGTGGCTCACGCTTGTAATCCCAGCACTTTGGGAGGCCGAGGTGGGCGGATCACGAAGTCAAGAGATCGAGACCATCCTGGCCAACATTGTGAAACCCTGTCTCCACTAAAAATACAAAAATTAGCTGGGAGTGGTGGCACGCGCCTGTAGTCCCAGCTACTCGGGAGGCTGAGGCAGGAGAATCACTTGCACCCGGGAGGCAGAGGTTGCAGTGAGCCAAAATAGTGCCACTGCATTCCAGCCTGGGCAACAGTGTGAGACCCTGTCTCAAACAAAACAAAACAAAACAGACAAACAAACAAAAAACAGCTGATTTTGTAGGGCACCGAGAAGCATATTACATAGATTATAGATCAGCTCATCTAATCCCCACAATGTGTGTATGACTTAGGAACTGTTATTGATCACTCCCATTCTACAGAGGTATAGACGAAGGAACTGAGCTCAGGTCACACAGCCAGTGAGTGACAGAGCTGAGATTTGAACCCAGGTATGAATCAGCATGGAGCTCCTGCTCTTGGCTGGGCATGGTGGCTCATGCCTGTACCCCAGCACTTAGGGATGCCGAGGCGGGCAGACCACATGAGCACAGAAGTTTAAGACCAGCCTGGGCAACATAGCGAGACCCTGTCTCTATTGAAATTTTAAACATACATAAAATTTCAAAGAGCTCCTGCCCTTATCGCTGTGCTCCTCTGTTCCATCCACACACAGTCCCCACACTTGTCACGACAGACATGTTATGTGGGATCACTGCTCACAAAAAGGACAAGCAGCTTACTGAGAATGGGGGTGGCATCTGGGGACTACAGGCAGGTTTTTGGCCTTGGGCTTGTAAAATTAATTTTCCTTGTTCAGATGCGGGCTCCACTGTTGGATGTATAGTCTTGTGAAGACATTGTGACATCACTGGACTGGTCTGATCTGCAAAGTAAGCATGGGCCTCAGAACACAGGAAATGCCCTCTGGGGAGATGAGCTTGTCTGCTCAGGTTGCCATAACAAAGTACCACAGACTCAGTGGCTTCGACAGTGGAGATGTAATTTCTCACAGTTCTGGAGGCTAGAAGTCCAAGATCAAGGTGTCAGGAGGGTTCATTTCTTCAAAGGCCTCTCTTCTTGGCTTGAAGATGGTCTTCCCTCTATAACTATCTGTGTCTAAATTTCCTCTTCTTATAAAGACACCAGTCATATGAGACCCAGCGCGGTGGCTCACACCTGAAATCCCAGCGCTTTGGGAGGCTGAGGTGAGCAGATCACTTGAGGCCAGGAGTCCGAGACCAGCCTGGCCAACATGGCACTACCCCATCTCTACTAAAAAAAAATACAAAAATCAGCTGGGCATGGTGGCAGATGCTTGTAATCCCAGCTACTCAGGAGGCTGAGGCAGGAGAATTGCTTGAATCCGGGAGGCAGAGGTTGCAGTGAGCTGAGATTGTGCCACTGCACTCCAACCTGGGTGATAGAGTAAGACTCTGTCTCCCACTGGGTGCAGTGGCTCATGGCTGTAATCCCAGCACTGTGGGAGGCCAAGGTGGGAGGATCACCTGAGGTCAGGAGGTCGAGACCAGCCTGGACAACATGGCAAAACACTGTCTCTACTAAAAATACAAAAATTAGCTGGGCGTGGTGGCGGACACCTGTAGTCCCAGCTACTTGAGAGGCTGAGTTGAGGCAGGAGAATCACTTGAACCCAGGAGGTGGAGGTTGCAGTGAGCCGAGATCACACCAATGCACTACAGCCTGGGTGACACAGCGAGACTCCATCTTGAAAAAAATAAAGACACCCATCATATGAATTAGGGCCCACCGGTATGACCTCATTAACTTAATTACCTCTTTGAAGACCCCATCTCCAAATAGAGTTACTTTCTAAGGTACTGGGGGTTATTACTTCAACATATGCATTTTGAGGGGACACACTTCAGTCCATAACAGGAGAGATGGGCTCAGTATGACTCACCCAGGCCCTAGCCTTGGGGTTGCCCCAGCCTGAGGGAGGGACACAGATCTTGCTCTCAGGAAGCCCCTGTCTGAAGCAGAGGCAGGAAGCATGCACGCAGATTTCCGAGAGAAGGCAAAATTCACTGAGCAGCCCCAGAATAGAAATGGTTAGAGGCAGACAAGTCAGGCAGGGCAAGTTTCAGAGAAGTGACTTGGAAAGGAAAGACTGTCTATGGGAGATGGGGGCCTGGAGGGGCCACTTGAGGGTCCCGAAGAGACAGAAAGTGTGTGTGTGTGTGTGTGTGTGTGTGTGTGTGTGTGTGTGTGTGTATGTGCGTGTGCGCGCGTTGGGGGACAGGGCGGGGGCAGGGGCGCTGTCTTCAGCCGACCCAGGCAGCAAGGCTCAGGTCTCTACCGAAACCACCAACTGTTGCCTCGGCCTCGGTTGCCAAGACAGCAGGGGGCATCTGGAGCCACGTGGAGCAGGGGTTGGGATGGCTTCACACACTGTCACCATTTGTGAATGTCACCCTGCTGGGTGCAGGGCACAGGAAGGTTGTGTTTTTGGCTGGCGGCTGCTGCGTCTCCAGTAAGCGCCACATGCCTGGCTGTCACAGGATTGCCAGCGCTTGCTGTAGAGCTGAGAACAGGACTCTCGCTTCCTCAAATGTGACTCAGCTGGCCTTGCCACTGCCTCTCCCTCAGTGACCACCTTTCCTCCAAGACCCCAGTCCGCCTCTCTGAGATATGTTCTGCGGCCCTCCGAGTCCCCAGGTGTCTTGGCCTCCCCGTGTGTAGACATGTCGGACACCCTTCCAGAAAGTCCCAAGTTTTTTTGTTTTTGTTTTTGTTTTTTGTTTGTTTTTTCTTTCTGAAATGGAGTTTTGCTCTTGTTGTGGAAGCTGGAGTGCAATGACACCCGATCTTGGCTCACTGCAACCTCCGCCTCCCGGGTTCAAGTGATTCTCCTGCATCAGCCTCCTGAGTAGCTGGGATTACAGGCATGCGCCACCATGCCCAGCAAATTATGTATTTTTAGTAGAGACAGGGTTTCACCATGTTGGTCAGGCTGGTGTCAAACTCCTGACCTCAGGTGACCTGCCCGCCTCGGCCTCCCAAAGTGCTGGGATTACAGGCGTGAGCCACAGCCAAGAGTCCCAAGTTTTAATGCTGCTTTGCTTGAAATAGACCCCATTATGCGCCCTTCCACCATCCTCGGGCTGGGGCATTTCAGAGGGATATAGAGGATACAGAGCCCCGTGTCTCCCGGTCTTGAGCCCCTCCTGCTCTCTCTAAGAATTCGCAACCATTTGGCGTTCATTCATCTCCCTCTCTATCCACTCAGATATGAAGCGGCCACTGAGCCCACCCCCACCGGCTGAGAAGGAGACCCCCATATCTGGAGCTGCTGAGTGCCTCCCTCGGCCCCCAGAACCACCTAAGCCCAAGCGAGAAAGAAAGCGGCCATCGTACACGCTCTGTGATGTCTGCAACATCCAGCTGAACTCGGCGGCCCAGGCCCAGGTGCACTGTGGGGGGCGGGCCCACCAGAGGCGGCTTCGGCAGCTCAGCTTGGGGAAGAGCCCCTCAGGGCCAGGTCAGTGTAGAGGGGACGCTGCTCCCACAAATTTGGTTTGGGGAGTATCTCTGTCTGGGCCCCTCTGAGGGGCTCTGGGTCTGTGGCCTCCCTCCATGGGGGTCTTTGCGTCTGGGGTGCCCTCAATGGGGTCTTAGGGTCTGAAGCCTCCCCGATGCCAGCAAGTTTTATTCTGCATCTGGACAACCCTTCTGTAGGACCTCTCGGAATCTGTGGGTCCTTAGGCCGCCTCTTGGGTCTTTGTTTCTAGGGAACTCTCCCTGTGGGATCTTTTGGGATCAGGACTCCTAAGCAGCACTTCTCCAGCCTGGAGCCTCCTGGTAGCCACAGGCTTTCAGACAAGGGCCTCATCTGCGGGGTGGGGGTCCCAGGCTCCAGCTCAGGTCTGTGGTCTCTGAAGGCCAAGGTCAGCAAGGTACACAGCACTCCAACCCAGGGACAAGGGGGAGGCCCCTCTTCCTTTGGACTCCTGGCCAGGATTTCTGCTTCTCCCTAGCTGGGGTGACTTTGCAGAGGTTTGGCTATGAGCTTGGAAGGGGCAGCTGGCTGCAAGGCAGATTTCTGGGGGAAATGGGTGAATGCCTCCATGAGGGTGATTCTAGCTGACAGGTGCACAGGGGCCATAGGGAAAGTAAGAACCACCCAGGCTGCTGTTGGCAGAGCAAACAGATTCACATTCAGGCTCAGTGTGGGGAGGTGGGAAAGGCAGGAACTTACCCCTGGCTCCTGGGGGAGGCCAACAGAAACCTACCTTGCAGCCCAGGCTGGCAGTTTTGCCGGAGGCTACACTCTGACCTCAGACACCCTCTTGAGGGCTGTCTTCTCTTTTGGTGATATTCATGGGGCACCCACTGTGTCCCCCGCTCCACACACACAATCCTGTAGGCCAGAGACAAGTAAGATCCAATCTCTCTGCTTACCACCCTCCCCAAGATTGAGTGGGTCTTTTGGGTGGAGACACATGTGAAAAGGGATAAGGGTTGTGGTTGCCACATGGGACATACCCTCAGGGCACAAAGGCAAAGCTGCAGTCCCTGGGGGCAGCAGGAAAGTCTCCTGAAGGAAGAGGGGGCTGAGCCTCGGAACATGGATGAGGGGAGTAGGGGCATTACAGGCAGAGGTCACGGCATAAGCAAAGGCCAGGGTGCTCTGGTGACTGGGACCAGCTCCTCCCCACCCAATTATTTCAGGCTGGACACCAAAAGCATGACTCTGAGCAAGAGAGTATCTGACTGATGGGTGTTTCTGGAGCATATGTGTCTGTCTGGATTCGAAAGTCACTCATTGGCTGGGCATGGTGGCTCATGCCTGTAATCCTAGCACTTTGGGAGGCTGAGGCAGGTGGGTCACTTAAGGCCAGGAGTTTGAGACCAGCCTGGCCAACATGGCAAAACCCCATTTCTACTAAAAATGCAAAAATTAGCCAGGTATGGTGGCACACACCTGTAGTCCCAGCTACTCGGGAGGCTGAGGCAGACGAATCACTTGAACCCAGGAGGTGGAGGTTGCAGTGAGCCGAGATTGTGCCACTGCACTCCAGCCTGGGTGACAGAGTGAGACCCTGTCTCAAAAAAAAAAAAAAAAAAAAAAAAAAAAAAATTAACTCATTAATTCACCAAATATTTATTGACCACCTACTAGGTGTAAGCTGCTTTTGGGAGATTCATGTTTTTAAAAGACATCATATCTGCCTGTCAGGAAAAAGCTATCTAAATAAATACATATGCAGATGAGTTTGTTCCAAGATAATAACAGGCTTCCTAGAGGTGGATTCAGGGTGCCTCAAGAAGTCAGAGGAGGGGCCAGGCTCACGCCTGTAATCCCAACACTTTGGGACCCCAAAGCGGGCAGATTGCCTGAGCTCAGGAGTTCGAGACCAGCCTGGGCAACATGGCGAAACCTCATCTACTAAAAAAACAAAATATTAGCCTGGTGTGGTGGTGAGCACCTGTAGTCCCCGCTACTTGGGAGGCTGAGGCACGAGAATTGCTTGAGCCCAGGAGGTGGAGGCTGCAGTGAGCTGAGATCACACCATTGCACTCCAGCCGGGGCAACAGAGGGAGACCCTGTCTCAAAAAAAATAAAATAAAAATAGAAGTCAGAGGAGGGAGAGGCAAACTGACATGGGAAGTGACATTGATCGTGGATACTGGAGACAAAGAGAGGATCCCAGGCAGGGAAGCAGCCGGAGCAAAGGCATTGAGGCCTGCAAGCCCATGGCTCTTTGGGTGGGGAGGGGCACCATCTTAGGGGTCATCAGGAGACATGAGGCCTGGTACTCCAGTCCAGATTGTTAAATCAGACCTGTGAAGTCACTGGCCATCAGTGTGCTGGGTGTGTGCAGGGAGTGTGCAGGGTGTGGAGAGGACAGCGGGAGCCACCTGCAAGAGCCTTGCCACCAGGCTGGGCTTTGACCTTTGTTCTGAAGGTGATGGGCATTGCAGAAGCGGTTTGAGCAGGAGCAGTTAGTGTTTTTAGGTGTCTCTGGCTCGAGGGTACATAAGAAGGAAAGTGAGGTGAAATGGAGAAATAGATTCTGGAGCCTTTTCTTTAGCAGAACTGTCAAGACTTGGTGGCCAATGGGATGTGGGGTGTGTGGGGGGTGCCACGGACACCTCTAGCTTAGGCAGTGCCACAGAGGGCAGCTCAGTTATCAGAAAGGGGGTGCTGAGAGGGAGACAGAAATGGAGGGCTGACACTGAGTGGGGAAGGCCAGTCCTGTGGCTGAGGATGTTGTCTGGTCTTTGTTCCTCTTGTAACACAGCCTCTTCAGGTCTTACTTCCTGGGCAACGGTCCCTGTGGTAAAAGCTCCTCCCTTCCCAATCCCACCACACCAAGATGAAGGGAGCAGGTGTGGGGAGAGGAGAAAAGACCACAGCTCCAGGGCCAGGTGCGGAGGCTCACGCCTGTCATCCCAACACTTTGGGAGGCTGAGGCAGGAGGATAACTTGAGGTCAGGAGTTTGAGACTAGCCTGGCCAATATGGTGAAACCCCGTCTCTACCAAAAATACAAAAATTAGCCGGGCATGGTAGCACATGCCTGTAATCCCAGTTACTGGCGAGGCTGAGTCACAAGAATCGCTTGAACACAGGAGGCGGAGGTTGCAGTGAGCTGAGATCGCACCACTGCACTCCAGCCTGGGCGACAGAATGAGACTCTGTCTTAAACAAACAAACAAACAACAACAACAAAAAAGGTCACAGCTCCAGAAGAGAGTCCCAGCTAGAGACAGGCTGCCCAGATGGCTGCGGACTCCCCCTCTACCTGGTTTTCCTCTTCCCACAGTCCCCATGCCCCTCAGTACTGGGTCAGAACGGGGGCGTGGGGGCACCATCTTAGGGGTCATCAGGAGACGTGAGGCCTGATACTCCAGTCCAGATTGTTAAATTGGACCTGTGAAGTCACTGGCCATCCGTTGTGTGTCATCTGTCACCTCTCCCTCCAGCCCTGTGCTGGGCTCAGGCAGGATGCTGGGCAGTACCACTGAGCAGTGCCTGGTACCTGCCTCTGGGCACTCACAGTCTAGAGGAGGAGGCAGACATGGAACCAGACCTTTTCAGCCACCCAGCCTAGGAGGAGTGACCAGCACTGTGGGAGTGGGGCAGGGGAGGGGAGTGATAGCTGTGCCTAAGGCAGTGGGGACGGGTCCTTAGATTTCCAGGAGCCCTGGAATTCTGGGGCTCCAGCTAGAGAAGCTGCCTTCTCCATTGGCCTGGTGAACTCTGGGCCTGCCCTGGGCCATGACCCTCCCAACACCCACTCCCCTCCCCTGGCTTTCTCCTGTCTCCTCAGTTATCTGAGAGCTGGGGGTGGAGGGCGGCCCCCAGCAAGAAGATGCCAGCAACTTGGTCAGGCGCGGTGGCTCATGCCTGTCATCCCAACACTTTGGGAGGCCGAGGCGGGTGGATCACTTGAGGTCAAGAATTCGAGACCAGCCTGGCCAACATGGTGAAACCCCATCTCTACTAAAAACACAAAAATTAGCCAGGTGTGGTTGTGGGGTACCTGTAGTCCCAGCTACTCGGGAGGCTGAAGCAAGAGAATCACTTGAACCCGGGAGGCAGACGTTGCAGTGAGCTGAGATCACGCCACTGCGCTCTAGCCTGGGCGATAGAGACTCCATCTCAAAAAATAAAAATAAAAAAAGATGCCAGCAACTGCCCCTGAGGTGGGGGGCAGGGCGAGGGGGAGCACGTTGGGCCCCTCAGCCGCCCTGGATGCCTCTTCCAGCTCTGCCCAGGTGGGGACTAGGCCAGTGTGCCCCTCTCCACAAAGCAGAGAGCCCTTAGGGTGGAGCTCCCTGGTGGAGGCTCCCTGGGGAAAATGCAGAGGGCCACAGCCATTCCAGGGAGGCTGAGGCTAAGTGTGGGCAGCCTTGAATGCGCTGCATTGGTCCTAGGCACTCAGTGTCCGGGGCGCCATGCCAGATTGAGACACGAGGTCTCGGGCCTCTGGCAGCCAGGAGGGGCACTTTTCCGTGGGAGCTGTCGCTTTGATTAGGGGCCTGCAGGGCTGGAGGCTTCCACAGTGACAGGTGGTTACAGGCAGTAAGGCAGGGACCCTCTCCTGCTCACATCCCCTGAGGCCATCTGTGGGAGGGAGACTGGGGGGTGGTTCTCCCCTCTCTGAGCCTCCTCACCAAGATCTCAGTCAGAGGCCTCCTTCCTCAGCAGTATCTGGCTCCTGGAATTCTTACTCCCAGCACTGAGTGAGCCCTGGAATACCTTGGAGGGGCACAGGAGGAGGAAGCAGCAGGAACCCACACTTCGTCTCCCTCCTCCAAGCACTGCCCCGACTTACCCTGCCCACCCCCCATCTGTCTCCTGCCCAGGAAGCCCTTTCATTCTTTTTTCTTTTTTTTGAGACAGAGTCTCACTCTGTTGCCCAGGCTGGAGTGCAGTGGTGTGATCCCAACTCATTGCAACCTCCACTTCCCAGGTTCAAGCGATTCTCCTGTCTCAGCCTCTCTAGTAGCTGGGATTACAGGCACCTGCCACCATGCCCGGCTAATATTGTATTTTTAGTAGAGACGGAGTTTCACCATATTGGCCAGGCTGGTCTCAAACTCCTGACCTCAGGTGATCCACCTGGTCGGCCTCCCAAAGTGCTGGGATTATAGGCGTGAGCCACTGCGCCTGGCCTCTTTCATTCTTCAGGAATGCATCTTGAGCCTTCTTTCACCCCCTTGCCTCTCCTCCCAATGGGGGTGTGGCACAGGGACCTTCCCCAGAAGAAGGCTGAACTCCATGACCCTATGGACCATCACACACACACACACACACACACACACGCGCGCGCGCGCGCGCACACCCCTAAATAACTTTAAGTGATTCTCTGACAACTGCAAAGAGACAGAGGTTTGCTGTCCCCTCGCACTAACCTCTGATACAGATGTTGAGCCAGCACAGGGCATCGGGGGACAGCTGGGCAAGGAGCAATGACCTACCCCCAGCCCCACACAGAGGATCTGCTTAGGAGCTGAACAAAGCACTTGCACCTGCAGCATGGCATTTCCTCCTCACCCAGCCATCCTAGGCACGGATGATGACATTCAGTCTCACTTTATAAACTGGGAGAGTGGGGCTCAGGGAGATTAGGTAACACCCAAGGCCACACAGTTGGGTTTGGGTCCTAGGTTTCTGACTCTGTTTTGTTTTGTTTTGTTTATTGAGACAACGTCTTGTTCTGTTGCCCAGGCTGGAGTACCTGGCACAATCATAGCTCACTGCATCTTTTACCTCCTGGGCTCAAGCAGTCCTCCTCCCTCGGCCTTCTAAGTAGCTGTGACTACAGGCATGTACCATCATGCCTGGCTAAATTTTTTTTTATTTTTAAAAAGTTTTGTAGAGATAGGGTGTATTAGTCCATTTTCATGCTGCTGATAAAGACATACCAGAGACTGGGCAGTTTACAAAAGAAAGAGGTTTAATGGATTCACAGTTCCACATGGCTGGGGAGGCCTCACAGTCATGACGGAAGGTGAAAGGCACGTCTCACATGGTGGCAGACAAAAGAATGACAGCCAAGTGAAAGGGGTTTCCCCTCATAAACCCATCAGATCTCGTGAGACTTTTTCAGTACCATGAGAACTGTATGGGGGAAACTGCCCCCATGATAGTCATCTCCCACTGGATCCCTCCCACAACATGAGGGAATTATGGGAGCTACAATTCAAGATGAGATTTGGATGGGGACACAGCCAAACCATATCACAAGGTCTTGCTATGTTGCCCAGGCTGGTCTCAAACTCTTGGCCCCAAGCAATCCTCCCACCTCAGCCTCCCAAAGTGCTGGAATTACAGGTGTGAGCCCTTGCACCCAGCCCCAGGTTTCTGGCTCTAAATTCTATCTCACACTCCTCTCTGATGCCCTGCTGAGGAGAACAGCATATATTAGGAGCAACTGAGCCATGTTTGAGAATGGGGAGGAGTATGGCCCAGAGAGGGCAGGCTGTCCCAACAGATGATTCCACAAATGCTCGGGACCCATGGCCACTCCTCTGCCCTGTCCCTTGGTGTGCTCAACTGAAAAATGGGGAGATGCCAGCCATCTGGCTAGGGATGGGGAGACTAGCTTCTTAAGGTCAACCAGTCCCTCCCTTGTCTCTTGGTAGAAAGAACCCAGTCATCCAATTCAGAGTGGGCCTGCCCCATGGCATCCATTGCAACATGACACAAGAGGGGAGAGGAGGGCATTTCTGAAATGACTTAAGCTCTGGCTTGCTGAAATGGCCTGAAGAACCTTAGTCAGGGAGTGCAAGGTAGACAGTACGGGGGACAGGTTAGCAGAGATCGAGTCAGACTATAGTGGATTTCAGGGCCAAGAAGGCTGCAGCTACACTACATGTCCCTGTGCCTTCCAGCGGGAGAGGGGTAGTGGTAAGAGTGGCAGGCCAAATCTAGGCTCCCCTACTCTGCATCCTCAGACCTCCCCTAGCTCCTGTTTGAATCGGTCCCTCCATCCCCTTTCCAAGTCTTTGACTGCAGAAGCCTCTGGCTGCATCCTGGGCCCCAGAGATCAAAGACCTTGAGCTCAAGTCACGCCTGAGTCACTGGCTTGATGAGCTTCTCACCCCCACTCCCTGCAGATGGATTAATTTCAGTCCCATCAGGAGGCCCCGGAAGCCCTCCAGCCTGTCTCCCATCCTTCGGTATCTCCCTGGGTTGCCGTTTTCTCCCCAGTCACGGCCTCCCACACACATACTGAGGCCTTTGGGTGCATGCTGCAAAGAAACTGTGCTCCCCCAAGGCCACTGAGAAGTTCTTCTTGCAGTCTGACCTGCCTCTGCCTCCTGCTGCTATTCTCCCTTGGTGGCAGGTGACAGAAGTGCCCCACGCTCTTCCCGAATGTCATCACATCCCCCTCCCCCAGGTGTGACCCTGACCATTGGCATCCCCCTCCCCCAGGACCACCAGGAAAAGCAAGGCTGTCTGGGTACAGAATTAGGGGGCTTAGCTCAGATCCCTGCCCTGGAAGAAGACAAAGATTCTGTCTGTGTCTCTGGGTGGGTTAATTAGCTCTGGGCTTGAGTTTCCTTCCTCTCCCCACACAAACAACTCCTCCCCCCAGAGCCCCTTCCTAACAAACCTGTTTTCAGGAGCTGCCGCTGCCAACCCCTCCCAGATCTTCTTTGTGAATGTTGGCTGCTCCAGAGATTACAGGTTATTGTCTGGTGGAGACAGGATGCTGAGGGGGTCGGGGGCTAGCATCGGGACCTGGGCTTGGATGTAGGACTGGATCCAGCTGTGGGCTGGCTGCCTCCTTCCCCCACTCCACCCCCTCCCAGCCACCAGGTGCTCAGGTCGGTAAAGAGCCAGCTTTTAGGAAGAGGAGGGAGAGGAAGGAGTGAATGGAGAGGAGAAGAATGGGGCTGGGGGATCTTGGGTGGGCATGGGAGGGGTGTCAGGAGTTGTAGTGGATCAGGCCGGGTGCTGTGGCTCACACCTGTAATCCTAACACTTTGGGAGGCCAAGGCAGGTGGATCATTTGAGGTCAGGAGTTCGAGATCACCCTAGCCAACATGGTGAAACCTCCTCTCTACTAAAAATACAAAAATTAGCTGGGCATGGTGGCAGGCACCTGTAATCCCAGCTACTCTGGAGGCTGAGGCAGGAGAATTGCTTGAACCCGGGAGGCAGAGGTTGCAGTGAGCCAAGATCTTGCCACTGCACTCCAGCTTGGGTGACAGGGCGAAACACTGCTTCAGAAAAAAAAAAAAAAAGAAGTTCTAGTGGATCAGATAAACTCCCTCCTCTCCTTCCTGGCATCGCCCAGATAGCAGATCCAAGGGTCCAGGTACTAGACTAACAGTGGCAAGACACCTGGATCCCTGCTCCCCAAACCCTGCATGGCCAGTGCTCTTTGATAAAGTGGCAACACCTCTCTGAGGCTCAGTTTCCTCTTCAGCAACAGCAGTTAAACATAAGGGGATGGTGAGGAGAGGATGAGTGAGGCTGGGCAGGAAAACGGGCTCCTGCAGCAGCAAGTCCTGAGGCAAGAGGGCGGCAAGAGCCATCCAGCAGGCAGAGCAGGACCAGCAGCTCCTCCTTCCCTGGAGGTCCCTGTGGACAAAGTCAGTCCTTCCAACCCTTCACTTCAGTGTAAGAGGCCCCAGGCAAGGGAATCCTCTGTGAGTAGGGGGTGAGGGATGCTCCCCGATATCCTCCCCCAGTTCTTGGTCTGCACATTTGCCCCCACACTTCTCCCCTGGGGGAAGAACATGCCCTGTTCTTTCCACCTGTGGTTGGGATGGGGGAAACCAGAGAATGGGCAGCTCCTTCCTGGCAAAGAGAGACAGGGCCCAGGAACGACGCTGCTTTCCAGGCAGAACCAGGAGTCCCTCCCTCGCGCCCTCCCCTCCTGTCCCTCACATCCCCCCCTTCCCTCTGTCACTCTGGCTGGGTTTCATTTGCTCCTCGTTCTGCACTCCGCGGTGGTGCCTCCAAAGGCAGAGAATGCTCTTGGGTGAGTGCTGATGACGCCCGGGCTGGGAAGTGGGGAGAGGGCTTAGGTGAGGGTGGTCCTCTCCCCTCTCCCCAGCCCAATCCTTTCCTGCTATAGTTGGCCCCCAAAAGTTGTCTCTCAGAGACACCAGTAGCCAGTTACTCTCAACCCTTTTCCCAGGTGCAGAGCTGGGCAGGGAAGCCCCCACTCTGGCCGAGAACAAAGGTGAAAGAAAGGGTAGGAATGCTGGGGAGCTGGAGGTCCACCCTGCGGGAAACAGGGGTGCTGGACATCTGGGCAGATGCCTGTCCAGGGAGCCCATGTCAAAGGTTCCTTGTATCAGACCTCACCTTTAACTGCCTCTGAGGGGCCAGGGGAGGGGGAGACGTCCGAGGGGAGTGAAGAGAGAGCTGTTACTGCAGCACAGAAAGAGAGGGAAGCAGACAGAGGGGGACAGAAATCAGGGTGCCTCCTCCCTGAGATCCAGCCACTGCACTGGGGTCCAAATCAATGCTCCCCTCCCCCTCTTTATCTGTGGTCTCCCAGCTCACCTCTCCACACAGACGGTTGCCTGGCCTTTTTTGAGGGAGACAGCCATCACCCATCAAAGGCTATTTGGGGGAACCCTTTCCTTGGGGGCAAGGGCCTGGAGGCAGTGCGACTGGGGGCAGAGTTTATGTTGTGATTGGGCTTTGGAGTCTTCCTCCAGCTTGGGGGCAGTCTGCACATCCTGAGTGCTAGATGACCCAGAAGTGGCTTGGGGGCTCTGGAGAATGTGGGGAGGAACCCCCTGGCCATGGTGGGAGTGGGCATGCAGTGGGTCTTGGCTCAACCTCTCACTCTCCACTTTGGCTCTCTCTCCCCTGGACTCCCATATTCTTCGCAGAGTTTGGGTTTTTATCCATGATAGAAATGGCAGTGTCATTATTTGAGATGTGTTGTGTGCAGGCATGTGCTTCTGGGAGGACCCTATTGTCTGCCCCGTGACTTGGGGGTAGGGGGATGGGGAAAGAGTGGGAGAGAGACTCTGTTTGGAGATATGCTCTTTTAACTCCGATGCATTTAACTTTGTAAGGGGAGTGTGTGTGCACACCGGTCTCTGCATCTGCATATGGCTCTTTGTGTACATGCATCTATCTTTGTGAAGGTGTGTGCCACTGTGTGCCCATTGCTGTCCATGGTCTGTAACTGCATTTGTAGGAGTCTGTACGTTCATGTGCATCTGTCTCTCTGGGTATATGTATACACAAATATGTCTTTGTTGCTCGTGCCCATCTGTGTATGCATGCATGCTCTTGTGTGGCCAGTGTGCCTGCCTTTGCCTCCCAGCCAGCATGGGTATCTGTGTATCTTGGCATCAGTACCACCTCCATATGTATACACATCTCGTGTGTAGATAGAATACATGGTCTAAGTGTGGGGGGAGGTATGTATGTATGTGCCTTGATGTCTAAACCTGCCACTATCCATGGGTGATATGGGCCTCAGGTTGTGTGTCTCTGTGCTCGTGTGTGTGTGTCTGTCTGTCTGTCTTTTCCCATTATGGCAAAATAGCAGGATGTGGTTTTCCCAGATCTTCTCCCTTGGTGGCAGCCAGGGTGATGTTATTTCATAAGATTTCTGCTCTGTGCCCTGCCCCAGCCTCGGTTGGACCTTTGGGGGCAGCCTCTTCTTCTGTACTGGTCTGGCTTGCTCATACCTCTGACCACACCCCACCCTCTTGAGGCAGTTAGCTAATGAGCCATGGCTGCTCCAAGACACTTAAGGTGGCTGTTCCGCAGCAAAATGCCATCCAAGAAGACCTACCCCCAACCTGACCCTTTCAGGGTGCAGAATTCTAGACCTGAGGGCTGTGTGGTGCCACTCGGGGGCAGCTGTGGGGGCTGCAACATCTCCCTTCATTTGAGTGTAGCCAGGAGTCAGGCGGCCACACGTGTGTGTGCATGTGATTCGCGCTCCATCCCAGCAGCTCTGGGGCTGGGGTTCACAGTGAATGTCAGAGGCAGACGGTGGGTGGCACAGAGCAGTGCTGCATGGAGGATGCTGGGGCAGAGGAGTTCCCAGCAGCCACTGGTGGGGCTGGGACCTCAAATCAACATGCACCCTAGGCCTTTTGCAGAAGAGCAGCGTACCCAATTGTGAGGGGACTGGAAGGCATTTCTGGGTGACTTTGTGCTGTCTGGAAGGGGAGACTGGGTCATTGTCTGGACATGCCCTTGATCCACAGCAGCAGGCCAGCCCCCTCTCTGAATGGCCTCCACACCTAGCACCTCATTTGGTCTTCAGACCCATTTCTGTCCTGCCCTAGCCTCCTCCCCAAGTTGTAATTCCCACTTTACAGATGAGGAAACAGGCTCATAGCTAAGTGTCCAGTCCAAGGCCTCAGAGTTAAATATAACTGGAGCTCCATCCCAGGCCTCTGGACTCCACACCTCCACGTCTGCACATTCCTCTTGCAGGGAAGCTCCTCAATTCACCTCTCAGAGTAACGCAGACCGGGATGAGGGTCGGCTGTGTATCAGAGTTTTAGAAAAAGGTCACGCCAACCTCCCTCCCTCTTCCCCACTCTGTCAACCCCACTGCAAATAACTCACTAGGCTAAAACAATAAGCTTCCCAGTTCCAACTCCTCCGGAGGAGGCTTCCCACCAGGTGGGAAGGTCAAAATCCCCAGCATTCCCCTAGAGCCATCCAGCATCAGGCACTGCCCCCACCCACCCCAATTCTTCATGAACCTGCAGCGACCTGTCAACTTCCAGAGGAATCCTTGCTCTGCCATCCCACGGCCTGGAGTGCCCTTCCCCTAGTAAAAGTTCACTTACCCAGAATGCTGCGAACCCTAATTGACCCGCCCTGCAGACCTTCAGCTGGTCGCCCGCTCCTTCGTGATCCCAAAGCACTTGCTTCCAAACTCTCAGAACACTTTGCAGCCTCTACCGCGCTCTACCTGTCTGTGGCTTAGGCTGTGAGCCCCTCGAGGAACCCCGGATACATGCGCGGACCGAATGAACCCCGGCACCGCGCTGCCTGCGGTCTAGCCTCTGGCTCCTGCTGCCGCGCGTGGGGCGGCAGGGGCTGGGGGGTGGGGCCGGGGCCGGGCTGAGCGCGCTGGGCGGGAGGCGCCGCAGGTGGGCGCGGCCAGGTGAGCCCCGGGGGCGCCGCCCGCCCTGCCCGGGACCCTGGCCGGCGCTGGCTGCTGGCGCCTCTTCGCCCCCGTTGCCGCTAGTGGCTGCTGTCGCTCCGTGGAGCCCAAGGAGACCGCGGCCAGAGCGTCCACCGCCCAAGATGGTGGCTCCTGTGTCTCCGTGAGTGCGAGCGGACGGGGCGGGGGCGCCAGGCCGGGCTGGACGCCCCCTCCCGGAGCGGGCGGGACGGGCGGGCGGAGGCTCAGTGCCTCTGCGGGACCCACCGAGGGCTCTGTCACCGCGCGCCCCCCAGAGGAAGTTCCTCAGCCCTCCCCGTCCCAGCCCCCGGGAGGATGCGTGAGAAGAGGTGCAGGGGAGCCCCTTCTCACCAGGGCTGTCAGAGCAGGGGGCGCCCGGCCCTGTCTGCTGAGTGCTGGACTTCTCTTAGTGGGGTCCCAAAGCAAGGGGCCCCCAGGAGCCCGGGGAGGAGGCTCGGGACCCACATTCTGGGGCCACATGAATACTGTTTGAGGCTTACATGCCTTGGGGTCCTTGTCAAGTTGTTCCTGCTCCCATCCGGCTGGTCAGGGTGTGGAGAGAAATGAGAGGAGACCTGTGTCTGCAGCAAGTGTGCCCTCCTGGTCAGCCTTGGTCACAACTGGACCCATGGAGTTTTGTTTACACCTCACTCCACTCAGCCTGTTTCCTTGAGGTTGAGGTGGGGAGAATGTCAATGGAATTTGACCTGTTTATAGCAGCTCTGTCCAATAGAACTTTCTGGGATGATGTAAATGTGCTGTCCAATGCAATAGCCACTAGCCACATTGGCTACTAAGCACTTGAAAAGTGCCTAGTGTGAGCTGAATGCTAATGTTTTATTTAATTCTAAGTAATTTAAACAGCTGCATTTACAATAGCTGCAGTGGCCAGTGGCTGCTGTGTTGGACAGAGCCGTTTTAGAATCTCCACCTTCCTGGGCTCTACCTACCTGCCTTTTGTTCTGCAGAATGGGCAGGATAGGCAGCTTCGATGTACATGGAAAGGATCTGACAAAATTCCAGAAGGGCATCACCTTGCTTTTGCACCCCTCTGCCCCCATTCTGAGATCCTGTGCATAGTGGGCTGGGCAAGGTCATAGAATCACAGGATCTTGGGAGGAAAGGATGTCAAAGGCAGCTGTTTTAATCACCTAAAAGGTGCCCAAGGGCTGGCTCCACTGCCCTCTCTGCCTGGGAACCTGCTCTTTCTTATTCACTGCCCAACTGTGTGGTGCACTTGCTGGGTGTCAGGCACTGTACCCATCTCTGGGATTCAGACATGAAGAAGTTAGTTACCTTTCCTGCCCTCAGGGAACGTGCATGAGAAGGGGGGTGGAGAGAGGATGAAGCAAGAGAACTACACAGATAGAAGCAGAGATTTGTAATCTGTGGAGCATGGAATGGAGAGAACAAACAGGGAGCAATGACAGAAAAGAAGGGACTTCCTGGGAATGGATGGTTAAGCTAAGGCCAAAGGGGAAATGAAACAGGCCAGGTAAAGCATTGGGAGGGCAGCTGGGAATATTCTGGAAGAAGGGACAGCACGGGCAAAGGACCCGGGGGATGGGAACCTGGCACTCTGGAGGAACCCAGAGAGAAGGGTGGTGTTACTAGGAAGGAAGGGAGACACAAGTGGCCACCAGAGAGGTCAGTAGCCCTGGGCATTTGGCAGACCTCAAAGGAATTCTGGCACTGGCCTTAGAGGAGTGGGTGGTTGTGGAGGGGTCTAAAGCAGTATTTTTGTTTTTTTTTTTTTTGAGATGGAGTCTTGCTCTGTCTCCCAGGCTGGAGTGCGGTGGCATGATCTCGGCTCACTAAAGTGGTATATTTTTAAAAGCCCCCCTCTGGTTAAGAGAGGTTAAGAATGGAAACCCAGTGTGCAGTCAGGAAGCAACTGCACTCGTCCAGGCAAAAGATAAAGGTGGCCTGGACAAGGCCGCCAGGCAGTGGTGTGGAGAGAAGGGACAAGTTAGAAGTGGATTTTGGAGGAAGAATCAACAAGACCTATGGATGGAGCAGGTTCTGGATGTAGAAGAGAACAGGGATTGAAGGGCAGGTTTCTGGACAGGGCACCTAGGAAGAAGGATGGATTTCATTTCCTGAGACAGGGATGATTGGGAGAGGGGCATATTTGCTTTTGTTTTTGTTTTTAGAGACAGGGTCTCGCTGTGTCACCCAGGGTGGCTGGAGTACAGTGATGTGATCACAGTTCACTGCAGTCTCAAACTCGGGCTCAAGTGATCCTCCTGCCTCAGCTTCCCGAGTAGCTGGGACTATAGGCATATGCCACCATGACCGGCTAATTTTTTTTTTTTTTTTTTTGGTAAAGACAGGTTCTCCCTATGTTGCCCAGGCTGGTCTCAAACTCATGGGCTCAAGCAGTCCTCCCACCTCAGCCTCCCAAAAATGCTAGGATTACAGGTGTGAGCCACCACATCCAGCCAAGAATGGCATATTTATAAGGATAGATCAACAGTTCTGTCTAGGAACAGGCCGGGGAGGCAGCTGGATGGAGTGGTGTGGTGCCCAGGCTGGGTTTGTGTATTTCCCAGTGGTCTGCAGAGATGGTTCTGAAATGTTAGACAATTTGAAGTTGGGAAGGGGGGGAGGAGATGACCTCCAGAGGCCAAGGAGTGATGGACAGAGGAAGGAAAACCAAGGAACATGGGATCCTAGAAGCCAAGAGAAAAGAGGATTCCAAGGAGGGTGTGGTGAGCATCACCAAGTGCCACTCAAGAGTCCCAAGGGCCAGGCACGGTGGCTCACACCTATAATCCCAGCACTTTGGGAGGCTGAGGCGGGCAGATCACGAGGTCAGGAGTTCGAGACCAGCCTGACCAACACGGTGAAACCCTGTCTCTACTAAAAATACAAAAAATTAGCTGGGCATGGTGGTGCGCGCCTGTAATCCCAGCTACTCAGGAGGCTGAGGCAGGAGAATCGCTTGAACCCAGGAGGCGGAGGTTGCAGTGAGCCGAGATCACACCACTACACTCCAGACTGGGCAACAGAGCAAGACTCTGTCTCGAAAAAAAAAAAGTCCCAAGGAAGAGGGCCAAGAAGTTACGATTGCATCTGGCAGCCTTTCCTTGCACCAAACCAGCCGGCCCTGGAACTCTCCTCATCTGCCCTTGTTTTACCCACCTACTATGTGCTGGTTCCACACAGGGCACTGGTATACATGTCAAGTGGACAAGACAGTTACTGCAGTCTCAGAGCTTCAGATCGTCTAATTGGGCCAGGCGCCTGTAATCCCAGCACTTTGGGAGGCTGAGATGGGCGGATCATCTGAGGTCGGGAGTTCGAGATCAGCCTGGTCAACACGGTGAAACCCCGTCTCTACTAAAAATTCAAAAAAATTAGCCGGGGCCAGGCGCAGTGGCTCACACCTGTAATCCCAGCACTTTGGGAGGCTGAAGCGGGCGGATCACGAGGTCAGGAGATCAAGACCATCCTGGCTAACATGGTGAAACCCTGTCTCTACTAAAAATACAAAAAAATTAGCCGGGCATGGTGGCGGGCACCTGTAGTCCCAGCTACTCAGGAGGCTGAGGCAGGAGAATGGCGTGAACCCGGGAGGTGGGGTTTGCAGTGAGCCGAGATCGCGCCACTGCGCTCCAGCCTGGGTGACAGAGTGAAATTGCGTCTCAAAAAAAAAAAAAAAAAAAATTAGCCGGGCATGGCGGCATGTGCCTGTAATCCCAGTTACTTGGGAGGCTGAGGCGGGAGAATCGCTTGAATCCGGGAGGTGGAGATTGCAGTGAGCTGAGATCGCACCACTGCACTCTAGCCTGGGTGACACAGTGAAACTGTCTCAATTAAAAAAAAAAAAAAAGGAAAAAAAATATCATCTAATTGACAGTCTCAGAAACAAGAGTTCTTTCATGTGGCCAAAATGAATCCATTCATTTCTTTTTTAATGTGTTGGCATTGTTTTCTATTTTTATTTTATCTTTAAATGTTATTTATTTATCTTTTGGAGACTGGGTATTGCTGTGTTGCCCAGGCTAGTCTTGAACTCCTGAGCTCAAGTGATCCTCCTGCCTTGGCCTCTCGTATTTTTATTTTTAGTTTAAAATTTTATCTATTTATTTATTTTGAGACAGGTTCTCACAATTTTTCCCAGGCTGGAGTGCAGTGGCATGATCATAGCTCACTATAGCCTTGAACTCCTGGGCTCAAGTGATCTTCCCACCTCAGCCTCCTGAGTAGCTGGGACTACAGGCATACACCACCATGCCCAGCTAATTTTTTAAAAACATTTTATTTGTAAAGACAAGGTCTCCTTATGTTGCCCAGGCTGGTATGGAACTCCTGGGCTCAAGAGATCCTCCTACCTCAGCTTCCCAAAGTGCTGAGATTACAGGTGTGAGCCACCATGCCTGGCCCTTTCATTCTTTTAAACAACCAACTTTTACTGAGAGGTATCTGTGTGCCCAGCCCCAGACAGGGACTTACGAGATATGAAAATGAACAAACATGGTCTTGGCTTCTAGGAACTCAGTGCAGAGATATGTACAGAATCCCTGTATTCACCATATTGTGTCATGAAGACTCACGCATAGGGAGCTGTGGGGAACTAGAGGATGGCTACCAGCCCAGGTTGTGGGGATCAGCATGGCAGAAGGGATATCTGAGCTGCTCTCAGGCAATGAGTGGGAATTAGTAAGGAAAGAGGAGGGAGAGGGAATTCTAGGCTCAGAGGATGAAGGCAGGGACAAAGTAACAGCTTGGTGTCTACTGGGAATGCAAGCCTTCAGGATTGATTGGGCAGACAGGAATGGCGGGAGGCTCTATTAACAGAAGTATTCAGAGGCTGGGGAGGGCCTTGCTGGCTTGTGGTTAGGTGTGTAGACTTAGGCAGTGGGATATCAGTAAAGAGGTGGAAACTAGGGAGTGACACAGTTGGATCTATGTGTGAGCTTGCTGTCTCTGGCTGTTGGGTGAGGGATGAGTCTGGGGGAAATGACCATGCAGAGACCGAGGCAGCTGCAGTGATCGAGGTGATACCGTGAGGGCCTGAACTGGGCCAAGGCTAGGCAGCTGGAGGGAGAGAGACAGTACAGACCAGGGTCTCAGTACAGCCTTTGGGGTCAGGAGGTCACTCTGATTGAGCCTCAGCTACTTATTGCTTATGAATCCTGGAGCAAGCCAGTTAAAGTCACAGACCTCAGTTTTGTCCTCTCCAAAAGGATAATATCTCAGCCACAGAGAGTCATCTGGGTCTGACCCTGGATCGTTGTAAAGCACTTAGCACAGGGCCTCAGTTCACATTCCAGAAATGGTAGTTACATTTAGGCATGAAGACGAGGACACAGGTTGGAGAGATAATTAAAAGGTAGAGTTAAGGCCAGGCGCGGTGGCGCACGCCTGTAATCCCAGCACTTTGGGAGGCCGAGACGGGCGGATCACAAGGTCAGGAGATCGAGACCATCCTGGCTAACACGGTGAAACCCCGTCTCTACTAAAAATATAAAAAATTGGCTGGGCGCGGTGGCTCACGCCTGTAATCCCAGCACTTTGGGAGGCCGAGGCGGACGGATCACAAGGTCAGGAGATCGAGACCATCGTGGCTAACACGGTGAAACCCCGTCTCCACTAAAAATACAAAAAATTAGCCGGGCGTGATGGCGGGTGCCTGTAGTCCCAGCTACTTGGGAGGCTGAGGCAGGAGAATGGTGTGAACCCGGGAGGCAGAGCTTGCAGTGAGCCAAGATTGCGCCACTGCACTCCAGCCTGGGCCACAGAGTGAGCCTCTGTCTCAAAAAAAAAAAAAAAAAGGTAGAGTTGGCAGGTTTTGGCCAATGGCTGGACATGGCTTTTCAGTCCTGAACTGCTCATCCTGGCCTCGTGCCTGGGGAGGTGGCAGAGTGAGGGAGGTAGAGGCAACTGGCTAGCTGCCTTCAGTCTGAGGCCCCAGGTCTGGGCTACCCATCCCAGAACCACAGTACCAATGGGTATGAGTGTGAGTGTGTGTTCACCTGTGTGTATAAGGAATGGAGCTTTAGAGAAAGCAAATCTTCCTGTGTCTTGGAAAGAATCAGCTTTCTGCTGATTTCTTTTCTTTCTTTTTTTTTTTTTTGAGACAGAGTTTTGCTCTTGTTGCCCAGGTTGGAGTGCAATAGCGTGATCTCGGCTCACTGCAACCTCCGCCTCCCGGGTTCAAGCGATTCTCCTGCCTCAGCCTCCCGAGTAGCTGGGATTACAGGCATGTGCCACCATGCCAACTAATTTTGTTACCTTTAGTAGAGATGGGGTTTCTCCATGTTGGTCAGGCTGGTCTCGGACTCCTGACCTCAGGTGACCTGCCTGCCTCGGCCTCCCAAAGTGCTGGGATTACAGGCATGAGCCACCCCACCCGGCCGTCTTTTTTTTTTTTTTTTTTTTTTTTGAGACAGGGTCTAGCTCTATTACCCAGTCTGGAATGCAGTGGCGCCATCATGGCTCACTGCAACCTTTGCCTCCCAGGCTCAAGCAATCCTGCCTCAACCTCCCCAGTAGCTGGGACTAGACATGCACCACCATGCCTGGCTAATTTTTTTTTTTTTTTTTTTTTTTAGAGATGGGGTTTTGCCATGTTGCCCAGGCTGGTCTTGAACTCCTGGGCTTAAGTGAGCCACCTCCCAAAGTGCTGGGATTATAGGAGTGAGCCACCATGCCTGGCCTGATTTCCTTCTGATGAAATAGATGACTGTGGGCTGAAGGGCACAGTCATCTTTTGGGCTAGGAGTTGAGAGTTCTGAGTTTTAGTCCTGGTTCACTATGAACTCCTCATGGGCCCTGAGAACCACTACCTGTCTCCAGACTCAGTTTCCCCTTTATAAAATACAGTTGCCTAGGTGATGCCAGCCTTTCCAGTTCTGAGATGCTTCATCAGTCAAAGCGAATTAGTGCCTTGTCCTGGGTGGAAAGAGACCCTGGGAGGGGGCTGGGGTCCCCATACCTCCCCTGCTTTGGATAATGCTCTAGGGCCCTTTGCATGACTCCACCCACTGCCCAGAGCCCCTGCCCCAGTGAGTCCCTCCACCCCTCAGCTGGGAGGACTCTGTGGGCAGCATGAAGCCTACCACTCCACCCTAAACCACCCCTACCATGACAGACCCCTAACACCTCTGCCTGTCTCTTTCATCTCCAGTCTCCCACCGGCAGAGCAGGAATAAACTCTCCAGGCTTAGATGGATGGGCCCTGTTAGCCTGGCGGGCTGCCCCCAGCCTGCCTCCCCATCAACTCTCCTTGTCAAGGGAGGTGCCTGTGTGTGGGGGAGGCAGGGGGGCAAGAGCATTCAGGTGGGGGTTGGGGGTTCCTTGCTGAGAGAGCAAGAATGGTGCCCCCAGGGAAGAAACCAGCGGGAGAGGCCTCCAACTCCAACAAGAAGTGTAAGCGTTACTTCAACGAGCACTGGAAAGAGGAGTTTACCTGGCTGGACTTTGACTATGAGCGGAAGCTGATGTTCTGCCTCGAGTGCCGCCAGGCCCTGGTACGGAACAAGCATGGCAAAGCCGAAAACGCCTTCACTGTGGGCACAGACAACTTCCAGCGCCACGCCCTGCTGCGCCACGTGACCTCAGGAGCCCACCGCCAGGCTCTGGCTGTCAACCAGGGCCAGCCCCCTTTTGAGGGCCAGGCTGAAGGTGGAGGGGCCTGCCCAGGCCTGGCTACGACCCCTGCCTCCAGGGGCGTCAAGGTGGAGTTAGACCCGGCCAAAGTGGCTGTGCTGACTACTGTGTACTGCATGGCAAAGGAGGATGTGCCCAATGACCGCTGCTCTGCCCTGCTCGAGCTGCAGAGGTTCAACCTGTGCCAGGCACTGCTGGGCACAGAGCATGGCGATTACTACAGTCCCAGGAGGGTGAGGGACATGCAGGTGGGTGACAGCCAGAAGTATGGGGGAAGGGCTTGGGAAGGGAGGACACTGAGCCACCTGGGAACAGCCCCAGCATGCCAGCTCCTTGGGGAGCAGCTAGGGCATTTCATTCATATCTTCACCCTTCAGAACCTTCCCTGAGAGCCTATGTCCCTGGTCCTGGGCCAGCTGCAGGGATACAACAGTGAAGAGGCCAGACCAGGCCTCTTAGCGGGCACAGGGGCACTCTTCTCACTGCCTAAATCAGACGTTGCAAACTGGTGGCCTGGAGGCTTGATTGACCCACAGATGTATTTAATTTTTTTTTTTTTTCTTGAGGAATCTCACTCTGTCACCCAGGCTGGAGAGCAGTGGCGTGATCTCAGCTCACTGCAACCTCTGCCTTCCTGGCTCAAGTGATTCTCCTGCCTCAGCCTCCCTATTAGCTAGGAATATAGGCATGTGCCACCACGCTCAGCTAATTTTTGTATTTTTAGTAGAGACGGGGTATCACCATGTTGGCCAGGCCAGTTTCGAACTCCTGACCTCAGGTGATCTGCCTACCTCAGCCTTCCAAAGTGCTGGTATTATAGGTGTAAGCAACCGCGCCTGGCCTCTGTTTTTTGTTTTTTGGTTTTTTTTAAACATAGAGATGGGGTCTCATTATGTTGCCCAGGCTGGTCTTGGGCTCCTGGCCTCAAGCAATCCTCCTGCCTTGGCCCCGCAAAGTGCTGGAATGGAAATGGAAATGACTTTTGACTTAGTTTTCTTTTGGGGCTGTTTTCTGTGCTGAGCCTGTTTAATTGGTTTTCATAATGTTTTTGAAAAACTCGAATGTGTTTCAACTTTTAAAAAACTCAGGAGATTACATATAAAAATCTAGATTTGTGACTTGTGTTGAAAAGCAAGGTCCCCATGCTCTCAGAGCAGGATGTGCTGGAGTTGGAGAGCAGGGTGTTCCCTCTGGCTTATCCCTGGCCCTCTCCAAGCTCAATATCACTCACATGGCCCCTGGAAGCATGCAAATTGCAGCTCTGTCCTAGGTACTAACTGTGTAAGTCCTATGGGCTGGGTTGGAGGTGGGGGAGTTGGATCTCATCCTACAGAGATGACAAATAGAGAAACAGCACACAGCTGGGACCCAGGGTGACTGGTTGGGAGTTGGGAGTGAGTGTGCCTATCAGTTAATCACTGAGCTGGACAGTGGAGGGAGACCCCCAGGAATAGGGCAGACTAGGATGATGCTATAGAAAAACACAGTGAAAAAACTAGCTTTCCTAGAGCTCTTTATGATTCATAAAGTGCTTTTACCACAACAAAAGTTGATGTTTATAATTCACAACAAGCTTTGAGAAGATTTCGGGCTGGTATTAGCTGACAGCAGGTATAAGAGCTGAGAAAACTAGACCGGGTGTGGTGGGAGGCCGGGGTGGGAGGATATTCTTAGACAGGCCAGGAGCTGTAGAGATGAGAAAACTGAGGCTCGGAGAGGTGAAGTGACTGGCCGAAGGTAGCACAGCCAGTAAGTGGCAAAGCCAGGATTAGTCCCTAAGTCTGTCTAACCTCAAGGCCTGGGCTCTTTCCACCACCCCGCACTGCCTGCCTCCGCCTCTCAGGACAAGCCTAACTCAGTCCTCCCTCCCTTTCTTTCCCTGGCTGTCCCAGGTGGCCATTGCCAGTGTCTTGCACACAGAGGCCTGCCAGCGCCTGAAGGCATCCCCATATGTGGGGCTGGTGTTGGACGAGACCAGAGACTGGCCGGAGTCACACAGCCTGGCCCTGTTTGCCACTTCAGTGTCCCCCTGTGATGGCCAGCCCGCCACCACCTTCCTGGGCAGTGTGGAGCTACAGGAGGGCGAGGCCACTGCTGGCCAGCTCTTGGACATCCTGCAGGCTTTCGGCGTATCTGCACCCAAGCTGGCCTGGCTCAGCTCAAGCCTCCCCAGTGAGCGCCTGGGGAGTGTGGGCCCACAGCTCCGGGCCACTTGCCCACTGCTGGCAGAGCTGCATTGTCTCCCTGGCCGGACAGATCCTGAGCCCCCGGCCTACTTGGGTCAATATGAGAGCATATTGGATGCCCTATTCCGCCTCCATGGTGGCCCTAGTTCCCACTTGGTCCCTGAGCTCCGGGCAGCACTGGACCTTGCAGCTATTGACTTGGCAGGGCCTCGGCCAGTGCCCTGGGCCTCCCTGCTGCCTGTAGTGGAAGCAGTGGCCGAGGCCTGGCCTGGCCTGGTGCCCACCCTGGAGGCTGCAGCCCTTGCCTCACCTGTGGCGGGGTCACTGGCCCTGGCCCTGCGCCAGTTCACCTTCGTGGCCTTCACCCACCTGCTGCTGGATGCCCTGCCCTCTGTGCAGAAGCTCTCCCTTGTCCTGCAGGCAGAAGAGCCGGACTTGGCCTTGCTGCAGCCTCTGGTGATGGCGGCTGCGGCCTCCCTCCAAGCTCAGCGCGGCTCAGGTGGGGCCCGCCTCCAGGGCTTCCTGCAGGAACTGGCATCCATGGACCCTGACGCCAGCAGCGGACGCTGCACCTACCGCGGCGTGGAGCTGCTCGGTTACTCCGAGGCTGCGGTCCGGGGCTTGGAGTGGCTCCGGGGATCCTTCCTGGACTCCATGCGGAAGGGCCTACAGGACTCCTACCCCGGGCCTTCGCTGGACGCCGTGGCCGCCTTCGCAGCGATCTTCGACCCCCGACGCTACCCGCAGGCGCCGGAGGAGCTGGGCACGCATGGCGAGGGGGCGCTGCGGGTGCTGCTGCGCGGCTTTGCTCCTGCCGTGGTGCGCCAGCGGGCGCTGGGCGACTTCGCGCTGTTTAAGCGCGTAGTATTCGGCCTTGGGCGGCTCGGCCCGCGGGCCCTGTGCACCCAGCTGGCGTGCGCGCACTCGGAGCTGCACGAGCTCTTCCCCGACTTCGCCGCCCTAGCCGCCTTGGCTTTGGCGCTGCCCGCGGGCGCTGGCCTGCTGGACAAGGTCGGCCGCAGCCGGGAGCTGCGGTGGTGGGGGCAGAGTGGGGCCGGGGAAGGCCGGGGGGGCCACATGGTGAAGATCGCAGTGGATGGGCCCCCGCTGCACGAGTTTGACTTCGGGTTGGCTGTGGAGTTCTTAGAGAGTGGGTGGGGAGAGGGCTTCCTGGGGTCGCAGCTCACCTGAGGGTGGCCTCCTTCCCTCGGCCCATCCAGCCTGGGGCCCTGGGCACTGTAAGGGCCAACCTAGACTTGACCATGCTGCACCCAAGATGATCTGCTGACTGCAGCCTCCCAGGGGCCTGAGGCCATCCACCCGCCCTTCTGGAGCTTCCCACCAACCCCCCCCACCCTGTGGGCTGTGGAGGAAGGGACTGGCTCAAGAGGGGCCTGGGCGGGTGGGCAGAGATGCTAGGATCTGGGGTACCCTAAATCATTCCTGGCCTTTACACAGTTAGATGAGGAGTAGCTCACCCTTTTCCCTTCTGGACTCGGGGCAAGTTTGGGTCCCCCCAAAGATGGGAGTTTTTGGCTTGGGGAAGGAAGACTAGGTCTTGGAAATTGAGTGGCTGAGGGAACGGACACTGGTCCTTGGTCCTTGGCTGTTTCTTTCTTTTTCTTTTCTTTTTTTTTCTTTTTTTGAGATGGAGTCTTGCTCTGTCGCCCAGGCTGGAGTGCAGTGGTGTGATCTTGGCTCACTGCAACCTCTGCCTCCTGGGTTCAAGCAATTCTCCTGCCTCAGCCTCCTGAGTAGCTGGGATTACAGGCGCCTGCCACCATGCCTGGCTAACTTATGTATTTTTAGTAGAGACAGGGTTTCACCATGTTGGCCAGGCTGGTCTCGAACTCCTGACCTCAAGTGATCCACCTGCCTCGGCCTCCCAAAATGCTGGGATTACAGGCATGAGCCACTGCGTCTGGTCCTTGGCTGTTTCTTAGCCCCACTCCTGGCAGTGTCTCTTCTCTTCAGCTATGACTGGGGAGTAGATGACCGTGCTTGTTTCTGACACACAGCACAGTGTCCTCTCTGTACACAAGCTGGTGGTTCAAGGGCCAATGGTTCCAGAGAGATAGTGGTTCCCTTCCTTCCCTCCTCACCAATAGGCAGCCTCAGGCCTTTTCTGTGTATAACTGTGTATATAGACATAAAAACCTACAAATGTGAAATAAATCTATGCTATCTTTCATAGTGTTACCACACAAACATCTAAAAGGACTACTTTTGGTTTTGCAATGACAGGGTCGAAAAAAGCCCCAGATGGGCTGGATTTTTTTTTTTTTCTGATATTTTCTTCCTCAAAGTCCAGTTGCTCTCCAAGTTCCTACCCCTCCCCTGCCCTTGCCTCAGACCTTTAAGACCAAAGACTGCAAAACCACAGTGCTGTACCTGCCACCTCCAAGGACTGGCGTCGAGGCCCAACCCAGGAATGTTGGCTTATTTACCTCCTGGGGGAAGCAGTTTAGGCCTCATCAGAGCTGGGGAGCACATCCCTTCAGAGCCCATGGGTTTCCCATTCCCTCCTGTCAGCCCTGGCCATGAAATCCTGGGGATCTGGAGGGAGGGAGGATAGTTAGAGAGTGAGAGGGGCGAGGGCTAGCCTTTTCCTAATACCCCTGGGTTTGAGTTTAATTTGCAATAAAATGGAATCCCAGCACATCATGCAGTCTCCATGGTGGTGTGTGTGTCAGGGCCTGCCCAGACCCCTCTGTCCCTCTCTTGGCTGGGCTGCCCTGGGGTTCAGTATGCTGCCTCAGTAGGGGCAGGAGGGTCATCCCTCTGGGCTGGGAGCCTCAACTGTGGACTCCCTGCCTCTGCTTCCCCAGCTGTGGGGAGGAAGGGCACAGAGAAGGGGGCTATAATCACTATGGGTCTGGCTGGTGCCACTCTGTGAAGAGAGACACAGGTTTCTGCCCAGCTCCACACCCAAGAAGCCCACCCGCCTCTTGTTCTGGCCACGGGGGTAGGACAGAGCCCATTTCAGACCCTGCCCTTCTTCCTCCTGCAGCAGGCCCGGCCTCCGGCGCCCCCAGCCCCCTGCTGGCCTCCCTGCCCCTGCCCACCCGGCCTCTGCAGCCCCCGCTGGACTTCAAGCACTTGCTCGCCTTCCACTTCAATGGCGCTGCCCCGCTCAGTCTCTTCCCCAACTTCAGCACGGTATGGGCTGGGCTGGCGGGTGGGGGCATGCACACAAGCTTGTGGGTGGGCACAGAAGGTGGGTTCAGAGGGTCCAGCTCTCAGCAGCTGGGTCTAACCAGGAGCTTTTTCTCCAACATCCCCCAGAGGGGATAGGTGCTCCCCAAATAGGGACCCCTATTTGGGATCCTAAGAGAGGGACCCGCTCTCTCTTAGGCTGGGGAACAAGATGGTGTCAGCCCTTTCCCCACCCCCACCATCATAGCTGCTGGGCCTGCAAGGGCCTGTAGTCTGTGCATTCCACTTAAGCTTCTGTGTAGGCGCTCCTGTGGATGACGTGTGTGTGTGTGTGTGTGTGTGTGTGTGTGTGTGTGTGTGTAACCTGTGCCTTTTTGTTGTAGTTTCTATAGGTTTTGTATGTTATATGTGGATGTGAGTTTGTGTGTTGGTGTCCAACGTGTGTTTGTAAACAACTCTTTGTGCATGGGTAATTTTATGTAATTAAGGTATGTGCCTGCACAATCTGAGGGTTTATTGTGTCCTTGTGTCTTTTGTGTGTTTGGCGTGTATCTGCCCTCTGAGCATGCGTGTTTTTGTGTGGCTTGGGTGATTGTGAGTTTACCTGTGGTCATGTGCCCTTTGTGTGCATGAGTGTGAATTGTTCTGCTTGTCTGAGCATTTGTAACTGCCTGAAGCTTCTGTGCTGTGTGTGTGTCCTAGTCTGTACATTTCCTTGTACACGTGTGCATAACAAGTATATGAATTTTAATTCACTATATGAGGGATCAGCAACCATCTCTGTTTTTTTAAATTTTGAAAACTCAAGTGAAATCATGGGTGTGGCATGCCCCATCCTGAGCAGATGGTGGCAAACTCCACCTCAGTCACACTTAGGAATCCCTTCCCTCCCACCCTCCAGAGTTAGACAGAGGTCCTAAGGAGTCTGAGGCATTTGGGGGGTGGTCCTCTGGTCTTGAGTCCTTGCTGTCGCTTGCTGACAGGCTCACTGTTGAATGGCATGGTTCCAATTGCAGGGGGCCCCTGCAGGCCATTCTCCTCTGAGGTCCTGTCCCCTGAGCCCCTTGCTGGCCCTGGGTGCTGTGAAAATTTGAACCACTTTCTGTTCTCAGGGAAGTTTCTGCACCCATGTTCTTCTCTCTAAGCTCTGTTTTCTTTTCTTGGGAAGGTTTGGAAAGTTCCTTTTTTATTTTATTTTATTTTTATATAAGCAGAGATGAGGTCTCACTATATTACCCAGGCTGGTCTCAAACTCTGGAGCTCAAGGGATCCTCCCACCTCGGCCTCCCAAAGTGCTGGGATTACAGGTGTGAGCCACCACGCCCAGCCTGGAAAGTTCTTGACAAGTTCAGACAGCTGCATTTGGCCCAACTTCCTGAGAAAAGGGAACATAAAGCCTTAATTCTATAGAAGAAAAAAATGATTTAAAATAAGGAAAAGAAGCTAGGTGCAGTGGCTCATGCCTGTCATCCCAGCACTTTGGGAGGCTGAGGTGGGCTGATCATCTGAGGTCAGGAGTTTGAGACTAGCCTGGCCAACAGAGATGGTGAAACCCCATCTCTACTAAAAATACAAAAATTAGCCGAGCATGGTAGTGGGCACCTGTAGTCCCAGCTACTTGGGAGGCTGAGGCAGGAGAATCGCTTGAGCCCAGGAAGCGGAGGTTGCAAGATTTTGGCTCCGCCATTGCACTCCAGCCTGGGCGACAAGAGGGAGACTCCATCTCAAAAAAATAATAAGGAAAAGAAAAAAAATCCAAATTAATATTCCAAAGAAACGATCCTACTCCTTGGGGAACCTTAGGCCTCCACTTGCTGCTCCCTGCCCCCTACTGGCCCCCCACCTCCCCTGGCTGTGGCTCTCACTCTCTCAAGAGAGGTCGTCATGGCTGGGCACGGTGGCTCACACCTGTAATTCCAGCACATTGGGAGGCCAAGGCAGGCGGATCATTTTGAGGGCAGGAGTTCGAGACCAGCCTGGCCAACATGGTGAAACCCTGTCTCTACTAAAAATAACAAAAATTAGCCAGACGTAGTGGTGGGCGCCTGTAATCCCAGCTACTCGGGAGGCTGAGGCAGCAGAATCACTTGAACCTGAGAGGTGGAAGTTGCAGTGAGCTGAGATCATGCCACTGCACTCCAGCCTGGGCGACAGAGCAGTATTCCATCTTATAAAAAAAAAAAAAAAAAAAAAAAAAGGTCGTCAGCAGCCTCAGGCCCTGTGACAGTGATAGAGCTGATGAGATAGGACTTATCTTCCCCCAGCCCACAGGTCCCTGCATGAAGCCTGGGTGATGGGAGAGGAAATTCCAACAGACGAGTTCTTTGTCTCTTCCCTGCCTCTCCTTGTTTCCAACTCTCTGTCCCAATAGTTGTAATTATTGCAAAGGAGAAAAACAAAAAACAAAAATAATGACCTAAGGGGCACCAAGAGATGCCAAGGTGATCACCAGGACATGGTTCTATGTCCCAGAAACATGCAGGGCACTCTGGCCATTCCCCTGCTTCCAAGCAGAAGCCTAGGCTGACAAATAAAGACAGCCGGGAGAGGCTGTGTATTTTTCTTTTCTTTTCTTTTCCTTTCTTTTCTTTTCTCTTCTCTTTTTTTTTTTTTTTTTTTTTGAGACAGAGTCTCACTCTGTTGCCCAGGCTGGAGTGCAGTGGCGCAATCTCAGCTCACTGCAACCTCTGCCTCTGAGGTTCAAGCCTCCTGCCTCAGCCTCCTGAGTAGCTGAGACTACAGGCACGTGCCACCACACCTGGCTAATTTTTGTATTTTTAGTAGAGAAGGAGTTTCTCTTGGCCAGGCTGGTCTTGAACTCCTGACCTCAGGTGATTCACCCATCTTGGCCTCCCAAAGTGATGGGATTACAGGCGTGAGCCACTGCACCCAGGCAGCTGTTTCTTCTTCTTTCTTTCCTTTTCTTTTTCTTTTTCTTTTCTTTTTTTTTTTTTTGAGACGAAGTTTCGCTCTTGTTGCCCAGGCTGGAGTGTAATGGCCTGCTCTCGGTTCACCGCAACCTCCATCTCCCTGGTTCAAGCAATTCTCCTGCCTCAGCCTCCCGAGTAGCTGAGATTACAGGCATGCGCCATCACACCTGGCTAATTTTGTATTTTTTTTTTAGTAGAGATGGGGTTTCTCCATGTTGGTCAGGCTGGTCTTGAACTCCCAACCTGAGGTGATCTGCCTGCCTCGGCCTCCCAAAGTGCTGGGATTACAGGTGTGAGCCACCGCGCCTGGCCCAGCTGTTTCTCTTTCCAACATCCACAGGATGGAAAAGTTCTTCCTAGAAGCTGACCAAGGCCCTCTTCAGTCATCTTTAGTTTTGGGCATTTTGTGCTGCCCCCGACCCCTGCTTCCCAAGCCAACCCCAGAGTTATTATGCCCTCCCACTCCCTTCACAGATGGACCCGGTCCAGAAAGCTGTCATCAGCCACACGTTTGGTGTCCCCTCCCCTCTGAAGAAGAAGCTGTTCATTTCCTGTAACATCTGTCACCTGAGGTTCAACTCAGCGGTGAGACAAAGTAGTGAAAGCAGGTCTGGGGAGGGGGCTGGGCAGGGAGAGGGCTGGAGGCTGGGCTTTCAGAGTCCTTCTGGGAGGAATATCAGTGGCAAAGGGGCTGTGGTCGGTATTTTCCACCCTGGCTGCAGAAGAGGCACTCTTGGTCCTTTAACCATCGCATCCTCTCCTCTCTCTAGATTCTTCTGCCCCTTCCCCTTCTGCCCAGCTGTAGCCCAGTGGGATTCCATTTCCTTCCCCCCAGGCCTCTCTCCTGTGTTCTGGATCCTTCTGCAAGAGAGAAGACTGCCCTTCCTCCACTCCAGGTCCCAGTGGCCCATCTCATCAGCTCCTGGTCTGGAGCTGAGCTCTTAAGGCACCTGAGAGTTTACAGAATGTGATCATGCCCATCCCCTTAAATAATAGTTTTCATGATACATCTGTGAGACGGGTGGAGGCGGGATTTTTTTGTTTTGTTTTGTTTTTTTAGACAAGGTCTCACTCTGTCACCCAGGCGGGAGTGCAGTGGCGCAATCTTGGCTCACTGCAGCCTCCACCTCCAGGGTTCAAGTGATTCTTGTGCCTCAGCTTCCCTAGTAGCTGGGATTACAGGCATGTGCTACCACGCCTGGCTAATTTTTTTATATTTTTGGCAGATACAGGGTTTCACCATGTTGCCCAAGCTGGTCTCGAACTCCTGGGCTCAAGTGATCCACCCACCTCAACCTCCCAACATGCTGGGATTACAGGTGTGAGCCACCGCGCCTGGCCTAGAGGCGCTATTATAATCCCCGATTTTCAGATGAGGAAAGTGAGCCTTAGAGAGGTTAAGTGACTTGCCTAAGACCACACAGCTGGTAAGTAGCAAAGCTGGGATATGAATCCAGGCCTGGCTGACCCCAAGGTCTATGACTTTCTACTACAGCCTACCCCTTTCTACTACATCTTACCACTAGGTAGAGGAGGAACCTCATTCTGGCCTCCCAGGGAAGGTCTACCTCCTGTTAGGCAATCTGGGGTTTCGGTTGGATGCCAGCAGAACTGCTGTGGTATAGCATCCAGGGAGGGGCCATGGGGGCCTGTCTTTCCCATGTTTCAAGGAGGTGGGCCGGGGAGCAGCAAGTGAGGACCCTTGGAGGGAGGACACTGACAGACCAGATTTGAGGATTCCCTTCAGGCCTTCTGGTTCCATGAGTCCTGCAAGAGATGGAGGAGAGGCTGGGCGTGGTGGCTCATGCCTGTAATCCCAGCACTTTGGGAGGCCAAGGTGGGTGGATCACTTGAGGTCAGGAGTTAGAGACCAGCCTGGCCAACATGGTGAAACCCCATCTCTACTAAAATACAGAAGAAAAAAAAAAAAGCAGCCAGTTGTGGTGACAGGTGCCTGTAATCCCAGCTACTCGGGAGGCTGAGGCAGGAGAATCGCTTGAACCCAGGAGGCAGAGGTTACAGTGAGCCTAGATTGCTCCCGTTGCACTCCAGCCTGGGTGACAAAGCGAGATTCCGTCTCAAAAAAAAAAAAAGATGGAGGAGAGAATTCGTTCTGAGGGAGGAACCATTCTTCTTCCTGCCGGACCCCGGGCACAGTGCCTGGCAAATAGCAAATGCTCAGTAATGACTTGTTGAACAAATGAACAAAGGGATGAATGTTCTGGGGTACATACACCCCAAAGTGTGGGGATTGCTCTGCTTTCTCCATTTGTGCATTGATACACTTGATAACTAACATTCATTGAGCACCTACTCTATGTACTCGGCCCTTGTAATTCATGTTCCCATGTAATTCTGACAACCCCATGAGGTCAGTATTATCATCACAGGGTTTATGGGTGAGGAGACTCAGGCTCAGAGAGATGTTACTTGCCTAAAGATGTAGTTAGTGGCCAGGCGTGGTGGCTCACGCCTGTAATCCCAGCACTTTGGGAGGCTGAGGCGGGTGGATCACGAGGCAGGAGATCGAGACCATCCTGGCTAATATGGTGAAACCCCGTCTCTACTAAAAATACAAAAAATTAGCCGGGTGTGGTGGCGGGCGCCTGTAGTCCCAGCTACCCCGGAGGCTGAGGCAGAAGAATCGCTTGAACCCGGGAGGCGGAGGTTGCAGTGAGCTGAGATGGCGCCACTGCACTCCAGCCTGGGCGACAGAGCGAGACTCCATCTCAAAAAACAAAAAACAAAAACAACAACAACAACAACAAAAAGATGTGGTTAGTAAGTGGCTGGGTCAGATCTGAAGCCAGAGGCAGCCTGCCTTGGAGTTCATGTGCGAGAACACATTCTGCAAACCTCAGAGCCACATGTGCTATGGTGATGATGATGACAAGGACAAGGACTTGCCCTTTGTGTGACCTGAGCCCTGCCTCCCTTTGACCTGTCCCCCTGCTGGGCTCCAGTTCACAGATGGGGCATGTGGACTCAGCCAGTGAATGGTGACCTCTTGCCCTCCCCTCCCCAGAACCAGGCCGAGGCACATTATAAAGGCCACAAACACGCCAGAAAACTCAAGGCTGTCGAGGCTGCCAAGAGCAAGCAGAGGCCACACACCCAGGCCCAGGATGGGGCTGTAGTGTCCCCAATCCCAACGCTGGCCAGTGGAGCCCCTGGAGAGCCACAGAGTAAAGGTCAGTCCTGAGCTCTTCTCTTTCCCACGTCTCCACTCCAAATCTGGTTTCCGACAAGGGGTTGAGAGATTTCTGCTTATTCTTTTTGCTTGTGTTGGAGTATTCCATACAGACAGGCAAAGGCACACAAGTGTACCACGCCATGAATTTTCCTAAGCTGAACACACCCAGATCAGGAAACACGTTACCAGCACCTCAGAAGCTTGTCTTGCACCTCCTCCTGGTCATTACCTTGAAGTATTCATTTCCAAGGGCTGCCTTCACAAATGACTTCATTTGTGAAGTTAGGAATGGTGGCTCACATGTTGTGATGGTTAACACTTTGGGAGGCTGAGGCGGGAGGATTGCTTTAAGCCTGGAGTTTGAGACCAGTCTGGGAAACATGGTGTGACCCTGTCTCTACAAAAAATTTATTTGCCAGGCATGATGATGCACACCTGTAGTCCCAGCTACTCAGGAGGCTGAAGCAGGAGGATCTGCTTAAGCCCAGGAGGTCGAGGCTGCAGTGAGCTATGGGTGACAGAGCAAAACCTTGTCTCTAACCTCCCCTGCCCACCCCCACCCCCAAAAAAAGAGACTACAACCTGGGTGACTGAAAACAACAAAAATTTATTTTCACACAGCTCTGGAGGCCAGAAGTCTGAAATCAAGGCGTTGACAGCATTGGTTCCTTCTTGGGGGCTTAGAGGAGAAAGTGTCCCATGCTTCTCTTCTGGCCTTTGGTGGCTGCCAGTATTCCTTGGCACTCCTTGGCTTATAGACGCATCACTCCAATCTCCACCTCCATCTCCACATTCTCCCTTGTGTGTCCCTGTGTTTCCACAAGCTCTTTTTATAAGGGTACCAGTCACTAGATCAATCCCACCCGAACCCAGCATGACCTCATCTTAACTAATTTTATCTTCAAAGACCCTGTTTCCAAATAAGGTCACATTCTGAGGTTCCAGATAGATGTGAATTTTGGGGGAGACACTATTCAACTAACTACAACCCCTCTGATGGTAAATACGATCCTGACTTTTCTCAGCATAGATCAGCTTTACCTATTTTTGGTGAAACATAGAGTGTGCAGGGGTTTTTTTGTATCTGTTTTGTTTTGTGGGTTTTTTTTGTTTTGTTTGTTTGTTTTTTGAGACAGAGTCTCGCTCTGTCTCCCAGGCTGGAGCACAGCGGTGCAATCTTGGCTCACTGCAACCTCTGCTTCCTGGGTTCAAGCCATTCTCCTACCTCAGCCTTCCAAGTAGCTGGGACTACAGGTACCTGCCACCACGTCCAGCTAATTTTTGTATTTTTAGTAGAAACGGGGTTTCACCATATTGGCCAGGCTGGTCTCGAACTCCTGACCTTGTGATCCACCCACCTCGGCCTCCCAAAGTGCTGGGATTACAGGCGTGAGCCACCCTGCCTGGCCGGTATCTAGTTTTTATTCATCTCTCACAAACATTCATCAACATTCATTATATCTGTAAGATTCATCCATGTTTTTGCGTGTAGCTGTAGTTTGTTCTCTTTCATTGCTGTGTAGTACTCCACCGTGGATCATACCACTATTTTTTTTTAATTTAAATTCTTAAAAGCTCTTTTTTTTTTTGAGACAGGGTCTGGCTCTGTCACCCAGGCTGGAGTGCAGTGGTGTGACCTAGGCTCATCCACCTCCCTGGCTCTCAAGCGATTCTCCTGCCTCAGCCTCCCAAGTAGTTGGAACTATAGGCATGTGCCACCATGCCTGGCTAATTTTTGTATTTTTAGTACAGATGGTGTTTCGCTGTGTCACCCAGTCTGGTCTCGAAGTCCTGGACTCAAGTGATCTGCTAACCTTGGCCTCCCAAAGTGTTGGGATCACAGGCGTGAGCCACTGCGTCTGGCCCATACCACTGTGTTTTTTTTGTTTGTTTGTTTGTTTTTGAGATGGCGTTTCACTCTGTCGCCCAGGCTGGAGTGCAGTGGTGTGATCTCAGTTCACTGTAACCTCCACCTTGCAGGTTCAAGCGATTCTCCTGCCTCAGCCTCCCGAGTAGCTGGGATTATAGGCATGTGCCACCACGCCTAATTCTGTATTTTTAGTAGAGATAGGGTTTCACCATGTTGGCCAGGCCAGTCTCGAACTCCTGACCTTAGGTGATCCACCTGCCTCGGCCTCCCAAAGTGCTCGGATTACAGACATGAGCCACCGTATCCAGCCCGCACCATTGTTTTTTAAAAATCTGCTCTCCTGTTGGTGGACATGTGGGTAGTTTCAGTTTTATGATATTATGAATAGTGTTCTCTGAACATTCTAGTACATCTTTTTTGGTGATCTCTGTTTAAGTTAGCAAATAAGGATATGAGGGCTGTGAGGGCTTTCTGAGACCACTGTGTCCAACTTAATGATTTCAGATGGGGAAACTGAGGCCCAAGTCTGCCCAGTGAGTTGGTAGAAAAGTGGGGCCTGGAATTCAGTGCTGGTCATCCACCAGGGGCCCTCCAGGCCACCTCCATGGTCAGAGCTGAAGATCGTGGTCTGCAGCGTCATCTTGGGTCTCACACTCTTCCATCTCTGCAGCAGTTCCTGCAGCCCCTCCTCTTGGGCCTCCACTCCAGCCACCACCAACTCCAGACCCTACATGCAGGGAGCCAGCCCACTCAGAGCTCTTGGATGCTGCCTCCTCATCCTCTTCTTCCTCCTGCCCACCTTGCTCCCCAGAGCCTGGGAGAGAGGCACCGGGGCCTGAGCCAGCGGCAGCTGCCGTGGGAAGCAGCATGAGTGGGGAAGGCAGGAGTGAGAAGGGGCACCTCTACTGCCCCACGTGTAAGGTGACAGTGAACTCGGCCTCCCAGCTTCAGGCTCACAACACAGGTCAGTAGTCCCAGGAGCTGGAGCCCAGGGAAAGGGTGGGACAGAAGCTAAGCCTCGCCAGATGAGGGCAGGCTTGAGTTCCTGGGTGCTTCGCTCAAGGGTTGGATGGCGGAGGCTTTGTGCTTGTGTGTTACTGAACGGACGTTTCTGGGTCCTCCCATTACTCCTTGGGGAAGGAGAATTGGGAAGAGAAGTCTGAGGCAGCAAGAACTGAAGGTCGCTAAATCTCTGAAGGGTCACTCCACAGGAGACAGGAGACATCTGCCTCTCTCCTTAGATTACACCCAGAAGGAAAGGACTGAGATCAAAGCAAAGGGGAAGGCAGCTATTTGTAGTGCAGAAAGGCCTTTCATAGGAGGGGCTGGCATGAAAGGACAGAAGCTGGGAGGGGAAACCACGTGTGGCTGGAGGGCGATGTGTGCACAGAGCAGCCGTGAGGCTTACAGGGAGAGCCAAATTGCATGAGTGTGGAGGGGGTCTCTGTGGCCCCTGCAACCCCTTCCTGCTGCTGAGAGACTGCCTTCTTCCCTCTCCAGGAGCCAAGCACCGGTGGATGATGGAAGGTCAGCGAGGGGCTCCCCGGAGGAGCCGGGGCCGCCCGGTGTCCAGGGGAGGTGCCGGACACAAAGCCAAGAGAGTCACAGGGGGCCGGGGCGGCCGGCAGGGGCCCAGCCCTGCCTTCCACTGTGCTCTCTGTCAGCTCCAGGTCAATTCAGAGACCCAACTGAAGCAGGTGGGAGAAGTGAGGCTGTGACTGGGGTTGGAGCCAGGGGAGGGGGTTGGGGGGCAGGGCAGCAGAGGGAGGGACCCTGAAGAGAGCAGGCAGGGCACAGCAGAGCAGGCTGGAGAAGCGAGGCCAGCAGGCCAGTGGGCCAATTAAGGGCAAAGGCCAAGACTCACCTCCCCTTCCCAGGGCCTACCCCAGGGTGAGGACCCAGTCTGTGTGCTTTGGATGTATGAGCTGTGGATAGAGGAAGGGGAAGAGTCGAGGATGATGGTCTTGGGGTCCTTGGGCTTTGTCATCTTGTTCCCAGTCTGTCTGTCTGTCCATTAGCACATGAGCAGCAGGAGGCACAAAGACCGCCTGGCCGGGAAGACCCCCAAGCCCTCCAGCCAGCACAGCAAGCTGCAGAAGCACGCAGCGCTGGCTGTGAGTATCCTCAAGGTATCTGTCTCCAGGCAACAGAGCTGGGACTGGGTCAGGAGGGGAGAGGGTGGGCTGGGAGGGCCAGATGGGGGGGCTGCGGTGGGGCAGGAAAAGAGGCCACCCTGCAATGAGGCTGCTGGGCAGTGACAGAGCTAGGCCTGGGAACTGGGATCTGCGCAGAGGAATTTCCGGGGAGGTGGGTTGGGATAGTCATCTTAGGGGCAAGAGTGAGGGGTGGGCGTGCATCTCCTAGAGACCATCTCTATCCCGTAAATCCTCCTCCCTTCTCCCATGCTGAGACTTTCCTCCCTCTGGACAGGAAGACAGGTGGTGGAGAAAGCCCTTCGGAATGAATGTTTGGGGGTGGGAAGGGAGGAGGATTTAGGTTTGGAACTCTAAAAGGCACGCTTTCCCTGCAGCAAAAAGCTTGAGGATGGGCCCCAGGGAGGGGGTGGGGTTTTCTGGGGTGGAGACTGTGTCCATTCCTTTCTTTTCCGTGTAGTCTAAACTGGCCTTGCAGAAGCAACTCACCAAGACGTTGGCAGCCCGCTTCCTGCCCAGCCCGCTCCCCACCGCAGCCACTGCCATCTGTGCTCTGCCAGGGCCCCTGGCCCTCCGCCCTGCCCCTACAGCAGCCACTACCCTCTTCCCGGCTCCCATCCTGGGCCCAGCTCTGTTTCGCACCCCAGCAGGAGCTGTCCGCCCTGCCACAGGACCTATCGTCCTTGCCCCTTATTAGCCCTCATGGGGAGGCCAGAGCTGATTTCCCAATAGCCACTCCTTGTCTCCTCCTGTCCTGAGACACCTTGGTTTCCTACATGCCACAGGGACTGTGAACAGCTTCAGGGGTCCTGCCCGATCCAGAAAGAGCTGGGCTAGTTTTAAGGGCAGCTGCCTTCCAAGGACTGTCCCCACCCTCCTTTCGCAGGCCTTCCAGGGTTAATCCTAGGCTTGCCTGCATTTCCCACCCTGACAGACCCCAAAGATCTATGCAAAATCTCAGCCCCAGCCATGTGGTGCTCTCACTTTCCTCCACCCAAGACCCACATGGCCAGACTCTAGGAATCTTAGCTTCTACAAGCCATCCTCTCCTAGCCAGGGGACGACTCTCTGACCTCTATTCCTAGGCTTTGGGGCTTCACTGGAGATAGGGATGGGGTCTCTAGCTGCAGCAGGCTCAAGGCTGTCAGGACAAGGTGACCATGGGAGTGTGACAGAGGACCATGGAGGAGAAAGGGGGACCCAAAAGTCCTTCGATCAGCAGTGCTAAGGTGGGGCAGAGCCAAGGAGGTAGTGGGGCTGGTTCTGAAAGCTTTTGGGGGCTTCATCTGCTCTGAAGGGGTGGGACTAAGAGAGGAGGTGATGTTCTGGTTGGGCCCAGGGTTTTGTTTTAATCTTAAGTCTTCTGGGCATTCATGGGCCCAGTCTTTTTTTCTGTCTGAGAGTATCATTCTGTTGCCCAGGTTAGAGTGCAGTGGTGCAATCTTGGCTCACTGCATGCAGCCTCTGCCTCCCTGGTTCAAGTGATACTTGCTGATAAGCCCAGTCTTAATATTGAGGGAGTAACTCATCCCTCAGAAGCTCTTCTTCTTAGCCTTTCTCTGACTTCCTGAACCCCAACTCTTGGAGGGCGGGTGTGGGTCTCCCTCAGACTATGGACTCAGCTAACACCGAACCCCCCGCAGAGCTCCCAAAGGAAGAGCTTTCCCCTACAGCTTCCCACTCCAAACTGGTCCTAGCACTAAATTCAGCTTTCCCTTCTCCCAACCAGCCCCTGCCACTGTGAAGCTGAGTGTTGGGAGGCAGTCTCACATGCACTGGCAAGACCCATTTTCATGCTGTCAATGTCAATGTCACAAACTCCTTTCCACTGCAGCACTGCCCCCTCCCCACCCCACAATATGGGACCCTGCCAGTATCCCCCTGTATCTTTTTTTTGTTTTTTAAAGACATTTCCAATGGGAGAACCAGAAAAAGGGGGAGGGGAGGGAAACTTTTTGATAACAATTGTGGTTTTATTGTGTCCAACCAATGCATCAATAAATGAACTTGAAGCCCAAGCCTGTGTGTGTCCTAATTCCACTCACCCAGCCCCGGGCACCTGCCCCACTCACCTCTGGCTTTGAGAAGGGGCGTGTGTCGGTGGTTGCCTGGCTGCAGTGTCTCACCTAGGCTAGGTGTGCACCTTAGAAGCACAAAGCGGGCACAGTTGTGGGTAATAAGCTTACTCTGCAGGCCGCTGGGTGTGTGCCCACCCTCCTGAGCCCCGAAAGAGGACCTGTCAGCTCCTGAGAGGCTGCTACGGGTTTGCCTTGTTCTGTTCAGGCATCTGAGGTAAGAAGGAGGGGCCAGAGGAGCACCTTGTCCAGCCTTCACCATGAGAGCGGGCATATAAATATAAATACAGGTAACTTATAAATAGAAGTCCAGCTCTGAGCTGAAAACCACAGGCAGGATAAAGAGCAGCCTCCAAGAGCGAGGCTGGCGGGCTGGGCACTGAGCGGCCACTCTGGTGACTGACAGCAGGTAGTGCACTCCTGCCCCCTGGTGGCTGGAGGGAGCGGCAGATCCCAGCCTCCAGGGCTGGTTGGCATAGCACCTTAAAGAGGGAGAAGCCATTGGCTTTACGAAATCAAGAGAACTGGAAAGGATCTAGGAGATCATCTAAGCAACTCTGGTCATCTTACAGATGAGAAACTGATGCCCAGAGAGGGGAAAGGTCTTGCTGGGTCACAAAGTGGGCTGGTGACTCATAGCCCAGTTATTCTATTCCATCTCAACCAGTGAGGCCCATCTGCTCCCTGAGCAGGAAGAGGAAGTAAAACAATTGGTAGGGGTGGGGAATTTTTTTTTTTTTTCTTCGAGATGGAGTCTTGCTCTGTTGACCAGGCTGGAGTGCAGTGGCACGATCTCGGCTCACTGCAGCCTCCGCCTTCTGAGTTCAAGCAATTCTCCTGCCTCAGCCTCCCCGGGTAGCTGGGATTACAGGCATGTGCCACTACGCCCGGCTAACTTTTGTATTTTTGGCAGAGATGGGGTTTCACAATGTTGGCCAGGCTGGTCGTGAACTCCTGACCTCAAGTAATCGACCCGCCTTGGCCTCCCAAAGTGCTGGGATTACAGGGGTGAGCCACTGAGCCCAGCCAGGGGTGGGGGATTTAAAACAGAAAACTACACTCCCAGGAGGCCAACTTCTTCCAGCCAAGAAAAGGACAGGAGAAAGGTCAGGGTGAGGGATGAGGAGACGCCTAATGCCAGTATAGGAGCATATTTGTGTGTGCACAACTAAATGCATACACACAATACCTGGACACCCTTTTTCTGGAGTCCAGGCTGGTGCCATAAGTGTGTGTGTGTCGCTGATGGGAAGCCCAGAGGGTGGGGCCCCTACCTATAATAGGAACTCAGACCCAAGAAGGGACACTGCTGCGTGGTGACTCTGCTTCCTGTCTGGGGCAGCTGGAAGGGACAGTGACCCACAACTGCCCCAGGAGACAGTGGAGCAGATCCTCTAAAAGCTGGGATGGGGAGTAGGCTGGGAGGGCTGAGGAAGGGGATGTCAACCAAGAGTATTTGCACTTCCCAGAGGTGAGAGGGAGCAAAGTGGCTGGGGCGTGGCCTGGCGGGGAGCTCCCTGGCTGACTGGGAAAGACAGCTTGTCCTCTACTTTGCCCTCAACACATCTACCAGAGCCCCAGACACTGAAATGGGGCTGGGATCGTGAAAGAGGAACGGCAGCTCTTCAGCCATCCAAGGAGCCGCTGCCCTTGTTCTTCCGGCTGAGGGGGAAGGCAGACTTGCTCTGGGGTTGCGTCATCTTGCTGGCCAAGTAGACAAAGGGCTCCAGGAGGGAGCGCCGGTCCGCCACTGACACCTCCCACAGCTTCACCTTCTCTGACTTGGCCCAGTGCTGAGCCACATCTGGGTCTACACGCCGCTGCTCCTGTAAGTCACACTTGTTGCCAAGGACCACGATGGTGACCTGGGGAAGAGGGACAGAGCATAGGCCTGTGAATGTACCATAGAACCAGGAATGGACATGGGGGCTGGCAACCACCTAGGAGTTCTATGAGAGGAAAGCTCAATGGCTGATATCTCATCTCTTTCTAGATTCCATACCACTCATTGTGGGGAAGGAGATGGTTGCTTTTTTTCTCTTTCCTCTGTTCAAATTCTGGCCTCCATCTAGCCCTCCTTTTAGGAGTTCTATCACCAGCTCTGTATTGCCCATACATGCTCATTATTAGCAGTCAGTTTCTGGCTCAACAACAGGTGAGGAAGCACTCCCAGAACCCTGCAGCTTACTGTGGGATTCTGGAGAACAGAAGGGCCTTCGTGGCCAGATGCAGTGGCTTACGCCTGTAATCCCAACACTTTGGGAGGCTGAGGCAGGTGGACTGCTTGAGTCCAGGAGTTTGAGACCAGCCTGAGCAACATGACAAAACCCCATCTCTACTAAAAATACAAAACTTAGCCAGGTGTGGTGGCATGCACCTGTAGTCTTAGCAGGGGGCTGAGGCAGGAGGACCACCTAAGCCTTGGGAGGTTGAGGCTGCAGTGAGCTGTGATCATGCCACTGCACTCCAGCCTGGGTGGCAGAGTGAGACCCTGTCTCAAACAAACAAACAAACAAACAAACAAAAGAAGGGCTTTCATAGCTAAAAGCACAGAACCATCAGGAAGGACAACTATGTGGGGACTTCATACAACTAAGTGGGGGCTTCATACATTAGGTCAGTGACCCCTTCAACAACTAAATGGGGGCTTCATACATTAGGTCAGGGACCCCTTAAACCACAAAGAGGCCTCTTTTGTTGAGCAGACTCAACATGCAGCCAATCCTGAGGGTAAAGATACCCTCAGTGGCCTCCACCCCACCTCTGGCTCCTAACTCACCTTGGAGTGAAGAATGGAGCCATGCCAGGCTTCCCAAACCAGCCCTCCGCCCAAACTCTCTGACCACTGAGGCTCCCACCAGAAGCCTATGCCACACACCTCCTTCTTGTCCTTGGATTTGTCAATCTCCTTCTTGAGCAGCTCCACACGCTGAAAAGACTCTCTGCTATCTGTGCTATAGACCAGGACGTAGCCATCAGTGCAAGAGAAGCAGTGTCGGGGCAGTTCGGCCCCATCTCGGAGCCCCCGGGTGTCATAGAAACGCACCTGCTCTCGCACCCCCCGGTCTGTCTCAATGGAGCCCACGTAGATGTCCTCCTGCGTCTCGATCATCTCCGAACCTGGTATAAAATGAGAAAACTGTCTGAAGTGGAGAGAGAGATGGGAAATGTGAGTGATGAGAGCATCTTAAGGCTGACCAAATGGGGAGAAAGGAATGTAGGGGGCTGAGGAGGCCAGAGAATTGACAGCCTGGCAGGACTGAAATGATTTGGGTTTAGGGGAACGAACATTAATTTCTTTCTTTTTTTGAGACGGAGTTTTGCTCTCGTTGCCCAGGCTGGAGTGCAATGGCGCAATCTCGGCTCACCGCAACCTCCACCTCCCGAGTTCAAGCGATTCTCCTGCCTCGGCCTCCCGAATAGCTGGGATTACAGGCATGTGCCACCACACCCGGCTAATTTTGTATTTTTAGTAGAGACAGGGTTTCTCCAAGTTCGTTAGGCTGGTCTCGAACTCCCGACCTGAGGTGATCCACCCGCCTCAGCCTCCCAAAGTGCTCGGATTACAGGCGTGATCCACCGCACCCGGCCAATGGACATTAATTTTATGCTAATTCCATGCTAAGCACAAGTGTGACATGACAGCTTCTCTTTCCTATCTTGGACATAGGGCTTTCTCCCTCCGTATTTGTTCAGTGTTGTAGAGTTGATCTGTTACAATGTAAGTTTTATTCTTCCAGGGGGGAAAACCACCAGGAGCAGCTTTTAGCCTGTGTGTGTTGTGATCAAGTCCTATTCCTTATTTTTCAACTTCTTCCACTGTTCCTCCCCCTCCAACAACACTCACCCACTACATGGTTCCCATACAGAAGCTGCTCCAGGATTGAAGTTTTGCCCACAGACGCCTGGCCACACACGACCACCTTGCAGCTCTTCCCCATGCTTAGTTTTCAACCTTGAAGAACAGAAGCACGCTGGGTAAGGTGAGGAAAGAAAGCATCAACACAGAAGGCAGTTACTAGCAGATGTTTTCTGGTGGACAAAAACAAAAACCAAAAAAACAGAAGGCAGAACGTCCATAACTGAGAGTTCTAAACTGAATGTATAGTTCTAAACTGAATGTATAGTTCCAGGGTTTCAGCACCATCCCAATGCTAGTCAGAGGAAACGGATGTCTCCATGTCTACTACTGGATGGTAAGCTGTTATTTTATTCGTCTTTGTTATCCCCAGTACCTAGCCAGTATCTGTCACAGGGCAGGTGCTTGGAAATGCTGCCATAAAGGGAGAGGAGAGTCACTGGCCACTGGGCCAGGTTCCCTTCTGTGCGCAAGATGTAGAGGACCAATTAGTAAAGGGAGCTCAGCCCAGCTTCCTCTCTTTAACCATGACCCCATGGAGAATTAAGCAGGAACAGTGTTTTGTGTGGCTGTCTGAAGCCATCTGCTCCCTGGGGGGACTGAGCAAATAAAAAGGATAATCTGGGGCAGGGCACGGTGGCTCACGCCTGTAATCTCAGCACTTCGGGAGGCCGAGGTGGGCAGATCACAAAGTCAGGAGTTCGAGACCAGACTGGCCAACATAGTGAAACCTCATCTCTACTAAACATACAAAAAATTAGTCAGGCGTGGTGGCGGGTGCCTGTAATCCCAGCTACTTGAGAGGCTGAGGCAGGAGAATCGCTTGAATCCAGGAGGCGGAGATTGCAGTGAGCCAAGAATATGCCACTGCACTCCAGCCTGGGCGGCAGAGCAAGACTCCGTCTCAAAAAAAGACAATCTGCTTTCCTGTACGACTCATCTGGACAACAATCAATTCCCTCTAAACTCCAGTCAAGTCTATGGCTAAAATGAACATAAGACAAGAGAGAAAAGAATGAAGAAACCTACGGAAAAAAAGGCTTCAGAAAGGACATACTTTTTGCTGCCCTTGGACTGACAGACACAAAAGAGAAAGCTCAGATACAGAAACCCTAAGAGGTCCCAGACAGATATCTCCCCGAAGGCAAACTTCCAAACACAAGCCCCCCAAAAGCTCCAGACAAAGATCCCCCCCAGAGAGCAGAGATAGATCACTCCCAAAGACGGTCCCTAACAGAAACCTCTCCAGGGGAAGCTCCTGACACAGACCCCCTCTCCATATAGCGAGCCCCACAATAAAGGACACCATAAGAGTGGGCCAGAGGTGCCTCCGCCACAGATTTTCTCACGGGGGAGCCCCCAGAGGGAATGAGAGGCAGAGACCAGCCACCTAAAGCGGCCCGGAGGCGGAGGCCGATCCTAGCGCCGGACGAGCCTCGCCTCCCAGGTCCGTACCTCCCGGGGCCCCCGCAGCACCAGCCGGGCCCTCCGAGCTCGCGGGGACCAGGGGAGGGGCAGCGCCGCCGCAAAGGCTCCAGTCTTCCTCCAGAGTCGGTGTAGGCTCCTCCAGGCCCCGCCCCCGCCGCCTGCCCGCTCCCCAGCTTCCGTCAGGCAAGACGAATTCCGGCAGCGGAGAGAGAGCGCGGACCGCGCAGCTCCCCCAGAGGCCGGCGGGAGAATGACGGCCAGGACCTGGCCTGGGTGTGCGCGGGAGCCCAAGGTTCTAGACTCCCTGGACGCGGGCCGCTGGGTGTTCTGGTGTCTCTGAGGCCCAGATGTTCTCTCTGTAAAGGCGATCAGAGTACAGTAACTCTTCGTTTACTCAATCATTTATTCGTCAAATGTTTTCTGAGCATCATCTGTCTGTGCCTGGTGCAGGGCCATATACTGAGAGAAAGTGGACGAGTTAGACATGGTGGCTGCCCATCAGAACTCACGGTCTAGAGAAGCTAGATGTCTAACAACTACTGAGGTGCTGTGGAGCACAGCAAAAGGGCATTTAACGTTGAGTCAGCAGACACTGAAGGGCCTGGGGGAAAGGGTGTTCTAGGGTGGAGGAAACGGCTACAAGTCATGGCATTTTCTGAAACTATGAGAACTTGGGTTCAATATTGGTGGTAGAAAGGACCTAAATATTGGTACTCAAATTAAATTATTTAAAAAAAGAAACAGATAATCAAAGGCTTTGTGTGGTAGGCCAAAGAGATCAAATTGACGGCAATGGAAAGCCATTGCCAATGAAGAGACATGATCAGTCCCTGAGGAAGGTCACTCTGGCAGAAGAGGGAAGACTGAACAGAGATGAAATTAGAGACCGATTAGGAGACTATTGATGTATTCCAAGTTTTTTTTTCTGTTGTTTTGTTGTTGTTGTTGTTGCCGTTTTTGAGACAGGGTCTTGCTCTTTTCTCCATGCTGGAGTACATTGGTGTGATCATAGCTCACTGCAGCCTCTAACTCCTGGGCTCAAGTGATCCTCCTGCCTCAGCCTCCCAAATAGCTGGGACTACAGATGCATGCCACCACACCCAGCCTATTCCAAGATTTTAAAAAATGATGAGCGCCTGAATCGGGATGGAAAGGTGGAGATAGATTTGGGAAATATTTGGTAGGAGAATCAACAAAACTTGGCAACAAATTGGAAGCCAAGAGTGAGAATGGTTTAATCCATTTAACAAGATACGGAATTTAGGAAAGATAATAATTACATCCAACATTTGTTTTTTCTGTTGTTGAGGTGTGGGTAGACAATGAAAAAGTTAAATTTAAATATGGTAAGCCTTGGGGATTTGTGAAACATACAAGAGATATCCAGTAGATAGTTGGATATACAGCTGTGGAAGCTGAAGAAAGGTCTAGGTTGGAGATATGAAAAGTTGAGAGTCATCAACAGATGGAAGTAAAGCTGTGGGAATAAATGAGTTGCCTTAGATAGAACATAAAGTGGGAAGATGGTGAGACAGGTTGGCTAGCATTAGACTGGACTATGAGCCACTGGCAGGCAGGGCAGGTGGTCTGTAAGTCTTGTGCCCTCACAACCTAGCACAGAGTAGGCGTTTTGGAAAGGGCTGAGTGATTGGCTCAACGAATGACCCCTCCTTTCCAACCTAGTGAGCTTGTCCTATCCCTCCCTACTCAGTGGTCGCTGTGGTTTCAGCTCCCTCCACACTGGGATAGGCAGAGTATGAGCATTGGCACATGCTGTTTTCCTGGAACAAACAGGTAAATCCTTTTAAAATTCCTTTGCCCTCTTCTTATTTTACTCTTAGCTTTACATTGTAAAGCTACTCCTCATACTCCTCCAATTTAACCCCAGAAAGCTCCAATTTAATTCAGCTCCACAAATAGTCGTTTGGGTGAGGGAATAACAACAAAGACAGTTAAACTGTGCCCTTGTCCCCTATGAATTCTCAATCCAGACCGCATTCGGCAAGGCAAGCGTGATGAGTAGAGAGTTTATATAAGAGGTGGGAGTACTGGGGACACAAGAGCAAGGACCTCACCCCGCGAGCTTCCTTATAAACTCCAGGGCAGGGTCTGGGGCGCCATGTGTCAGCTTTCCTAGGCTTAATGCTGAGATGGCACTCCCAGGCGGCTGACATGAAAGGAGCCTTGTAAAAGGGTCAGCGTCATTAGGGTGATGAACCAGTTGGTGTTTGGAGATCCGGAGTGGATGAAAGGCGCAGGGTGAAGACGCCCTGCGTTCCCCTGGCTTGACTGGGCAGGGCTTCCAGAGAACGATGAAAGCTGGGGGAACTGAGCTCAAAGTGTCTCTTGACTTTCCCGGGAAGAAGCTGTGGACACACTCCAAGGTCGGAAAGGTAGCAGTGGGGACTCCTTCCCTACAGAGTCTTGGGTCACCTGGTCCCCACGCAACCCAGACTCCACGGAGCCTTTCAGGAAGACTCTCTAGGATTGGAAGTTGCTATGGCAATGAGGCTCTTGGAATACTGAAAGCAGCCAAGCCCTAGAGAGGCTACCACCGGTACACCCCGCCTTCCCACCCACGGGTAAAGTGGCGCCGCCTACGCACCGGCACAGCCCCTGGGCTCCCGCCCCGGCGCGGAGACCACCGTGGACATCCGGGGGCGGGAGGCCGCTCTGGCCCCAAGCGGAGCCTCTCTCTGGTAGACGAGCCCGAGGGAGCCCTTCTGGGCGCGGCGCCGCGGAGCTGCTCTATGCTCCAACCGGAAGTGCTCTTCACCGCCGGCCTCCCACCCAGCTCTCTGGTCCCGGCGGTAAGATGGCGGCTGCCGCGGAGTGCGATGTGGTAATGGCGGCGACCGAGCCGGAGCTGCTCGACGACCAAGAGGCGAAGAGGTAACCGGGTAGCAGGGTAGTAGAGGAGGCGACCTGCAGCTCCGTGGCTCAGGGAAACTCGTTCCTGCCATGATGCAGCCCCCAGCTGTTGAGGCGATGCCCCGCCCTCCGCAAACACCCCCCCATCTGAGATCAAGGCCGGATGGACCCCCTGAAGGGGCGCTCTTGGGGGTCGGCCTTCCTCTCCCGCTTCCGCCTGGCGTAGGAGCTGAGGCATGGCCTTGTTCTCCAGCTGAGAGGACGATCGTCCTTATAGGAGAGGCCGAGTCTCCGAGGGCAATTTCAGAGGTCTGGTGCGAGGTGGGGGAAGCGGCGCGGCGTCGATGACGACTTCCTTACATCGCCCCCGACCCCCGCGTTCTCTTGTTAACTTCTGTGCATTGTTGCCTGTCTGCACTTTCCGTCTCCAAAACCTTTGCTCTCCTCACCCCGTTTTCCCTTGTAATTATACCCCAGCGATCACTAGTCTGGGTTCGAAGTGATTGTGTGTCTCCATAATTGACCTGGTTGCCCCCGGTTATCCCAGAAGTCAAAGATGACAGAGAAAAAAAGGAAGAGCGAGGGGCTTATCTCGTGTTCTCTACGTCAGACTCCTCTTCCCCTGTCCTTCCTGGGTGATCTTTATCCTTCCCAGCACTGTTCTTTCTTAAGTTAAGCACCAAGGAAGAGGGCAACTGCTTGGGCGCTGTTGGCACTCCGAAGCAGCCGCAGTGGTTCGAGATTGCCAGTCGGACTAGCCAAGGGAGCTGCTGAGTGAGTGGTTTTCGAGAACGCTCTAGATTCTGGCAACAGTTAGGCCAGATTATTGGAAGTGGGGTTGGAACAGAGTTGTGGGTAGTCATACTTGTTCTAATCCTAAAGCAGAATTGACAAGAAGGTTCTAGAAGTTTGGAGCCCTTTCCTTATCAGCTGCGGGTTAGTCTGACCCTTTTGTTCAAGATATCTACAGTGCCCTCAGTCTCTTTGCAACATACTTTATATCTTCATACCAAGCCCGTTGTGTCTTCAGGCTGGGTAATTTGAGGCGGTGATGTAGAATTAGTTCATGAGATCTGAAATCAGGATTCTGAGATTTTTACTATCTAATGAGTTCGAAATATAAGAAGTACTCGGACGCAATGAATAGTTATCAAGCTTGAGGGTGGTTACCACAGCCAGATCTCAAGTTCCTGATCTGCTGGGAGCTGAGGGGCCTGACAAAGTGTAATAGGCCCCTGGGATATCAGAGAAGCCAGGACACCAGAGTCCAGTCTCTGTTCTTAATTTTGAGCTTTCATGTTGTTCCTACTTCTTCCTAGATATTTAAAGCTAAGCATCATCAACCCTTATACATCATTAAAGAGCTGCACAATGGGAAACAAAATTCCTCCCAGTGCAGACGGAGCTTAAATTAATTGTAGAGATTTACTTGTATTTGGAAAGAGTTCAGTGGTTCTTTATACTGTAAATAGGGATTTGGCCACAGGTTATTTATTTTTTATTTTTTGAGACGGAATCTCGCTCTGTCGCCCAGGCTGGAGTGTAGTGGCGCGACCTCAGCTCACTGCAAGCTCCGCCTCCTGAGTTCACACCATTCTCCTGCCTCAGCCTCACCAGTTGCTGGGACTACACGTGCCCACCACCACATCCGGCTAATTGTTGTTTTTTTTTTGTATTTTTAGTAGAGATGGGGTTTCACCCTGTTAGCCACGATGGTCTCGATCTCCTGACCTCGTGATCCGCCCACCTCGGCCTCCCAAAGTGCTGGGATTACAGGCGTGAGCTACTGTGCCGGGCTGGCCATAGGTAATTTTAAAAACTCACCCTACTCATTGTAAATCTCTGATGTAGAGTGTCCCTATTTTGGACTTCATTTCATAGCCTCCTATCTTAAGCAAATACATTTCTTCAATCACAGCCTTAGAGGATAGTCTATCATAAAATTGGAGTAAATGAACCTGAAGACATATAATAAAATAGGTTATGCTGTAATGTGACCACATCACACAAAACATGGTATTTGATAGCAGTACAACAAAATAAGGTAAACTACCTTATTTCATGGAATTTAAGTGTCATTAGGCTGGGTGCAGTAGCTCACACCTGTAATCCCAGCACTTTGGGAGGCCGAGGCAGGTGGGTCAGCTGAGGTCGGGAGTTTGAAACCAGCATGGCCAACATGGCAGAACCCTGTCTCTACTAAAAATACAAAAATTAGCGGGGCGTGGTGGCACACACATGTAATCCCAGTTACACGGGAGGCTGAGGCAGGAGAATCGCTTGAACTCAGGAGGTGGAGGTTGCAGTGAGCTGAGATCGGGCCATTGCACTCCAGCCTGGGTGACAAAGTGAGATTCCATCTCAAAAAAAAGTCATTGATTGCAGAATGCAAATTATTTTATCTGTCACTAAGAAAATGTAACTGTAAATTAAACATGACAACATGCATTATTCCTGTAGTTCAAATAGTGACAGAAAAAAATTAATTAAAAAAAGAAAAAAGACTGGGCGTGGTGGCTCACACCTGTAATCCCAGCACTTTGGGAGGCCAAGGCGGGTGGATTACCTGAGGTCAGGAGTTCGAAACCAGCCTGACTAATACGGTGAAACCCCATCTACTAAAAATACAAAAATTAGCCAGGTGGGGTGATGCTGTAATCCCAGCTAGTCAGGAGGCTGAGGCAGAGGTTGTGGTGAGGGGAGATCATGCCATTGCACTCCAGCCTGGGCAACAAGAGCAAAACTCCGTCTCAAAAAAAAAAAAATCAATTAAAAAAAGAAAAAAATGCATTCTTATCAGACTTTTATGTTTCTCATATATAGCACTGTTTTCGACAGACTTAAACATAGTTATTTATTATATACCACTTTTTTGCACAAATCAAAAGGAAAATTGGCTGGGTGCAGTGGCTCACACTTGTAATCCCATCATTTTGGGAGGCTGAGGTGGGCGGATCACGAGGTCAGGAGTTTGAGACCAGCCTGGCCAACATGGTGAAACCCCATCTCTACTAAAAATAGAAAAAATAGCTGGGCGTAGTGGTGGGCACCTGTAATCCCAGCTACTCGGGAGTCTGAGGCAGGAGAGTCGCTTGAACCCGGGAGGCGGAGGTTGCAGTGAGCCAAGGTCACACCATTGCACTCCAGCCTGGGCGACATGGTGAGACTCCATTTCAAAAAAAAAAAAGGAAAATAAGTGAAATAAACAAAAAAATCAGTTTAACTTTTTGCCATATCAGACATCCTTAGAAGAATAAACATTGGCCGGGCGCGGTGGCTTATGCCTATAATCCCAGCACTTTGGGAGGCTAAAGCAGGCTGATCACCTGAGGTCGGGAGTTTGAGACCAGCCTGACCAACATGGAGAAACCCCATCTCTACTAAAAATAGAAAAAAAAAATTAGCCAGGCATGGCGGTGCATGCCTGTAGCCCCACCGACTTGGAGGCTGAGGCAGGAGAATCACTTGAATCCGGTAGGCGGAGGTTGCGGTGAGCCGAGATCGTGCCATTGCACTCCAACCTGGGCGACAAGAGTGAAACTCTGTCTCAAAAAAAAGAATAAACATTAGGCTCTGTTAGTATGAAAAAGCCTTGTTTATGTATGATTTTTCCAGTGCTGAAAATGGGATGGAGATTTAGAAGCTTTGGAGGGAGGTGGTTTTATGTTTTTCATGTGTCCTGGATTCCTCTTGTGTGGCCATAGCAGAGGGCAGTGATAGGGGCATCCCTTACAAATGCCCTTTTACTGTCTGGCTTGGTTAGAGTTCTTTGGCCAAGTTCCTGCCTCTGTTGTTATGGTCCTCCTACCAGTTCATTTAGGGATCAAGAGTTAATGAGTCTCTCGGGTCGTTTTTGTGAGGTCCAGCTTTGTAAGGAGTCCTTCCTTCCTTACGTCTTGGCTTAAGACATGTCCTGCTGCTGCTAAGTTGTCACAGTCCCATAGGGGGGCAAAATGAGAGGAGCTTTTAAGACGGACTTCACGATTGCAGCATTTTAAATGGCTACATGTTTTATTTCCTTAGCTTTAGTGTTTCTGTAGAGAAAAGAGATGGATTTCAATTTTTTTGCATGTCACTCTGACAAAGTTCTGTTTCCCTTACAGCAGCCAAGAAACTAAAATAAGGCTAGGCTTAGTGGCTCATGCCTGTAATCTTAGCACTTTGTGAGGCCAAAATGAGAGGATCGCTTAAGCCCAGTAGTTTGAGACCAGCCTGGGCAACATAGTGAGACTTAGTCTCTATAAAAACATTTAAGGCTGGGTGCGGTGGCTCACGCCTGTAATTCCAGCACCTTGGGAGGCTGAGGCCAGTGGATTGCTTGAGGCCAGGAGTTCGAGACCAACCTGGGCAACGTGGTGAAACCCGCCCCCCATCTCTGTAAAAAAAAAATACAAAAATTAGCAGGGTGTGATGGTGCATACCTGTAGGCCCTGCTACTTGGGACGCTGAGGTGTAAGTATCACCTGAGCTGGGGGAGGTCGAGGCTGCAGTGAGCTGCGATCACACCACTGCACTGCATCCTGGGTGACAGAGTGAAACCCTGTCTCAAAAAAAAGGGTTGGGGCTAAAATAAAAGATATATTAGTTGGCACTCCAAAACAGATCAGGATTCTATGCATGAAGATTATTTCTCTTTGCTCACCAAAACAGGCAAAGCTATTTATGAGCCAGAGGGTTAAACTTCAGATGTTTCACATTTCAACTAACTTAAGGCTTTATATTTTCCTGGGAAGTTGCTGACTGCTTTACCTAATATGGGAATACCTGTCTTGAATTAAGGATCTCTTGTTATATCTCCTGGGCTGGGAAACAGCTTGATCTCTATAGGGAGTCTTTCTTATGGTAAACTTGAGGGATTTCAAATTGTTTTCTTTTCTTTTTGACGGAGTCTCGCTCTGTCACCAGGCTGGAGTGCAGTGGTGTGATCTCAGCTCACTGCAAACTCCGCCTCCTGGGTTCAAATGATTCTCCTGCCTCAGCCTCCCGAGTAGCTGGGACTATAGGCGTGTGCCACCACACCCAGCTAATTTTTGTATTTTTAATAGAGACGGAGTTTTACCATGTTGGCCAGGATGGTCTCGATCTCTTAACCTCATGATCCGCCCGCCTTGTCCTCCCAAAGTGCTGGGATTACAGGCGTGGGCCACTACACCCAACCTCAAATTGTTTTTCAAAGAGAAAACACTTACGTGTCTCAGCATATACCTAGTGTGACTGGACAACAAGATCTAAAAGAATCAAGGGATCCATAGACTTAAGAGTCAGGACATCCTTACCTGATTCCTTGAGCTGATAAACTTAACTTCTCTGTATGTTTTCCTGATGGGCACAAATAAGAGCAATTCTTATTAGGCCCTTACTACCTAGGTATTGTACACTCTTTGCGATTAGGATTTTGCCTTTTATTTCTCTATTCAGATTGTTAATGGGAACAACTGAACTCTCAATTCATGTCCCGGGTTTCCTGTAGTTGCTGTTCGTTTGCTGCAGCTTTGCATGGTGTTTTTGAGTTTGTGGCCTCACTTAACTGAAGAGCTTGTGGGCATGCCTCCCCAGCTTTCTTCCTTACCTGGTTTTAAATTCTTAGGAATGTGTCCTTCTAATCTTCCTCTTGAAGTTTCAGAGCAAGCACCTAGACATTTCAGTAAGCCTCCAAACTGAGTGGGAATTTATCTTTGACCTGGAACCCAAATCAGTGAGAAACACTATTTTCCTTTTGCTGTGCACTAAGTGTAGTCAGATGTGAAGAAATGGGAGATGGGAGGAGAAATAAGTTAAGGAAGGGATAAACCTAGGAATACAGAATTCTCAATACCGGCAAATTAATTGAACCCTGATACTAACAGATGGCAAAGTAGATAATCATAACTGGAGCAAAGGTAGAGTACAGAGAAAGGTTCTCTCTTAGTGCTTTAGTTCAGATCCACATGTTAACTAGTGCCAGAGAAACAAGAATTTTGAGAAAATATAGGGCCAAGTGAGTGGCAGTTGCTTAGAGTCCAGTCCACTCCCAACAAACAGAACTCTGATTGGCCGAAAGCCCAGCCTTATTGTACATTCCAGCCAATCAGGGATTAGTTTAGTCATTGAAGTTTGTATTTTAATGGTTTTGAAAAGCTGAGTACTGGGCACTTGCTTTTTTGTTCTTCGGGACTTTAGAAGTTTGGAGAACAATAGTCAGCAGTTGCCTAGTTGCTTTGTGGCCTGATGCAGAGTCCCTCTGAGAGCCCATTTCTCCCTTACTGCACTAGTCTTTGGTCCCCTTTCTCCAGCACTGAGTGATGTGGAAGTTACTCAGAGGTCTTTCCAGGTATTCTTTTAAACTTTTGAAGTAAGAACAAAATTCAAAGTGCAGTTATCCTAACAGGCTATTCATTTTATTGGAGTGACACTGTTTTTCCTTCTCCCATTCGGATCAAAATGGCAATTCCTATGTTTTACCCTCACCATGGGTAAGAATATGAGTGGTTGAGGCTTTTGAGAATGGTAATAGGAGGAATATATGACTCTCAGGTCTTATTCTGAGACGTGAAATTCTATTGGCATGTGACTTACAATTTGTGTGGGGAGGCCAGATTGTCAGATAAGCAGTGTTAACCATCTCTCTTGATTCTAATATTACTTTTGGAGAGAGTGTGAGGGGCAAGCAGGACCCTCTCTTGTTTTTGGAGTTTCTGTCCTGAGAGTTCTTCCTTGGACAGTTTGCCCTGAGACAGTTAACCACCTGTTGAACTAAGGAACCAAGACAACTTTGAGAAGTGAAATACCGTTGACAATCCAGGCTCCTCCCCACTCTAGTTCCCATCTCCACCCCACCCCACTCCACCCAAAAAAACTCAGGAAGCAGCCTTTATATATATATATTTTTGAGACAGAGTTTCATTCTTGTTGCCCAGGCTGGAGTGCAATGGCGCAATCTTGGCTCACTGCAGCCTCCGCCTCCCGGGTTCAAGCAATTCTCCTGAGTCAGCTTCCTGAGTAGCTGGAATTACAGGCATGCGCCACCACGCCCGGCTAATTTTGTATTTTTTTTTTTTTTTGTAGAGACAGGGTTTCTCCATGTTGGTCAGTCTGGTCTCGAACTCCCGACCTCAGGTGATCCACCCGCCTTGGCCTCCCAAAGTGCTGGGATTATAGGCGTGAGCCACTGCACCCGGCCTAGGAAGTAGCCTCTTTCTTTCTCTCTTTCTGTCTGTCTCTTTCTTTCTTTCTTTCTTTGTGATGGAGTCTTGCTGTGTCTCCAGGCTGGAGTGTGCAATGGCACGATCTCGGCTCACTGCAATCTCCGCTTCCTGGGTTCAAGCTATCCTCCTGCCTCAGCCTCCTGAGTAGCTGGGACTACAGTTGCATGCCACCATGCCCAGCTAATTTTTTATATTTTTAGTAGAGACGGGTTTCACCATGTTGGCCAGGATGGTCTTGATCTCATCACCTCAGGATCTGCCCGCCTCGGCCTCCCAAGTGCTGGGATTACAGGCGTGAGCCACTGCGCCAGGGCAAAGCAGCCTTTTCCTTAATTGTAGTTCCTCAGTTTTAAATTTTTGATGGGTGCTGGTGTCCCTATAGTGGGAGATGTCACAGAATAGGGAACCGAGGGATGGAAAATGGTGGGTTTGGGGATATGTTATGAAAACAAGCCTCTGGCTAATGCTGAAAAGCCAGTGACTTGTATCCTCAGAATGGTTTCAGAGAAGCATGTTTCCCAGAAGTAGCTTCATTGTTGGGTCTCCTCTCCCCAGGGATAAGTGAAGGTTAGGTAGATGTAATAGATTGTGACACCTCTCATTTAAGGACCTAAAATAAATTTCCAACTCACCGTTGAGACAAGTATTTCCAAGTGAATATGTTTCTGCCTGCAGTGATGGGATTTCTGTAGGGATTGAATTGGTTGCTTGCTTTTTCTTCCTTACTGAATAAGGCATAGCCAGCTGCATAGCCAGGCACAGCTTGCTGGCTGGTGTCCGTCCCTGCCTGAACAGTAGGGAGTGCTGCTGCTTTGTGTAGACAGTCTGTGACTCCTCTGGTGCATTTTGGGTCCCTTCTGACTCTGCCCGTGTTGAGGCTTCTCCTTGAATGTCCACCCAGAGGACAATTTGAACTGGTATGTTAAGGAATTTTCTTCATCTTCTGCCTTCTCTTTATTAGCGGAGATGTGTGGAGGGTTGTTCCATTTGTGCTTTAAAGTGAAAACTATCTATTCTGTAGGAAATTGGGTAAAGAAAGCTGAGTAGCAGATAGCTTTGCTAAAAGGTAGCAGTTGGATAGCGCTCACCTTCTATTTTTTTCTGGATGAAGCACCGAGCATAAATACCTTGCCATATTTATAGAATTATTCCAAGTCATATATCTATGGCCCGGCGTGATGGCTCACGCCTTTAATCCCAACACTTTGGAAGGCAGAGATTGGCGGATCACTTGAGGTCAGAAGTTTGAAGACCAGCCTGGCCAACATGGCAAGACCTCATCTCTACTAAAATAAACAAAGATTAGCCAGGCATGGTAGTGGGGCCCTGTAATCTCAGCTACTCAGGAGGCTGAGGCAGGAGAATCACTTGAACCTGGGAGGCAGAGGTTGCTGTGAACTGAGATCACACCACTGCACTCCAGCCTGGGCAACAAGAGTGAGAGTCTGTCTCAAAAAATATATGTCTGACCCGGCGCGGTGGCTCACGCCTGTAATCCCAGCACTTTGGGAGGCCGAGGCGGGCGGATCATGAGGTCAGGAGATTGAGACCATCCTGGCTAACACGGTGAAACCCCGTCTCTACTAAAAATACAAAAAAATTAGCTGGGCGTGGTGGCAGGCGCCTGTAGTCACAGCTACTTGGGAGGCTGAGGCAGGAGAATGGCGTGAACCTAGGAGGCGGAGCTTGCAATGAGCCGAGATGGCGCCACTGCACTCCAACCTGGGTGACAGAGCGAGACTCCGTCTCAAAAAAAAAAATCTATATCTATATATATATATCTATACCTGTGACTTCCACTTATCTATGTGAAACTTATATTGACATTTCACTTGTAGAATAGTAGATTTTTTTTTTTTTCTTTTTTGAGACGGAGTCTCACTCTTGCCCAGGCTGGAGTGCAATGGCACAGTCTCGGCTCACTGCAACCTCCGCCTCCTGGGTTCAAATAATTCTCCCGCCTCAGCCTCCCGAATAGGTGGGATTACAGGCACCCTCCATCATGCCCGGCTAATTTTTGTATTTTTGTAGAGATGGGGTTTCACCATGTTGCCTAGGCTGGTCTTGAACTTCTGACCTCAGGTGATCCACCCTCCTTGGCCTCCCAAAGTGCTGGGATTATAGACATGAGCCACCTTGCCCAGCCTAGATTTTTTTTTAAAAAAGAAACTTCTTACCGGGCACATGCCTGTAATCCCAGCTACTTGGGAGGCTGAGACAGGAGAATCAGTTGAACCTGGGAGGCGGAGGTTGCGGTGAGCTGAGATCACGCCATTGCACTCCAGCCTGGGCAACAAGAGCGAAATTCTGTCTCAAAAAAAAAAAAAAAAAAAAAAAAGGCAGTTTTTTCTGGCCAATTGTGGTGGCTCATCATGTGTGTAATCTTAGCACTTTGGGAGGCTGAGGAGGTGGATTGCCTGAGCTCAAGAGTTTGAGACCAGCCTGGGCAACATAGTGAAACCCCATCTCTACTAAAATACAAAAATTTAGCTGGGCATGGTGGTGCGTGCCTGTAGTCCCAGCTACCAGGGAGGCTGAGGCACAAGAATCGCTTGAACCTGGGAGGTGAAGATTGCAGTGAGCCGAGATCTCACCACTGCACTCTGGCCTGGGCAATAGAATGAGACTGTCTCCAAAAAAAAAGAAATTTTTTTCTTAAAGAAGAATCTAAATGATATGCTTTTGGTAAGATGGAATAGAAGTTAGGCTCCTGGGCTCCTTTTACTTTATTTTGTCATGAAGGTCAGGGAGAGTGCAACATGAAACAGGCCCTGTGACATGCCATTGGGGACAAGAGGTCTCGGACTGTGGGAAGGAGGAAAGAATTTCTACTCTGACTGGCCAAGATCCCGTGAATTCTGAAGGGTGGAGGGCATTTCTAGATCAACAGGCAACTAGTAAGTTTGACTGAATAAAATAAATGGAGCACAACAATCATAGAGTAAGGCGACATTTGGGGAGTAGTAAATATAAGAGGAATGCATAAGGGATATTGACTCATTGGCAGTATAAAGTATTATTATTAATAGCCTAAAGGAAAAGAAAAGTATCTTTTTCTTTTTCTTTTTTTTTTTTGAGACAGGATCTTGCTCTGTTGCCCAGGCTGGAGTGCAGTGGCGCGATGTCAGCTCACCGCAAGCTCCATCTCCCGGGTTCACACCATTCTCCTGCCTCAGCCTACTGAGTAGCTGGGACTACAGGCGCCTGCCACCTTGCCTGGCTAATCCTTTTTTGTACTTTTAGTAGAGATGGGGTTTCACCGTGTTAGCCAGGATGGTCTTGATCTCCTGACCTTGTGATCTGCCTGCCCAGCCTCCCAAAGTGCTGGGATTATAGGCGTGAGCCACCGTGCCTGGACTTTTTTTTTTTTTTTTTTTTTTGAGACGGAGTCTTGCTCTGTTGCCCAGGCTGGAGTGCAGTGGTGTAACCTTGGCTCATCACAACCACCGTCTCCTGGGTTCAAGGGATTCTCCTGCATCAGCGTCCCGGGTAGCTGGGATTACAGGTGCATGCCACCACGCCCGGCTAATTTTTGTATTTTTAGTAGAGATGGGGTTTCACCATATTGATGAGGCTGGTCTCGAACTCCTGACTTCATGATCTGCCTGCCTTGGCCTCCCAAAGTGCTGGGATTACAGGCGTGAGCCACCGTGCCCAGCCTGGTTTTGTTTTTTTTAAAGGCAGGGTCTCACTCTGTCACCCAGGCTGCAGGAACATGGTTTGCTGCAGCCTCGACCTCCTGGGCTCAGGAGGTCTTCTGCCTCAGCCTCCTGGGATTATAGGCGTGAGCCTATAATTTCCCAAAAATTAAATAAATAAATAAATAAATAAAGCTCTTTTCTCAAAAAAAAAAAAATTGGCCAGGCGTGGTGGCGTGTGCCTGTAATCCCAGCTACTCAGGAGGCTGAGGTGGGAGAATTGCTTGAACCCAGGACGTGGGGGTTGCAATGAGCCGAGATTGCGCCACTGCACTCCAGCCTAGGTAACAGAGGTGACAGAGGTCAGGAGATTGAGACCATCCTGGCTAACACGATGATATCCCGTCTCTATTAAAAATACAAAAAAATCAGCCAGGCGTGGTTGTGGGCACCTGTAGTCCCAGCTACTTGGGAGGCTGAGGCAGGAGAATGGCATGAACCTGGGAGGCAGAGCTTGCAGTGAGCTGAGATCACGCCACTGCACTCTAGCCTGGGTGACAGTCAGACTGTGTCTCAAAAAATAAAAAAAATTAAATAAATAAATAAATAAAGCTCTTTTCTCAAAAAAAAATTGGCCAGGCATGGTGGCGTGTGCCTGTAATCCCAGCTACTAGGGAGGCTGAGGTGGGAGAATTGCTTGAACCCAGGAGGTGGGGATTGCAGTGAGCCAAGATTGCGCCACTGCACTCCAGCCTGGGTGACAGAGCCAGACTTCGTCTCAAAAAAAAAGAAAAAACAAAATCAAACCACAGTGCGGTGTGCTTTTTGTCATATAAAATTTGGATCCACATTTCCTAGGTTACAAGTGTTGCAGAATAATGAAACCATGCTAGTCTGTTTTTCATGCAGTGAGGTGGAATAAATTTTAAAATGATGAAGAATCTCATCCCTGTTTTAATAATCTGCAAATACGTGATATGTCAAGCAATTCCAGAGAGAACCCAGCCATGTTAATGACATTTTAAAAACTACCACACAATTAATTCTGCATTAGTGTAGGCTGACTAAAGTTTCTGATTGATGCTTTAATTGCTAAAAGTTAGACTAGTTGACCCAACGCAGAGATCTTAAGTGTTCAACTTGGAAGTATTTAGAGAGAAAATGGAAATTTTTATAGGGCATCTAATTTGGGGCATGTTGCAATGTCAACTATGATGTTTTAATGTGTTTTTAATTTAGTTGAGCTGTAAATGTGCAAAGTTGGCTAGCAACCATAAGCCCAAGTTGTCTGATTTAATCACATGATGCTGAGCCCTGCTAAGACCTGTGTGATACCAAATGATTCCCTTAGCAGTGTTTGTTGGAGTAATTAGTGTCAGCAATGAATGAATGCTGAATTGAGAGAGATAATGTAACTACATGTCTAAAGGATATACAGATTTTAACGAACATTTATTGTAGAAGAGCAAGTTTTCAAAGCTGCAGTTTTCTTACTGGTGGGTGGTTTTGTTTTTTTGAGACAGTCTTGCTCTGTCATTCAGGCTAGAGTGCAGTGGTACAATCACAGCTCGTTACAGCCTCAACCTCCCAGGCTCAAGTGATCCTCCCATCTTAGCCTCCCAAGTAGTTGGGACTACAGACTTGCACCACCATGCCCAGCTAATTTTTAAATTTTTGTAGAGACAGAGTCTCCCTGTGTTTTCCAGGCTGTTCTCAAACTAACTCCTGCACTCAAGCAGTCTTCTTGTCTCTGTCTCCTAAAGTGCTGGGATTACAGGCGTGAGACATTGCGCCCAGCAAGGTTATTTCTGAAAAACAAAGAAATACATTTTAAAATAGCAAAGGAGACCATGAATGGGATGTCTTCTCTGAAGGCCAGGGCTTCCAGTGTGCTGATCCTGTTGTGAGAGATCCTCCATGCATCCAGAGAGGACAGATTTTTTTGGAAAACCTTTCAGTAGCTGTTTTCATGCAACTTTATTACTGTCAGTTAAAATGAAAAGACTGGATTGGTGGAGGTGGAGTCATTCCCAGCATCTCTTGGTGAATCAGAGCTGTGAAGCTATTCTGCTTAGAAGTTGACCCAAGGATTTGGTGGGAGAACTGGATAAATTAGTTTTAATCTAAAAGCCTTGACACTAACAGGATGTGGGGGAAAACATAAACTTCTAGGACTTAGGAGACCTGTGCAGCCATCTTGGTTGCCTCACTAGCTCTTCCTCTGTTGGAGGATAGGTGAAATTATTGCCATAACCACCTCAGAAGGCCATTTGAAAATCTTGGCCAGGCGTGGTGGCTGACGCCTTTAATCCTACTAGCACTTTGAGAGGTCTAGGCAGGCGGATCATTTGCAGTCAGGAGTTTGAGACCAGTCTGGCCAACATGATGAAACCCCGTCTCTACTAAAAATACAAAAAATAGCTGGGCATGGTGGCACATGCCTGTAATCCCAGCTACTCGGGAGGCTAAGGCGAGAGAACACTTGAACCCAGGAGGCAGAGGCTGCAGTGAACCGAGTTCATGCCACTGCCCTCCAGCCTGGGCAAAAGAGTTAGACTCCATCTAAAAAAAAAAAAAAAAAAAAAAAATTGAAAATCTTCATTGGAAATGCTTCGAAAATCTGAAATAACACTAGAAATATATTGTAGTTGTTAATAGTACCATCAGGTCAGTTATGGCCAAGTCTATATTTTGCTGTGGTATTATATTTAAGAGTTTAATCTGAATTTAATTTTGTAGCCACAGAAAATAATCTGTAGTTTAATTTAGTGCATTGGGAATCCTTTTTTTTTTTAATTGGTCTAGGTGAAGCCAATTAATCCTAAGTCTTCTTTTCTCAGTACTGGTGTGTTTCAGTAGGTGCATGTTACAACCTCACTTGGCTATCAGATGAATTGACCCTGGCAGTGAGTGAGTGACAGATGCCACCACCAGATTGCCTTCAATTCCAGTGTTAACCAGCTCTTCTCCTTTTTTTCCAGTCCCACGCCTTTGACATCTCATCCTTCAGTCCCTTTGCTGTAAAGGCAACTTGAACAAGCTTCAGCCCTTTCTCAGACTTCCAGGGCAGGACTTGAATGGATTTGACACTGGAATTGTTCCTGATGCAGCCTTGTTCAGTTCTTGCTGCTGCCATGCTGGATTCCAAAGATCCACTCTTTCCTCGACTGGTCTCGCAGGGTCAGGCCCACTGGTTAAAGCTTGTTGTGTATTTGGTGGGGAGGTTCAAAATGAAGGAGGGACTCCAGTCCACTTTGGGCATTGGACCTGAAGGCAAAAAATAAGCGTTCAGTCTAAAAGCACTAAGTGCCCATTGTTTAGGCAGCTGTTAATCAGCCACGTTTCTATGAAAATAAGTCCTTTTCATGAGGCAGTTGTGTGGGAATAGCTAATTCTGGCCTGATGCTGTGCAGTGTGAGGTTAAAAACATGGCAACTTGTCACAACACAATTCTTCTTGTTCTTTTTGCTGTGGGCTGACTCTACATTACTTGCTTTGTTTGCTCTAGAATGGAATCTACTCACCATTTACTAAAATGAAATGCATTTCTTTGGGGAGGCAAAGTCCAGTTCACTAGGTCTTGCATCTTAAAGAGAAAGGAGCCCTGCTTCCTCTATGACTAATTGTTAGGAATGTCATTTAGCTTATTTAAATACCGATTTTGGTTCTGGGGTTGAATATTACATGTGGGGTGTACTGTGTGTCTTAGTTTAAACAAATTTATATGTATTGTCCATGTCTTACATATATTGTCCATGTCTTACTCCTCGTAGTACAGACTAATTTTCAAAATAGTTAGCAGTAAGCGGAGGCAAGCATTAGAGAGAAAGCTTGGCATAGTAGAAAGTGCACAAGCTTTGTATTCTGACAAACATGGGTAACATCCTGACCTCAGGCAAGTTATTTAACCCCCAGGCCTTATTTCCTCTTTTGAAAAATGGGAATAATGAAGTTCACCGGACTGTGTTTTATAGAGGATACTGTATGGAAAGTACCTGGCCTCAGTAGTTATTAGTAACTGTCCACCAAAATCATCCTTTGCATTTTTTCTAGAAGCCAGTCCTGAACTCCCCGACCTCCATAGGGGTAGTGTCTTAGGAAGGAGGAGACTAGGGGCACCTTTCAGCAGCCCTGTACATTATTTCACTTTCGACTAACAAGCTTTATACTGCTGACACAGTGTCTCCCCAGGTACCTAGATGTCTTCGTTTTCCTCAAAGATTTGTATATTCTTAGCCACTAGCCAACTGAAGAAGAGGCTAGATCTTCTCTGATGGAGTTTGGGCCTAATGTCTTACTTTGGAATTTGCTACTCCATTTCTTCACAGCAGTTTGACTAATCGAAATCCAGTTTTGGGGAAGTCCTTTGTTCAAATCCCTTGGCATGTCTGCTCTTAAAGGATAGGCTCCTGAGAGTTTTTATAAGCACTTTGCTTAATTTAGAGTTACAGGATGGTGAATACCATGTAGCAAGATTTCAGTTGGTTCTTTAAATCTTGCAATTGGGGGATCTTTCTTGAAGATTTTTCATAGCAGAAGGCCTCTTTTCAGCATTGTGATAGTTGGTATAGACAGTTACTCAAGCAGATTTATATCCATCACATTTCACAGCTGTCAGCATTTATAGGTCATTCCCATTTGCCTTCTCCTTCTAGCAGCCTTTTCATATTAGTAGGGCTTGCCAGGACAGTGATGGAGAAGAATGGAGAGGGAGGATCACCTCAATAAAAGGAGGGCGACTTTACCAGTTTGTAGTTTAAAATACTTAAGTAAATCACAAATCTCCCTAATGCAGATATCCGTAGACTCAAGCTGTAAATTGCTGTACCATCACCAAGGTTTAAGAACTAGGACTTTTGCCTCAACTTCAGGCAACCCCGAACTAGGTTCTTTTTTGCATGTGAACAACAGGAAAAGAAAGATGTTTCTCATAACAAAAATGATCAGGTACTTAGTTAATGTTGCAGTAATCATTTCAGTAAAGAATTATCTTTATCACTTGAGCAGTGGAATGATTTTGAGTATCTTGATAGAGGTTACTAGTTCTTTTAAAACACTGTTGGTCATGTCTGATTTGATTCTAGGTACTTGCTCGGGAATCTAATTCCCAATTATATAACATTGTTCCTTTAGGACAAAGTTTAGGAAAGTATACTTTGTCTAATGGCACAGTTTCAAAAAATAGATCTTAGAGGTAGGGAAAAAATACTGCTATCACCCAGTTGCTGAATATATAAGGTACTGGAGGGAGTACAAAGAGGGCAGCAAGTACCTACATTGTTGTGATGGGAAGAGGGAACACCAGTGGATGGGTGCTCCTTATAGTATGGCACTGGCATCCTGTACCTCATATGTCCCTGTCATCCACGGTCTTAGTCTCTGCTGTCACTCAGCTCTGTTCCTGTCTTAAACACCAACATGCTATGCTTTTAACTCTTTTGCCACCTGCCTTTGCTCTGCTTGTTCTTCCAGTGACAAATGCATGAGCCACTTTTCAGGAGGTGAAATTATTAAAACTCTTGAGGATGTGACCTATTTCACATTGAGAAATAAGTTGCCCTGAATGGAGTAACCATTTTTCCTGTAAGTTTGCAAAAGAGGCAGCAGTTGTGACACTGTGGAAGGAGATAGAAAAATTCCTTGCCATGAGGGAATGTCTAAATTTGTCCTGCGGGGAGGATGACTACAGGCAGAAATAGTGAGGTGAGGCAGGAACATAAGAGGGGTTTTCTTGATTTAGTTTGAATGTATCTAAGTGACAAAAAGGAGCATCTGAAGAACTTGGATTCTTTCATTAGCACCTCCTTTTGGTCCATTGGCCTATTCAACAAATCTATAAATCCTTCAAGTATCACACTAACTTTCAGCTCAGTGTGCTGCGGGCTCTAGACCAAAGATTCCTCCTGTAAGATTACAGAGGTTATTCCCTTTGTAAAGTAACATGATTCTCTTTCTCTTTCATTTTCAGGGAAGCAGAGACTTTCAAGGAACAAGGAAATGCATACTATGCCAAGAAAGATTACAATGAAGCTTATAATTATTATACAAAAGCCATAGGTGAGAAAGAACTGATACTTACGCTAGAAAACATTTACTTGCCAAATATTATTAAAAGTAGCTGCCAAGTCCTGGTGGCTCACGCCTGTAATCCCAGCACTTTGGGAGGCCAAAGCAGGAGGATCACTTTAGATCAGGGGTTTCAGACCACTCTGGCCAACATGACGAAACCCCGTCTCTACTGAAAATACAAAAATTAGCTGGGCCTGGTGGCGGGCACCTGTAATCCCAGCTACTTGGGAGGCTGAGGCAGGAGAATTGCCTGAACTCGGGAGGTAGAGGTTGCAATGAGCCAAGATTGTGCCACTGCACTCCAACCTGGGCAACAAAGCAAGACTTCATCTCAAAAAGATAAAAAAAATAGGCCAGGCTCAGTGGCTCATGCCTGTAATCCCAGCACTTTGGGAGGCCAAAGCAGGCGGATCACTTTAGATCAGGGGTTTCAGACCACTCTGGCCAACATGACGAAACCCTGTCTCTACTAAAAATACAAAAATTAGCTGGGCCTGGTGGCGGGCACCTGTAATCCCAGCTACTTGGGAGGCTGAGGCAGGAGAATTGCCTGAACTCGGGAGGTAGAAGTTGCAGTGAGCCAAGATTGTGCCACTGCACTCCAACCTGGGCAACAAAGCAAGACTTCATCTCAAAAAGATAAAAAAAATAGGCCAGGCTCAGTGGCTCACGCCTATAATCCCAGCACTTTGGAAGGCCAAGGCAGGCAGATCACCTAAAGTCAGGAGTTTGAGACCGGCCTGGCTAACATGGTGAAACCCTGTCTCTACAAAATACAAAAATTTGCTGGGTGTGGTGGTGCGTGCCTGTAATCCCAGCTACTAGGGAGGCTGAGGCAGGAGAATCGCTTGAACCCAGGAGGTGGAGGTTGCAGTGAGCTGAGATCCTGCCGTTGCACTCCAGCCTGGGGGACGACCAAAGAACTCCATCTCAAAAATTAAATTAAAAAAAATTGAGAAAAGTAGCTTCTCTCTGAGAAGTAGCCTTTTGCCCAATGGGTTGATAACTGTTACTGTATGAACTCCTTCAGGCTTAATGATCTCATGAAGGCCAGGCGTGGTGACTCATGCCTGTAATCCCAGCATTTTGGGAGGCCGAGGCGGGCGGATCACCTGAGGTCAGGAGTTCTTCTCCCCTAATTTGCTTACCCCAACTCAACATGCACATTTCATTTCAGCCTGGCCTGTTAACATGGTGAAACCCTGTCTCTAAAGATACAAAAATTAGCCAGGTGTGGTGGGCGCTTGTAATCCCAGCTACTCGGGAGGCTGAGGCAGGAGAATTGCTTGAACCTGGGAGGCAGAGGTTGTAGTGAGCCAAGATCACGTCGCTGCACTCCAGCCTGGGCAACAAGCGCGAATCTCCGTCTCAAAAAAAAAAACAAACTCATGAATGATAACTTTTTTCTTTTTCTTTTCTTTTTTTTTAACTCTTTAAATTTTTTAAAATAGAGACAGGGTCTTACCATGTTGCCCCGGCTGGTCTCAAACTCCTGGGCTCAAGCGATCCTCCTACCTTGGCCTCCCAAAGTGCTAGAATTACAGGGATGTGCCACCATCCCCAGCTGTGATAACTTCTTCTAACTGGGGTGGGTAGTTTTTCTTTTGATAAATTAAAGGCAATTCCAGAAATACTGAATGTTATGGCAAAACCCACCTAAATACATTTCAGTCATTGTCAATTCATTTACTACCTTAGAAAATGGCCTTTGTACATAAAAGAAGTCTTAGTTATCTCCATGCTTAATTTGCCAGCATACTTTAATCCCGTGTCAGCATTCTTCTCACCTAATTTGCTTACCCCAGCTCAACATGCACATTTCATTTTAATGTCTCATTATACAAAACAGTTCATTAAGATTAATAAGCTGCCTCTCTCCTCAAAAGATAATCACTACACTTCAAAGCCGTACCTTGTTTTGTTTTAAAACTGATTGTATCCTTGCTGCTGTCCATTTGCACAAGCAGTCAGAAATTTGGATGCAGCCTATTTATTTATTGTTGAGACAGTGTCACTGTCACCCAGGCTGGAGTGTAGTGGCACAATCTTGGCTTATTGCAACCTTCACCTCCTAGTTTCAAGCGATTTTCATGCCTTAGCCACCTGAGTAGCTGGGATTGCAGGTGTGTGCCACCATGCTTGGCTAATTTATTTGTATTTTAGCAGAGACAGCGTTTTGCCATGTTGGCCAGGCTGGTCTCAAAACTCCTGGCCCCAAGTGATCTGCCCACCTCGGCCTCCCAAAGTGCTGAGATTATAGGTGTGAGCCACTGTGCTGGCTGTGGCATTCTAAAGAGAGTGTGTCAGGGCTGGGTGCAATAGCTCACTCCTGTAATCCCAACGCTTTTGGAGGCTGAGGCAGATGGATCACTTGAGGCCAGGAGTTCAAGACCAGCCTGGCCAACGCGGCAAAACCCCATCTCAACAAAAAATACAAAAATTAGCTGGATGTGGTGGCGTGTGCCTGTGGTCCCAGCCACTTAGGAGGCTGAGGTAGGAAGATGGTTTGAGCCCAGGAGGCGGAGGATGCAGTGAGCAGAGATCATACCACTGCAGTCCAGCGTGGGCAACAGAGCCAGACTGTGCCTCAAATAAATAAATAAAAATACAGAAATTAGCCAGGCGTGGTGGCACATGCCTGTAATCCTAGCTGCTTGGCTGCTTGGGAGGCTAAGGCACAAGAATCACTTGAACCCAGGAGGCAGAGGTTACAGTGAGCCGAGATAGCACCACAGCACTGTAGCCTGTGCAACAGAGTGAGACCCTGTCTCCATGAAGAAAAAAGAGTTTATGAGCGTTACAGATAGATTCCCTTAACATTGTTTGGAGGGAGATGCCCTCTAAGTTTTTGTTTATTTGTTTGTTTGTTTTTTGAGACAGGGTCTTCCTCTGTCGCCCAGGCTGGAGTGCAGTGATGTGCTCTTGGGTCACTGCAACCTCCACTTCCCAGATTCAAGCAATTCTTATGCTTCAGCCTCCTGAGTAGCTGGAATTACAGGGGCCCACCACCACGCCCAGCTATTTTTTTTTTTTTTTTGTATTTTAGTAGAGATGGGGTTGTGCCATGTTGACTAGGCTGGTCTTGAACTCCTGACCTCAAGTGGTCTCCCCTCTTGGCCTCCCAAAGTACTGGGATTATGGGCATGAGCCACTGCGCCCAGCCCCCTCTAAGTTTTCAAAGCAGGGACCTGTTCTAAACTTTGTTTTACGTTCTTCTGCCTTTCCTATAGATATGTGTCCTAAAAATGCTAGCTATTATGGTAATCGAGCAGCCACCTTGATGATGCTTGGAAGGTTCCGGGAAGCTCTTGGAGATGCACAACAGTCAGTGAGGTTGGATGACAGTTTTGTCCGGGTATGTATGTAATGGGGCTGTTTGGGGAAGGCTGGGTTGCTACAGTTGAGTTTCTCTAGCCCCGTATTTCTCAACCTTGACACTACTGACATTTGGGACCAGATTATTCTTTGTTGTGGGGGACTTTACTGTGCACTGTGGGTTGTTTAGCAGCATCTCTGACTTTTAATCACTGAGTATGAGTAGCACCCCCTCTGCCCAGTTGTAACAACCAAAAATGTCTCTTAACATTGCTAAATGTCCCCTGGAGGGCACATTGCCCAGGTTGAGAACTACTGCTGTAGTCATTTTCATTTTGTGTTAGTTTTGTTCGTTTGTTTGTTTTTGTTTTTGAGATGGAGTCTAGCTCTGTCGCCCAGGCTGGAGTGCAGTGGCGCGATCTCGGCTTCAGGCAATTCTCCTGCCTCAGCCTCCAGAGTAGCTGGGACCACAGGCATATGCCACCACACCCGGCTAATTTTTGTATTTTTAGTAAGAGACGGAGTTTTGTCATGTTGGCCAGGCTAGTCTCAAACTCCTGACCCCAAGTGAGTGATCTGCCCGCCTCAGCTTCCCAAAGTGCTGGGATTACAGGTGTGAGTCACCGCGCCTGGCCTCTGTGTTGGTTTTGTGTGGGTGTCTGTTGCTGCTGTTGATTTCTTTCCACTTGGCCAATCATGCTTCTTTTCTTCCCTCTTGGTGTTCTTTTAGGGACATCTACGAGAGGGCAAGTGCCACCTCTCTCTGGGGAATGCCATGGCAGCATGTCGCAGCTTCCAGAGAGCCCTAGAACTGGATCATAAAAATGCTCAGGCACAACAAGAGGTACGGGTCTGATCCTGTTTCTGTCAAAAGAGGCAGTATGGTATATTTGGGAGGAGTGGCTACTTGAAAGTCGGAACTGAGGTCTAGTCTCACTTCTGCCATCAGCACACCTGGGTGACTTTAGGCGAGTTTCATAGCCTCTCTAAGCCTCAGCTTCCTAATCTGTAAAATGAGTTTTGAATATGATTGACAGCTTTTAAAAATCTGTGAAAATTGAAGTGTTTCTGAGATAGCTGGGGAATAGGCAAATGCTTCCAGGGACTGATTTGAGTGAGGTTAAAGAATTTAAGAGTTTGGGACTTAGTGAGACCCTGTCTCCACAAAAAAATTTTTTACATTAGCCAGGCCTGGTGCCATGCACCTACCTGTGCTCCCAGCCACTCAGGAGGCTCAGGTGGGAGGATTGCTTGTGCTCAGGAGGTTGAGGCTGAGCCGTGATCGCACCACTGCACTATAGCCCGGGCAACAGAGCAAGAACCTGTCTCAAAAAAATAAAAAAGAATTTGAGTAAATTCAAGCCTTGATTAAATTGGTAGCAGCTAAAACATGTTTTAGTTCCATCTCCATATATAGTATGTGTCGCTTAATGACAGGCATACATTTTGTTAGGTGATTTTGTCATTGTGCAGAATCATAAAGTATACTTACACAAACCTGGGTGGCATAGCCTGCTACACACCTAGGCTATATGGCAGTGGCTTCTGGACTAAAACCTGTATAGCGTGTTACTGTCCTGAATATTGTAGGCAGCTATAACACAGTGGTATTTGTGTATCTAAACAGAAAAGGTACAGTAAAAATACGGTATTACAATTTTACAGGAGCACTGCCATATATACAGTTCATTGTTGACCAGAGTGTATGACTGTATATACAGTTTACCCTAGATGCATTTCAGTGAGAATCTCAAAACATATGCTCAATCCCTGGCAATGCATTGCCTTTATTTCATGTATATCAAGCATAACACTTGTGTTCCTGACTTGAAGTTCAAACTGAGGGTGAAGATTGGGTCTAGCCCTTCTGTTAAGAAGTCTTGACTGTATCTTCATCAATTTGATTTGTGAAATGTCTGTGGTTCTGATTTTCTTGAAAGAAAATCTCCTAGGGACTTCTATGAGAGGTCGAGTACCACCTCTCTCTAGGGAATGCCATGGCAGCCTGTCGCAGTTGCCAGAGAGCCCTAGAACTGGATCATAAAAATGGCCATTCACAACAGGAGGTATGCATTCGACCCTATCTCTATCAAAAGAGGCAGTGTGGTATATTTACTGAATTCAAATTCATCAAGGCCTTGTTAATTTTTTTGTGGTTGTTTAATCTACAGCTTCATTAAAACTTTCCTATGTCTGATTTTCCGGTGCAGTTCAAGAATGCTAATGCAGTCATGGAATATGAGAAAATAGCAGAAACAGATTTTGAGAAGCGAGATTTTCGGAAGGTACAGTACAACCATGAGATAATCTCATCTGCTCTTTGTCGCAAAATTCCCATTCGTGTGTGTGTGTGATAATTAAGAGGAGTAGTATGGCACAAAAGCTCTAGAATAGTAAATTATCACTTAAATTAGGCTTCTGACTTTTCCTCTTAAAAATGTTTTGTGCTAAGGTACTTATTTTCTTAATTATATTTGGCCCTATGATAAAAGGTAAAATGAGTGTGCCACTTGAGTTTGTTTCTATTGTTGATGTAAAGCACTGGTCTAATAGTGTACTTCTTAATAAAGGGAAAGCCCGCTGGAATTAAATATTAGGTTTGGATAATCTTTTTTTTTTTTTTTTTTTTTTTTTTGAGGCCTAGTCTCACTCTGTCACCCAGGCTGGAGCACAGTGGCTAACTGCAACCTCCGCCTCCCGGGTTCAAACGATTATCCTGCCTCAGCCACCCTGGGATTACAGGCGCATGCCATCACACCTGGCTAAGTTTTGTAGTTTTGTTTTTTGTTTTTGTTTTTTGTTGTTGTTGTTTGTTTTTTGAGATGGAGTTTCACTCTGTCACCCAGGCTGGAGTACAGTGGCATAATCTCGGCTCACTGCAACCTCTGCCTCCCGGGTTCAAGCGATTCTCCTGCCTCAACCTCCTGAGTAGCTGGGATTATAGGCATGCGCCACCACGCCCAGCTAATTTTTGTATTTTTAGTAGAGATGGGGTTTCACCATGTTGGTCAGGCTGGTCTCAAACTCCTGACCTCCTGATCTGCCCGCCTCAGCCTCCCAAAGTGCTGGGATTACAGGCGTGAGCCACCGCGCCAGGCCTTTTTTTTTTTTGAGAGAGAGTTTGGCTCTTGTTGCCCAGGCTGGAGTGCAGTGGCGTGATCTCGGCTCACTGCAACCTCCGCCTCCCAGGTTCAAACAATTGTCCTGCCTCAGCCTCCCGAGTAGCTGGGATTACAGGCATGTGCTGCCACGCATGGCTAATTTTGTTTTTTTTTTTTTTAGTAGAGACGGGGTTTCTGCATGTTGGTCAGGCTGGTCTCGTACTCCCGACCTCAGGTGATCTGCCCGCCTTGGCCTCCCAAAGTGCTGGGATTACAGGCGTGAGCCACCTCCCCGGCCAAAAGTTCTAGATATCTTTCTAGACCTCGCAGTTATTATGCTTTATCTGTGTAACTCCTTTCTTCTTTAGATGGTGCTTGGAAATAGTTTTCACTTGAGTTTCAAAAGGGGAGGTAGATAACCCCCAAAAAGGTTAAAAACCACTGATCAGGAGAGATTTTCTGGATCACTTAAGTTTGTGACTACTATCCAAGGAACAGAGTTGTCACTTCATATGTGGGAATTTGCTCAGTACTTTTTGTAGCATGTGCTCAGTAAATTTTTTTGTTTTGTTTTTGTTTTGTTTTGTTTTGTTTTGAGGCAGAGTCTTGGTCTGTTGCCCAGGCTGGAGTGCAGTGGCGGGATCTCGGCTCACTGCAAGCTCCGCCTCCTGGGTTCATGCCATTCTCCTGCCTCAGCCTCCTGAGTAGCTGGGACTACAGGCGGCCACCACCACGCCCAGCTAATTTTTTGTGTTTTTAGTAGAGACAGGGTTTCACCGTGTTAGCCAGGATGGTCTTGATCTCCTGACCTTGTGATCCTCCCGCCTTGGCCTCCCAAAGTGCTGGGATTACAGGCGTGAGCCACCACGCCTGGCCTCAGTAAATGTTTTGATAAGAGGATACATTAAGAATCATTCACATTGACTGATGGTCTTTTATTTGGTAATGTATATATCTGATTAGCTTATGCAGAGTCCCGGCAGTAACTTATTAGCATCCCTCTTCTGTCCATTGGTTTTAATAACCACAGTTGTCTTTGTAATGTAATTCATAAGTTTGTTTTGTTTGGCATGTGTGTGTTTGGAAAGCAATTCTGCCTACTGTCAGTTTTCTGAGGTTTACATAGGCAAAAGCTTTGTCTTGAGAGGTGGTCTTTTGGGTTTCTTTTCTCTCTTGCCTACTCCAGAGCCAGAATCCTGAGTTTGTGACAGAATCCTCTGTTTGTGACATCCCAGCCCCCCCACTGTAGCTCACGGTGATGTCACAAATGAAGAATTATGATCCTGGCAGGGGAAACAGATGAACTTGGAAGAAACAAAAGATCTTCTTTGCCTGCAGCTGTCCCTAGTCATGGGGAGGTTGGGGGGTGGGAAGTGAAGCACTGACGATCCCCATGATTAGCAGAACCAGCTCTGCATAAAACGGGGTCCTTGTGAAGGCAACAGGGTGTGGCTGCTGACATTTTGACTGACTTTTTCCTGCCCCCTCATTCCTTTTCCATCTGGGGGGGCAGGACAGTTAGCACAACTCTACCTACATAATGCTTAAGTTTTCATATTGTCCTTAGAACTTTCAGGACATGCCGAGTGCGGTGGCTCATGGCTGTAATCCCAGCACTTTGGGAGGCCGAGGTGGGCGGATCACCTGAGGTCGGGAGTTAGAGACCAGCCTGACCAACATGGAGAAACCCTGTCTTTACTAAAAATACAAAAAATTAGCCAGGCCTGGTGGCGCATGTCTGTAATCCCAGCTACTCAGAGGGCAAAGGCAGGAGAATTGCTTGAACCCGGGAGGCAGAGGTTGCAGTGAGCCAAGATCATGCCATTGCACTGCAGCCTGGGCAACAAGAACGAAACTCCATCTCAAAAAAAACAAAAAACAAAAAAACAGAAAACTTTCAGGACAGTAAACCTGTGCCACTGAAGGAGAGGCATTCCTGTCACTGCTGTGTGACACTGCAGAAAGTCTTCTCAGTGAAACAGCTGGTAATGTGGTAGTGTTTACTGACTTGCTCATATTTTAAATTTCAGTTTTGGAATAGGTGCTATTCATGGTTCAAAAACTAGAAAGTGTTGCCAGATGCAGTGGCTTATGCTTGTAATCCCAGCACTTTGGGAGGCCAAGGCAGGAGGATCACTTGAGGCGAGGAGTTCGAGACCAACCTGGGCAACTTATTGAGACCCTGTCTCTACAGATAATTTAAAATTTTAGCTGAGTGTGGTGACGTGTGCCTGCAGTCCCAACTACTCATGAGGCTGAGGCAGGAGAATCACTGGAGTCTGGGAAGTCGAGGCTGCAGTGAGCCATGATTGTGCCACTGATACTCCAGCCTGAACAGCAGAGCAAGACCCCATCTCAAAAACAAAACAAACAAAAGTTAGAAAGTATGAAAAATATTCAGTGATGAGTGTCCCCTCAAACTTGTCCTCTCTCCGCCCAGTTCTCACTCCCCTAAGCTAACCACTGTTCTTATGTCTTCTATTTTCTTCCTTAGTTTTGTTGTACTTATATAAAATAAAGATCCTTGATTTTCTCCCTTTATTTAGCGTGAAAGGTAGTATGCTTTATGGCAGGTCTGCACCTTTAAAAAAAAATCACTGAGTAGCTCTTGGAAGTCTTTCCATATTAGTACATGAAGAGCTTCTTCATTCTATTTTAGAACTATATAGTATTCCATTATATGAATGTCCATGTTAACTAACCAGTCTCCTGTGGATGGAATTTGAATTTTTCTGCTTGTAAGTTTTCAGAGTTTATCTCTTCCTGACCCCCATGGCCAAATTCTTAGAGGGAATAGGTGTCCCTTAACTCCAGATTTGTCCTTCGGTTCATTTATTCTCGGCGTGAATGTGATTCAGCAAGGCTCTCCCAGGAATAAATAGCAGCTAAACCAAAACTGAAAGCTCAGAGGACAAACTAGTAAAAAGAGAAAAACAGAATATATGGAGATGCTTTATGAGGCTGAAAGAGTAAATTAATCCCCACCTTTTTGTGTGTGTGATTGCTCCTTGGCTTGTGGTTTGTATAGTGGCATGTTGGGAATAGTAATCTGATGTAGCCTATTTAGAGCCATTTAAAATAACTATTTTAAGGCTGGGTGTGGTGGCTCACGCCTGTAATCCTAGCACTTCGGGAGGCTGAGGAGGACGGATCACGAGGATCAAGACCATCATGGCTAACATGGTGAAACCCTGTGTTTACTAAAAATACAAAAAAAAATTAGCTTGGGCGTGGTGGCGGGCGCCTGTAGTCCCAGCTACTCGGGAGGCTGAGGCAGGAGAATGGCGTGAACCCAGGAGGCAGAGGTGGCAGTGAGCCAAGATCCTGCCACTGCACTCCAGCCTGGGTGACAGAGTGAGACTCCATCTCAAAAAAAAAAAAAAAAGTGATAATATTGCCTATTTCATAAAATTCTTGTGAGGATTAAATGGGTTCATATATGAAAGTACCCAGTAAATGTTTACTGTCCTCATTATCATCTGGAGCCTTTGCTGTCCTCATTTCAGTGCTTTTATTTAATGAATTAGGTATGTTTTTAAACTTTGATATTACTTAGAAGTGGACCCAAAGACCTCATTGAGTTTTGAGTCTGTTACCTGTGACTAAACTAAAGTGAAGATGTTTCTGGAGTCCCTGATGAAGAGCCTTATTTGTTTTCTTCTTCCCTACAGGTTGTTTTCTGCATGGACCGTGCCCTAGAATTTGCCCCTGCCTGCCATCGCTTCAAAATCCTCAAGGCAGAATGTTTAGCAATGCTGGGTCGTTATCCAGAAGCACAGTCTGTGGCTAGGTATGCAGTCAGGCTAGCTGGACATTAAAATGCCAGATACCATTGGACTGATGGTGTCCGGCAGCTTCACCACAGGATATGGTCCCCAGAGTAGGCCAGCTAGGGCTGATCAGACCCTCTTGGGACTTAAAGTCAAAGATTAGACCAGCTTTGAAAACCCGTAGGGTATACAGGAGTATAGTAGTATAGCAGGTACTTGAGCTATATATGAAAGAACAGATTGTGTTTTTGTGGTTTTGTTTGTTTGTTTAAGGTAGTCCTTTTCCTTCTACTCCACTGGTTGGCACACTTTCTGCAAAGGGCCAGATTTTAGCCTTTGCAGGCCACAGGGTCTCTGTTGCAACTAACTCAACTCTGCCATTGCAGTGCAAAGGTTGCCCTAGATAATAGATGAACCAATGGGTGTGGCTGTTTGAATAGTGTTTTATTTACAAAAACCAGTGGCAGAAAGGATTTGGCCCTGTGGGCTGTAGTTTGCCAAACCCTGTTCTAGTTTAATAAGGATTGTAAGACACAAGATGTGTATTAAAGATAATTATAGGTGGTTTATTTGGGGAAAGTTTGGGAACAGTTCTTGGGAATCTGTCTACCTTTGGATATTTTGAATGCTAGACACATGGTCAAGGAGGAAAACTGGCCACAAATGGTAGTAATGGTGGGGACATTCTAAAGCACAGCTCAATGTGCCCTTTTCTGACTATTGCAGTGACATTCTACGAATGGATTCCACCAATGCAGATGCTCTGTATGTACGAGGTCTTTGCCTTTATTACGAAGATTGTATTGAGAAGGCAGTTCAGTTTTTCGTACAGGCTCTCAGGATGGCTCCTGACCACGAGAAGGCCTGCATTGCCTGCAGAGTAAGTTCTAGTCACCAGACCTAACTGGGAAAGAGCTTCCTTTTGGGACCTTTAAGATGGCTAGAGTGGAAGGTTTTAGAATCACAAGGAATGTGATAGCTTTTCCTCCTGCTTTGCAAGGATGCTTGGTCTTTATTAGAAATGGTTTCAGGACTACTTGTATTTACCTAAAGGTAGATGTGATCATATAGGGTCGGATGCCTTTAATATCTAAGAGGGTTTTTTTGTTTTGTTTTTCCCCTCAGTGAAGATAGATAGTAATACTTGTCCTGAGAAGTGAAGGCAGACCCAGTAACATAGGTCTCATTGGTATTTTTGGTAACTCTTTTCCTGTCCACTCTGTAGGAAGCTCAAATGAGCAACAGATAGCCCAGATTGGGGGTTGGCGGGGCTCTGTGATGCTGAACTGCTGGAAGCAAAGAACTTGAAAATAGAGTCTGGCCTCTCTGTGCAATGGTCTGAGGCTTTGTGGATATGAACCGATCCTCCCCTTGCTTTTTTCTGTAGAATGCCAAAGCACTCAAAGCAAAGAAAGAAGATGGGAATAAAGCATTTAAGGAAGGAAATTACAAACTAGCATATGAACTGTACACAGAAGCCCTGGGGATAGACCCCAACAATATAAAAACAAATGCTAAACTCTACTGTAATCGGGGTACGGTTAATTCCAAGGTAAGCTCTTGATCTAGATCTTGGGGCCTATAGAAATATTTTTAAGGGACATCAAAGGGTCTTGGGAAATCTGCCTAGTGAGGGTAAGCAAGATGAAAGAGGGAAAGTTGTTATGGTTAATAGTTTGTTAGGAACTCCCTTCCAAGAGGCAAGCTTTTGTCATCTCTATGGAATTTGAGGGCAGTTGGACAATTTGCAAGGATATTCTCACCTGTTCATTAAGGTCCCTTTCCTCCAGTAAGAGAATGGCTAGGGTCTGTGGGATAATCTTAAGCACCTACTGTTGCTTTTTTGTTGTTTTGCTTATGCAAGTGATCATTTATTTTTTAGGAGTGATTTGGAGGAAGAGTATGAGGCAAGCTTGTTTTTCTCCAGTGTAATTGATGGTCACCATGCATGGTTGAAAATGGCCTGAGTGCTTTTGTGGCCCTACCCAACATCAGAAACAAAAAGTAGACTCCTTGCCCTTGCAGAATTCTAGCAGTTAAAAATCAGAGTGATTTCTGATCCCTGCAGGTGACCTCTGGAAAAAAGGAGGGCAGGAACCAGCCTTACTATTTTCATGTTTTCATTGGGCACTAACATGGAATGGTAAAGGTAGTTTATCCTTGAAGACAGATGTGCCTGGCTTGTATCATATACAAGAGAAATCAATTTTGAAGTTGCTGTCCATAGCCCTGGTGACAAAGAACTAGAACTTAATATGACATTTAAGGGGCCAGCATGACTGATCCTCTTAGAGTTTTGAAGCCATGCTCACAGCTTCTGGGCTCCCTCAGTCACCAAAGGTGTGAAGTATGATTGCTCTCTCTCTCCTGAAGCTTAGGAAACTAGATGATGCAATAGAAGACTGCACAAATGCAGTGAAGCTTGATGACACTTACATAAAAGCCTACTTGAGAAGAGCTCAGTGGTAAGTGCCTCTGATGGGTAGGGGGAAGAGGGAGTTGCCGCTGGCCTCAGGGGAATTGCCTTGTGGATGACGAAGCAGACCCAGAGATGTTGTGAGGTCATTTGGTCCTTCCCCCTGCCTCTAGGTGGGATTGTTCCAGCCCTAGACTATCTTTATAGACCTCCAGCGGAGGAGATTGCACAAGCTCCCTCAGTCTCCCATGCCTGTGTCTAACGCCCCTCACGGTCAGTAAGTTTCCTCTGATGCCTGACCCAAATTCCTTTTGTTAAAAAGTTTAAATCCATTTCCTTTGGAGATTTTATTTTGTGTTGTACACTTATGCTCTACCCTGGCACAGTGCTTGACACATAGGTGCTCACTGAATAAATGTTTTGTTGAATGAATGTATGGTGCTTGGAAGAGAAAACAACTCTTGGAGACAGTTGAGAGTTGTACTTCATCCTGTTTGTTCTGGGCGAGGGAAGACAATCTTAGAGTTGGAAGAGATGTAATCCGGCTCAGCCTCCCAGGATAAAGGAACTTCCTTTTGAAACACCCTGGATGGCTACTCTCTGCTTGAGTGTTTTGAGTGGAGGGCACTCTGTGTCTGACAGGGTGATTATGAGCCAGGATGTGCCTACCTCTAATGCTCACATTTGCCCCAGAGTCAGGGTGCTCCCTGGCATGGTTGCTCCTCTTACTCTTAGACCCACCAGCTGGTTTTCTCCAGATAGGAACAGGGCTAGGAGAAATCTTTCTCAGAAATCCATCTCTTCTGATTTCAGATTATTCTCTAGGCGGAGAAAAACTTCCCGTCTTTAAAGTTCTTAGAGAAGATGTATTTATTGTATACTAATCCTCCAGCACCTGCTCCACTCCTTATTATAAAATGTCATATCCAAAGAACAGATGCTGTCACTGATGCCTGATGAGCCAGTAGTTTAAGCTTCCTTGTCTCATCAGTGGTACAGAATATCTCATGGACTACCTCCCACTTAGTTTTCTCAAAATTATCTCACTTAAAATAGGAAAACTGCTGCTGTGTGTGATGCTTTTTTTAAAAGTGAATTTCTAAGTTGATGACTAAGTCTGTCCAACAGAAACATACAGGGAATTATAACTTCTGTGAGACTGACTGTCAGTCATTCCATCTTTGCAAACCACTGGCACACAGAAGCAGAAGCTTTGGAAGACAAAAAAAGCACCCTTTGATTCAGCCAAAGACTGACTTTAACAGACGCAAAATGCTATATACATGAAGGTGTTTGCTGCAATTTTATCTATAATAGCAAAAAAAAAAAAAAAAAAAGGCGGGGGGAGAATCACCTACATGTCCAGTGGGAAGGGGGTGGCTAGATACTTGATACTGTATGAACTTAATGGAATGCTCTGTATATGGAATGCCAGGGGATGGGAAGAGAAGAGAAAAATCGCTTTGTTTTATTTTTTGGGATGGAGTCTCGCTATGTCGCTCGGGATGGAGTCTCGCTATGTCGCTCAGGCTGGAGTGCAGTAGCACCGTACTGGCTCACTGCAACCTCCACCTCCTGAGTTCAAGCGAATTTCCTGCTTCAGCCTCCGAAGTAGCTGAGATTACCGGCGCATGTCACCACACCCAGCAAATTTTTGTATTTTTATTGGAGATGGGGTTTCATCATGTTGGCCAGGCTGTTCTCAAACTCCTGATGACAAGTGATCTGCCTGTCTTGGCCTCCCAAAGTTCTGGAATTACCAGCAGGTGTGAGCCACCGCGCCCGGCCTTTTTTTTTTTTTTTTTTTTTTTTTTTTTTTTAAGCAAGCCCCCAACACCATAGAAAATTCTTGATTTGCTCGGAGGATAATTGGATGAAGGATTATTTTCTTCTTTGTTTATGTGCAAGAAATGAAAATAAGGAATTGCTTTGATCAGACAACTTCTTATCTTTGTGGTAGAAACAGAACTGCCCTTCTTGGAGTGGCTCTGCCTCTGAGATCACTACAGGGGAGACAGCATGCCCTGTTCAGCTGGCTGAATATTTGGCAACAATCTCCTGAAGCAGCTGGAATTGACAAGAAGTACTGGAGATTAGCTCGGGCCAAACCCTTACATCTGGCCTGACTACTGCTGCAGTCTGCCTCAACTTACCCCTAAAGCTGGGGAGATGCCACCCACCCACATCTTTGCTACACATGCCATCATGAGCTAGAGTTCACCCTTTCTCCTTAAAGCCCTATTTACTTTTCTACTTCAACTTTAAAACAAAATTAAAATGTGAGGATATCCCTGAATTTTAAAAAGCATGAAGTAAAAATGCAAATTAGTATAGTTTGTTTAATACATTACATATAGACCTAAAGAAAGTTCATCAGGGTTAATCATTTGTCACATCATTCTATACCCAGGGCTATCAGCTATCAATTTTCCTTTTTTTTTTTTTTTTAATTCAGGATCCAGCTCTGTCACCCAGGCTGGAGTGCAGTATCAAAGTATCATTTCTCTTACTTCAAATTATTACATTTTATTCTGTACATTGATTCTGAACTCCTAATATAATATTTATGTCCTGTATTTGCAGGCCATTGGTTTTTTTAAAGTCATAAATCAAAATGATGCCAGAAAATCAAAGATGCCCAAGATGTTGGGCTTCTCTTTTGCCAGCCACATTGGTAGCACTCTCCTGCCCTGGCCTCCAAGCTGGTGGGGATCTGTGATGTTTGTGAAAATGGGCTTATGCCAGGCGCAGTGGCTCACGCCTATAATCCCAGCACTTTGGGAGGCCGAGGCGGGCAGATCGGTTCAGGTCAGGAGATCGAGACCAGCCTGGCCAACATGGTGAAACCCCATCTCTACTAAAAATACAAAAAATTAGCCAGGTGTGGTGGCACATGCCTGTAATCCCAGCTACTCAGGAGGCTGAGGCAGGAGAATCACTTGAAACCTGGGAGGCGGAGGTTGCAGTGAGCAGAGATCGTGCCATTACACTCCAGCCTGGGCTACAGAGTGAGACTCTGTGTCAAAAAAAAAAAAGAAAGAAAATGGGCTTGTGTGGTAGCAGGTAAGAAATTGAATCTCTGTTGTACAGCAGCTAGCTGTACTGCATGATCACTTCCCATTCCCCAGCTGACAGTGGCTGTCTCTGGAACTCCTACCACAGTCTTCAATTGGTAGGCCAGCCCTGGTGCCAGTGATTTTATCTGGGCATGGAAAATGCCACTTGCTTCTGTGGAAGAGACACTTAAAAGATCTGGCAGTCGGCCGGGTGCGGTGGCTCACGCCTATAATCCCAACACTCTGGGAGGTCAAGGCAGGCGGATCACGAGGTCAGGAGATGGAGACCATCCTGGCTAACACGGTGAAACCCTGTCTCTACTAAAAAAAAAAATAAAAAATTAGCTGGGCGAGGTGGCGGGCGCCTGTAGTCCCAGCTACTCTGGAGGCTGAGGCAGGAGAATGGCGTGAACCCAGGAGGCGGAGCTTGCAGTGATCCGAGATCACACCACTGCACTGCAGTCTGGGCAACAGAGCGAGACTCCATCTCAAAAAAAAAAAAAAAAAAAAAAGATCTCGCAATCATCCTGTCAAGCTTGATTCCTCCGATCTTGGGCCAAGGGCCCCTCCTTTCTTTTGTGCTACTGAAATAGAAGCAAACCTGTGTTTAGAGTTCCCTTTTCTGTCTCATTTACCTGCATCTCTCATTGATTGGTCTTAGTGGAGGGATTTGCCAGCAGCTGCCACGTTGAACTTGATCCTTTTAGTGGCTCACTAATCCCACCTCTATTCTGGATTGTAGCTAGTCCTGCATGTTTATGGCACTATAGGTTTCAAAGCTCTTTCATACCCATTTATTCACTTGATAATTTTTCTCTTGTGTGTTTCAACCCAAAGTAATCAAGTAGATCCCTTCACATTGTCTTTTCTAAGGCAGTCCAGTACCTCTTAGGTGGCTGTGTGTCAGAAGGAACTTTTTCCTCTTGATTACTTTCTGCTCAAAGCTGAACATCACTTTGCTGGTTGGATGCAAGTGCCATGCGACCTCTCTTTTTATTTCCTTGAGGACTTGTTAGCTAATTTTCTCTCACTGCTAGATTAAGGGCTCCTGTTTCTGAAGCATCTTACCAGAAGTGTGTGTCTCTTGCTTGAGCCATGCCTCTTGCCCTAGAGTGATCCTGAGAACCACTGCTATTTATGTCTTAGTGCTGTATTGCCTTGTATTTCCTTCTCAGTTACATGGACACAGAACAGTATGAAGAAGCAGTACGAGACTATGAAAAAGTATACCAGACAGAGAAAACAAAAGGTAAGTTTAAAAGCATTTGTTTTTTAGGGAACTGTGTGGACTTCGTAGGCCATAAATCTGTACACAAGGTAGTTTGATTCAGGGATCAGGGATCTACCTAGAACTTATTTGATCACCAGCCAGAAAGAAGTGAACAAAGGCTGGGCGTGGTGGCTCACGCCTGTAATCCCCAGCACTTTGGGAGGCTGAGGCAGGCAGATCACCTGAGATCAGGAGTTGGAGACCAGACTGGCCAACATGGTGAAACCCCATCTCTACTGAAAATACAAAAAATTGTGGGTATGGTGGTATACGCCTGTAATCCCAGCCACTCAGGAGGCTGGGGCACGAGAATTCCTTGAACCCAGGAGGCGGAGGTTGCAGTGAGCTAAGATTGCGCGACTATACTCCAGCCTGGGTGACGGAGCGAGACTTCATCTCAAAAACAAAAACAAAAAAAAGAAAAAAAAAGTGAACAGATATCTTGGGTTGGGGCATGAGGCACCTATTTTCTGGTTCCAGATCCTCCCTGTCGTTTTCATTTCATTTTTTGTGTGGTGAGGCTAAAGTGAGGAACCTAAGTCTGGGTAGATTTTCTTTTTTCTTTTTCTTTTTTTTTTTTTTAAGATGGAGTCCTGCTCTGTCACCCAGGCTGGAGTGCAATGGCATGATCATAGCTCACTACAACCTTTGCCTCCCAGGTTCAAACAATTATCCTGCCTCAGCCTCCCGAATAACTGGGATTACAGGCACATGGTACCACGCCTGGCTAATTTTTTGTATTTTTAGTAGGGATGGGGTTTCACCATGTTGGACAGGCTAGTCCCGAACTCCTGACCTCGGGTGATCCATTCTGTCAAGCTTGATTCCTCCCATCTTGGGCCAAGGGCCCCTCCTTTCTTTCGTGCTACCGAAATAGAAGCAAACCTGTGTTTAGAGTTCCCTTTTCTGTCTCATTTACCTGCATCTCTCATTGATGCAGGCCTCCCAAAGTGCTGCGATTACAGGCATGAGTCACCGTGCCTGGCCGAGTAGATTTTTTTTCTAATCTCCAGAAGAAAGCACCGTAAAAGTCCCTGGCATGGTTAACAAGGCCTCTAACTCCCAGGCAGCTGGGCTGAGACCTGGTGAGGAAAAAACCAGAGTCAGATTTGTCCACTGATGCCAGATGTCTTCCTGTAGAACACAAACAGCTCCTAAAAAATGCGCAGCTGGAACTGAAGAAGAGTAAGAGGAAAGATTACTACAAGATTCTAGGAGTGGACAAGAATGCCTCTGAGGACGAGATCAAGAAAGCTTATCGGAAACGGGCCTTGATGCACCATCCAGGTAGAGTAGGTGCGGGGAGTGGGCTCAGTGGGAAGAACCCGCAGGGCAGGCCAACTGCCACACTCAGTCCAGAGGGGACCCCTTGGAGAGGTCCTTCAGCTGAGAATAAGGTGTTGCAGACTTGTGGACCCTCCAAATTTTGGGAAGTGCCAAATTCCAAAATTAGACAGAAAGTAGTTTTTCTCTTAAACTTTGTTTTCTTGAAACTTTGATTTCCACTGAGTTGTTCTTTTACTCCCCACTTTAGATCGGCATAGTGGAGCCAGTGCTGAGGTTCAGAAGGAGGAGGAGAAGAAGTTCAAGGAAGTTGGAGAGGCCTTTACTATCCTCTCTGATCCCAAGAAAAAGACTCGCTATGACAGTGGACAGGACCTAGATGAGGAGGGCATGAATATGGGTGGTGAGTTGGCTGGGGCAGCCTGGGATGAATTTGACAGCTGTAGAATGTTAGAATTTTTTCCAAAGATGCTCCAGAGGGAGAGTCTATTTGGGCCAAATCTGATCCCTGGTCCAAACAGTAATAGACATGGAGTCAAACAAATGCAGTCAAATGTGGCAGGTTCACAGTGTGCAGTGAGCTCTGAGGAGGCGAGCACTAGCAAGGGAAGGCTTGGAAGTGCAGAAAAGCATGGCCCCATGGGTCATGCCTGTAATCCCAGCACTTTGGGAGGCCAAGGCAAGCAGATCACTTGAGGTCAGGAGTTTGAGACCAGCCTGGCCAACATGGTGAAACCCTGTCTCTACTAAAAATACAAAAATTAGGCTGGGCGCGGTGGCTCATGCCTGTAATCTCACCACTTTGTGAGGTCAAAGCAGGTTGATCACCAGGTCAGGAGTTTGAGACCAGCCTGGCCAACATGGTGAAACCTCGTCTCTACTAAAATACAGAAATTAGCCAGGTGTGGTGGTGGGCGCCTGTAATCCCAGCTACTCGGGAGGCCGAGGCATGAGAATCGCTTGCACCCAGGAGGCGGAGGTTGCAGTGAGCCGAGATTGTCCCACTGTACTCCATCCTGGGCGACAGAGCAAGACTTTGTCTCAATTAAAAAAAATAATAAGAAGAAAGAAAAAAGAAAAATTAGCCAGGTGTGGTGGTGCACACCTGTAATCCCAGCTACTTGAACCCGGGAGGTGGAGGTTGCAGTGAGCCAAGATGGCGCTACTGCACTCCAGCCTGGGCAACAGAGTGAGACTCCATCCCTCCCCACTAAAAAAGCAAAGCATGGCCTCTTTGGGGATCTGCAGGGGGCTTGGTCTAGGGAAGATAAAGGGATAGGGTGCTAGAGGCAGGTGGTGGTGGAAGGCCGGCAAGTAGCTGGATCAGAGCTCACAGGCCATAAGGGCTGTATGTGGTAAGGAATATGAGCATTTTCCTATTATCTGGAAGTTCTTTTTTACCCACTGCAAAGTGTATGCTGACATTTATGTATGTCATACATTCCTATAAACACTCACAGATTTTAATTTCCCAAAAAGATTTAGCATGATATAAAGCACACCTATTGTCAATATTGTTGCTCACTGTGGGCTGTCAGAGATAAGAGGCCCTGACCTGTGAGCTGGGCGCGGTGGCTTACGCCTGTAATCCCAGCACTTTGGGAAGCCAAGGCGGGCAGATCACCTGAGCTCAGGAGTTCAAGACCACCCTGGGCAACATACAAAATACCAAAAAAATTGTACTCTCTACTAAAATACAAAAAAATTAGCTGAGCATGGTGGTGCATGCCTGTGGTCCAAGCTACTCAGGAGACTGAGGCACCAAAAACTCTTGAGCCCAGGAGGCAGAGGTTGCAGTGAGCTGAGATTGCGCCACTGTACTCCAGCTTGGGTTACAGAGTGCGACTCCATCTCAAAAATTAATTAATTAATTCAGTCAGTCTTCACTCTAAGTTGTCTGCCAAAAAATTTGCTGGGCATGGTGGCTCACGCCTGTAATCCCATCACTTTGGGAGAACAAGGTGGGCGGACCACAAGGTCAAGAGATTGAGACCATCCTGCCCAACATGGTGAAACCCCGTCTCTATGAAAAATACAAAAATTAGCTAGCCATGGTGGCGCACGCCTGTAGTCCCAGCTACTTGGGAGGCTGAGGCAGGAGAATCGCTTGAACTCGGGAGGCGGAGGTTGCAATGAGCTGAGATCGCACCACTGCACTCCAGCCTGGCGACAGAGCAAGACTTGTCTCAAAAAAAAAAAAAAAAAGAGGACCTGACCTGTGAATGGTGAACAGACCTACCATCTCTTCCACTAAGAAAATCTATTGGGATTTTGTTTTTTGTTTTGTTTTGTTTTTTGAGACGGAGTCTTGCTGTGTCACCCAGGCTGGAGTGCAGTGGCACCATCTCGACTCACTGCAACCTCCGCCTCCAGGGTTCAAGTGATTCTTCTGCCTCAGCCTCCCGAGTAGCTGGGACTACAGGTGTGCGCCACCACGCCCAGCTAATTTTTGTATTTTAAGTAGAGACGGGGTTTTACCATATTGGCCAGGCTGATCTGGAACTCCTGACTTCGTGATCCACCCACCTCGGCCTCCCAAAGGGCTGGAATTACAGGCGTGAGCCACCGCGCCCGGCCTTTTTTTTTTTTTTTTTTTTTTTAAGACTGAGCCCAGTCTGGGTGCAGTAGTGCCATCTTGGCTCACTGCAACCTCTGCCTCCAGGGTTCAAGCAATTCTCCTGCCTCAGCCTCCTGAGCAGCTGGGATTACAGGCATCCACCCCCATGCCTAGCTAATTTTTATATTTTTAGTAGAGACAGGGTTTCACCATGTTGGCCGGGCTGGTCTTGAACTCCTGACCGCAAGTGATCTACTGGCCTTGGCCTCCCAAAGTGCTGGGATTACAGGCGTGAGCCACTGTGCCTGGCCTTCCATTGCAACTTATTTATTTATTTAATTTTTTTTTGTTGTTATGTTTTTGAGACATGGTCTTACTCTGTCACCCAGGCTGGTGTGCAGTGGTGCAGTCTCAGCTCACGGCAACCTCCACCTCCCAGGTTCAAGAAATTCTCCTGCCTCAGCCTCCTGAGTAGCTGGGATTACAGGCACCTGCAGCCACACCCGGCTAATTTTTATATTTTTAGTAGAGACGGGGTTTCACCATGTTGGCCAGGCTGGTCTCAAACTCCTGACTTTGTGTGATCCGCCCATCTTGGCCTCCCAAAGTGTTGGGATGACAGGCGTGAGCCACCGCACCCAGCCGGAATTTAAAATAAGAATGATGGTACTATATAGATAATGCTGAGTCCTCTCCAGTTCAGTGTGGGGGTATTTGTGTTTAATAAACCTAGGTTCACCACAATAAACATGTTCCTCTGCCTAGCAGTTAAGAAGATCTATAAGCAGTCAAAAACTAGTGAAGAGGTTTTGTTTTGTTTTGAGACGGAGTCTCACTCTGTCGCCCAGGCTGGAGTGCAGTGGCGCGATCTCTGCTCACTGCAAGCTCCGCCTCCCGGGTTCACGCCATTCTCCTGCCTTAGCCTCCCAAGTAGCTGGGACTACAGGCACCTGCCACCACGCCCGGCTAATTTTATTTTATTTTATTTTTATTTTTATTTTTTTTAGTAGAGACGGGGTTTCACTTTGTTAGCCAGGATGATCTCGATCTCCTGACCTCGTGATCCACCCACCTTGGCCTCCCAAAGTGCTGGGATTACAGGCCTGAGCCACCACGGCCAGCCGTGAAGTTTTAAGTAGGGGCACTGTGGACCAGATTTTGGCTCTGGAAATATATTTGTGATAGGGGTGAGGAGGTTGGGGTTGGAGGGAGTAAGGAGAATGGAGATGGAAGGAAGACACAAAAGGTAGGAAAGGATTGGAGGGCACAGTCAGGGAGTTAGTTAGTGGTAGACTCAGCAGGAGTTGGTTGCTATTCAGATGTGTTGGGGAAAGTGACAGGCATAGCTGACTCGGGGTCATTCACTAAGCCAGGAGCCCAGGAAGACACACAGATGCAAGCAGAGAAACTCACTCTGGGCACGAGGTGGCTGTGGGATCACCTGGTGGGGGTCAGTCCTTCTGTGAAGCTTGGGCAGTCAGTCAGGGATGGGGCCACCAGACATGCTGTGGCCTTGCAAAAGTGCACAGAGCCAGTCAGGCAGGAGTTGGATTTTCCAGTTCTGCTGCTTTCGCTGCCATGTGATCGTGGGCAAGTTACTTGAACCACCTACATATGTTTTGTTGAGTATTAATTGGGAATGATACTTACCCTGACAAAACATTACTAGGATTAAGTAATGTAATGTATGCAAAGTACCTAGTACTTTGCACCTAGTAGGTGTTTTTGTTGGTTTGTTGTTGTTATTAAGACAGGGTCTTGCTGTCACCCAGGCTGGGGTGCAGTGTTGTGATCATAGCTTACTGCAGCCTTGAACTCCTGGGCTCAAGTGATCCTCCCACCTTAGACTCCCAAAGCACTGGGATTATAGGTGTGAGCCACCACGCCCAGCTAATAAACCATAGCTTTTTTTCTAGCCTAGAGTCTACGGAGTAAAAGACATGGAATCAAATACAGTAAATCCTAGATCTTGCTCTTATATTTATTTTTGGTAACATTTAAGTGATACATTTTATCCTTTTTAGTAGCCGCTCCAGCATTATAGGGAGACAGAGTATGGGGAAAGTCTTGTGTAAGTGCAAATGGCATTCCATTTGTTGAGAAAACAGCCCAATGAAGCAAGCTGAAGCAGAGAAAGCTTCCTTTGGGGCAGCAGTTGGAAGGAGAAGGGAACATGTCCTAGGAGTGGGATCAGGTAGCATGTTTTGCACGGGATGGGGCAGGTTTGCTCACTTGCAGTCTGAAGTGTTGGGAAAGGAGGGGAGTGAGACTCTCCAGGAAAGCTTTGGAGATCTGTTCTCAGTGTCATCAGTTCTCTTCGAACATTTCTAATTTTTCACCTTTTCTTCCCTTCCATGTTACTTGCCCTGCTCTACAGATTTTGATCCAAACAATATCTTCAAGGCATTCTTTGGCGGTCCTGGCGGCTTCAGCTTTGAAGGTAGGTGGGCCTGCTGTTCTTGGGAGTTCCCAGATCACAAGCCAACACACTCATTGCCTCTTAGGCAGCTCTTTGGGAGTCAGAGGGGCCCATGAGCGGGGGCAGCTGAATTCTCATCTAGCAGGGCATCTATCCACTCGGCTGTTGCTAAGGATGAAGACAGGAAGGTTCCCAGGCACCCCTTGCCTTGGGACCTTTAGCCACCGCATCTCTGCAGGGTCAGGGAGGCATCTCTAACTGCCTAGTACCAAGGCTTCTCTGCAAGAGCAAAGGTACTATATAGATAATGCTGAGGTCAGAAGCTACCCATGTATAATACAGTCACGTGCTCCCTCTTGCACCCAAAAACAGCCTGAGCTGTTTGATACCCATAGAGTTTCTCTCTGTGTTTGAGTTTGAAGCAGCCCTTGAAGACTTTTCCATAATCAGAGCAAAGTGATCTTCCTTAGAAAATCCATAGCCAACTACCAACCCCTCTTTTCTCTTTCAGCATCTGGTCCAGGGAATTTCTTTTTTCAATTTGGCTAATGAAGGGCAACCACCCAGAACCCAGAAAATGCAGATTCACTCAGTTTAATCTTGAATGTGGAAACAGTTCACCTCCTCCCTTCATCACGTCTCCGTGTGCTTAGAGCAGTTTCGTTTTCTCAGTTGGATGCCCTGTGTCTCTGTGAGTGGGGTGGAGCAAAGGGAACCAATGCCGAAGACCGAGGGCAGGGGAGGGAGGCGGGGGTGGACAGGGAGGCAGCTTGTGAATTTTTGTTTTACTGTTTAACTTTATTAAAAAAGAAAAAAAAAAGAGAATAAAATGTTTTGACCCTTCCTGGCCCTTTGCTCTGGCATCTGCATTGTCTCCAGTCTGTGAGCCAGAGCTGAGCCCGACCTGGACTTGGGGTGCAGCAAGCTGCTGCATGCGGGCTGTGGGCACCCAGCCTAGTGGCAGGTGGGGCACTCTGCCTCTCCCAGACCTGTCCAGCATGTGAGTGCTAGGCAGGCCCCGGCTGTGCCTCTGGGCCCAGCCTAACATCAGTCACAGAGAAGCGAGTTCAGAAAGCATGCTCACTTTACGGTGGGGCCCCAGAAATCACTAGAAGCTGTGTGTGTCCAAAGCTCAGGTGGGTACTAAAAGCTGTGTGCGTCCAAAGCTCAGGTGGGTACTGACCTAGACAGGGCAGTTTACTTACAAAGACTCTCACAGTTCCTGTTGCAGTGTGGGTTCGAGGGAGATGGTAGACAGAGATAAAACCCTGCCTCCTGACCCCCAGACCCATTTGAGGTGGGACAGGTGGCTCCAGAGCTCTGGTCTGGCCACTATTTTTAGCAAAAGCCCCTGGCCTTCTCTGCTCCCTTTCTGCATGCAGGAGACACACTGCTCACGGATGCAGCGGCATGCACCATGCTGTCCTGTCAAGCGTGGTGTTCAAGGTGAGTAGCCTTCCCAGGAGCTCCAGGCACAGACTTGAAGCTCTAGCTGAAGTTCAGAGATGGCCAGGGACAGGCCTTGACCTAGAAAGGTAACTTAGGATTTCTCTTCATCTGAGCTCCTGCCCCTTTCTTTCAAGTCTTCCCCGGCTGGTGCCTTAGCCATGGTGGAATGATGCCTGAGTCAGGTCTTGGAAGTTTCCCATGTGGCTGACTAGGCCTCTGATGGCCTGGAAGGGACTCAAATGTTAGATCTTCCCTGGTGCTTGAAGTTTCAGTGACCTGCAGGTGGCCTTCCCTAGAGAACTGGGAGAAACCCATACCAGGAGCTTCCGGTCTTACTGAACTCTTTCTGATCCAGTGGGCTGGGGACACCTGTGGGCTTGGTGCCCTGGTTAATGGGGGATGAGAGGCTTTTGTGCTCCACATCCCTCGTACCCAGCCAACCCCCACCTTCTGTATGAGTCTGAGGCCAGCCTCTGCTTTCTGCCTCCTCATGAAAGCCAACACTGTTCAGCTGCCCAACCTCACCACAGCTGTGCCCGGCCAGCAGAGGGGAGACAGGACCGATGGCCCCAAGCTGTGGGACAAAGCCAGTCCTAATACACCCAGCCCTAGGGAAGACTGAGCTGGGCACAGAAGGGTAAGAGAGACTGCACACAGCTAGGATTAACATGATTTATTTCATTATCAGTCTTACAGGTTGCTGAGGTTGGGCAAAGCCAGGATAGTAACTTAAATCCAAAGCACTTTTGTTGAGTGACAACCCGATTAGCAAGGCCCTGTTACTGAACAGAGGGCAGTGGAGGGCACCCCAGGAACCACAGCACACAGACTAGTGTTAGAAACCCCTTCCCAGAAGCAACCGGTGGGACTTGGCCCTTACCAGCCAGGGGTCTACTCCATTGGCTCTTGGTGCCCACCAGCCCCTGTTAGAGGAGGCCCAGAGGCCTCCAGAGGCACCATGGAGGCAAGATGGGCTGGGTAGAGAGCAGGACTGGAGCTTCCTCACCAGGGTTCTGCCTCTGGCCCCGATCTCCCCATCCACACAGCGGAGCCAGGCCACTGGAAAGGACAGCCAGTCCAGCCCCTTCCTGGAGTGAGGCCCCCAGCCAGCGGGGATGTGGCGGCTGCTTAACTGTTCTGCTTTCTTCCCTAGTTATCAAACTGTTACCTAGTTATGGTGTGAAGGGGAGGGGGCAGGGACTTAGGACCAAAGGTGGGAGGTAAGCTCCTTTTTCTACCCTGGTAAATAGCCCCAGCCTTCTTGGGGCTACACTGATTAAGAAATGGGATCACTCAGGAGGATTGCTTGAGCCCAGGAGTTCGAGGCTGCAGTGAGCCATGATCGCACCACTGCACTCCAGCTTGGGAAATAGCAGGACCCTGTCTCTAAAAACAAAGAAAAAAGACAAGGAGATGGAATCAAAGCCCAGAGGTCCTCCCCTTCTCAGAGCCACCACTAGTTCTCTGTGACCATGGAAAACTACCCCCAGCCCCACTGCCTTTTGCCTCCGGTCAGTGGGTTTTGCGGGGCTCTGAGGTGTCTCCCCACTCACCCAGCTCTGGGCAGAGCAGCTGGGCTGGGCTGGGGCTGAGCTAACCAGAACCTGGAAGTAGGGCTCGGGGTTCTGGCTGTGGCCCCATCCCTGGCTTGGCCCAGCCTCGTCAGCTTTGGTCCAGGTTCCTGAATGGTGCCTCCCTGCCCACCTTGTGTTGGGAGCGTGAGCATTAGAGGGGAAGAGGGCGGACAGGAAGGGAGGGTCAGTTATTTTACAAGTTTTTAAAAAGTTACAGGTAGGTTAACTTTGAGTAAAAAAAAAAAAAAAAAAAATGTCACAAAACAAGGATCAAACAGAGGGCACGTTTCCCTCTCCCCTTCCCTTCTAGGGGCATAAGTGGTGGTGAGAACACTCATATGATGGTGCAGGACTGCAAGGCGCCCCCCTTCCGGCTACCTTGCGTGGGCACAGGTTTGCCTTTCCCGTAGTACCCCGTGAAGATGGCCCTGACCTCCATGTTCTTGGCCAGGGTCAGCATCCAGCGCCCATTGCCCAAGGAATAGAGCTTGCCCCGGCTTAGCTCGCCCACCTCCTCGCCTCGGCTGCCCCCCTTCTCCTGCCGCAGAATCTCTAAGAGGTCAAGGCCCGTCTGCACGGCCTCTACGTCAGCTGCACAGCCGAGGGTGATGTGGGCGCGGCTCCCCCGCGGCAGGTTGTCAGTGGGTGACAGCTTGTCCACATCACTCGGCCACAACTGCAGTTGCTGCTCGCTTAACTCCACCCGGGCCCCAGTCGTCTTGGGTGTCACAAAGAGGGCAGAGATGGTCAGCGTGAAGGCCTTGGAGTAAGATTTCTTTAACACCTGGGGAGAGTGAGAAAGAGGGGCCCAAGCTAGAGATGGCAGGCTCTTGAGGAACAGCTGACCCAGGGAGGGTCCCTCCTGGAGGAGAGAAGGGGAAGTCTAACAGAAGTGAGCACAGCTGAGCAGGGGTCGGTATAGGCCCAGCATCCACTAACAACTGCGGCACGCACCTTCCATAGGCGCTCCAGGCTCAAGTGAGAAACACGAAGGCGCTCAGACAGGGCCACACGGGGACAGCCGGACTTCCTGAGGGAGCCCAGCTCCCTGCACACTGGCTTCCGGCCTCAGCGGGCTGGCTGACCTCTCGGTGCCTTGGCTTCATCACCCGTAAAACAGGGAGAACCAGAGCCTACCTCAGAGTTAATGTGGTTATGAGAGTGACTAGGTAAACAGCCCACAGGGGTGTCCGCGCACACAACAGCTGCTACTGTTGGCACCGCTCAGCTTCCCCTGGGACCCAGACAGCGCCCTGGAGGACAGGGTGAGGTCAGACTGAGGTCAGACTCGCCCTTGATGGAAACCTGCTCTTACACTTTGGTTCCCATCTGATGATATGTCTGCTTCTATCTGATTCTTTGAGACAGCCCATCCCATCTCAGCATAAACGCTTTTCTATTTTTGCTCACGATCCCTTGTCCCAACAGTGTCTGGCATGAAATGGGTAGTTAATAAATGCTAAATGAAGGCATGGTTAGGGATGGTAGCTCAGGTGTTACATATTCATTCCACTATGCTAGGGTGCTGGAACCACAGGAGTCAACGAAACTTAAAAACTCGCCCTCAGGGGAGCTTCCATTTGGGAGGACACTCTAGTGAACAAACAAACGATTGTGCTAACCTAGGCAGAGAAGTGGGAGAGTGGGCTTGGGGGTGGACACTTGGAAGTTGGAGACTGTGGATATGGGTGACATGCCTGGCATTCAGGGATCACTGTCAGTGGCTGTGGGTGTAAGGTGCCAGCTGTGTGGTGCAGAAAGGTCTCGTACCCATTAGCCAATAAGCTTCATTATCGTATGAAACTCCCTCACTCTGGGGCCAGGCCAGACCTCAGACCTGGGGACAGGGATGGGGACCTCAGTGCACCAGGCTCCCTGGGGGCGAAGGACTCCTAGTCTTTGGAAGGTAAAACAGGCTCAGAGAGACCAGAGCAGGAGCCCACTGTGGACCAGCATTCTCCATGAATCTGCAGAAGGCGAAGGTGCTTGGGGGCAGGTGAATGCACAGGCTGGCAGTACTGCCAGGGCAGGCTCCTTAGAACCTGCGGCTGAGGTCTATGCAGCTACGCCTGGGGACAGGGGAGCTAGGAGGAGGAGATGCCATTTTTCTTGAGCTGCCATCTGGTTTTTGGTCCCTGCCTGGCACCGGTACCTATCTTCAGAAGATGCTGCAGCCCCTTCTCCCCCAACCTCCCACCTCCCCCATGTGTCCCTGGGGAAGACTCACATCTTGTTGAGCGTACTCCTCTGCCCCGGGAGCCTTCCCGTAGTCACAAAACTTGGTTGTGCAATGCAGCACGCCTGGGGGTCTCTTTCCAAAGTAGGTGACCAAGTCCATCTTCTCCCTGGGCTCATCCCCAGGGACGACTGCCGGGAGAAAACGGGTGCAGTCAGGGCAGGGGAGCAGGGGCATACCAACATCCGCCACCAGGACCACCGAGGCCCAGCGCAAAACACTCGGACACTAAGCATCACCTCTCCAGCAACCCACTACAGCTCATTCATTGGTTAGTTGGTCAAACTAATGGCAACTTTAGAGCAATAAAAAGTTAAAATTCTCAGGCCAGGTGCGGTGGTTCACACCTGTAATCCCAGCACTCTGGGAGGCCGAGGTGGGTGGATCACAAGGTCAGGAATTCAAGACCAGCCTGGCCAAGATGGTGAAACCCCGTCTCTACTAAAAATACAAAGAAATTAGCCAGGCGTGGTGGCGGGCGCCTGTAATCCCAGCTACTTGGGAGGCTGAGGTAGAGAATTGCTTGAACCCAGGAGGCAGAGGATACAGCGAGCCGAGATAGTGCCACTGCACTCCAGCCTAGGCAACAGAGCAAGACTCCGTCTCCAAAAAAAAAAAAAAAAAAGTTAAAATTCTCTGGCTTTACATTGTATAGATCTTTCCATCTCTTCTCCAAACTCTAAGGCATTTGTAACAGAGGCAGGCAGTACAGGCCAAGGGAATCTAAGATTTACTAGCACCACGTCTCAAAGGGGAAGCAAGTCATGGGAAGTGGGGTGGAAAGAAAACAGAGGGCTGGGAACAACATGGTACGGTGGAAACAGCCAGAACACAGTGAATATCTCAGCTCTGCCATGTACCAGCCATCGGCCTCGGGCAAGTGACCAACCCTATCTATCAATCCAGCACAACAGTTAGGGTGACCATATACCCCAGTGTTCCCAGGACCACCAGGGAACTATCAGTAGTGCCCCATTTCACTCAGGGGCCCATCTGGACAAGCAGTCACAACGTCACCATCAGTTTAATACACACCTTGCAGGCCTATGGGGGGGCCTCCTGGTACAGGAAGGGTCTTGGACTATAATGGGGTGACATTATGGGGCTGGAAGACACAAAGAGGAGTGGAGTATCTGTGATTTTGATTTCCAGACTCCACACCTGTGGCTGTCTTTGGAGTCACTCGCTTTTTCCTGTTATGTTCTGAATTGAGTCCCCATGAGGATGTCTCGCCCTCCACAGGGGAGGAAGGCCTCTCCTGAGAGCAGCCTTGCTGGCCCATTACATTTCTCCTGCTCTAATCCTGGGCAGAAAAATCCAGTTTTCCTTTACAAATAAAATAGGCTGGGCATAGTGGCTCGCACCTGTAATCCCGGCAATTTGGGAAATTGAGGCGGGGCGTTTGAGACCAGCCTGGCCAACATGGTGAAACCCTGTCTCTACTAAAAATTTATAAATTAGCCAGGTATGGTGGCGGGTGCCTGTAATCCCAGCTACTTGGGTGGCTGAGGCAGGAGAATTGCTTGAACCCGGGAGATGGAGGTTGCAGTAAGCCGAATTGCCCCACTGCACTCCAGCCTGGGCGACAGAGCAAGACCCCCGTCTCAAAAAAAAAAAAAAAAAAGATCTGGCAATCATCCTGTCAAGCTTGATTCGTCCCATCTTGGGCCAAGGGCCCCTCCTTTCTTTTGTGCTACCGACCAGCCTGGTCAAGATGGTGAAACCCTGTCTCTACTAAAAATACAAAAATAAAAAAAAATTAGCCGGGCATGGTGGCAGGCGCCTGTATTCCCAGCTACTTGGGAAGCTGAGGCAGAGAATTGGCTTGAACCCAGGAGGCGGAGGTTGCAGTGAGCCGAGATCATGCCACTGCACTCCAGCCTGGGCAACAGAGCAAGACTCCGTCTCATAAATAAATATTAAAAGCAACTTTGAGCAGTAGTCACTCCAGGGCAGAGCCACCAGCTCACAGGTACAGGGCTTGCTCCTGGCCAATGTCACTGCAAGCACCACAGTTCACTGCAGAGTTCAAGTTTAGGAGCTGAGAAAAAAGCTCTCTGAGAACCCATACAGGCACAAATTCCCTGCTTCTGTGCAATATACACAATGTCAACAAACCAGAGTGGGGCTATTTCAGGCATGAAGATCATCTAAAATTGGGGGTGGCTGGGTGCGGTGGTGGCTCACGCCTGTAATCCCAGCACTTTGGGAGGCCAAGGCAAGCGGATCACCTGAGGTCAGGAGTTCAATACCAGCCTGGCCAACATTGTGAAACTCCGTCTCTACTAAAAATACAAAAATTAGCTGGACGTGGTGGTGCACACCTGTAGTCCTAGCTACTCGAGAGGCTGAGGCAGGAGAATTGCTTGAATCTGGGAGGCAGAGGTTGCACTGAGCTGAGATAGCGCCACTGCACTCCAGCCTGGGCAACAGAGGGAGACTCCGTGTCACAATAAATAAATAAATAAAATTGGAGGCAACCAGAAATGGCCTAAAGGCATATAGATGGATTAGTGGGTGGCACTTCTCCAACAGGTCACTCCAGGAGAGCCACCAGGACCCTTCTTTATCTCAAACCTATCATTGGAGCAAAAAGCCCATGCCAAGAGAGAACCCTGCTAGAGTGGCCAGAGTCCAGGGTTCCAGCCCGTAAACCCCACATCCCTCCTGGGTCCATGTTTTTCCATCTGAAAACGGGTTTTGGCCTAAGTGTGAGACTTGTGTCCTCTGGAGCTGCAGATGCCACAAACCCATGAGTAAATTGAGCAGTCCGAGGCCTGAGAACCATCCCCAGTGAAGCCACAATAGTCCTAGTTTTAATTTTTTTGCAGCTTACAATTTCATGTGATTATTATTATTATTTTTTGGAACATGATTCTGCTGCTAAAAATGCGTTGGAAAACACTGGGCTTGATTCCCCCTCTAAGGTTACATTAGAAGAGGACATGTTTCCTGTTACTACAGTAATTTGTTTTTCCCACCTCCAAGACAAGGGACAGTGGTCTACATTCAGGCTGGGAAAAGGGTGTCGGAGAGAAGAGGGCTAGAAGGATAGGTGTGGTGGGAGGAAAGGCGCTCTGGGAAGCCCCCGTGTTCCCAATGTGCTGCCAACTCCCCAAGGCTACCACTGGGACGCACCGCTTGCCCCTGCCCCCGCTGAGGTGAGCCTCTCTCTGCCTCCTGCTGCTTCGTGCTCCATCCTTTGAGTACAATGATGGTCCTTTGCCCGCAGCACCCTGTGCCCAGCAAGGTGGGCTTATAAGGCCCCAACCTGCCACCTACATTGTCGCAGCTCCTTCTTGAAGGCCTTGTGGTTCCCCAGCTCTTCCAGGAAGACCTGGCCGGCTTTGCGGAGGGTCTCAGAGCTCTTCTTGGTCAGGAACCAGCCGAAGTAGAGCGGCAGGAAGTCCTTCTCCAGCCCAGGCTTCAGCTTCTTCAGGTCATCAGCCGACAGCTGCCACTGGTTCTTCTCCTTGAGCTGGGCACAGTCCAGCCGCCACGCCGTCTTGGGCTCCACCAGCACCACCTGGTACTGGTACTGGTCGGCCATTTCAAAGAGCTGCTCCAGCCGTTCCCGTTCGTGGTTGGTGTCATCAAGCACAAGAATTCTGATGTCCCGGCGGCGGCAGTAGGCAGCCAGGTCCTCATCGAGCCGCTTGTACTCCTCGGAGAAGGCTCCTCGAGCGCCGGGGGTGATCTTGTAAGCGTCAGCCGACACCATCTTGGTGCCATCACGGTACTTGTCCACGATGACCCGTGCCAGCGTGGACTTGCCGCTTCCTGGCAGGCCGCGCAAGATGAAGAGCGTCTTGCACTCTAGCAGCGTGGCCACTGTGTCCTCATCCTGAAGGAAGGGAAACTGCAGCTCAGGCTTGTCCTTGGCCCCTGAGGATGACATCTTGCGGAAGAAGATCTTGGGCAGGAATGTGTGGCTTTTTCGGGAGAAGCCTCTGTTCTGTGTAAGGAGGGGAAGAGATGTCAGCCCAGGTCATTCGCGGGCTCCCCGCCGGCCTTACCCCTAGTCCCTAGACTGGTTGTGGGTGCCTTCCCAAGCGGGGCAGTGCTGGACCTTCTTTCCCTTTCGGTCCGGGAGCACCTTTCCGCTTCTGGTCGTGGAGGAGGAAGAGGGAAGCTTGTCTGAAGCTCTCCTAAGCGTGCGCTTTCCCCATTCCTGCCACTTCGGAAAGGTAAACGTGCTGGAGGCATGCGGGGCGCGCCAGGAGCCTGCGGTTCTGGGACTGGCCTCACTCTTATATGCTTGGCACCTACTAAGGACGTCCTCTTTGGAGGTGGGGGTCTCTGTGTCTGGGCCAAGCCACAGCTGCCACGGCTGAGTGCACAGAGAAGGGGGGGAGTGGAGAAGGGTTACCCCAAGACTGCCTCCCTTCCCCCAACAATGGCCGCAACAGATAATACTCTCTTGTCTGGCATGCGGGTACAATGGTCCCACAGAAGGGCTGGTGGGGGGCAGGGCAGGAGAGCACTGGACAAAGGCCCTCTTTCACCAAGCCTGCCACCTCCTCCTCTACCCTCTCCCGGCCCCCACAAAGTCGTGGTCTTTGTGCCTGTCCAGAACAGGGCAGCACAGGGCACCTGCAATTAGGATCCAGCTCTACCCGCCGCTGTGCTGTGTGTCAGAAGCGCCTCTCGGAGCCACTTGTTTTCCTATCTTCTAGAAGCCACAAGGGACGGCAGCTTTTACCGTAAAGGGTCCCCTCCTCTGAACTGGCTCCACCTCCCGCCCGCACCCGGGCGCGGGGCAGCGGTTCCGCGTGATGAGACTGGGCCCGGGGAGGGGGCGCCGAAGCGGCTGCCCCAGCGCGGGCCTGCGTGGGGTCGGGAGCAGCTCCCGGGCTCCCGGCCCAGGCCCACCCAGGCTCCCAGAGGCGCAGCAGCTTCTGCGGTCCCGAGTTCCCTCCTGAGAAACACCACCGTTTCCCTTTACAGCGGCCTCTCCGGCACCCCAAAACCCCTCCGCTTCTCCCAGACCTCAGGGCCGCCCTGAGTACCAAGAAAACTGGAAGTCGAACCCGGAGCCCCGGGTCCTCGTTTGCAAGACGCTTCCTCCCGAGGGGCCCCGACACTCGTTTCCCGCCCTGGTGCTACCCCGTGCCCGGCCCCGCCCGGCCTCTCACCATGATGAGGAGGGGCGCCACCGTCGCCGCCTCTGCCGGCACCAGCGCTCCGGGGCCGCCCGCCTGCGCGGAGGGACACGGGAGTCCAGCGGTGGCACGACCCGAGCCCGGCCGCTTTACATAGCCCGGGGGGCGGAGCGGGCACCCGGGCGGGCTGGGGGCGGGCCGTCTCCTCTGCGCGCAGGCGCTGCGAACCAAAACCCGAAACTCTCGCCGCGCGCGGGAACCTCGGCCCGGTCCCGCCCCCTGCGCGCGCCTGCTCCCCACGCGCACCCACCCACTGCGCCTGCGAGCTGAGCGGCCACTAGCTTTTTCTGCGTGTTGAGGGGTAACTCAGTCACCCTCCCCGGTCCCGTGGATTAGCAGGAAGTGAGTGAGGCAGGGTCGTGCAAAGTCGGATCCTGTCTTTAATTTTTGATATTTTATTCATCATGGACTTTTGCATTAATTAAAAACTTTTTTTTTTACCACATTGGATTAAAATATTATCATGCAATTTGCTGGCATTCCGGTAAACTCTGCATCTGAAATGCCTCACTGGCCTCATTCGTCCAGGCCCTGTGCCAGCCGAAAGTCAGTCTCAGCCCCGACCTTTCCTTCTAGGAGCTGTGGAGACAGACCAGGATGGCAATGGCCAAAGGGACAGATGAGTAACGGAGTGAAATCCTAACATCCTCTGAGGCCAGATCCTCAGCTGCCACCTCCTCTGTGAAACCACTGAGAGCTCCGTTGGATTTTTGAGTTTCCTGTCCAAGTGCTGTGCTAAGCACTCAGTCCTCGCAGCAACCCCTGAGGCAGGTATCCCATTGTTCAGAGGAGAAGCCAGCTTGGAGAGCCTGATTTACCTGATTATGCCACCCAGAGGTGTCAGAGGCGGAGTCTGTCTGCCCTCCCGACTCCCAGGCCACTCCCCTATCTTTGGCCTCACTCCCAGCATTCGCTTGGTTCTGGCTTGCGGCATTCTCCTACCTGTGACAGCTGGGGCCGCCCCACCACTGTTCCATCCATAAAGCCTCCCCGCTGTCCTGCGCACTGGAGGGACTCAGTCAGTCACCGGTGTGTGGGAAGCACCTCTCCTCCCAGGCCTTCCCCTCTCCTCCCTGTGACTTCTTGTTCCCTGTAGCGCCCGTATCTTCACCCTCCTGAAACCCTTTCTTCTTGGCACCTTTCTCATTTCTTCCACGATGCTCTTCCAAGAATGGGCAGGGGTGAAGAGGCAAAGTGACAGACTCAGGGTTTGCAAGAGTGAAAGACACCTATTTAATGGCAAAATAGTGATGGAAAGCAGCAGAAGTAAAACCCTCATTTTTCCTATAACAGACAAATCGCTTGAAAATCCAGTTTAATAAAATCCCATGATCCCTCTGAACACCAGCTTCCTGATCCTCATCTCTACCGATGGCTTCATTCATATTCCTTTTCCATCTCATTTCCTGTTTTTTTCGTTTCTCCTATTTCTCCAAATTGTGTTTTTCCCAGTTCTTCTGGCTCTCTTCTGCCCACTTCTGAAAGTTTCTTTAGTTCTTCTGGTTCCTGTCTGCTGAATTCTCCTGAGAGTCTTTGCTCTAATTCTCCCGAAGGCCTCCTATAAATTTCTCTTGACTCTCTTCTGCCAGCTTCTAGTAGCTTCCTGCCTGTTTCTCCTGATCTTGTGCCTAATTCTCCTGACAGGCCCTTGGCAACTGCTCCCAAATCGCTTCTGGCTTTTCCTGCTTCCACACTCTGCTTTCCGCTTGCTGGGCTCTGCAGAGCTTCCCCAAAAGCCTCATCGTCCTCATCTGTCTCTTTCTCATCCTCACTATGGTCCCACTGCTTCACCACCTTCTCGGGCTCATCTCTCACTCTCCTCATGTCCTTCTCTCTTGTTATTATTCTATCTTCATACAGTGAAGCTTCTGAAAAATAAGAGAAAAGCGGGAAGAAAGATAAAAGTTTGTTCATGTCAGGCCGGGTGCGGTGGCTCACGCCTGTAATCTCAGCACTTTGGGAGGCTGAGGCAGGCAGATCCCTTGAGGCCAGGAGTTCCAGACCAGCCTGGGCGACACAGTGAGACCCTGTCTGTACTAAAAATACAAAAATTAGCCAGGCGTGGTGGTTGGCGCCTGTAGTCCCAGCTACCCGGAGGCTGAGGCAGAAGAATCGCTTGAGCCCAGGAGGTTGGGGCTGTGATGAGCCAAAATCCAGCCACTGCACTGCAGCCTGGGTGACAGAGCAAGACCCGTCTCCAAAAAAGAAAGAAGAAAAAAAAGAAAGAAACTGTTCATCTCTGTGGAGGCCTGTGCTTTTGAGAGGCCGATGAGAGAAAGGCCCTGAGAATGACTGTTTTTGCCAGCTCTTTAAATTGGTGTTGACAGCACACCTTTCCAAAAGCAGAGAAAGGGAACCATCATTGACTGAGCCCAGCTCCGTCCTGTGCATCACGTGAGGGCTGTATAGCTTATCCCATCCAGACATCATGAAAATGCGCACTGCCGTTGATTTGAGTTTGCAGTCAAGGGACCTGAGATCGATAGAAAAGAAATCACACGGCCGGGCGGCATGGCTCACGCCTGTAATCCCAGCACTTTGGGAGGCCGAGGCAGGTGGATCACCTGAGGTCAGGAGTTTGAGACCAGCCTGGCCAACAAGGTGAAACCCCGTCTCTACTAAAAATACAAAAATAAGCTGGGCATGGTGGCAGGCGCCTGTAATCCCAGCTACTTGGGAGGCTGAGGCAGGAGAATCGCTTGAACCCAGGAGGCGGAGGTTGCAGTGAGCCAAGATTGTGCCATTGTACTCCAGCCTGGGCAACAAGAGCAAAACTCCATCTCAAAAAAAAAAAAAATTAACCGGGAGTGGTGGCACAAGACTGTAGTCCCAGCTACTCAGGAGGCTGAGGCAGGAGAATCACTTGAACCTAGGAGGCGGAGGTTGTAGTGAGCCGAGATCGCGCCACTGCACTCCAGACTGGGTAACAGAGGGGAGACTCCATTTCAAAAAAAAAAAAAGGCACAGTGGCTCATGCCTGTAATCCCAGCACTTTGGGAGGCTGAGATGGAGGTTGCAGTGAGCTGAGATCGCGCCACTGCACTCCAGACTGGGTAACAGAGGGGAGACTCCATTTCAAAAAAAAAAAGGCACAGTGGCTCATGCCTGTAATCCCAGCACTTTGGGAGGCTGAGATGGAGGTTGCAGTGAGCTGAGATTGCACCACTGCATTCCAGCCTGGATGACAGAACAAGACTCCGTTTCAAAAAAAAAAAAAAAGAAAGAAAAGAAATCACACAATGGTCACACTGCAAGTGTGCAAGTGAGACAGAATTTGAACCCAGGACAGTCTGACCCCAGAACACCTCTTTTCCCTGCAAGAAATAGCATAGGTGCTGGAAAATGACAGAAGGATTTTCTCCAGCATCTTCATTCTGACACTTTCTCTTTGTCCCTGGGAAGCACATTCATTATTTGTTGGGAGGTTTCCTATGAAAATATAGAAAAAACATAAGGAAAAAGATAGGTTTCCTATAAAGATATACGCTGCTAACAAAAAGTTCAGCTGAAGAGTTATTTTACAAGCAAAGGGATCCTTGCTCCTAAATTTTTTTTTTTATCAGTTATGGAGAAAAGTTACATCCCCTTCTGCGTCTCCCTTACATTCTCCTCCTGGAAACCACTAGTTACTGAGGTATCTGCAGAGGGTCTCAGGTCTCAGGGGGTCACAGCCCTTTGGTGGTGAAAACAGATGCAATGCTGCCACCTGCTGTTCTGAGAGGGACGTGCCCGGCAGTTCTCCAGGCACAAGGACGCAGGCCAGGGTAGGGAGACTGGGGTGTTGGCTGCTTCCCCGCAGAGTCTCTCTCCACAGCTGTTGCTCCTGTGGCTTCTCAGAGCAGCTCAAAGGGCATGTGGGGGCGGAGACAGAGCCCCTCTGAGGGGGTCCAGCCACCACAGAGCAGGTGCTGGATAATAAAGGGCTGTCATCTGGCTGCTCAGGTGCCCAGAAACCTCCCGCTGCCCTGCCTGGACCAGAAAGGATTTCAGCCTTGCAGCCTGGAGGGCTGCAGCCAAGAATCTGCATTGGGCTCTGTCCTCCCGGACCTCCAGCCCCAGCTCTGTTCACTGCAGTCTGGCTGGAGTGAGAGCTCCACAGACTGGGGCAGGAAAAGGCTGTCTGTGTCACTAGAAACAGTGTGGCACGGGCCGACGCGTGGGTTCTAGAGCAGACTGCCCAAGACTGAAAACCACTGTAGCCTCTAACCCCTCTGCCTCCATGTCCTCCATAAAGTCAAGCTAATAACACTTCCTTCATAGTGTTCCTGAACAGATACAGATAGGATGAGTCCGTGCACACAGTCTTTGAAAGAATGCCTGGCCTGCGGGAAGCATGAATGGGGGTCGGCTACTGCGCTTAACACCCCTGTTCCTCTAGGCCCCTCTCCAGTGGGGTAGGGCTGCTCAGCCATCTTCTGCTTCTCCTTCCCTCACTCCCTCCCTGCAGGAAAGGAGAGCCCAAAGGCAGGGGGCCAAAGGCCTGTTTACTCCCTGGAGACCTTGTGAGAAAGAATGTGGTAAGGCACAGCTGTCAGGCAGCCTCTGCACCTTATGCCCCTCTGCACCTGCCCATCACACTGCTGGCCCGAGAGCAGCGCCGCAGGTGGGGAGAGTGGGGCCCCGAGTCACCCCTCCCTAGCTACATGACTCTGGCAGAGCACTCACCTCACTCAGCCTCCCTTTCCCCCCACAGCACCTACACCTCCTAGTGGGGTAAAGACCCAACAAGATCACTCCTGTCTGGTGCTTAACCCAGTGCCTAGCACACAGTAAGAGCCCCCAAAGTGTAGCTACTGTTATTCTGTCTCTGTGCCTCTGGCCCTGCTGTTCCCTGCTGGAAAAATGCCTTTCTTCTCCCACTTCTCTCCTGGAAAACTCCTGGGCATCTTTTGGAGTTGGAGGTAGAAGATTTTTCCTCGTCGAAGCCTCCTCTGCCTCCCCAGAGGAGCCCACGCCCCGTTGCATGCACCCTCATGGCAGCACACCTCCACCTCGGTGTAGCACCTGTGTGCAGGATCCCAGCAGCTGACAACTCCACTGGTCAGCCTTGCCCAAAGGGCCATGGGCTCCTCCAGGGCAGGGATGGGCCTCTCTCCCCAGAATCTAACACCTTCCAGGTACATGACAAGTGCTCACCATATACTTGATGAATCAATTGAAGAGAGAAATGAGTGCGCTCTGGGGCCAGACAGTCCAGCCCATGGTGGGCTGAATCCTCACCCTCTACTGCCCCAGAGATAGGCTAGGGCTGCTGGTGGCACTGAAATTAGAATGCACGATGGGCAGTGCCAAGCCCCCAGATTGGGGAGCTGCTGTCGCATGTGTCTCGGACTAGAGGAAAAGAAAGCAGAGGGAGAATGCTGAAGTTGCCTTTTCAGAGTTTCAGGAACTCACCTCCCTCGCTTTTTTCTTTGAGATTCTCCACGTAGTTGGTTTTCCTCAGTTCTCTGATGATACCCTTGTTGGCATCGTCCAAGGCCTGTGGATGGTAGAGGGAGCTTAGCCCCTGTGTTTGGCACCTACACCATTAATTTTCCCCACCCAGATCAATCCCAGAAGGCAGGGCTCTGGTGGGAACCTGCCACCCTTGGTTTCCCTCTGGCCCCTCCAATGACCCCTACCCTCAGGTTAATCTACACTTACTGACTCAGAATGATCCACACAAATTGTGTCTGGGAGATACATGACTGCGAGTCAGTCAAATGCATTTCTCTTTGGCTTAGGCATGTATTGGGAGTTGTGTCTATCTACTCATTTCTACCTTTAGATGAACTACCTAAAGCTGCTTTTGGCTTCAGTCAATGCAAAAAGACAATCCAAACCTGCAAGCACTCAGCAAGGCAGCACTGAAAAGACCCAGAAACACACCAAGGGGACAGGCTGGGGGCTGGCCTGCCTTCAGAAGGGCCTTCCAGAATGTCTGCAGTTTCCCCAACTCGAGTGCATGATCCACAGGGGCCTGGAGCCCCTGTGAGCCTCTGGAGGGCAGGTCTTGCCTTCTTGCTCATAGCAGGCCCGTGGCTGGCACTGACAGAACACCAGCTACACATGGTAGTGTCTACTGAGCAGCTCCGGGGCCTGGATGCACTCTCTTGTGGTGTTGGTCTGCCCACCCCCCACCTCCCTCCCACTGTGAGCCTTCCTACCTGGAGTTGCCAATCCAGGAGGGTGAGGGGTCGGGGGCCTGGTCCCATGAGGAGTCAGTGAGGGTCACAGGTACCTTCTCTCTGCCCCTAACCCTTCAAACTACTGCCTAGCCTTCAAGGTGACCTCAGATCCTCCTTGTTGGAAAGCCTCCAGCTCTGCCTCCCAGCTGGGGCTCTCTCACTCTGAATTCCCCTAGTCCCCTATGGCACTGGTCATGAACCAGGGTTTGTGCTTTGTTTTTTGTTTGTTTGTTTGTTTTTTTTTTTGAGACAGAGTCTCGCTCTATCATGCATGCTGGAGTGCAGTGGCACGATCTCAGCTCACTGCAAGCTCCGCCTCCTGGGTTCACGCCATTCTCCTGCCTCAGCCTCCTGAGTAACTGTTTTTTTGTTTGTTTGTTTTTTCTTTTTAAGAGACAGGGTCTTGCTATGATGCCCAGGCTGGTCTAGAACTCTTGGACCCAAGTGATCCTCCTGCCCTCAGCCTCCCAAAGTGCTGGGATGACAGGTGTGAGCCACTGTGTCTGGCCTTTCGTTGTAATCTTCTTGTGGGCTAGGACAATGGCCGCACACATTTGAGCTTGGCAGCCTGGAGCCAATCTACACTCGGCGAATATTTCCTGAACTGAACGGCCATGCTGTCTGTCTGCAGGGCGATCACATGGAAGTATGTGGCGCATGGTACATCTGGCAGGGCTGCAGTGAGGTGGGTGCTCTTCGCCTGGAAGCCAGAGCTGGGGACATGGCATTTATGACGAGGACGACAACATGCTAGGCCTGGGCTTCCCTGGGCCGTATGGTGGCAGAGGATAGACTGCGCCTGCTGGGGTCTTTTGGGTATGATTTCTCCGCCATGAGAGGGCAGTGTTAGCCTTACCACAGTCCTCACAAACAGCTCACCATGAACCTGCCTCCCAAAAAACAGAGGTGATCAGATCACTTCTCTGCTGTCCACAGCCCTTCAAGTCCAGGCTGGTGTGCTGACTGTCTGGGGCTCTGTCACCACCATCCCCCGCCACCGGGAACCCCCCAGCTCTGGGACCCAGGCCAGGATCTCTCTTCTGCCGGCCACCAGCCCTCAGCGCCGACCTCCCACGTCTTCAGTGCACTTGCCCCTCCTCGGCCTGGCCAGCTCTGCTATCCTTGTCCTTCAGAGCACAGCATGAGGTCTTCCTCCCACTGGGAGTGTCCTGAGCCTTCACTTCTCAGGGTCCCTGCTCTCTTTGCCCAGTGCCTGCAGACCCCAGGCTGGTCCCTGAGGCCATGCCCCTTTGCTGCCCACAAGTTATGCAATCTGGCTTCTTTCAATGATGGCATAAGCTCCCCAAGGACAGGGGCCCCGTTTACTTCACTCCAGCAGATACTTCCTGGGGTCCAGCTGCGTGCCAGTGGTGCTCTGGAATTTGGCTGTGGGAAGGGCTTAAGGAAGCTGTCTGGTCAGAAGCAGGAGGAAGAGGCCTGGGTGAGTGTGCACCTGTGAAGTTGGTGTGCAGACTTTACTAAGCTTGTGCGTCCACCTGGATGCACTGGGAGTGGGTGGGGTGGGGGAGCCCAGAGCACCTCCAAGTTTCTCCCCTGGTCTCTGCCTCCTGACACAGTCTAGGCCAGCACTATTCAACAGAAATTTCTGTGACAATGGGAATATTCTAGATCTGTATTATGTAGCACCCATAGGCCACATGTAGCTTTTTTTTTTTTTTTGAGACGGAGTCTCGCTCTGTCGCCCAGGCTGGAGTGCAGTGGCGTGATCTTGGCTCACTGCAACCTCCATCTCTCAGGTTCAAGCAATTCTCCTGCTTCAGCCTCCCGAGTAGCTGGGACTACAGGAGTGTGCCATCACACCTGGCTAATTTTTTGTATTTTTAGTAGAGACAATGTTGGCCAGGATGGTCTCAATCTCCTGACCTCGTGATCCACCCGCCTCGGCCTCCCAAAGTGTTCGGATTACAGGTGTGAGCCACCGCACCCGGCCTCACATGTGGCTATAATGACTTGAAATGTGGCTAGTGTGACTGAGAATTTTACATTTTATTTACTTTTTTTTTTTTTTTTTTGAGATGGAGTTTCGCTCTGTTGCCTAGGCTGGAGTGCAATGGCATGATCTTGGCTCATGCAACCTCCACCTCCCGGGTTCAAGCGATTCTCCTGCCTCAGCCTCCCAAGTAGCTGGGACTACAGGTGTGTGCCACCATACCCGGCTAATTGTTTGTATTTTTAATAGAGATGGGGTTTCACCATGTTGGCCAGGCTGGTCTCAAACTCCTGACCTCAGGTGATCCATCCATCTCGGCCTCCTAAAGTGCTGGGATTACAGGCATGAGCCACCACACCCAGCCTAGTTTTAATTAACTTTAGCCTCACGTGGCTAGCAGCTGCCTCCTTAAGCAATGGAAGTCTAGGCAATTACAAGTGCACAACGTGGACTTTGATGGGGGACATATCAAGGCTGTGAAACCTGATGTGAGGGCTCCTCACCCAGACTGAGGGGTCAGAGAAGGCCGCCTCAAAGAGGGGACATCTAAGCTGAAACCTAAAGGTTGAGTGGGAGTTAGCCAGGTGAAGGAGGTGGGAAGGGAAGGTTTAGAATATTCCAGGCAGAGATAACAGCATATGTTATGAGGCATAAGAAACCTGTTTAGGCCGGGTGTGGTGGCTCACACCTGTAATCCCAACACTTTAAAAGGCTGAGACAGGAGGATCGCTTGAGTGCAGGAGCTCTCAAGTGCCCAGCCTGGGCAATATAGTGAGACCTCATCTCTACAAAAAATAAAAATTAAAAATATCAGCCAGGCATGGTGGCCCACACCTGTAGTCCCAGATACTTATCTCTTGAGCCCAGAGATCAAGGCTGCAGTGAGCTGTAGTCACACCACTGCACTGTAGCCTGGGTGACAGAGCAAGACCTTGTCTCAAAAAAAGAAAAGAAAAAAGAAAGCCTGTTTAGGAAGACAGGAAGCTGGTATTGGCTGGAGCTGGAATGCAAGGTGATGGGGGCTGGGGACTGACCAGCAGGAAGCTGGAGAGGCCCACAGGGGAGAGCTTACCCAGTGCCTTCCTACCCCTGTGGGAAAAAGTCAGGAACAGAGACAGCCAGGAAGTAATAAAAGGTTTAGGCAAGAGAATGAGGAAATCACACTAGATTTCTTGTCTCCTGGAGGTGGTATTTTTCAAACTGCAAGTCCTAACGTCAATTTAGACCCTGGGCCACTGACTGGTCCATGGCCTGTTAGGAACCGGGCCACACAGCAGGAGGTAAGCGGAGGGTCGGCAAGTGAGCATTAGGCTGTCAGATCAGTGGCGGCATTAGATTCTCATAGGAGGGAGAACCCGATTGTGAACGGCACGTGAGGGATCTATGTTGCATGCTCCTCATGAGAATCTAATGTCTGATGATCTGAGGTGGAACAGTTTCATCCCGAAACCATTTCCCCCACCACCGGTCCATGGAAAAACTGTCTTCTGCAAAACTGGAGCCTGGTGCCAAAAAGCTTGGGGACTGCTGATAAGAGAAAATGAGGGCTGGGTACAGTGGCTCAGTCCCAGCACTTTGGAAGCCCGAGGCAGGAGGATCACTTGAGTCCAGGAGTTTGATACCAGCCTGGGTAACAGAGTAAGACCCTGAGTCTACAAAAAATAAAAAATTAGCCCCCAGCATGGTGACATGCATCTGTAGTCCCATCTAGATGGGAGGCTAAGGTGTGAGGATTGCCTGAGCCCAGGAGGTCAAGCCTACAGTAAGCTATGATCTCACCACTGTACTAAGTCTGTGTGACAGAGAGACACTCTGTCTAAAAATAAATACATAAAAAGCAAAAAGAAAATAAGAAAATAAGGCTAGGCACAGTGGCCCATGCCTGTAATCCCAGCACTTTGGCAGGTCAAGGCAGGAGAATCATTTGAGGCAAAGAGTTTGAGACTAGCCTGGCCAACATACTGAGACTCCGTCTCTACTTATTTATTTATTTAGAGACAGGGTCTCGCTCTGTCACCCAGGCTGGAGTGCAGGGGTGAGATCACTCCTTGTTACAGCCTCAACTTCTCAGGCTTAAGTGGTCCTCCCACCTCAGCCTTCCAAGTGGCTGGAGTGAGTCACCACACCCGGCTAATTTTTTTTATTTTTTAGAGATAGGGTTTCGCCATGTTGCCGAGTCCCAGCAACACGTTGGGTCCCAGGCTAGGTCCCACCATACATGGCCCCATCTCTATTTAAAAAAAAAAAAAAAAAAAAAGGCCGGGCATGGTGGCTCATACCAGTAATACCATCACTTTGGAAGGCCGAGGCGGGCAGATCACCTAAGGTCAGGAGTTCGAGACCAGCCTGGCCAACATGGCTAAATCCCATCTCTATTAAAAATACAAAAATTATGGCCAGGCACAGTGGCTCACACCTATAATCCCAGCACTTTGGGAGGCCGAGGCAGACAGATCATTTGAGGTCAGGAGTTCCAAACCAGCCTGGCCAACATGGTGAAACCCCATCTCTACTAAAAATACAAAAATTAGCTGGGCGTGGTGGGGGGGCGCCTGTGATCCCAGCTACTCGGGAGGCTGAGGCAGGTGAATCGTTTGAACCCGGGAGGCGGAGGTTGCAGTGAGCCAAGATCACACCATTGCACTCCAGCCTGGGTGACAAGTGAGACTCAGTCTCAAAAAAAAAAAAAAAAAAAGCTAAGTACAGTTTACACGTGTAATCCCAGCACATTGGGAGGCTGAGGAGGGTGGATTGCCTGAGCTCAGGAGTTCAAGACATAGTGAGACCTCATCTCTACAAAAAAATTTTAAAATGAGGCAGGAGGATAACTTGAGCCCAGGAGGTCGAGGCTGCAATGAGCCATAACAGTGCCACTGCATTCTGACCTGGCCAACGGGAGTGAGACCCTGTCTCAATAAATAAATAAATAAATAAAAATAAGAAAACAGAATGTAATAGGAAATATCAGCATGCAGAGTACGTAGCAGAGGTAAATATATTTTGTAAAATTTTTGTTTCTGGCTGGGCACAGTGGCTCACGCCTGTAATCCCAGCATTTTGAGAGGCCAAGGCGGGCGGATCACAAAGTCAGGAGATCGAGACCATCCTGGCTAACAGTGAAACCCTGTCTCTACTAAAAATACAAAAAATTAGCCAGACGTGGTGGGGGGCGCCTGTAGTCCTAGCTACTTGGGAGGCTGAGGCAGGAGAATGGTGTGAACCCGGAAGCGGAGCTTGCAGTGAGCCGAGATCACGCCATTGCACTCCAGCCTGGGCAACAGAGCAAGACTCTGTCTCAAAACAAATAAACAAACAAACAAAAAAACGGCTGTGGAATGGCGCCCAAGCAGGCTGAGGGGGAACTGAAGGCCTGACCACCCAACCCCACTCCTGACACCCGAAGCCCGGCGGGTGGAAAGGCTCACACTGATGATGGCCTGCTGCGCCTCGTTGTTATGCACAAGCTTTGCTCTCTCCAGGGCCTTCTCAAAATTGTTCACGGCTGACTCGAAGTCTCTCAGCTTCACTGGAGAGCAAGGGGAGAAGGCACAACACAGGTAGAGTGTGACAACGTGTGGTGCATGATGGAGCCTCTGGCTACTCGAGCACTGCCAGGGCCCATCAGAAGCTTGTGTGAGCTGTAGTCGGACCCAGGCCCCAGGGAAGCATCACTGAGCTGCTCAGCACCATCCTTTCCACCGTGTTCCTGGGCTATGTCACCATCGAGAACCAGGACTGAGGAACCTGGGCCTCATTCAAAGGCGTTGGTGAGAGAAGGGGACTGTGGTGCAGTCTAGTGCATACATCATATGTCTCCAGAGTGGAGGAGAAAACCGCATCCTGCTCCATCTTTAGATTGTTCTGGAAGACGAATTTTTTTTTTTTTTTTTTTGAGACAGAGTTTCACTCTTGTTGCCCAGGCTGGAGTGCAATGGGGCAATCTCGGCTCACTGCAACCTCTGCCTCCCAGGTTCAAGCGATTCTCCTGCCTCAGCCTCCTGAGAAGCTGGGATTACAGGCACATGACACCACACCTGGCTAATTTTGTTTTTTAAGTAGAGATGGGGTTTCGTCATGTTGGTCAGGCTGGTCTTAAACCCTGACCTCAGGTGATCCACCTGCCTCGGCCTCCCAAAGTGCTGGGATTACAGGTGTGAGCCACCGCTCGGCCAGAAATTCATATTTTTTAAATGGTCATTCATTTTTTTCAAAAATGATATGCAGACCAAAGCACAGAGGGCTGGATGCAATCCATGGGCCAGCTGCTGGAACCTCAGCTGTCTCGAGTCCAGGCCCCACTCAGGTACAATCTGAACCCGTAGAAAAAGCGGCTCATCTGGGCTCTCCGTGCCAATTAGTGCTGGAGCTGGGACTGAAATGATTAGCAGATTGATTGAGTGATTGATTTGAGCCCTCAGAGCTTCATTTCATTTTAAAAAATTAAATACATATGTCAGGCCGGGCGTGGTGGCTCACGTCTGTAATCCCAGCACTTTGGGAGGCCAAGGTGGGCGGATTGCTTGAGGTCAGGAGTTCGAGACCACCCTGGCCAACATGGTGACATCCCCATCTCTACTAAAAATACAAAAATTAGCCAGGCATGGTGACGGGCGACTGTAAACCCAGCTACTCGGGAGGCTGAGGCAGAAGAATTGCTTGAACCTCAGAGGCAGAGGTTGCAGTGAGCCGAGATCGCGCCACTGCACTCCAGCCTGTGTGACAGAGCAAGACTGTCTCAAAAAAATTAATTAATTAAAAATAAATACATACATACATAGGCTAGGTGCGGTGGCTCACACCTATAATCCCAGCACTTTGGGAGGCTAAGGCAGGCGGATCACTTGAACCAGGAGTTCAAGACCAGCCTGGGCAACATAGTGAGACCCGATCTCTACCAAAAATACAAAATTAGCTGGGTGTGAGGCCGCATGCATGTAGTCCCAGCTACTCGGGAGGCTGAGATGGGAGGATCCCTTGATCCCAGAAGGTCAATGTTGCAGTGAGCCCAGATTGCACTGCTGCACTCCAGCCTGGGTGACAGAGTGAGACCCTGTCTCTCTCTCTCTCTCTCTCTATATATATATATATAATTAAATTAATAGAGACAGGGTCTCACCATGTTGCCCAGCCTGGTCTCGAACTACTGGCCTCAAGCAATCCTCCACCTTGGCCTCCCAAAGTGCTGGGATTACAGGCGTGAACCACCTCACCTAGCCAAGAGCTTCATAAAGGAGAAAGTGCTTACCAGCCAAGGTCTTCACAAACCACTGCTTTCTTTTACAATTGAGTATATCCAAGATCTATCCTCCTCCCAAGCACTGCTTTGAGACCCATGGGGAAAATAAGCCCTTGTGTTCATAAGTCAGACTTTAAAAGGTCATTACAGCCAGTCGCGGTGGCTCACACCTGTAATCCCAACAATTTGGGAGGCCAAGACAGGCGGATCACAAGGTCAGGAGATTGAGATCAGCATGGCCAACATGGTGAAACCCCATCTCTACTAAAAATACAAAAATTAGCCAGGCATGGTGGTGGACGCATGTAATCCCAGCTACCTGGGAGGCTGAGGCAGAAGAATCGCTTGAAATCGGAAGGCAGAGGTTGCACTGAGCTGAGATTGCACCACTGCACTCCAGCCTGGGTGAAACAGCGAAACTCCATCTCAAAAATAAATAAAATAAAATAAAATAAAACGCCATTACACTTGGCTAGACACAGCGGCTCATGCCTGTAATCCCAGCATTTTGGGAGGCCGAGGTGGGAGCACTGCTTGAGCCCAGGAGTTCCAGAACAACCTGGACAACATAGGGAGACCCCGTTCTCTACCAAAAAAAAAATTTGCCAGGCATGGTGGCATGCACCTGTGGTCCCAGCAACTGGGGAGGCTGAGGAGGGAGAATCACCGGAGCCTGGGAGGTTGAGGCTGCAGTGAGCCATGAATGCAGGGACGTGACACTGCACTAAAGTCTGGGTGATAAAGCAAGACTCTATCTCAAAAAAGAAGAAAAAAAAGGCTATTACACTTAAAGGAAATTTAAGTGTAATTCTGAAAATATGTGGAGTCGCAGTATTCCTTTCAAGACCAGTGGGACTCTGACATTAAAGGTCTGCAGAAGAGTCACATGCTTATTCAAGAGAGTAAATCATTCAGGATTATTCTTTCATTCTTTCTGTTTTTTTTTTTTTTTTTTTTTTTTTTTTTGGAGTGAGGGTCAGGGCCTCGCTCTGTATCCCAGGCTGGAATGCAGTGGCATGATCATGGCTCACTGCGGTCTCAACCTGGGCTCAAGTGATCCTTCTACCTCAGCCTCCCAAATATTTGGGATCACAGGTGCCTGCCACCACACTCAGCTAATTTTTTTTTTTTTTTTTTTTTTGATACAGAGTCTCATAGTCGCCTGGACTGGAGTGCAGTGGCACGATCTCAGCTCACTGCAACCTCCGCCTCCCAGGTTCAAGCAACTCTCCTGCCTCAGCCTCCCGAGCAGCTTGGATTACAAGCATGCACCACCACGCCCGGCTAATTTTTTGGATTTTTAGTAGAGATGGGGTTTCACTATGTTGGCCAGGCTGGTCTTGAACTCCTGACCTTGTGATCTGCCCACCTTGGCCTCCCAAAGTGCAGGGATTACAGGCATGGGCCACTGTGCCCCGCCCTAATTTTTATTTTTTGTAGAGATGAGGTCTCTTTAAGTTGCCTTATTTTTTGTAAAGATGAGATCTCCCTATGTTGCCCAGGCTGGTATCAAACTCCTGGGCTCAACCGATCCTCCCACCTTGGCTTCCCAAAGTGCCAGGATTATAAGTGTTAGCCACTATGGCCAGGCTAATTTTTTTTTTTTTTTTTTTTTTTTTTTTTGCGACAGAGTCTCGTTCTTTCACCCAGACTGGAGCACAGTGGCGCAATCTGGGCTCACTGCAACCTCCGCCTCCTGGATTCAAGCAGTTCTCCTGCCTCAGCCTCCCGAGTAGTTGGGACTACAGGCGTGTGCCACCACACCTGGCTAATTTTTGTATTTTTAGTAGAGACGAGGTTTCACCTTGTTGGTCAGGCTGGTACCAAACTCCTGACCTCAGGTGATCCACCTGCCTCGGCCTCCCAAAGTGCTGGGATTACATGCGTGAGCCACCGTGCCTGTCCCCAGCCTAATTTTTAACTGAGTATGTAATTTAAAGTTATCTCAATGTGACAGGAAAACCACTTGACCCCGGGAGGCGGAGGTTGCAGTGAGCCAAGATCGCGCCACTGCATTCCAGACTGGGCAACAGAGTGAGACGCCTTCTCAAAAAAATAAATAAATAAAGTTCACCGGCTTGTAAGGATAAAGTTCAATGATTTTGAGAAAATTTACAGAGTTGAGGCCGGGCACAGTGGCTCACAACTGTAATCCCAGCACTTTGGGAGGCTGAAGCAGGCAGATCACGAGGTCAAGAGTTCAAGACCAGCCTGACCAACTTGGTGAAATCCCGTCTCTACTAAAAATACAAACATTAGCCAGGTGTGGTGGCGCACGCCTGTAATCCCAGCTACTCAGGAGACTGAGGCAGGAGAATAGCTTGAACACGGGAGGCGGAGGTTGCAGTGAGCCAAGATTGTGCCACTGCACTCCAGTCTAGGTGACAGAGCAAGACTCCATCTCAAAAAAAAAAAAGAAGAAAATTTACAGAGTTGTACAGTGGCCACCACAATCCCATTTTAGAACATTTCCATCACTCTGAAAGGTTCCCTTGGAGGCCGGGTGCAGTGGCTTATGCCTATAATCCCAGCACTTTGGGAGGCAGAGGCGGGCAGATCACTTGAGGTCAGAAGTTCGAGACCAGCCTGACCAACATGGTGAAACCCCATCTCTACAAAAATACAAAAAAATTAGCCAGGAGTGGTGGCACACGCCTGTAATCCCAGCTACTCGGAAGGCTGAGACAGCAGAATCGCTTGAACCCAGGAGACAGAGGTTGCAGTGAGCCGAGATTGTGTCACTACACTCCAGCCTGGGTGACACAGCAAGACTCCATCTCAAAAAATAAAAATAAAGAAATAAAATAAATTAAAAAATAAAAGGTTTCCTCGGCCAGGCGCAGTGGCTCACACCTGTAATCCCAGCACTTTGGTAGGCTGAGGTGGGTGGATCACTTGAGGCCAGGAGTTTGAAACCAGCCAACATAGTGAAACTGCATCTCTAAAAATACAAAGACATAGCTGGGTATTATGGTGCACACATGTAATCCCAGCTACTCAGGAAGCTGAGGCACAGGAATCATTTGAACCCATGAGGCAGAGGTTGCAGTGAGCTGAGATCGCGCCACTGCACTCCAGCCTGGGTGACAGAGTGAGTCTCCATCTCAAAAAAAAAAAAAAAGCTTCCCTCATAGGACTTGGGGAGTCTACTGGACCTCTCTGTGCCTCAGTTTCCCTATCTCTAAAATAAGGATGATAATGCCTACCTACATCATAATGATTCAATACAAGAATGCTGGCTGGGTGTGGTGGCTCATGCCTGTAATCCCAGCACTTTGGGAAGCTGAGGCGGGTGGATCACCTGAGGTCAGGAGTTCGAGAACAGCCTGGCCAACGTGGTGAAACCCCGTCTCTACTAAAAATACAAAAATTAGCCGGGTGTGGTGGTGCGCGCCTGTAATCCCAGCTACCCTGGAGGCTGAAGCAGGAGAATCGCTTGAACCCGGGAGGCCAAGGTTGCAGTGAGCTGAGATCGTGCCCCTGCAGTCTAGCCTGGGTAACATAGTGAGACTTCGTCTCAAAAAACAAAACAGGGCCGGGCATGGTGGCTCACGCCTGTAATCCTAGCACTTTGGGAGGCCGAGGCGTTTGGATCACCTGAGGTCAGGAATTTGAGACCAGCCTAGCCAACATGGTGAAACCCTGTCTCTACTAAAAACACAAAAAATTAGCCAGGTGTGGTGGCAGACGCCTGTAATCCCAGCTACTTGGGAGCCTGAAGCAGAAGAATCACTTGAACCTGGGAGGCAGAGGTTGCAATGAGCCGAGATCGCACCACTGCACTCCAGCCTGGGCAACAAAAGCGAAACTCTGTCTCAAAAACAAAATGAAACAAAACAAAAAAAAAGTACCAAGGCAGAAGGAAAGTGGCTCAATACATGGGCACTGTTGTGAGGATGACACGATGCTGTGTGGGTCTGCAGCTGACCTCCTCAAGGGCAGAGGTAGGCTCAAGGTACCCCAAGCTCTAACCAAGCTTTGCTTAATGAAAGCACTTACCACGTGCTGGTCAAAATAGAGTGGCTTATCCCCACTCTCAGAATAATCTGGGAAGGAGAAACACTGGGATGGTAAACTCAGTCCACAAGACTCCTAGCCCTGGTGTGAGCTGGGCCTGAAGGCTGGAAAAGGTAGGGTGGTCATCTCTGAGCCCATACCTTGTGCCTGGGCCACCAGAACACTGGCATTCAGTTGCCACTCAATGTCCCCTTCCTCCTCGGCACACTGCTGGGACTTCTCGCCATAATTCTGGGCCTGCCAGGCCTGGTCCAGCTCCAAGTAGCAGCGGCCGATCTCGTGGAACAGCCAGGTCTTCTCCAGGGTGGTTTTTGCCAGAGGGATCTTTTCTTCCCACCTGGGGACATGAAGAACCAGAGTCAGCTTCATCCCCCAAAACCATGCACTGGGCCACAGGATGCCAAGGCTTCCTGCTGGGTGGCGGAATAAAACTTGTTCTCCAGCTACCAGTTCTTTTGGATACAAGGGTGGAGTTCATAAGCATAAAGATATTTTAAGACTACTGAGACTATTTTGGTAACACCTATGGAATGTGGAATTTAATACAACAGTTGAGGCTGGCGTGGTGGCTCATGTCTCTAGCGCTTTGGGAGGCTGAAGTGGGCAGATCACCTGAGGTCAGGAGTTCGAGATCAGCCTAGACAAGCTGGCAAAACCCTGTCTGTCTACTAAAAATACAAAAATTAGCCAGGCATGGTGGCAGGCGCCTGTAGTCCAGCTACTCGGGAGGCTGAGGCAGAAGAATCACTTGAACCCGGGAGGTGGAGGTTGCAGTGAGCCAAGATTATGCCACTGCACTCCAGCCTGGGTGACAGAGCAAGACTCCATCTCAAAACACACACACATACACACAACATAAATAATGTTTAAGAATATTATTACCAAGTATGGTGGCTCATTCCTGTAACCCCAGCCTTTGGGAAGCCAACGTGGGTGGATTGCTTGAGCCAAGGAGTTCAAGCCTGGGCAACATGGCAAAACCCCATCTCTACAAAAAAATACAAAATTTAGCCAGGCACAGTGGTGTGCGCCTGTAGCCCAGCTACTTGGGAGGCTAAGGTAGGGGGATCGCTTAAGCCTGAGAGGTTGAAATTGCAGTGAGCTATAATCGTGCCACTGCACTCCCACCTGGGTGACAAAGTGAGACCCTGTCTCAAAAAAAAAAAAAGGAAAGAAAGAAAAAAATTACTAAGAATATATGAGAGAAAAATCAAAACAAAAAAGATTGGAATGAAAAAACACAGTATCAATAAAAGAGTAGGATTAGAATTAGTACTTGTCTTTGGGTGGTGAGACTGAATACTTTTCTCTATTTTTCTGTATTTTCCAAATTAATATTTTTTATTTTTATTTTTATTTATTTATTTTTTTGAGATGGAGTTTTGCTCTTGTTGCCCAGTCTGGAGTGCAATGGCAAGATCTCTGCTCACTGCAACCTCCACCTCCCGGGTTCAAGTGATTCTCCTGCCTCAGCCTCCCAAGTAGCTGGGATTACAGGCATGTGCCACCACACCTGGCCAATTTTGTATTTTTAGTAGAAACGGGGTTTCTCCATGTTGGTCAGGCTGGTCTTGAACTCCCGACCTCAGGCGATCACCCGCCTCAGCCTCCCAAAGTGCTGGGATTACAGGCGTGAGCCACCGCACCCAGCCATTTTATTTTTATTTTATTTTATTTTATTTTATTTTTTCTTTGAGACAGAGTTTCGCTCTTGTTGCCCAGGCTAGAGTGCAGTGGCGCCATCTCAGCTCACTGCAACCTCCGCCTCCCAGATTCAAGTGATTCTCTTGCCTCAGCCTCCTGAGTAGCTGGGATTACAGGAGTGTGCCACCACGCCTGGCTAATTTTGCATTTTTAATAGGGACGGGGTTTCCCCACGTTGGCCAGGCTGGTCTGAACTCCGGACCTCAGGAGGTCCGCCCACCTCGGCCTCCCAAAGTGCTGGGATTACAGGCGTGAGCCACCACACCTGGCCTGTGCTTATTTTTTATTTATTTATTTTTTTGAGACAGAGTCTTGCTGCGTCACCCAGGCTGGAGTGCAGTGGCGTGATCTCGGCTCACTTCAACCTTCGCCTCCTGGGTTCAAGCAATTCTCCTGCCTCAGCCTCCTGTGTAGCTGGGATTACAGGTGCACGCCACCATGCCTGGCTAACTTTTGTATTTTTTTTCTTTTTTTTTAGTAGAGACAGTGTTTCACCATGTTGGCCAGGCTGGTCTCGAACTCCTGACCTTGTGATCCGCTCGCCTCTGCCTCCCAAAGTGCTGGGATTACAGGCGTGAGCCACCGCGCCCGGCCTGGCCTGCGCTTATTATTAAAATATTAATTTGGAAAATGCACACCCGGGCACAGTGGCTCATGCCTGTAATCCCAGCACTTTGGGAGGCTGAGGTGGGCGGATCACCTGAGGTCGGGAGTTGGAGACCAGCCTGACCAACGCGGGGAAACCCCGTCTCTACTAAAAATACAAAATTAGCCAGGCGTGGTGGCGGGCGCCTGTAGTCCCCACTACTCAGGAGGCTGAGGCGGGAGAATGGCGTGAACCCGGGAGGTGGAGCTTGCAGTGAGCCGAGATCACGCCACTGCACTCCAGCGTGGGGGACAGAGCGAGACTCCGTCTCAAAAAAAAAAAAGAAAAGAAAAATTAGCCGGACATGGTGGCACACAACTGTAGTCCCAGCTACTTGGGAGGCTGAGGCAGGAGAGAATCGCTTGAACCTGGAAGGTGGAGGTTGCCATGAGCTGAGATCACGCCTCTGCACTCCAGCCTGGGTGACAGAGTGAGACTCCTTCTCAAAAATAAAATAACATAAAATAAAAATAAAAACAACATAACATAACATAAAATAAAATAGTGATAAATTGAGCTGGGTGCGGTGGCTCACGCCTGTAATCCCAGCACTTTGGGACGCCATGGCGGGTGAATCACCTGAGGTCAGGAGTTTGAGACCAGCCTGACCAATATGGTGAAACCTCGTCTTTACTAAAAATACAAAAATTAGCTGGGCGTGGTGGCGGGCGCCTGTAGTGCCAGCTACTCGGGAAGCTGAGACAGGAGAATTGCTTGAACCTAGAGGCAGAGGTTGCAGTGAGCTGAGATTGTGCCATTGCACTCCAGCCTGGGTGACAGAGTGAGACTCCGTCTCAAAACAAACAAACAAACAAAAAAAAGTGATAAATTGGCAGCCAGTGTCATGGAGAGGGCATTTCCTGATGGTCCACACCTGTCGCACTAAAGTGTTAACTGAATGTAGGTGCCAGGGAGAAGCAACTTCCCAGGCATGCACATTAAGAGACAAAATGGTGGAGCTTGACCTTCGGGGGGCACTCCACTGGTGAGAGGAAGAAAGCCTCAGATAAGCATGCATGCCACTTCCTCAACACACTGTGCGTGCTCACCTCCCAAGGGTAAGGAGGGCACTGCACATATGGGCAGCCAACCCTAAGGGAAGAATCAGGGGAAAGGGGCCAGTTTGTAAAGTCCTAGGATCAAGGTTAAACACCAACACTGCATTTGTCCTTCTCAGTGCCCACTTGGGTCTCTTCCAAGTATACGTTCCTTTCTTTCCTGCCCTAAAGGTTTTTTTTTGAGACTGTATCTTGCTCTGTCGCCCAGGCTGGAGTGCAGCGGCATGATCTCAGCTCACTGCAACCTCCGCCTTCCGGGTTCAAGCGATTCTCCTGCCTCAGCCTCCCGAGCAGCTGGGACTACAGGCACGTGCCAACGTGTTCGGCTAATTTTTGTATTTTTTCAGTAGAGACAGGGTTTTGCCATGTTGGCCAGGCTGGTCTCGAACTCCTGACCTCAAGTGATCCGCCTGCCTCGGCCTCCCAAAGTGCTGGGATTACAGGCATGAGCCACTGCGCCCGGCCTAGCTTTTTAATAAATTCCCATTCCTCATTCAAATTCTTTCTTCTGAGGAGGCAAGAATTGAGGTTGCTGCAGACCTGTACAGATTCACCGGCAATAACTTGGATACCTTCCACTGGTAACATATTGTCTAGGCTGGAGTGCAGTAGTGTGATCATGTCTCACTGCAGCCTCAACCTCCCAGGCTCATGTAATCCTCCTACCTCAGCCTCCCAAGTAGCTGGGACCACAGGCACAGGACAGTATGCGCGGCTAATTTTTTTTTTTTTTTTTTTGTAGAGAGGGAGTCTTCCTATGTTGCCCAGGCTGGATTCTTATTACCGGAAACAAATTTTCATGTTATGGTGAGAAGTTCTAACCATGGAGGTGGGGAAGAGGCAATTCTTGGTCACTCACGTGTCAATGGCTTGCTGGAATTTCCCAACTCTGGCAAAAACTCTGCCAATGTTGTCAAGGGCTCTCGATTTTGCATCAGGAAGGTCACTGTGGGGAAGAAGCAAAACAAGCCATTCACTAGAAATCAGCTGTTCTAGGCACTGTGGAAATAGGAAAGAAGGCAAAGACAGGAGCCCTGGCCTCAGAAACTCAGGGTTTCAGTTGGAGGGACAATGTCCAGCCCAGCAAGGATGTGGCACATCTGTGCCCTGGGGCCAAGAATGAACATTATCAGGACTTTTCTGGAGAGTAATCAATCAACAGCTTGCAAAGATGTCCCTTTGAACCAGCAATTGCCTTTCTAGGAATCTACCTCAAAAAGATAATGTGACAAGAACAGTCATTAAAGCACAGTTTATAATAATAAGCATTAAAAATAATTACTTTTTTTTTTTGAGACAGAGTCTCACTCTGTTGCCCAGGCTGGAGGGCAGTGCCATGATCTTGGCTCACTGCAACTCTACCTGCCGGGTTCAAGCAATTCTCCTGCCTCAGCCCCTGAGTTGCTGGGATTACAGGTGCCCGCCACCACACCCAGCTAATTTTTATATTTTTAGTAGAGACAAGCTTGCCGCCATGTCGGAAAGGCTGGTCTCAAAGTCCTGATCTCAGGTGATCTACCCACCTTGGCCTCCCAAAGTGCTGGGATTACAGATGTGAGCCACTGCACCTGGCCAAAAAAAATAATCTAAATGTTATCAGTGCTCTAAGAAAGGCAATTTCTGTGTATGCGGGGGGGTGTGTGTGTGTGTGTGTGTGTGTGTGTGTGTGTGTGTGTGTGTGTGTGTGTGTATGTGTGTTTGGGGTTTGTTTGTTTTTTGAGACAGAGTCTCGCTGTGTCACCCAGGTTGGAGTGCGGTGGCACAATCTTGGCTCACTGCAGCCTCCGCCTCCGGGGTTCAAGTGACTCTCATGCCTCAGCCACTGAGTAGCAGGGACTCCAGGCACATGCCACCACGCCCAGCTAATTTTTTTTTTTTTTTTTTGAGACGGAGTTTCACTCTTGTGGCCCAGGCTGGAGTGCAATAGCACGATCTCAGCTCACTGCAACCTTCACCTCCAGGATTCAAGTAATTCTCCTGCCTCAGCTCCCTGAGTAACTAAGATTACAGGCATGTGCCACCACGCCTGGCTAATTTTGTATTTTTAGTAGAGACAGGGTTTCTTCATGTTGGCCAGGCTGGTCTTGAACTCCTGACCTCGTGATTCACCCGCCTCGGCCTCCCAACAGTTTTTGTATTTTTAATAGAGATGGAGTTTTGCCACGTTTCCTAGGCTGGTCTCAAACCCCTGGCCTCCATAGTTCCCTGCAGCCTTAAACTCTTGGGCTCAAGGGATCCTCCTGACTCAGCCTCCTGAGTAACTAGGTCTATATGCTCAAGAAACCACATCTGACTAATTTGCCCAGGCTGTTCTCAAACTCCTGGTCTCAGGCAATCCTCCTGCCTAAGCCTCCCATGTCAGGCCTCTGAGCCCAAGCTAAGCCATCATATCTCCTGTGACCTGCACGTATACAACCAGATGGCCCGAAGTAACTGAAGAATCACAAAAGAAGTGAAAATAGCCTTAACTGATGACATTCCACCATTGTGATTTGTTCCTGCTCCACCCTGATACGATATATTCTCCCTCACCCTCAAGAAGGTACTTTGTAATATTCTCCCCCTCCCTTAAGAATGTATTTTGTACACCTATCCCAAACCTATAAGAACTAATGATAATCCCACCACCCTTTGCTGACTCTCTTTTCGGACTCAGCCCGCCTGCACCCAGGTGAAATAAACAGCCTTGTTGCTCACACAAAGCCTGTTTGGTGGTCTCTTCACATGGACACGTGTGACATCCCAAAGTGCTGGAATTACAGGCATGAGCCACTGTGCTTGGCCTGTGGTTATATTTGAGAGGAAGACATATTCTTTTTTAAAAAAATAAAAAAATAGCAAGGAACTGCTTTGGTTTTAAAAAATCCTGCATATGTACATGAGTATGTAGGTAAACACATTGAAAAGGAGCCAGAGGACACATTCCAACAACATCATCCTGGGAAGTGACGGGAAGTGGGTTGCGGGGGACAACTTTCAGGTTTTGCTCTCAGTACCACGCAGTTCTGGTTCAAGCCTGCAAGCCTGACATTATAGTACTTGTGTAAAAACAAAACGCGGGCACAATGGTTCATGCCAGTAGACCCAGCTACTCAGGAGGGTGAGGTAGGAAGATTGCTTGGGCCTAGGAGTTGGAGGCTGCAGTGAAATATGATTGCACCACTACACTCCAGCCTGGGCAGCAGAGCAATACCCTGTTGCTAAAAAACAAAACAAAAAAAACAAAACACACACACAAAAACACTGGGCCTCAGTGCCTGAGGGCTGAACCGGTTTCGAGGCATGGCATCCAGACCTCCCACTGCCTGCAGGCCCTGGTCCCTAGCCCTGCCACACCTAACCTACCTATGGTTCTCCAAGTCCTCCATCCCTGCCACATCTTTCTGCCCTGCCCAAGGTCCCCTTCTCCCTCCCCCTTGCCCACCTTGCTGACCCTGCTGCCTTCCCTGAGGCCCCTGCCAAGCTCCCACCTGCCTGTCTCCTTGGCCCCTGGGCCACACTGTGCACCTGCTGCTGTCACAGCCCGTCGGAGTGGATCCCCTCTTCTAGAGTGGGTACTCTGTTCTGGCGAGTTGAATGAGTGAATAAGCTGTAATATGTCCATTTTTCATAACAATATGTACTAAAAATCATAATAGCAAAAATAAAGCATGTGATCAAATAATTTATAGATTATTCAGAGAAATAAATGAGTGCCGTGGGCACTGAAAAAACCACTTAGACTAGTAAGTGGCTAATCTAGCAAGTGGCTGATTAGAATGAGGGAGCTCCTGGAGCACATGGGACTCACAAGGAAGACTGGAGTAAGCCTGGGTGAGGCTCATTTGTGGATGTTAAAAACTAATAGCCCGGGCATGGTGGCTCACACCTGTCATCCTAGCACTTTGGGAGGCTGAGGTGGGCGGATCACCTGAGGTCAGGAGTTAGAGACTAGCCTGGCTAACATGGTGAAACCCCATCTCTACTAAAAACACAAAATTAGCCGGGCTGCCAATAATCCCAGCTACTTGGGAGGCTGAGGCAGAAGAATCACTTGAACCAGGGAGGCGGAGGTTGCAGGTTGCAGTGAGCCGAGATCACTCCATTGCACTCCAGCCTGGGCAAGAAGAGTGAAACTCCATCTCAAATTATTCAGTCACTTAGCACACATTCATTACATGCCCACTGTGTGGCAGATGCTGGGAATAGCACCTTCCAAAGTCCAAAGTCTAACAGGACAGAAAGGCTACCTGTGGAGAGGGAGCCTAGGGGAGGGATTTGTAACCCCTGGGGCAGCAGGCAGGCTTTTCTTTTCTCTCTTTTTTTTTTTTTTTTTGAGACGGAGTCTCGCTCTGTCGCCCAGTCACTATCTCGGCTCACTGCAAGCTCCGCCTCCTGGGTTCACGCCATTCTCCTGCCTCAGCCTCCCAAGTAGCTGGGACTACAGGCGCACACCACCACACCCGGCTAACACTACGCCCGGCTAATTTTTTTTGTATTTTTAGTAGAGATGGGGTTTCACCGTGTTAGCCAGGATGGTCTCGATCTCCTGACCTCGTGATCCACCCACCTTGGCCTCCCAAAATGCTGGGATTACAGGCGTGAGCCACCGCTCAGGCTAGGAGGCAGGCTTTTCAACCTTTATTGAAATGTTGAAGAATGGGTGGCGGCAGCTTGATAAAGCAAGTGCTGGGAAAAGGGAAAGCATTCCTGGGGCTGGAGGATATGCACAGAGCTCTGCACTGGCTGGGGCCCAGAATGCCTGGGGGCCTGGAGAAAGCCAGGTCAAGACAGGCCAGGAGAAGTCAAGTGAAGAAGGGCAACCTGTGTTGAGCAGGGCATTGAAATTTCATCCCAACCACAGGAGTTGTTTTTCAGAGAAAGGACAGCTGAACTGTAGGAAGCCCAGGTCAGAGGAAACAGGCAAGAAGTAAGGATGGTCTGGACTGAGTTGTGGGAGGGAAACAGAGAAAGTATGGACAGGACAAGACATGGCCATTGCTGGGCATGAACAGTGAGGGGGCCAAGCGCAGTGGCTCACGCCTGTCATCCAGACCAACTTGAGCGATATGGCAAAAACAGAGAGGGGAAGGAGGTATCTGGGAAGCCTCCGGTCTTCTGGCTTGGGACTCAGTGGCCAACAGTGCTATCCTCGGGGATGGGGAACCCTCAAGAAGTAAGTTTGGGAGGAAGATAAGGGATTCCGATTTGGACATGTTAAGTTTAGGATTCCTGTGGGACATCCAGATGGAAATGTCTTAGAATCTGCTGGACACACAGGTCTGAGGCTCAGGAGAGAGGTCTGGCGAGAAGTAAAGATTTCTAACTCATTTGTGCATGGGAGATGGTTGGATCCAAGGTACCATATATATACATCACATCTAATCCCCACAGTCCCTGTGGGTTGGTATTATTATGCCTTCATTAGAGATGAGGAAACTGAGTAGAGGAGCAACTTAATCAAATCCACACAGCTTCTAAGTGGCAGAGCCAGTTAGAAGACAGGGATCGAAGACAGGTCTGTCCCTAAAGCTATTTTTTTCTAATATGGGATGGCCAGTATGGGATATTCCTGCTCAGCACAGTGGAGGCAGGCGAGAAATGAACTGGGAATGGAAAGCATATGGGGCTTGGATCAGTGAAGAGGAAAGGGCAGGAGGCAGGAATGTTCAGGAACGTTTGACCCCAAGGGAAGATTGCTATAAGAGGGCCAGGGTGGGTTTAGAGAGGGCCTGAGGGCCAAGCAAAGGGGCTTGACCTTTAACCTGCAGGCAGTGAGGGGCCCAGGCCCACTTGTGAGCAGGGGAGGGAGAGTTCATAGCATGTGTCTCTGGAGATTTGTGGGAGGAGCTGGAGAGAGACAGCAGAGGCAGGGGAAGCAGCAGGACTCAGGTCGGCTGAGGGCTGGGCACTGTGAGGGCAAATGGGATGATGGGAGATCAAGGAGGCTCAGACTGGTGAGATGGGTAGAAACCAGGCAGGAGGAAGTCAAGAATGACTCCAAAGGGTAGAACCAGGATGCTGAGAAAGCGATGGAACCTCCGGGTGGAAGTCAGCAAGTCTTGAGAAGATCTCATTTCTGGAGAGCTGGTGTTACTACTATTGTGGATACCAGGCACTGTCCTAAGGTCTGCACAGGTACTTCTGTATTTCATCCTCCCTTCTGCCCTACAGGGTGCCCAGCTAACAGGAGGAGACCCTGAGGCTGAGGGAGCTAAAGTGGCTTATCTCAGGTTCCACGGCTGGGCGGTGCAAGTTCCACAGCCTAGGTCTGCCTGACTCCACAGCCCGTGCTCTTGATCAGCACCGGTTTTAAAAGACCCTGCTTGATCCATCCCCTGCCCACTTCCTTCAGCCTCCTCTTGGCCCCTCTCCCTGGCAATATGCTGTGCTCTCCAGGCTTAAGTACCCTCCTGTCTCAGGGCCTTTCCATAGGCCCTGTGTGTTCCCCAATGTCATCAAGTCCTCCTGGAATGTATTTCTCACCACACTGGATCCTGTACTTTTCTTTCATGGCACTTATCACAATTGCAATTAATTAGCTATGTCCCTTTTTGCTTGACATCTGCAGGGAAATGGCCCTTGTGTCTGGTTATTACTGTGTTCCCACACTAGCAGCATCTGGCATGTCTGGGGCTTCATGCATGCTCGTTAAGCTGATGTAAGAATATAAACATCCCTAAGAGCCAGATCATTGGGTAGCTTTTTGGAATTTTGAGCCACTACCCTTTTGGTGGCAAAAAAGCTAACAGTCTAGGTGCCCCCACCCTCAGTCCTGGGCAGGTGGTCCCCACCTCCAGGAGAATCTACCTCAGGCATGCAGAGCAGAAAATGGGAGTCAAGCCACCAGCAGCCCTGGCAAGGGCCTCAGATAGCCCCAGGTGTCCTTCTCCGTAGGCTCACGCCAGTGGCCTCCCCTAGGGCACTCACTATTCCTTGGCGATCTCCAGGTCCTTTCTGTGGCTCTGCAGGGCTGCCTCCATCTGCCCCAGCTCAATCTGGGCATTCCCTATGCAGCTATACAAGTTTCCAACCAGTTCATCCTTGTTGGGTACCTCTTCCTTGTTCCATTCCAGTACCTTCTTCAGCACTTTCTCAGCTTTCTGAAGACTCCCTTCAGCACTGCCACTTGTGAGCACTGAGAAAGGAAAGGGGTGCTGTGGAGGCCAGGGCAGCCTCCTCTTAGCTGACAGGGTAACTCCTCTTCCTGCAGACACCATCTGCAGGTCTGAGAGACCAGGGGCTCAGACACCTGGTTGCTCCTTCCCCACCTGATAAGGCACTGGAGGCACCTGCCCCACCCTCTGAGAACAACACCTACACATATCAATGTCCTCCAGGCTCTTGAGGATGTAATGGGCTGTCTGTGAGGGACGGCGTTTGTGGTCCCGCAGCCATTTCTCTTGCATCAGCTTCCGGTCCCGCTCCCTGGCGTAGATCGGCTTCTGCTGCCTCCAGAAGTTGCTGTGAGTATCCAGGTAGTTGATGCCCGTCATGATGAGGTCCTCCACAGTCAGGCCGCCCTTCATGGTGCCTTTGATCAGGTCTGTGGGGAAGGGGTGTGAGGAGGCGCCAAGGAGAACAGGCCTCTAAGGGATTTGCCTCCTGTTTCCTCCCGGTGGCCGCTGCAGGGCCCTCTGTGAACTTGCTCTGCTTGGAGTTGTTGAAACAGAGAGGAGTGTGAGTGCGCATAGTGGCAGAGTGGGTTTATCCAGGCCAGGAGGCAGCCAGAGCCCCACTATCAGGGAGTTCCATGCTATGGGCCCCTTATGGCAAGATATGAGGAGCTAGCCAGAAGGGGCAGCTGGTGGATGGCTCGCTGAGAAGCCTCGGGGCTTCCCCAGTTCAAGCTGTGTCCTCAGATAACACTGAGTCTAAATGCACGATCTGGCCCAGGCTGCCAGTGCCCAGTGATTTCCCAGGTGCCCAGTGGGCCTGTGCATGCTGGAAGCTGGAAGGCGGGTGCCCAAGTCCTGCCCACTGCCTGGCCAGAGGTTACAGCCAGAAGCAAAGCTACAAGGCCACTTGAGGTAATATTCAAGCCACCTCTTCCCTCCGCAGCGGGTCCTCTGGAGAATAGGAGGCATTCAGGCCTGTTGCTAAGGAGATGTGCCAGCAGTGAAGCTGTTCCTGTGTCACAGAACAGGGAACCCTACACATGACCTTGGGAAGCCAATTCTGGAGAAGAGGCATTTGATTCACAGGTGACCCTGCTCAGGCTTATCAGCTAATGGCAATACTCCCATCCCCATGTTGATGTGGGACATTCATCTCAGGCTTCTGTCCTTCATCCTGTCACTGGCAGCAGTGTGGTGGAAAGAGCACTGGACTGGCCAGGTGTAGTGGCTCACACCTGTAATCCCAGCACTTTGGGAGGCCGAGGTGGGCAGATCACTTGAGGTCAGGAGTTCAAAACCAGCCTGGCCAACATGGTGAAACCCCATCTCTGCTAAAAATACAAAAAATTAGCCGGATGTGGTTGTGGGCGCCTATAGTCCTAGCTACTAGGGAGGCTGAGGCAGGAGAATCGCTTTAACCCAGGAGGTGGAGGTGGCAGTGAGCCGAATTTGCTTCACTGCACTCCAGCCTGTGTGACAGAGCAAGACTCTGTCTTTAAAAGAAAGAGCACTGGACTGGAGGTCAGAGGCCTGGGTTCTGATGTTGACTCCACCATGAACTTGTTTGTCAACTTATGAAAGTTCCTTCCCAATCAGGGTCTCTATTTCCTTATCTACAAAAGGAGAACTTGGACCAGATGATGTTTCAGAGCATTCTAGAACTAATATCCTCGGATTTAAGCACATATCCGCTGGATTCCTTTGCCCATTGTAAGGATTGAAGGCAAAGGGGATGTCCCTTCAGGGACTATGGTGGTAAAGGAGACCAAATCTCTGTTGTTCCCTCCCAGGGTACCATAGCACTTAGGAGCATTGCTCTAAAATTGGACTTCCTGGATTCGAATATAAGCCATGTCATTGCCTACCTATATATGACCTTAGTTTCTGTTGGTCTGCGCCTCAGTTTCCTCATCTGTAAAATGAGAATGCTAATAAAACCTGTCCACAGGTACACGTCAGCTAATATTATATGACAGGTTCTGCCTTCAGCTCATGCATGAAGCATCCACCCAGATTTCCTTTCCCCCAAGGCCCCGTGCCAACAAAGTGTCCGAAACCTTCATCCAATAGGAGCTTCTCCAAATACTCTTTGTCCACGTAGAGCTCCCCCAGAAGCTGGCGGACAGTCTTCTCACTCTTGAGCGAGGCCTTCCACTTGGGCTCTCCCTTGGTGGGGTGTAAGAGGTGTTTCATGGGCTGAGGCTTCTGCTGGGCTTTTATATTCTGAGAAAATGGAGCAACACCCAACAGAGCTTCAGCAAGGAGCAGAGTGTACCCAGCCATGGCCCTAGGGTCTGTGATCCCAGATTCCTCCAACTCCAGGACCTTTCTGTGGGCCAAGAGTCACGGAGTATGCCTGGTCAGGTTGCAGCTAGACTCCCAAGACCCCTTCTCAGGCACACATAGCCTCTTCCCTTGGAGGGATACAACCACAGAACCAGGGCCCTTACCTCAGCCTGCTTGCTTAAGAAGGAGAGGTCCCCTTTGTTCTCCAGCTTAATGGAAGAAGGACCTGCAAGGAAAGAAGCTGGAGCTCAGGTCGGCCAGACCCCCCAGGCATGACTTATCACATATTTTTATGTAGAAATGGCTGCCTTTGGCAGGGGGATGGTGGAGGCTGTGGCAAAGCTGGCCCTAAGCCAGCCTAGCAGGCAAATGGTGCAGGCTGTTTGGTATAACTCCTAGGAGCTAACAGCCCCCGCTAGCCCAAGGCTATGGCAGCCAGATTTCCAAACAAAGGGAGGCCAAGGATGCAGGGGAAACTGTCCATTTCCAGGCCTTGCCACCGACAGAGCAAGCTCTCACTTGCTCTCACTTGCTTCCCTTCTCCCCCTGCCATAATGCTGATGGCTAAGGCCAGCCCTTGGTATGCGTCTGGTGAGGAAAGAAGCCAGGGACTATAGAAGGCTGGGCTCAGGACCGCATTATAGCTTTTGACACCAGGCTAAAGACAGGCCTACTTTGAAACAGCCCTTCTAATCTGACCTTTAGGAAAACCCAAGGC